>NC_000020.11:57548480-58165360 GCF_000001405.40 Homo sapiens
CAAGACAGACAACGTCTTTGTCGAGCATGGAGATTATGTTCTAGTTAGTCGTAGATTCTGGGATTGAACCCCTAGACAAGTGAAGAAGGCAACGTCAAATAGTAACTGTCAGAAAGGAAACATAACAGGGGCATGTGTTGCAGGAGCTGGGAAAGGCTGAGACTCGGATGACACGAAGGCCCGTCCATGTGCAGGCCAGGAAGGGTGCTCCATGCAGAAGCACAGCAGGTGCAAAGGCCCTGAACTGGGGATGAGGGTGGCTCGAGGATGCGATCAAGTTCAACTCACAAAGGGGAAGCCGATTGTGAAGTTCAGAGGAGATCCTTCTAGCTTCCAAGGCTGGACCACGGTCTGAGACAGAGGCGAGAATCAGCAGACGGAACAGGTCAATAAAGCAATGCACTGGAATGTTCAGGATTCCTCTGGTTGTTCTATGTGATTTCCCATGGCTGTCTCACCCCTCAAAGCTGTTGGCAAGGTGCCCGGCCTGCGAACTGCACTCAGATACATGTTAACAAATGGTCACGGCACTGCAGAAAGAAGAATGGAGTGGAGTGGACAGTCCTGCAGTGGCTAAATGCTTTTGTTAGAGTGCAAGCGTCTGTAGCCACAGATGATCAGCTTTCTCCCATCACCAAGATGGCCCGTGCAGGCCCTGGCTTCCCGGGGAGAGTTAGATTTCATCTCTGACTTAGACTTTTTTTTGTTAAGGAAAAACACATGTCACATAAAACTTTTTTTTGACATGACAATACCTGGAATAATTAGATACATAAAGAACAATGAGGGAGCTGCGCTTTCCTGAGTGTATTTTGAGCAGTTATTACCCACCATCAGTGCCTTTCAAATGTCACTTGTGGAGTGTTCGTCTGTTTGTCGTGAAGCACAAAACTTTTTCTCTATTCTTTCCCAAAGTAGTTGAGAGCATTTTAAATCTCTGTGTTGAACTATGGCAAGTCACTCCAAAATTAAAGTGCTCAAAACCTTTATTTTGAAAAGCCCGAACAGTGCCCATCAAAGCAGCACAGGGAACACTGTCTTTTCAGTACTCACCCAGCACATTCCTCTGGAAATGTCAGATATGCTCTCATTTAAATAATTTGACAGCTCACAAGAAGCCATCTGATGAGTATTGCATTCAATTGTTAAAAGTACAACAAAAAAAGTCAAGAAGTTTTTCTTCCAAAGAATTTATCATTAATAATTCACACAAGCTACTTTTTATGTGGTCGCCTACTGAATGCAATTATTTAATTTCTCTCTCTCTCTCCCTCTCCTTCTCTTTCTCTGCAAGTGGAGGCTGTGAAGACCCATTTTAATATAAAGGACACTCGGGAGTTTCACCTGAAATGAAAAAACAATGCATTAAGGCTGCTTAAGTAGGTTTCGCACATTCAATATGCTTGCAGGAATGTCTAAACACAGAAGTGTTTGACACGTATAGAAAAATACATGTATTTTTAAGACATACTTGACTCAAAGCACCTGAACATTTTATTTACCACCATAAGGCAGTGCATTGAATCCAGACCGGCCTGTTTTGTGGCTGCACACATTCCGTTTGGTTAAAGAAGCATTCAATGTACAGGGGTGGTTGTGCACCTCCTTAAACTTGTGTCCTGGACATTGAATTTGGCCGAATAGAAACGAACATGAGCCCCTGAAAGATGAGTTCATGGCCTGGGGATACAAATGCTGAGCTTTTTGTGGTTTGCAGTGTCTCAGGTTGAATGGATGTTGCAGGTCTAGGGGATGGATACTCAGGGACACAAGGGTGTCAGGGACCCCCTTACAGCTGTTCCCGCGCCTGTCATTCATTTAGCTCTTTAGCCTCTACTACGTCTTCCTCTTTTACTACTTTCCATCTTTGGGTTAAAATGCGGAGAGATGACTTGAATGAGTAGCACACTCTCACACTCGGGCCAGCCCTCCACATCATGAGTGGGCTTCAGCCACCCCAGGCTTCTGGGGAATGAGGTGGGGTACGGGAAGCAATTAAGAAATTGCTAGGCCAGGCGCGGTGGCTCACGCCTATAATCCCAGCACTTTGGGAGGCCGAGGCTGGTGAATCATGAGGTCAGGAGATCGAGACCATCCCGGCTAACACGGTGAAACCCCGTCTCTACTAAAAAATACAAAAAATTAGCTGGGCGTGGTGGTGGGCGCCTGTAGTCCCAGCTACTTGGGAGGCTGAGGCAGGAGAATGGCGTGAACCCAGGAGGTGGAGCTTGCAGTGAGCCCAGATTGCGCCACTGCACTCCAGCCTGGGTGACAGAGCGAGACTCTGTCTCAAAAAAAAAAAAAAAAAAAAAAAAAGAAATTGCTTTGCTGACACAGCCCCCTTGTACAGAGCACCTTGTCTTTGAGGGAACAGCTGTCCTCTGTTGGGGAAAATCGGGCCCAGCCAGCCTGACTTGCTCTGCACATTTGGGATGTGGCCGGAGCCTCAGAATCCACTTGGGAGGGTGTGTACCGGCTGCCGTGTTTCCTTTCGGCAGGCTTAAATTCATTTCTTCAAGTGTTCCCGTTAGTTAACAATGATTGATAGAGTGAAGATATTATTAATAAAAATTAGGTACCCAGCTAGGCAATGGACTTTTGTTCATGCCTCAGCACTCATCAAAGGGCAAATGAAAAAGGTGTTTTCAGCAGCATGCGATTGGAATGAGTCGGGCCAGGTGGAAAACGAATCTGGCCATTCATCAGAGCTGTCAGGACGGGTCTCTCACCAGAAGTGTTTACCAGTGTTCACCATGAGCTTCCGAGTTCTGCTAACGGGAGCTTCGACTGTAACTCAGAGGACTTGGAAAACGACTTGGGTGACTTAGCGTACCTATGTTATTGAATTCGCCTAAGTGTTGCGACTCTTGATGCTGACACTTACGAGAATGCACAGTGGGACTTCCAGAAAATTTAACAGTGCAGTTCAGAAAAATGCCTCCGTGGGGGTGGGGGGCTTTGAGGAAGTCCAGGTGGCATGGGACTGGGGAGGGGAAGAAGCAAGGAGCACAGCGGCGTCGGGAGTGAAAAATGTGCCACTTATTCCACACACATAATAACATCAATCTGATTCAAAAAAATGAGAGACAAGGGGAGTCGACAGGAAAGCATACGGAAAAAGTTAAAGAAAAACCCAAGGTGCTATCACCGTGACTGTCTGTCTAGAGATGTATTGGGGAGTGGGTGTGTTTACTGTCCATACAACTCTTGTGGTTCTCAGTCATTCGTAGCATTGTGCAGCCCACGGGTGAGGAGCTGGTCTTCCTGGCTGGGCCTGGGCAGCAGACATTTGCTGAGCGCCTACTATGTGCCAGGTGTGGTTTGGGGCAATGAGAATGCTAAGAGGAGTGAGAACGCAGACTCCTAGAAGTTGGCGGCTCAGCTTGGACTGTCTTGTCCCCTCCATACTTAGCACTCCATAGGAGACAATTGTTAAATAAATAAAAAAATTTGCACCCAAAAAGAACTATGATTTTTATTTCCCCCTTCTAGAATTTAGGAGTGTCTGCTCAGATGTGCCTGGCACTATGTTAAGTGTGTTTATTTGGGTTCCCAAATCTAATCCTTGTAAGTAACTACCCTATAAAGCAGGTACCATAATTATCCTCATTTTGCAGTTGAGGAAACTGAGGAAGCATAGAGAGGGTATGCCTTGGCCTAGGGCTACACAGTCAAGATGTAAAAGGAAACACCTGCCTCCAGAACCCACACTGTTGGCCGCTACATGGCATTGCCTCCCCAAACCACCCCATGGGCCCTACAGATAAAAAATATTGAGCCAATCTGTACCTCTTCTAAAAAACGATTTTTTTTTAACATAGAGATGGGGTCTTGCTGTGTTGTCCAGGCTAGTCTTGAACTCCTGGACTCAAACGATCTTCCCACCTCAGCCTATCAAAATGTTGGCATTACAGGCATGAGCCACCACACTCGGCCCAATCCTTACTTCTGATGCTGTTACTGGCCAAGTGGGATCAACTGCTCAGTGAGGTTGATTAGACTGTATAGAAGTTAGTGTCCAAAAGCCCAGGGACCCCACTGCCTTCCAATTCATGAGCACTTGACTCTGGTACTTAAAGAGAGAGCTCCAAAGGCCTGGGAGCTGAGGCCAGCCCCTGCAACAGACAGCCATGTCCTCACCCTGCTGGCCCTGCCATGTCAGCTCCCGATAGGCAGCGAGGGATTTGGAAAGAGGCCTCTTGCATCATTGCTTCCTTGTGCCAAGCCAGGGAAAGAAAACTTGTATAACCTAGGCCGGCTTTTGGCAGAAAATTGGAAGGTGGAAAGCCATGGAAATGAAAGTTAAAGAATTACGGACCTTACCTTATACGAGAACGTGCAGGTGCCCCTGAACCCTGCTTCCCAGGTTCCTGTTTGAAACACCACCAACTTATTGAGAAGATGAGTCCTCCCTATCTGTGTTGGCTTGTGATTCTGTTATCCCATAGCAGATTTTTCATCTGCGTCACAATTTTGCTTTTTAAATATTGAAAACACCAAAATGTACATTTCTTTCCCCGTTACCATTGATCTTTCTAGGTTGCTTCTTCAAAGCAATGTAGGCTAGTTTTGGGAAGGACACTTGTCAACTGGCACCTTTTTTCATCAGACTCTGTGGTCATTTTTCAGACAAATCGTGTTTTCTGTGTGCAGGAGGATGGACTTTACTTCTGCACCAGGTTATACGAACAGCAGTCCTGAGGGTGCTCAATTTCCACTATATTTCAACTTGGAAACATTTCAGGTTTCTATAGCTAAGATAGAGGCCCGTGACCCTGACAAGACATGCTGAGGCCGGACCCCCACCCTGGGTGATGTGTCCAATCGCCCAAGCCTTGACACATGTGAATTCTGCCCTCCTTGGTAGAGGAGCTGACAGGGAGACTCAGATTTACTGAATTTTTGGAATTGTCCCCAGCGTGGATCAGAAAAGACATTTTTGTTCCGCGCTGCACTATTACAGGCAAGGGGAACAATTTGCATAGTTACCAGGGAGCTCCGGGGAAGGGTAGCGTTCAGTTCTCAAGCAATTATCTTTATTTCCAATAGAGTTAACTGCACTGCAAAGTGGATCCATTTTCTCACTGCAAAATAAGCGCATTGGATTGTTTTTGTGGTAACTATGCAATTAGTTCTTCCTGCTCATGCCTTGCCTGGTGCTGCTGTCTTTTCTCCGTGAGTGTGTTTGAAATAGTATTCAGTGGCAAATTTGTTCTCACTCAGAGAATGGACTTGCTTACTCTGTAATACTTGAAATCAAGGGCACTGTGGATCCCCAGGGCCATGTCCGTTTTAGGGAGGAGGAAACTGAAACCAAAGCCTAGTGAGCTGCCCAAAGGACACCTCGTTCCCAGCAATGTCATGATGGAGCCATCTGTTTGTGTGCCAGATCTTCCGTCGGTCCTTCTGGAGTCTAACACAGATGGTGCACACATTTTAAAAGACTACATGTAGCCACCTAGTGCCCTCAACTCTAAAAGTCATAAGCAAACAAAGGTTGGGAAAAAATAGGAATGGGGAAAGATTTTAATAAAAATCTGGATATGCTCTATGACATGCAAACTGAAGGAGAGAACTAAGGCAGGCCTATAAAAAATGGGGGCAAGCCTGAGTTTTACACTGCATTTCGTCTTATCCTCCTTAGTCATCCTTTTCCACCTAAGGTAGCTGTGGACTTAAATTACCCGCCAGCTTTCTTCAGTAGCCCATTTTCATATGCGCATGCTGCATAGGAGCAAAGACCTCCTGAGCTTCCAACAAGAAGGGCTGCTTAGCAGACACAGGGCCACCAGTCATCCAGCGTAGGTGAGAGGGGAGTAAGGCAGACATCAAACCCACCATGGGCTTCAGGATCTGTGGCAGGGAATGCGTACAGTGTGATAAAGGGACAGGACTTCCCCAGTGGCAATGACCTTAGAGCGTATCTCATCCAAGTCTGCACTGCCCAAGTGAGGAGAATGAGGCCTGGGCAGGTTTCTGGGGGAGGTGGGACTGGAACCAACCCAGGTCTCCTGAGTCTTGTTCCGTGTAAACTGACTATGGGATCTTGTCTTCATTAGGATGCTTTTAGCTGCAAACAACAAGGTCACCCAACTCCACGCAGCTTAAACGACAAGGGATGCTTCTATCTCACATTCTAAGAAGTCCCCAGAAGACTAGTGCCAGACACAGGAGAGTAGCTCTAGAATCTGCTTGTCCTGTTTCTGAGGGTGATTCTCCTATTATTGCCCTGGGCTGCAGCCTTCATGTAAGTGAATGGTCAGCATCACAGGGGGGTGACATCGCTCTCTGAAGGGCGAGATCCTTCCTGGGATGGAGGTGGCGTGCAATGTTGGGCTGTGGCACGTGCATGGTTTCTCATGGCTGGGGCGCCATTAGGCCTCCCCATAAACCTGACAGAGAAAGCTCCAAAGAAAATACGCCAGCTTTTACAGTCACTTTGCTGTGGGTCAGTGGTGATTGAAACAGGAGACACCCAGCCCTCCCAAAGGTTCTAACACCTGGATATTTAACATGTCTTCTGGGCACATGTTTGCAGCAAGAATCATGCTTTAATAACAGGCACCAAGCAAAGTGGTGTAAGTCTAGATACATTTTTATTTCCTTATTGTGGGAAAAAATACATGAACAAACAAAATCACAAAACTTCTGGGGAGAGAGTTTTTGAGGATATGAATTTTCTCTGCTGGGTACATTCAGCCCTGAGCTCACTGCCTTACGACAGCACAGGCCATGTAGCGAAGCGGGAATGATTAGGTTGAAGTCTGGGCAGGGTGATCGGTGTGTTAGGGACCTGCCTGCACCCTGAGTGGGCTTTGGATACCATCCTCCCACTACTTGTTCCCACATCTTCAAAATAAAAGACTGAACGATATAATCTTTTTTAAAAATTGAGATGAAATTCACACAACAAAAAATTAACCATTTTCAGGTGCAAATTTAGTGGCATTTACTACATTGACAATGTTGTGTAATGCCCCTCTGTCTAGATCCAAAACATTTCTCCCAGAGGAGATCCCCCAACCCATTGAGCTGGAGTGACGTCATCTTTTAAGGACCTTTTTAATTATATGATTCTATGGCATCAGAATAGGCACTTGACTCATTCAGCTCTGTAAAGACACCCTCCAGACTGCAAAGACATTGAGATAATCCCACAAACATGAAACTTCTAAATATTTGTCCCTAACAAACACAATTGAGGTGGGGTGGATGACCTGAATCGCCCTGGTGGATGACTTTGTGGCTGATCGTTACAGGGCTGACTGGTGTTTTCCTGCTGTCAGAAGCTTCATGATGGGGCCAGTCGGGTGCCCAGTGAGTAGTATCCCTGGCAACAGAGACCCAGGCAGATTTGCGTAAATACCTTTCGTCCCAGGACATGGGATTTACACTGTGTGTTTCTCGTCACCTTCAGGAAAACCACTGTCCCTTTTTTTCTTTGCCAGATAAGAGTCAGGCTTTCCTACAAATTCAGATTCCTGAACCAAGGGGCATTTTTGTGGTCATCCCTTCGGTGTTCCCGTCACTGCCGTTGGTGGCTGGGGTGAAGTGAGGAGGTTGTGGCTGTGTGTGTGAGAGCCTTAGCTTGGGAAAATGGTGTCTTTGCCGTCTCTGGTTCTCAACTCTTCAGCACAACTTGGTTGTGCTGTGTGGATTTTCAACATGTTCCAGCTGTGAAATTCCTTATACCACAAACATCCAATATGGAAGCCGGAAATGTACAACAGGTCAAATCAGAGATGCCATGGGTGAGGAGGGCTTAGAGCCCGTCTCCTACAGCCTTTCTCTCTCCTCTGTGAGGGGTGAGTGGAATCCCCCTAAATCCCTTAGAGCCCAGTTGGGAAAACACGGACCTTGACTTTACATGACCTCCAAGCACTGCTGTTGAGAGTGTGTGTTTGTTTTTTTTTTTTGAGATGGAGTCTCACTCTGTCACCCAGGCTGGAATGCAGTGGTGAGATCTCGGCTCACCACAACCTCTGCCTCCCGGGTTCCAGTGATTCTCCTGCCTCAGCCTCCTGAATAGCTGGGATTACAGGCATGCGCCACCATGCCAGGCTAATTGTTTGTATTTTTAGTAGAGATGGGGTTTCTCCGTGTTGGTCAGGCTGGTCTCAAATTCCTGACCTCAGGTGATCCGCCTGCCTCAGCCTCCCATAGTCCTGGGATTACAGACGTGAGCCTCCGCACCCGGCCCAGAATTTCTGTTCTTTTATTGGCCTCCAGGTAACCAAGAAACACCAACATGTGTTGCAATCAGACTGTCCTCTGAATCCTCCACTGTGAGACCCCGCCAAAGTCATGGCTTTGTTTTCTGTTGTTCATCTGGAATGCAGCCATTCCCCACACCCACCTCCCCGGTCACACCTGCTGCATCTTGGCTGTCCCTGCGCGTGTTTTCTGCTGTCTTTGTCACTGCTCCATCCTGCATGGCATTCTACAGGCTCGTCAAAGTCCAGTTCACCCACTCTTCCAGAACCCTTCATGGTAGGCTGCTGGGAGAAATTGGGCTACAGTCCATCACAGGTGCAAAATGACACCTGAGAGGTGGCCCTGTCACTGACCACTTCTTCCCCAACACATGCTCAGTAGACTAAGTGTGGTGGACAGGCGCACCCTGGCCTGGGGGACCCAGAGGACTTGTGTTTGGAACTCCCCTTGCTTCCTTGGGTCTGCCATGACTGTCTGGCCCCCTCCTGCAGGGGCCTTGTATGAGCAGTTCGAGGAACGTTCTCACTAACTGCAAAGCACTGTACCAATGTCTTGATTACATTTTAGATAGCAGACAGTGGCCCTGGCTCTCCCACTGGAACTGTCTATGTGGCACTTGGCCATGTACAACTTCTTTAATTGGACCATCATGTAGGTCTGATGATAAACCAAATACTCTAACATCAGGGTGGGGGTCTCCCCAACTCCATCTTAAGTCTTTGAGGAAATTGTTTCTTAGGCAAGATAGCTCCATAACTTGTGGGACCACGTGCAAAATACACAGGGCCCCTTGTTCAAAAAGGACAAAAAAAAAAAAAACCTGTGTTCCTTTCTCCCATGGTCTCTCTATCTGTTGTGGCATGTTTTGCATTTGCTGTTTGATGTTGCGCTCCCTTGGGCAGGGGATGCTCATGGGAATGAGTGCAGACCCTCATGGGCGCACAACTCTGACCTGACTTCCCTGCCCTTGTGCTCAGACCCTAGTCGGGGTGGAGGGCAGCAGTGGTCACCTAGCAGGAAGAGACAGGGGAGCGGGCAGCTGAGGCTCCATCCTTAGAAGCAGAAAGGCTGAGGGAGGCAGAACTGTACAAGAGCCACGCCGCGTGCCCCATCATCCCTTCAAATGTAGAAGTGACACAAACTTAGAAGATCACTATGAATTTCAAGACAGTGACCCCAGAGCATGAAACTCCAAGAGAAGAGCCCCCTTCCAAGAGTGAGGCATGCTCTTGAGACTATGAAGTGGACCCTAGGATCAGTATGAAGTAGGTGCTCAGCAAGTGCTTGATGACTATGTGCTGGGAGTATAGACAGGAAAAGGACTCTCAGTTTGAGGACACATCTAGAGAACTGGCAATAGTAGCTGCTCATTCACTGTTGAAGGAATGAATATGATTCCTTTCTCGACCCTCGTCTATACCCAGCTGGGTTGAGACCCTCAGTTTCCTCATCTATAAAATGGGAAAGATAACAAAGGTACCTACATCGGAGAAAATCATGGAATGCATCCCATTTCTGGCATGCAGAGAAAGCCCAGTATTATGAAGATTATTATGCCCGGTGCTAGAGACATAGCAAGCATTTAATAAACGTTTGAGCTGAGGCTTCCTAGAGAATATGAGATTGCAGCAAATTGGATGCAAAACTTCTCTTTACCTTTTTAAATCCGTCTAATTATCTCGTATCAGGATATAGCTGGTGTGGTCACAAAGCAGGGAAAAAGCAATCGATATCCCTGAGTAACTGCAAAACATGGAGTGGCCCCAGGAAGGTGCAGGGAGGAAGTCCCTTTTAGTTTGAAACTATTTTAGTGTCCGATCTTTCTTTCTCCTTCTTTCCCCAATTTTGTATCTGGGCTCAACTTTTTATACATTTTTCAAAAGAAGAGCAGCCTTGGACCTAAGAAAATCTGAGCCTAAGGAGCTCCCCAAAAGCTAGGAGGTCTCTATGGCATCCGTCCCAGAAACAACTAACGCAACTCACAGGCAGCGTGAGCCACCTCCATGCCCCACCCACTGAGCACACACTGCAAAGTCCACTCGGCGGGTTAACTGGGGGTCCTCAGGGATCCCACCAGCAGGGTGGCTGTTTGGCTGCTTCTTCGGGTCCCTGTTGAAACCAACAGACAGTAGTTAGTTTTGAGGCTTACTTACAAATAAGCTGACAGTCAGATGAGGAAGACCCATGCTTCCGGCCAGCCCCTTGAAATTGTTGTCAATGAGTCCCCACTGGGGCAGGGAGTCTCTAAGGACAGGAAAAATGGGGGCCCGAGGGCATCATCTGCCAAGACCTAAGGCAACTGTACCCATACTTTTGCCTGTGTGTCCTCAAAACCCCTCTACTTTATCATGATTCTTCTTCCAGAGAACTCTGTCCTTTGAGGCAAGTCTGTAAACCAATGTTTGCTTTTTAACATTTTGACAAGGGACAGTTGCGGGGGAATCATTACCGTCCTTCCACGCTGTAAATGCAGGTAATGAAAGGATCGGATGAAGGTCGTTGGTGACTCACTGCTCTGACGTTTTACTTGAACTAGCTGTTTCTCTCCCAGAAGACTCAGAACATAAGCACCTGGAATGGATGGGTCGCATTTAGGACTCCAAATGAGTTCTGCTTTCCCTTTTTGTTTTCAATCTATGTGCTCTTTCAGGTACTCAAACCTGTTACCGTTTTATCAGCAAAATGGGACTTTCTACCAATTTGGTGGGATGAGTCTCGCCGGGAGTGATGTGTGTGTCACGGAATTGTGGTCATGCATCGGGATGGCTAATTCACTGATGTCAGATGCTAACGAAGTGGCCTCGGCTACTGAGCATCACGTCACTGTTGGGTTTAGACACAACACGATCTTATGTATGGATGACAGCACCACTAATAACAAATGCCAGTGACCTAAACGGGGAATAACTTCAAATGAAACAAAAAGCACCTCATATCATATTTATCCTGAAAGACACAACTGGCTGAATAAAATCTGAATACAGGAAACATAGCAATGGGTTGATAATTTTGGTGGAACTTGATGATGTGTGACCCACGCCCAACACAGTGTGACCCAAGCCCCCAGGAGGGTTCTCTAAGTGAGTTTGGTCGGAGGCTGCCATTCACAGTGACTTGTATTTGCCACAGCAGCTCTTTCTAAGCCCAGTCCTGGGATTATCTCAGGGATCATCCCACACCCCAGCGGGGAGATGGGCCAAGTCCCCACCTGACCTCATCTTAGGTAGAGAGGCTTCCATGGAAGTGTGGGCTGGCTGTGGGGGGTTGAGACCTAGCCCCGTTCTTTTGACATTTCACCCTGTGTTCTCCAAACTCCAGCAAGCAGCTTCCATAGCTCATTAAATTTGACTGAAGGTCTGATGGCTTGCAAAGCAAATTCTTTACAACTGTTATAAAGGTTTCATTGCTTAAGCATATAATCTAGCAAAACTGCCAAGCCCCCTCCACTCCCTAAACTCTAAGACTTGCCAGGGAAGAGAACAGTGGCCAGTGGACTGCAGGAGTAACTGCACTCAGCCCAGAACTCCCTGGAGGACACAGGGAAGGTTCTGGAAAGGTGGCGGTACCTCACAGGGAGAGACGTGGTGCTCCAGGGCCCAACTTGCTCATGTTCAGATCCTCACTCTGCAACCCACCAGCCGGCTGTGAGTGGCTACACAATCTCTGCCTCAGTTTCCCTATCTGTACATGGGTTGTTCATAGCCTCCACCTCAGAGGGTAGTAATGATGCCAAGCTCTTAGAACAGTGCTCAGCATGTGTGCATCCTGTGCCTACTCTATGCCAAGCACTACAGAGAGAAAAATGAACAAAATAGGGAGAAATCCCTGCCCTCATGGAGTTTACATCGGGGCAGGGGGCGGGGGCGGCACAGAGCAGACAATCAATACAGTGATTAGCCCCCAGTTAGGTTAGGCATTTCCAATCTTTGCCAATAAGCCACATATTTGCCCAAGTTAGGGTGCATCCTTCCCATGAACTTTGACTGTGACCTTTGACTATGGGGTGACATCTTATAGCTGTGGTGTTTTGCCAACCAGCAGCTCTTGGTACACAAAATGTGCTGCTAGCAGGTGCCCCGGCCAACCTTGTCCTTGACCCACCTGCCTGTTAAGAAAAGGGTGTTGTGTTTTGCAACAGCAGTAAAATGGGTCAAGGTTTAGTCAGTTGGAAGTTGTGTCAAAACTCACTATGGTTGGTTGAGGGCTCGAAGTCTCCCAGCATTCATTAACAACTATCTGTTCAATGATTATCTCCCTGGGGCGTGTTGCAGTGAGTTGGCCCAAAGCATAACTGACCCTGGCCGTGATCCAGAGACCTGCCCCCTGACGTCAGTGGCGAGCCTCCCTGGGTGCAGCTGAGGGGCAGGGCTATTCTTTTCCACAGTATTTAAAGCTGGGAGGTTCTGCCACCAAGCACGGCCTTCCCACTGGGAACACAAACTTGCTGGCGGGAAGAGCCCGGAAAGAAACCTGTGGATCTCCCTTCGAGATCATCCAAAGAGAAGAAAGGTAAGTAGAGCTTTGCATTTACATTTTGAAAAATTACAAAGATGAACTCATTTTTTTCCTGAGAGCAATAACTATTTGGCAATGCACAGCCCTGGCAAAAGGCCGTCGAATGTGTTTGAAGGTGTCTGTTGTTGTTTTTGTTCAGGACGCTTGCGTTTTCTATTTCAGGTGACCTCACATTCGTGCCCCTTAGCAGCACTCTGCAGAAATGCCTCCTCAGCTGCAAAACGGCCTGAACCTCTCGGCCAAAGTTGTCCAGGGAAGCCTGGACAGCCTACCCCAGGCAGTGAGGGAGTTTCTCGAGAATAACGCTGAGCTGTGTCAGCCTGATCACATCCACATCTGTGACGGCTCTGAGGAGGAGAATGGGCGGCTTCTGGGCCAGATGGAGGAAGAGGGCATCCTCAGGCGGCTGAAGAAGTATGACAACTGGTAAGCTCGGCCCCCGCTGCCTGTCCCAGCACCCTGCAGGCAGGGCTCCCCTGCGTCTCCTGGGAGTTGGTGGAGAAAGGTGAATGAAGGCCTTCGGGTAGTTTCAGACTCTTGAGAAGATGAATGCAATGGTCAGAACCATACAGACTTGAATTTTGTGACATTAGTGGGCCAGCCCAAGCTTTAAATGAGGTGTGTGCACAAAAGCTCTGCCAACTAGATTCCTGATTAAAAAAAAGGCAGCCCCTCTCCTACAGACCAGGTCCTAGTGGAGTAAATGTCCACCTGGCCATGTCTTAGATGGTCTGTGTGTTCACACTGATGGACTGTTGTTAGCGTGCTCAGCACTCTGCTAGGCATGGAAAGCCACGGTACTGAAGGAGATGGTTCGCTGCCCGTGGTGCTTGGCTGAAAGGAAGCCTGTGATTTTTGCAGCTGGTTGGCTCTCACTGACCCCAGGGATGTGGCCAGGATCGAAAGCAAGACGGTTATCGTCACCCAAGAGCAAAGAGACACAGTGCCCATCCCCAAAACAGGCCTCAGCCAGCTCGGTCGCTGGATGTCAGAGGAGGATTTTGAGAAAGCGTTCAATGCCAGGTTCCCAGGGTGCATGAAAGGTGAGCGGAACATTGATTTGATTGGGTAAAACAGCAGAGAGCCTTTTCTTATTTACATCTATCCTAATGGTAATTCAAACAATAATGGAAGCTCCCACCACCTCAGATGTCTTTCAGTTCCATACATGAAGTTGGCAATGTATTGAAAATGCACATCCCTCTTCTGCTTTTACAGACTGTCTTATACAAACGTGAAAACTAGTTCCATGCATATGGGTTTTAAATAGCTTGGTGGGACCCAATTGCACATTTATGAAAACTCTTTAATTTCAGCAGGCTGTTCACTTTCCAGTGGCCTCTTCTAACCCAGGGGGCTGGTGACCAGCAGGGTGTGGTGGTGTTAGTGGAACACCGTGAAAATGGGTCTACCTGGGAAAAAAATGCTGGTCGTGTTCGAAGTCCAAGGTCATTTCTCACCAGTGCCCACCCATCGCACCCTGTAGGTCGCACCATGTACGTCATCCCATTCAGCATGGGGCCGCTGGGCTCGCCTCTGTCAAAGATCGGCATCGAGCTGACGGATTCACCCTACGTGGTGGCCAGCATGCGGATCATGACGCGGATGGGCACGCCCGTCCTGGAAGCAGTGGGCGATGGGGAGTTTGTCAAATGCCTCCATTCTGTGGGGTGCCCTCTGCCTTTACAAAGTAAGTGTATTATTTCAGAATCAAAAGTCAAAATAAAAAAGAAAGCTGAACGCAAACCCCAGTGAGTGCCTCGGGGACCCCCAAGCAGGGCCCTGGCGCACTGACTTGGGAGGGGTCCTTGTTCACAGAGCCTTTGGTCAACAACTGGCCCTGCAACCCGGAGCTGACGCTCATCGCCCACCTGCCTGACCGCAGAGAGATCATCTCCTTTGGCAGTGGGTACGGCGGGAACTCGCTGCTCGGGAAGAAGTGCTTTGCTCTCAGGATGGCCAGCCGGCTGGCCAAGGAGGAAGGGTGGCTGGCAGAGCACATGCTGGTGAGCCTGCAGGAAGCCCTGATGTGCAGATGAGAGGCCTGGGGGGTGGCAGAAACAAACAGCATTACAGTTCCCACCCGTCAGCACACCTCTCTGAGCGTGCAGGTTCCCGGACAGATCGGGAAACCCCACCAGTAATGATTAGTTTACACATATACATCGCTTTTGAAGGCCCCCAAACACCAGGGGACCATAGAGATCCTTTGGACTTCATGATTCTGGGAGTGTTTGTTTGCACTGATACCTGAAGAAATAGATCTTGAGGGCCTACATTCCAACCTCTGGGCTGAAGTACCAACCTCGGGGAGAAGGAAACAAAGATCACAATAAAGAATCTTGTCCCCAACAGATTCTGGGTATAACCAACCCTGAGGGTGAGAAGAAGTACCTGGCGGCCGCATTTCCCAGCGCCTGCGGGAAGACCAACCTGGCCATGATGAACCCCAGCCTCCCCGGGTGGAAGGTTGAGTGCGTCGGGGATGACATTGCCTGGATGAAGTTTGACGCACAAGGTGACTCTTTTAGACCCAACTCTTGGTAACGATTGGACTCAAGCGAATCGTTGGCCTTCGAAACATGTCACATTCTCCTCAGTCCAGTGTTTGGATTTTTAAACTCTGTTAGTCCAGAGTTGGCCAAGCCTTAGAAATATGGATCCTGTAAGAATTCTTCAACTTAATATTCAATCTGGATTGAAACTGGGCCATATGTTGCTGTTTGTTTACATACATACATTTGTTTAAATGGTATTGGTGGAAAATTGTGGAGGAAGCAAGAGTCGTAAACGTATCAAAGTTGCATATGATGCTTGGATGAAAAGAGATAAATGCATATTCTAGGGAGGGAAAAAAGATTTGAGAAGTTGGCATAGAAATTAGTCCGGCAATATATAAGAGTATATGTTCTGCTTTGCCTGGCACTCACTACTGCTTCTCTGGTTTAAAACTCTCCAGGTCATTTAAGGGCCATCAACCCAGAAAATGGCTTTTTCGGTGTCGCTCCTGGGACTTCAGTGAAGACCAACCCCAATGCCATCAAGACCATCCAGAAGAACACAATCTTTACCAATGTGGCCGAGACCAGCGACGGGGGCGTTTACTGGGAAGGCATTGATGAGCCGCTAGCTTCAGGTGTCACCATCACGTCCTGGAAGAATAAGGAGTGGAGCTCAGAGGATGGTGTGTCCCTGCCAGAGGCCTTGGTGTGCCGGGCTGCAGGGACTGCCTGTTTGAGCCAGGCACTCACGAGCCTTTCTCTGTCTTATAGGGGAACCTTGTGCCCACCCCAACTCGAGGTTCTGCACCCCTGCCAGCCAGTGCCCCATCATTGATGCTGCCTGGGAGTCTCCGGAAGGTGTTCCCATTGAAGGCATTATCTTTGGAGGCCGTAGACCTGCTGGTGAGGCTCTCCTTCATTTAGGCTGGGAACATGGGTGTGCTGGGTACCGAAGGGCATCTGTGAAATCTCTCCTTTTCCATGACCTTGTCAGAGGGTGCCCAGGGGCTTCCTTTCTTGAGCTTCCTTCCCAAAGATCCAGAATAATTGGCAAGTTCAAATGTAGAACCAACCCTTCTGGTCACCTGGAACCTTTCTGAATCCCTGATCTATTGTAGCTTGATCAAATTTTACTTTTTACTTTGTGGCCTCAGTCATGTAACTTTGAGTTAGCAGTTTTCTGCAATTTAGCTTGGTGAACGCAAAACTAGCTCGATTACAAAGTTATTGTCTTGCCGTGTCTTTCCGTGTTGTGAATAACACCACTGGTTGTGGAGTCTGAATTTCAAAGCCTCTGATGAACATTTCTCTTTTTTTTTCCTGCTAAAGGTGTCCCTCTAGTCTATGAAGCTCTCAGCTGGCAACATGGAGTCTTTGTGGGGGCGGCCATGAGATCAGAGGCCACAGCGGCTGCAGAACATAAAGGTAAATCAAAGTCCTGATCTGAAACCACAGAGAAGTGGGATTAGAGCACTCTTCGTCACTCTTATGTCTCTCTCCTTTTCTGTGTCTGTGTGTGGGGAGAGAGAGAGAGAGAAAGAGAGAGAGGAGAACAAAGCATGCTAATGTCAACAATCAATGGCGTCAGTCTTGCCTAGGAGAGCCTCATTTACTAATGAACTCCCTCTCTGTTTAACAGGCAAAATCATCATGCATGACCCCTTTGCCATGCGGCCCTTCTTTGGCTACAACTTCGGCAAATACCTGGCCCACTGGCTTAGCATGGCCCAGCACCCAGCAGCCAAACTGCCCAAGATCTTCCATGTCAACTGGTTCCGGAAGGACAAGGAAGGCAAATTCCTCTGGCCAGGCTTTGGAGAGAACTCCAGGGTGCTGGAGTGGATGTTCAACCGGATCGATGGAAAAGCCAGCACCAAGCTCACGCCCATAGGCTACATCCCCAAGGAGGATGCCCTGAACCTGAAAGGCCTGGGGCACATCAACATGATGGAGCTTTTCAGCATCTCCAAGGAATTCTGGGAGAAGGAGGTGGAAGACATCGAGAAGTATCTGGAGGATCAAGTCAATGCCGACCTCCCCTGTGAAATCGAGAGAGAGATCCTTGCCTTGAAGCAAAGAATAAGCCAGATGTAATCAGGGCCTGAGTGCTTTACCTTTAAAATCATTCCCTTTCCCATCCATAAGGTGCAGTAGGAGCAAGAGAGGGCAAGTGTTCCCAAATTGACGCCACCATAATAATCATCACCACACCGTGAGCAGATCTGAAAGGCACACTTTGATTTTTTTAAGGATAAGAACCACAGAACACTGGGTAGTAGCTAATGAAATTGAGAAGGGAAATCTTAGCATGCCTCCAAAAATTCACATCCAATGCATAGTTTGTTCAAATTTAAGGTTACTCAGGCATTGATCTTTTCAGTGTTTTTTCACTTTAGCTATGTGGATTAGCTAGAATGCACACCAAAAAAATACTTGAGCTGTATATATATATGTGTGTGTGTGTGTGTGTGTGTGTGTGTGTGTGTGCATGTATGTGCACATGTGTCTGTGTGGTATATTTGTGTATGTGTATTTGTATGTACTGTTATTGAAAATATATTTAATACCTTTGGAAAAATCTTGGGCAAGATGACCTACTAGTTTTCCTTGAAAAAAAGTTGCTTTGTTATTAATATTGTGCTTAAATTATTTTTATACACCATTGTTCCTTACCTTTACATAATTGCAATATTTCCCCCTTACTACTTCTTGGAAAAAAATTACAAAATGAAGTTTTATAGAAAAGATGGATTTGCTTTGCTTGGTTTTTCTTATTTGAGCTACCAAGAGGAGAGAACTCTGATTAAATATCTTGTGATTTAAATCCTGCCCCCTCCCCAAGAAGGTGGGGACGTTCAGAATCACACTTGAAGAGGGGGTGCATTGCCTGGTCCCAGGGAGAAGGAGGGAGCAGATGGGGAGGAATGAGGCAGGGAACCATGGTTGGGGTTTTCTGAATTTGCTGAAGCCACTAGTTGGCATCCTTTAACAATTCTACAAACCTTTAGATGGTGAGGCTTATGTGGCAGGACTGGGAGGGTTTAATGCATGCTTTTTGACAGTTTGGATCTGGAGGGGTCTCAGGCTTCCACAAAAATTACATTGTGGACAGTTTCATAGGATTTTGCCTTTTAACTCTTCAAAGCAACAGTTTTCTCAACTGTCATCCCCGCGGGGGAGCAGAGGAAGACAAGTGAGAAGGAAAAGGGGACAGGATCTGGGTTGAGCAAGCATTAATTGAGCGCCTTCTGTATCCCGGACATCATGCCAACACCATGGGCTGCCCGAGAAGAGAGGTGGGTGGTTTGGTCCCCAGCTCTGCCTTGAACCCTCACCTGCTCTCCTCTACTCCCAGTGTTTATTGGATATTCCAGAACAGTCCAAACGAACCATAAACTTTATATCACAGATTCAATCTGTGTAAATACTATTATCTTCAAGTTGTAGTTTCTTTCTTGGGCCCAGGCTGTGAAATTGGCTTCACCCCTACCACACCCCAGCGGGCAGGCTTGTTCTTATGTCACACTCCACCCCTCCAGTCTCCTCAACTGGAAAACTTGCCTCTTTTCCTCACTTCCTCTGCTCCTTACAATGGCTTCATATGGAAGGTGAAGCTGAGATCACCCCAATTTTACAGGTGAGGAAACTGAGGTCAAGCTAGGAGCGTCCAGCGGGGCTGAGAAATTGCCAGGATTTCCTTCCCCATTAAGGAGCTGAGAGTCTTAGCTCCAGACACGTTGGCTTGTTAGAATATCAAAACCACCGAAGGGGAAAAACCACTTACTGGAATTAAATGCTATCTGCTGTATTAGTTTAAATCAGTGGCGTTCAAACTTGTTTCTCCTTTTCACTGCGGAACACGTTCTTGACATGTACTTGACTCAGAGTCCCATGTCTAAAGGAGACAGAGCCCAAGGCAGCCCACCTGAAGCTGGGGAGGGAGTCCAAAGTGCAAGCCACCTGGTCTCCATTTCCCCGCCCCTTGGGGGCCTTTGGGCAGCTCCTTGGACCCCTGAAAGAGGCCACCAGGATAAACTTTGTTAAAATGCATGCCTTGTGCCCCACTGTCCTATTACGGGCTTTCAGTAGTCTCCACTCCCTCGGCAGGCAAAGACACTGGCCATCTCCAAATTCCCTCCCCTCCTGCACAGCATCAGCCACCTGGCAAGCAGTCTCACATAGGACCATTTGCCAGCAGGCCCTGCAAGCCTGGGGGACAGCCTAGAGGAGGTGACTTACATACACAGCATAAGAGTTTTCAGGAGACCAAAAAGATTCAATATATGTCATTAACTCCTGACTCAGTTTCCCCAAACCATGCCTCCTGAGTGCTCCCTCTGTCTCCAAATCCTGATTTTTGTGCGCGGACCCCTGTCTACAATAAACAGGATCCTATGACTTCTTTCTTCAATGTTCTCTTGTCGTGCCTTCAGATGATGCAAAGTATGTAAGCTAAGCCCACTTGCAGGAAGCTCACAGAAGGCAAGAGGCTCATCACTTGAAAATACGGTTGGAGTGAGATGGAAAGCCCAGAGTCTCCTGATTCCTGGTCTACCACTGGACCACATGACTCCAAAACCAACACTGTGACTGACGTCCTCTACTGGAGTCCAGTGTAAGAGCTGTCCCCTGACCTCCAGGAAGCTGTGTTGCAGTCTGGGTTAAAGACCAGAAAACAATAGTTACACAGCAAATGTTGAACCAGGACAACAAACCTGCCCTTATTCCCAGTCGAGTCACTTAGGGGGCACTGACAGGTAGGCAGGCGGGGTGGCTAGGTGGGGCCGGGGCACACTTGGGAGTCAGGAGTTACAGGGCTCTTTCTCTTCTCTCCCTCTCCCTGGGGACCCACCCTAACCTGGACACCCCCGGGCTGCTCACTCGGCCCTCTGGATGCCAACAGCATGCACCTTCCAGAGTGCACGGTTTTGGCTGTAAGACCGCAGGTCATGGGCCCTGTTGAGCTCCCTTGACCTGCAGCCCTGCCAGAGGGCACCGAGCCAGGGGAGCAGCTTTTGCTTTGTCCTCACCTTTAGCAATTGCAGCGATGAATTCATCTATGGGAAAGAGCTGGCCACCTGCTTCCTCCCTCCTGCCCTTTTTCCTTCCCTGGGGGCAGTAAACACTGACAACCTTGAACACAGCAGAGCTCTGCCGCTGGCCAGTGGGGTCTTCTTCTGTCTCCTCTGTGCCACTGGGGTCATATTACCTCTGGTGGAGTTCGATAAGGATGAAATAAACTAGCCCAGCGCAGTGCCGAATCTGCAGTCAGGAGGGTCTGCGTGTGAGCCGAGGCCCTACATCTCCCTGGAAGTATGCCCTTAGGTGATTGCACGAAATGCTGAGCCTCAGGTTCCTCAACTGTAAAATGGGAGTGATGATTACTTTCTTCAGGGGGTTGTTGAAAAGCTCCAATGAGATGATGCCAGCCAGGGACTTGGCACACAGCTGGGCCTGGTGGGGGCGGTTGTTCTCATTTTTATTTCACTCCACCTCTCCGGGGTATGGGAGGTCGCTCCCCACCAAGCCGGCTGTCCCACTGATGACCGGCTGTGGCTCTGGAGTCGAAATCTGTCCTCTGTGCAGCCTCCACAACTCCTACTTTCACTGTGCATTTCAGGAAAAGGAGCTGAAGAGCGAAGTCAATCAGGAATATCAGAAGCATTTTTTTCTCTTCGTATGGCGAGCCCATCCCTGTAGGGAGCCACCTTCACCCTTCTCAAACATTTTAGCAGAAGACTCAGAGTTTGGGTCCAGGAATTCTATATTTAAGAAATGTGTCCTAAGGGAAAAATCATGAAAGTCTGCACAGATTTAGTTGCAAGGATGCTCATTATGGAGTTGTTTATCATGGCCAAAAATTAGGAACCAACCTAAATGCCCAACAATAGGAGATTACTTAAAAGAAATTGTAGTCCTTTTGAGAACAGACAACTAGGCAGCCATTTAAAATGACTCTGCAAAAGATAAGTTATTGACATGCAATATTTGCCACCGGCTTCACCTGTGAAGGTAGATAATGAAAGGGTATCGAGTATTTGTACATTTATGCTTAGAAAAAAAAACTTTAAAAATACCATACAATGGTAACAGTAGCAGCTGGGTCCTGGGTTGTTTGATTGGGAGAACTGAGTTGCCTCATTCATATTTTCACCACATCATTCAGGCTACAGAACTTTGCTGCAAAAAGGGGAGCTTGGCAGAGGCAGGGGGTGCCCCCAAATTGAGAAAACCCTGAATGAACTGACTTTACCCCAGTGATCTAAGGTAAAGTTTCTTCCACGGGATGAAATGGGGGCTTGAGACAGAGATGAATTTCAGATGGGTTCTCAAGCAGATAAACTTGTTTCTGCTTTCCTGAAGTTTTGTCTGGAGATTTTCTGCTCCTCCTCACACAGGAAGCTCAGCATAGCGTGGACCTTTGAGAGGGGTTCAAAACACAGGCACTTGTGAAGGCCCCGCTCCCGGGACCACTGGGCAGATTCCAGGAAGAGTGGCCGGCACCGGATCGATGCGGGACTGATTGTTACAGAACTGTTTCCACGCACCATATTCTCTCTACAATCTGGGCCCTCTCTTAGCTCCACGATAGAGCTCAGAGGTTTCTCTGATGCTGCAGAGCCGGGATTTAGGGATGCCACAGAGGAGCGGCGGACGTCATTTGGTCCACAGTAGCACCGTAGTGGGACCAGGAACACATATGCCTTGTTGACACCTGCTTGCGTCTTTGCACTGGACACTTATTCCTGGGGGTGCTGGGCCTACACAGCCTGGGCCGCCTCAGAGCTGTTTCGTCTGTGAGCCCCTTGGTAAAGGGATATGTAAATGTGAATGTTCACCAGTCTGAATGGCAAAACTCCTCTCCAGGCGAGGCAATTTGCAGCAAAATATGCTGTAAATATTTGTTCAGCCTGGGAAAATTACTCTAATTGCATAATTAAACTCGTTGTTGATGCTACTTCCGGACAGAATGCCTGCAGAGGAGGGCCCAGCCTGCAGCTGCCCTTCAGAGCTTTTTCAATAGAGAGACTGTTTGCAGAGACTTTTCTCTGGCCCCTGTCTCTTCACAGGGAGAACGAAGAAAGGAACTTGGGGAGAGGTTGTCTGTGGGAGAGAGGAGGGTGTGGAAAGGTCCCAGAATCAGAGGACCACTGGTGTGGGGCCTCGCGGATCCTCCCTGAGGATTAGGGCTATCTTCCAAATGCCCAACACACATTCCACGCTCCACGGACAGCTGGTAACTTGAGCCAACGATTCATTCACTGAAGTGGAAAAATATTAGTAGATTGAAAGAGATTTGCTTAAAAAGACATCAGATCCCAACTGAATCCAAAACCAGTGTTCCTTGCTAAGGTAACCACAGAAACACAATGCGAAGTGAAAGAAACTGGCCACACAAGACCCCTGTATTGCATGAGTCCGTTGATATGAAGCGTCTGGAATAGGGAAGCCTGTAGAGACAGAAAGTAGTTTAGGAGTTGCCGGGGGTCAGGGGAGGAAGCAGTGGGGAGGGACTGCTGACCCCTGACCCCCGACAGCTGCAGGGTGTTTTGTGGGGGGTAATGAAAATATTCCAAAGTTAGATTGTAGTAGAGTTTCCAGAATCCTGTGAGTATATGAAAAAGCATTAAATTATGCATTTGAAATGGCTAGGGTTTTTTTTGTTTGTTTGTTTGTTTGTTTGTTTTGTTGTTGGGACGGATTCTCACTCTGTCTCCCAGGCTGGAGTGCAGTGGTGCGATCTCGGCTCACTGCAAGCTCCGCCTCCCGGGTTCACGCCATTCTCCTGCCTCAGCCTCCCGAGTAGCTGGGACTACAGGCGCCCGCCACCACACCCGGCTAATTTTTTGTATTTTTAGTAGAGACGGGGTTTCACCATGTTAGCCAGGATGGTCTCAATCTCCTGACCTCGTGATCTGCCCGTCTCAGCCTCCCAAAGTGCTGGGATTACAGGCGTAAGCCACCGTGCCCGGCCAGAAATGGGTGGGTTTTATGATATGTAAGTTACAGCTCCATAAAGTTGTAAGTAGAAGAATAATATAACCAAGACAAAATATACCAAAGATTCTGAGTTAGAGGCCTGCATTCACCATGTTGAAAAGAGAGCTGAGGAAGGAAGAGGTGTGTGCACCCCACTGAGACTCTGTCCTTTGAATCTGGAGGAGTAAAAAAAAAATGGAAAAAGGATGGACTTTCTCCTTATGGATTCAACGTCATTTAATGCCAGGCCAATGATCCTCCTAAAACTACCACAAGTACCATAAAATTATGTCATGTCACCAGCAACTGGATGTGAAACTGAGGCCACAGGGGGCAAAGACCTGCAAAAGTTACTTGGCTAGCAGGTGGGAGAGTGGGAGCCACCAGGAGCCTCAACTTCTAGGCTGACCCCACTGGCATTGAGTCAGGAGACCAAGAACCCCACCCCAGCCTCTCAGCCCATCAGGAAACCCACACAAACTGCTTAGACAGCTGCAGGGAGGGTTTGGCTCGTGTCACTGCATAGGGGAGGGTCTAGACACAGGGCAGGGGCCCTGGACCCAGAGGCTCCAATATGGCAGGAGGGGTCCTATTTCCTTCTCCCCTCTCCCTAGCAGCAGAAATCTCTGGAATGGAAGTATTCACTACAACGCTAAGCTTCTGGTGTGGCCTGAAGACAGTCCCTTCATCTCTGAGCCTGTTTCCCCAGCTGTACAATGAGCACTCTGCCTTGGTCCCTGGAAGCCTTCCCTGCCATGAGGTTGGAGTCACATGGTTCTTCGGTGGGACCCTTAGAATTAGGATTTAGTGAGCCCAGGTCCAGGCGTGGGGAGAGTGACAAGGCAGAGAGCGCGGCTGACTTCATGAGACACGATGAGAATGATTCCTCCCCAAGTAGTTCACTGTAGCTCAGCAGTGTGCCTGAAATCCCACTACCGGGATCCCCTATTGCCCCACTTGATGACACCATCTATCCCCACCTGCTTCTGAGTTGATCTGGGAAAGGACAGTGGGGAACACAAGGCTCAGACTCATAGGTATAACCCCAGGTCCCCTCCATTCTGGCCCAAAGCCTGGTTCATCCATAGGCCTCAAAAGTCAGCTAGAAATCCCCAACCTGCTGCTGGTTGTTTGTCTTTAGGGGCATGTGTGAGGGGTTTAGCTCAGACCTCAAGATATCGATCTATCTTTAAGAGAAGCTCCTGGCTTCTCCCAGGGAGATGAGAGGGTACCTGTTCTATGGCCCAGAGGGCAGCATGAGGACCCTCATCCCAGGGAAGCCAGCATCTGGAAGACCTTGTCTGCCATGCCAGTTGCCAACCTCTGGAGGGTTCAAGGCTATTTTTCAGGGACGGGTGAAGATAGCTCCTTGCACCCAGTGGAAGCTGGAAGAGCTCGTGAAATTCTCTGCCAAGGCCAAGGCTCTCAAATCTAGGTGAGCGGACACATGAGCCTGGGCCGCCCAAGACTGGCCCTGGGAGACCAGTCTAGCCCAGTTGGAGCCTCCTGGGCTGAGCCTAGCCCTTGGGGTTGGCATTAGTCCCCTGCCCCATAGTTCCCCTGGTTAATAGAACTCAGGTCTGGCCTCCATGGGTGCGGAGGCTGTGGCTGTCTGTTTGAAGCCTCAACGAGGGTTCATCACCATTAAGGACGGAGACCGGGGAGCCGGGGGGCCGGTGACTCACTCAGCAGCTGCTCCCCTGTTATGTAAAGTGGAGCTCAGAGCCATTAGCCGATAGGAGATGAAATTTACATTTTGAATTAACTCGGATCATCAGACTGCTTCTTCTCGACCCAGGGAAATTGAACATCAAGTTGGAGGGAACTGTGGGCAGGAGGGGTGGGGGCTCAGCCAAGCATGCCGGATTGCCTTTTTCTTTTTTATTTTTTTCAACAGGCTGCAGGCAAAGGGGACAGGAGGACGCTGCTGCGAAGTCAGTCTTAAAGAGAGAGGGAGAGAGAAAGTGGAGTTACTCATTTTCTGTTTTCCTCGGGCAGAAGCACAATAAATCAGCATGGCAGAATTAAATTCTGATCTGTCCAATTTCCTCCATCTCACCCTCTCCTAATAGTGATTATTTATTGAACACTTATTGTGTGCCCAGCACTTAGCTAAACACTTTATAGATAAGGGAGAAGTGAATTTGTCTTTCCCCTTCTTTGTTTCCCCAACCCGCATTTCTAGTGGGGAGGGGGTCTGATGAGAGAAGTAGAGAGACCGAATTTTATGGACAACACAAAGTGCTGAGTTATGTTAGGAAGCCTTCTGGGTCTTTTAGAGGCAGCATTTGGGAATCTGAGTCCCTAAAGCCTCCTGTGACCACAATGCACAGTGAAACCTGCTGTTCTGTCCAAGGGGCCCTGTGGACAGCACCCCCTAGAGGTGTGCGTTGCACCTCTCCTCTCAGAGCCCAGATGAGAGCGCACAGCTGAGAGACACAGCTGTTCTGAGTCAAGCCTTGCAGGCTGGGATGGGGATTCAGGAGGAAAGGTGAAGGTGTTTCCACCTTCCTTTGGCCTCGGAGTTTGTCTGCGATCAGCTGCTAGTGAGAGTTTCCTTCCTGGAAAGGGACTGGGTCCAGATGTCCTTCTAACTTGGTTTAGAACAGACTTCCTGTGTCACTCAACTCCCCAACAACTCGGGCTGTGGGAACAGGGGTTCTCTTTCTACTGGGTCTTCCTGGCCTCATGGACAAACTGACTCCCAGGAACTGGGTTACATATAACTCAACTTTCGGTGGGTTCACCTGATGCAACCTCATGTCCTTCATGTCCTGCCCTGAGATGTGTCAGAAGAGGTCAGACCTCCTTGCACCATGGGTATGGGTTCTATCAGTGAAGTGATGGTCCCTGGGGCCCCTCTAACATGGGGGTTACAGTCACTGCATAAGTGTGGAGAACAACTACTGATTCAAGTCTGTGCTGGTAACAGCAGGGTCAACTTTTCGTGTTGCTGAGCATGAGAGAATGTGCTTTGAGGAGTGACATTTTTGTTCTGTTCCCAGCTGGCGGATGCCTCCCTAGAATGGCAATTCTCCAAGATCAATCTGTCACTTTCCAATGAATAGTTATCGAACAGCTTCTGACTGCCTGGCACTTAGAGTCAGCCCAAGTGCTTAGATGAGCTGATCAGGACTGTCTTTCCTAATGAATTGGTCCCACAGGGGGCCCTGTCCTTTTCCCAGGGTCACTGAAAAACTTCAAGCCTCAAGGTATAAGGAGTAATATTTTCTCTAAGGAGAATCTACGTTACTATTCTGCCCCATTCAGAACTGCCTGATGGTCAGTCTCCTGTTCCATCCCCTCACATTTTGGAATTCTGCCTGGGCAGTGAGGGAAGGTGCATTTGCATTCCACCTCCCCCCTTCCTTCCTTCCTTCCTTCCTTCCTTCCTTCCTTCCTTCCTTTCTTCCTTCCTTTCATCCATCCAGTCATCCATCCTTCTGTCCATCTATCCATCCATCCATCCTTCCTTCCTTCCATCCATTCATCCACCCTTGTATTCATTGTTCCAGCCTTTACTCTTCCATTTAATTATTCTTTCTCATATTCTCCAACTATCTATGCCTCTGGATGCTTGTCATCCATCTGTACATCCATCTAATGGTCCATCAACCTCCAATAAGTCACTCATCTGATCTCCATCCAGTCCATCAATGATCAACCCTGCATCCATCCTCAATCCATCCTTTCATCTTATCACTAAGGACACATAGCTCCCCATCTGTGAGAGCCGAGTTTGAATTAGCCCTGCCTGGTTTTTCCACATGCCCTCAGGATACAAATAACTGCACCCAGACATAGCAGACAAGCTAGGTGTCCTGAGAGGTGTAGACAGGTTGTTTCAAAGTTTCAGAGGAAGGAGAAGGAGCATCAGGGAAAGCTCCTCAGAGGAAGCAGTGTTTGAGTACTCTCATAAAATAACATCATATTTGGAAAGTCAAGATATAACTGGAAAACTGTAGGCATTCCAGCGGATTATGGGATCTGCGTGAGGATTGGGTGGATGGAGGTAGAGTGGTTGGAGAATCAACAGAGGGTGAGTAGAGAGGTAGATGCTGTGTAGACGGCTGGAGGTTGAAAGGATGGATGAGAGGTTTGGTCAGATTAAAGGGTGTGGAAGTGGGAACAGAAGAAAGGTAGTGTGGCCCCCTCCCATGCTAGGGCAGATTATGAAAAACCATGCCGTGTAACTGAGCAAGGGTTGATTTTGTTAGACAGGGAGGTAGAGAAGCTTGTGGATGATGAGCGAGCCCCCAGGGAGAGTGGCCTTTTCCAAAAGCTCCTCTGGTATTGTATGCCCTCTGCACTGGGGGTGGTTATCAGTGCTGTTCTTCTCAACTTGGGGATATGGGGGCCAGAGACGCCATGGAGTACAGGCCCTAACCCTCTAGCTATTCTGCAGTCTGCCATCAATCAAGTGCTCATGGCTAAAACTCCAGCCAACAAGGAACTTGAACAACACAAGTCTAGAAAACAGGCTGTTGTCAAGAGTTTGACTGATTGATGGTTTGGAGCTCAGAAAAAGTTTCCCCATGGTCATTTCTTAATGGCCATTTCAGAACAAAGGGGCAGAGGAAACCAAACACCTTCCCAGGGTCTTGCCTCTGGCAGGGGAGAAATTGAGGTCTTTGATGGTTTCAGATGTAAGTGCTACCCTGCCGTTAGGCTAAAATTTCCAGTATTTGAAAAGTCCCAAGCTAATTTTCAGGGAGGAAATTAGATGAGAAGTGGCTTTTAAAACATGGAGAATCTTATGTTTAAAAACTTGGGTTGCCAAGGAAACTCTCTCTTCAATACTTCCTTGCCACCATGTTGTAAATTAAGCCCCTAACTGAAAGGTAATTAAGGTAATTGGTGGCACTGCTGCAGAGAGAATGTGGCAAGGCAGCCGGAGGGAAGGAGCCCCCAACCTTTTAGGGCACACAACCCCCTTAGCTCTGGGGGAAGCTGCATCCATTACTGCATGTGAGGGCCTTGAAGGCACCTTTGGAGAAGGCAGACCAGCAAACAGCTGTGAGCCATGCTCAGTGAAAGGCCAAGGAAAGGAAATCTGAAATGTCACGCTGCTACCCTGTTGGTTTTGAATAGGTGAAAGCTCCATGAGTCAGTTAATGAGCAGATTGGGAAGGGCTGCAGTGTTCTGGCCCCCTGCAGCCAGGTTAATGTATGTGGTATCGGGAGAGAGCTTCAGCAATTGTTTTCTGTCACTTTCAGGAAGGAGGCAATTAGTTTGTGGTCCCAGCCATCCAGCAATCCATCTGTCCATTCATTCATCTCTCTATCTGTTCATTCATCTGTCCATCTGAACATCTATCCACCCACCGTCTATCCACCCACCAAGCCAGCCATCCACCTATGTATTTGTTTATCCACTCATCCATCTATCTGTTCACCTGTTCATCCATCTACCCACTCTCCCCACATACACAGCTGGATGGATGGGCATATCAATGAATGGAAGGATGGATGGATGGATGGGTGGATGGATGGATGAATAATGGGAGGGGTGAATGAGTGGGTGGAGAATAGACAGATGGATAGTGGATGAGTGCATAGCTACTATCCATCTGTCCACCTATCTCCATTTACTTATCTATGCAGCCACCCACCTACACGTCCATCCATCCATCATCTATTCATCATCCATCCTCCATCCGACCGTCTATCAGTTCATCTCCTGCCCATCCATCTAGTAAGTAAACATTTCCTAAGCATCCATAATTATAGTGACAACATCTCCCACTCACTGAGAGATAAGGTATGTCAAGGCCTTTCCAGGCACAATCTCTTTAGATCCTTCCCTCAACACTGTGACTTCTGGAATGTGCCCCATTCCAGAAATGAGGCAGTAGAGAGGTTCTCACAGCTAGCAAAGGTGAGAGCTTGGATTTTAACTCTTGTCTATACCCTGGGTGCAAATTCCTAGGAGAGGGGCAGTGGCTTTTATCATCATCTATCTCTGCATCTTTGAGCCTGGAGAACAAGATGTGAAGGAGGGTGGGGACAGAGAGCTTGGCTGAAGCACTGGGAAAGGGACCTGTGTCTCAGGCTCCAGGGGCCAGGGGCTGTCAGTGACCCAGGTCCAAATGCCCTGGCTCTGACCTGCCCTAGCACACCCTTCTGCACATACCTAGGCCTTTCCTCTTCCCACGGGGTAAACACTGCCAGCGTGGTCAGGTTGCTGGTGCCAAGGTGAAAAGTCCATGGATCAGAAACCGGGCCCCCCTGGGAAGTGCCGTTCCCAGAAGCTGAGGCCTTTCTTCCAGTAAACTTTGGCCTCCTTCTTTCTGGCCGTGACTCCCCATGCACAGGGAGTCCAGGTTCACATCAAAGGGGTGGGGAAGGGGAGAGAGGGGTGTGCAGCTGAGCACCCCATGGCCCAGCACTGCACTGCGCTGGGGCTTCAGGTGCTTCCTCATAGTCAATTCAGTCAACATCCCAACTGGGGGCGGGTCTCAGTCTTCTCACTTTGCAGAGAAGGAGACTGAGGTTCATAGTGGCAAAGTAACTCTCCCCAGGTCACATGGTTAGTTTCAGGGAGAGAAGTCTCATCTCGAACCCTGATATCAGCAGGCAGCAGCTGGAGCCAGACTGCAGTGGGCCTAGGGGTGATAAGTGGGCTCCGCTGTCAGCCAGGCACTTCTGAGCTGTGTGACCCTGAGTGAGTCCCTTAACCTCTCTGTGTCTCAACTCCCTCTTCCTACTTACAGGGTTGAGAAGACTCACAGAAGGGGTGTACACCAAGTGCTTTGGATACTCTCGGCACTCAATAAATGTGGGCTCCGTGCAGTACTTGTCTCCTGTGTGTAGTGGAATTCTGCAGGGAAAAGTTTGTTGGGCAGAGGAGTCCCACTGCTGCATGCTGGCTGAAGGGCTGCGGCTGCACTTTGCGGGAGGCTGAAGAGCCAGGAGAAGCGAGGATCGATCTGCTGTCATTCAGCCCCAGGAAGGGCACCCTGAGGCCTGACAGCTCCTCCACCACTGTGGCAAACTGCAATCCCGGGAGAGGCTGCCACCTTGCTGAGGGATGGGTGGGAGCTAGTCCCTGGGAGGGGGTTCCCCTGCATGTGTCCTTCACAACTCTCTTCACAGGCAAAACCCGGGGACAAGTGTTAAGAGCTCTTTGTCATCCATCTAATGAACATTTGTTGAGTGAACCCCCGAGGAGCAGGAGCTGTCTTGTCCTTACCTCCTCTGACTCTGGTGCCCAGAACACTGCCTGGTGACACCCACTGGAGCTGACCCTCCCAAGGGCTCCTGTGTACCAGCAGAGAAGGCATTTCCAACAGGCTGCCTCTCCGAGCCCAGTCTACCCTCTAAGGCAGCCATCACCTGTGTCCTGCTCACCGGGCTTAGGGGGCCAAGATAGCCAAGGTCACTGGGATCCTAAGGAACAGAGTGGGATTTGAACCCCAATGTGTCTGAGCCCAGAGGCACTGCCTCCACCACTCTCTCCATCTGCTGGCCCCAACTGCTTTGCAGATGTTACCAGTGTCTACCGGTTGGTAAAGGCTGGCTCAACCCTGGAGCATCTACTGAGTGCCGTCTCCACCGCAGGGGCTGGGGGACTCACGGGAAAGCCAGACACAGTCCAACTGGGACCAATCCTGGAGCATCTACTGAGTGCCGTCTCCACCGCAGGGGCTGGGGGACTCACGGGAAAGCCAGACACAGTCCAACTGGGACCAACCCTGGAGCATCTACTGAGTGCCGTCTCCACAGCAGGGGCTGGGGGACTCACGGGAAAGCCAGACACAGTCCAACTGGGACCAAGGGCTTCTGAGGCCACCGCACATGCTATGGTTTTCTGCCAGGGGTACTTGCCCAGGAGTCAGCTCTGGAAACACTTTGGAGCTGCTTCCCAAGGCCAGAGCGAAAGCCTGCCCCACTTCTCCTTCCTGGAGCAAAATCTGAATATGTACTCCCTATGGAGTTTGCCCCAGGTGCCAGGGGCTGTGCTGAGCCCCCTCCCATGGTCTCCCCTGAAAGCCCGAGGGAAATGCTGTCTTCATTCCCATGCTGTCAATGAGACAACCATGGGGAATGAGCCGTGAGCACCACCATCTTTCTTGTCCCTTCGAACATCTCCAAGTCAGATAATCATAACAATAGTGGCAGGCATCCCACATTCGTATAAGCTGGCAGTCCGTCCTGCCTTGGCCCCCGGCCCAGTTAAGCAGAGGGAGGTGGTGCTGTGCCCTGCATCTCTATGGATGGGGAAACTGAGGCTCGGGGCTGGGAGGAGGCAGATCTGAGGGCTTCTGAGTTTCTCCTCCTCCTGCAGACAAAGAGAGTCACCCAAGGTCATCAGAGCTGCCGCGGCGGCAAAACAACAATGTTCTGACTTCTGGTCAGGTCCTCCTTCCATCACGACGCTCCAGCATGGGAGGGGAGGCAGGCGTGGGGGCCGTCAGGGGCCTCTTTAATTCATGAGTTACTGGCAGAAGCACAATCTCCAGGGAAGATTGATGACCGGCTGCAGGTATTGGTGGGCGGATTCATAAAGCTGTCGGCAGCAGGCCGTAAATCAAATGAATATTCAAGATTCCGCCTCAGGAGCAATTCCCCGGCTCCGACAATAACAAGATGGATGTGGGCAGGAAGGCAGGCGTGGTGGCCTCAGAAGCCCTCGGCCCTGGAATGAGGCACCGCACTTGCTCATAACTTCAGCATCTGCCTGGGAAATCTGGGCAGCTCAGAAGAGGGAGGAGAGCAGATCGTGGACCCCAGACCCAAACGCGGACCCCATGTTGAGGATTATGTTTTATTGAGGCATCATTTACTTGCAGTAAAATGCACAGGTCTTAAGTGGAACATGGGAGGAGTTTGGACAACTGTGTATAATCACCACCCAGATCAAGGTCTAGAACGCCCCATCATCACCCCAGAAAGTTCCCTTGTACTCTTCCCTGCTCACCCCCCATCCTGAGCCCTACGCAGCCACTGCTCTTCTTCCTCTCACTGGAGCATGTGGACTTCTGTGGAGGGCGTGGACTTGTCTGCCTGTTTTGCTCAGCTTTCTCTGCGTGGCTGAGCTGGGAGCAGCTCCCTGTCCTGCTCTGCTGCGCCGTCCCCCATGGCAAGGGTCTGCCGCCATGGTATGGGCCATTCCACCCTTCATGGCCACCTGGGCTATTTCCACTTTTGCCTATTCTGAGAGGCTGCTGTGAATTCCTGCAAGGGTTTTTCTGGGTGCTTTTGTTTCAGGTAAACACCTGTGAGTGCAAGGGCTGGGTCCCAAGGCAGACATAGGCTTTACCGTTTTAAGGAACTGCCAGACAGATTTCCAAGTGACTGTGCCTCTGCATTCCTGCCAGCAGCGGATGAGAGTTCTGGCGCTCTGTCCTCATCCTTGCCAGCGGTGTTTATGACACCTGTTCAGGTGAGTGCAGTGGCATCTCACCAGGAGACCGCCCCCCCCCACCTTTTCTCAATTCACCAAGTCTCCACTGGTCCTGGGACACAGCCTTTGCTGTCCTCTCACGAGCCCTTGGGGAAGGCAGCTCATCTTTGTGGCTGAGTTCAGGAGCCGAGTCCCCACGATCTGCCCTCCCCACCGGGCTGCCGCGTGTTCCTGGGGCTGCCGAGGCTGGGACCCAGAGCTGCCTTTTTAAGAACCTTCCCATGGCTGCCCACTGCTCTCAGGATGCAATGCACTCTCCTTCCGGTGGTCACGAGGCCCAGTGTCATCTGACCCTGGCCACCTCTCTGCTGCCACCCCAGGCCACCATCCTACCTGCTAACCATGCTCTGATCTACTGCCTGGGATCAGGTCCCACCCAGGACCTTTGTCCTGGCTGTTCCTTCTGCCTGGATTCCATTCTCCAGCCCCTTCTGTTGGCAGCTGTGTCCAGGTAGAAGGAATGGCTGCTGCCTCTGAGAGTGATGAGCTTGCTGTGGGCTAGGTGCTGGGCACGGTCACCAGGGGGGTCCCATCACGAACCTCATCCTTCAGACCAGGAAACTGAGGCCCAGCAAGGTCACTGGAACTGCCCAAGGTCATGCCACAGGTCGGGGGCAGAGAGGAGACCAGCCTTCATCTCAAGCCTGTGGAATCATCCTCTCTTCCGGAGTGGCCTGGCATCTTGTCTGGGAAGGAAGCTCTGGGCTGGCCTTGGGCAGAGGCTAGATGATGTGAAATGCCAGCTCCTCTTGGGATTCACACTCCCCCAGTAGGGCAAAAAGCACACTCGTGCCTCTTCCTCTTTTGGAGAACATTTCCCCATTTCCCAACTCAGCATGAACTTCTTTCCTAATTCTGGGCCATATTGCTTCACTGCCATTAGCCCCCACCACAGACAAGTGTTCCGTGGGATCAGGAGGCTTTAGAAGTTAACACAGGACAGAGGTGGCCAGCACCACTAGGGTTCCCCTGGTATCTGGAGCCCCTGTCCATCCTGGTACAAGACCAGCCCCCAGGACTCATCAACATCCCAGAGGTCAAAGTCTCCGCAGGTGGGACAAGCTAGAGCAAATCTTGTCCCATGTACTCTAGTCCCTTCGTATGCTGTTCCATCCGGGGCAGGCTGGTGACAGAAGACACAGTGCCCCCCACCCAGTCCAGGTAGCCCTGCCTTCTCTCCCCAGAGCCGAGAGCACTAATAGCCCCAGTTGTTGAAGAAAGGGACCTGTCCCAGGGTCTTCACTTTGTAGGTCCTGCCAGCAGCCCTGATTTCTATGTACGAATATTGCTGTCATCCATCAACTCCCCTCAAAACAACTCCCCAAAAAACAGTCACCTCAGATTCCCCCCGTTGAAGTAAAAGTTTCTTTTCCTAGACTTCTAAAGTCCAAGAAGGGACCTCAGCAACACAGGCACGTCTCCTGGGCAGAGGCGTGCGTCATGGAAAACTTGGAGGCTGGTGATTGGGCCGTCTCTGCTGCAAAGTCAAGTCCCCGAACGCTTGAAAAACAACATAATGTATTCCTGTCTGCAGCTCTGAGCGAAAGCTCATTTTGTGTCCTGTGTTTCCATTTCCTGAGGATTAATAAGTGTGGAGGGGAACTCGGGCTTCGTGCCGAATATTTATTTAGTCAATATACGCATCAATTTAGCAAATTAGAGATCGCAAGCCATTTCTAAGCAATGCTGTAAAAATAATAGCTGTACTTTAAACTTGTAATGGATTTTGGTTTGGTGGGAGGTGGTGGCTACTACGTGCCTGGTACTTGATAAACAAAGAAGTTTAGTTCTCCTTAAACTTCAGTGGATGTCTGAGTCATTGGAGATGTTTGTTTAAAAAGCAGACAGATCCTATTGCCAAGGGCACAGGCTGAGGGGTCTGGGGTGGGGGCTCTGGAACACAGTGAAGAGTGGGCTTCCGGTGAATGGCCCTGTGTCTACCTCCTGGCTGTGGAGGGCAGGGTTCCTCCGCCTCGGCACTGCTGTCATGAGGGGCTGTGTGCTTCTCCAGTGTGGGGGCTGCTCTGTGCACTAGAGAATGTTCAGTCTCACCGCCATCTCTGTCCACTAGATGTCAGCAGCAGCAGCCCCCTCCCCAGTTGCGACGATCAGAAATGTCTCCAGACATTGGCACGTGACCCCTGGCAGGCAAAATCTACCCCAGCTGAGATCTACTGATGTAGTGCAGGGTTCTCAGGCTCTCTGAGCCTCATTTCTTCATGGAGACACACATTCTCACAAAAAAGCCTTCTACCCCACAACCCGGTGAGAGCACGGCTGCTGCTCACATTGCATAGCTGAGAAAACTGTGGCTCAGAGAGGCCCAGTGACTTGCCCAGGGGTACACAGCCCACCCGCAGCTGACCTGGGGTACGCAAGGCACTTCCTAGTCCTTGAAATGCTCAGTGGCCCCTTCTCATCCCTCGAGCCTCTGTCCCAATGTCACCTCTTCAGAAGGGCCCTCGCTGTCTCCCTGCGCTAGGGTAGGCTCTCACCCCTGCTCTTCCGATGCTCTTTCTTACCCCTCTGCCGTGTTCCCCACAGGACTTGGCCTAGCAAGCATCGTGACTGCGTGCGTATTGACTTGTCCTCTTCACTGTCCCCCACTGGCATGTGGGCCCCTCAAGGTGGGGGGTTCCTGAACTTGCTCCCTGCTGTGGCTCCAGGCCCTGGCGCAGAGCAGACGAATCATAGAGCAATCAAATGGCTCATTGGAAAGGTTCCCAAGGCAAGGCTGCCGGCTGCACCACACCATTCATTCTCCCCATATTCTTTGCTAACAAGGCCCCTGACTTTTAGCTCCTGGTCATATGGGAGTGTGACCAAGTGCTGGCCAGTAAGATGTAAGTAGAAGTCTTGTGTGAAGTCTTTCAGGAAGTGTCCTTACAGGAAGAAGCAAAACCCTGCTTATCCCTTCCTTTTTCCTGATGACTGAAGGTGGGACATGATGGCTGGAGCACAAGCAGCTGCCTTGGACAATGAGGCAGAAGCTCTGTGTTGAGGATGGAGGGTCAACACGGTAGAAGGGGTCTGGTCTTTGGTGACTTCTAGAAGTTGCCTGACCACGCTGAGCTGGGCTTCTGTTACATGAAGGTGAAGTCATCTTCTGTTTCATTTAAGCCATGCTGCCCCTGAGTCTCTGCTCCACGCACCACACTGAACCCTAACCAGTCCTCTAGGCTCTGAGACTGCCCAGGATGGAAAAGGGAACAGATGTTGGTTCTGCCCAGGCTGTTCTCAAATAAGTGGGTTCCATGAGTTTCTTCAATTATTATAGAAGGAGCTCCCACTTGCACTGTTGAGGCTAATCTGCCCAACTCCCAAGGTCAGGGGATCACTCATGCCCCTGGAGTGACAGGTGTGGGTCTGAGGGTCAGAGGGATGTGAGGGGAAGGAATGAGCTAGGATTCAAGTCTTGAGGTACCAGATCCTGGACCTGTGCTCCTTAGATGACACTGCTGCCTCTGACTGTCAGTCATGCCCATCCATCCATCCATCCATCCATCCATCCATCCATCCATCCATTTCTTCATTCACTCAATGAGTGTTCACAATATGCTTGCTAAATGCTGGGGACAGGGTAGTAAACACTACAGCTTGTGGAATCCTGGAGTGAAACAGACTAGTAGGTGGAGATAGACCATGAGCCACCAGACAGAGAAACAGACATGGAGATTACAAAGTGCTAGGCAGGGAGTCAAAGGGGAGATGGAATTGAAAGTGACTGGTAGGGTGGCTTCAGAGAGAAGAGATGGGAAAGTACGCTCTGATCAGGGGAGGTGAGGTTGAGAAGTGAGGAAGGGGGTACTGAGGGCTATGAGAGCTGGGAACGGTGCCCCAGGCAGAGGGAAGAGCCGGTGCAAAAGCTCTAGGCTGGGGGTGGCCCAGGCAGGTCAGGGGATGGGGAGGCTGGAATGGGAGGGGCCGCTCTTGAAGGATTTTTGGTGAGGGGATCAGACCATGGGGACCCTGGTCAGGGAATTGTAAGAAGAGCGGGTACTACACAGGCTCTTACCCAGTGCTTTGCATGTTGTAACTGATATTTTTGGTACCAACTTGTGTGCCCTCACCATTCACCCAGTGGTGACCAGCAGCAAACACCTGTCACTTCCTGGGCTTGGAGACTTTCTCAGACCACTGTAGCTGCTCTTCCCATGCACCGGCAGGCTGTTCACACAGTCCCTGGCTAGAAGCATCCTGCAATCAATCTCTGCCAAGATGGGTGGATAAATACTTTGGCTCCCTCACCTCCCGGCTGGAATAAACTTGATCTCAGGGTTATTAATTGTGCACTCTTCACTGGCTCCCAAAGTTCCCAAGAAAAGTTGAGCCCACAGGGATAACTTACCGGCTAAGGTGCCCTGTGTTGCTGTCTGCCTTCCCCTTCCCTGGCTCACTTTCCCTCCTCCTCTGCTAGGGCTTCCTGGGATCGCTCATGTTCTTGTCTCCTGGTCTGCTCCTGGGACAACCCAGTCTGAGACACAGAATTAGCTCATTTAGTCCTCACAGTGATCCCAGAGAGGAGGCACTATCATTGCTCCCATTGCAGAGAAGAAAATCAAACCGAGGTACAGAGACGTTAAGTCATTTGCTCCAGGACACACAGGAAATGACAGAGCTGGGACTTGAGCTCCATGGTGGCTCCGAGTCTGTGTGTTGACCCCCCTGCCTGCAGCACCGTTTATATTTGGTCCTGACTATGATTTGAAGTAGGCAGGGGTTTCATGCAGACCAGCGGTTCTTCAGCTGTGGTTCTTCCCCAGCGACAGCAGCAGCACCTGGGAATTTGTCTGAAAGAGTGATTTGGGTGGCCCACCCCCAGAGCTCGATTCTGTGGGTCTTGAGGTGGGCCCGGGAGGTTCTAGTGCATGCTCCAGTTCGAGAACCACTGGCATAGGCGAGTGGTGTAGACACGACGTGCGGGAGAGGAATGGGAGGCAGCAGAGGGGTCTCCATCCCAGGGAAGAGAGGCTTCAGGGGAGAGAAGGGGGCGCGGGGGGTGGAAAGGGGTCAGATTCAGGCCACATTTGGGGTTGAGCCGACAGACTTGGAGATGGATGGGGTGTTGGGGGTGAGGGGAAGAAAAACCAAAGATGACCCCTAGATGTTTGGCTTCTGCCAGCAAGTGGATCTCAGCACCATCCTGAGTGGGGAACACCAGGGAAGCTGGCTGGGCAGGGCCGAGGGGTCCATGTGAAAATGAGGGGGTGGCATGCATTCAAGGGGGGCTGCCCCCTTGACAATTCTGCTTTGCCCCCCTCCCCAACCCTGCATTTTCCCGAGGCAAGTCTCTTTCTGGGAACCTGACTCCCTCTGAGAACAGGCCTGGCTGAGCAGCCTGGGGAGGAGTGGTTGGGGCAGTAGCCAGGGCCACTGGGTGGTGTGGGGGAGGGGTGGTGCACACGCTGCAAAGTCCAGTCCTGTGGCCTGTGAAGCGAGCAACAACTGTGGTACTCGGGGAACCTCTGTTCCTGGAAGGAATGATCAGGCAGAGGCTAGCTCACCCCACACCCTGGCTGTGATGTCCTGACTCCGAAACATCTAAAGCTCAGCGGGGCAAAAAAAGATAGCTGCATTTCACCGTTGCATTTCAAAGCTTTCAGACAATGGTTGCCACCCAAAGATGGAAGCCCCCAAGGCAGGCCACCCTGCTGCGCAAAAAGGGCTTTGGCTGGGACACCAGTGGGCTCCCTGTGAATGTTCACAATGGAGAACAGAGTTATGCTAACACCAGCAACTGATTTAAAAAGTAGGTGATTATTTTAAAATAGCATTTTAAAATATTTTCATCATTTGATTGTGTGCAGTGTTCACATGTCTAGGAAAGCAATCTCCATTACAACACAAGGACACACGGGCAAGGATTGGGTGGTGGGGAAAGGGGAATGCTTAGGACTTGCAGAAATATGGAGTTCAGTGGAGAGCTGTAGAATGGAAAGGATCTGAAGAGACGCCATACCAGGCAGGAGGACTGCCGCGGAGAAAGGGATGGCGGTGGGAATGACCGTGTCTGGCCATCAGCTGGCAAGGTGGCCCTCCGAGCTCAGTAGGAGATACCTGCGATGGGCCAGGTAAAGAAGCAGGTCTGACTGGAAAGGTAGGTGCGGATTCACTGAGCACAGGAGTGCGATTTCTCAGGGCTGGCAGGTAGAGAAGGAAAACAGACACTTGTCTCTGGAAGGGGATAAAATCTTTGATTTTACTCAATCTGATCCAACATATATTAATTGTGCACCTACCACATATAGGCACAGTTGTACACATGAAGATACAATGGTGAACTGGACAGACATGGCCCTGTCCACAGAGCATACACTCTGAGGGTGACAGCTTAGAGAGCATCACGTGATGTTATTGTGGTGCGGCCTGACGGGGTGAGGGACCTACCAAGGTCACACAGGGCTGGATCAGAGTCCCAGGCCCTGACCGCCAGCTCAGTGCCTTTCAGCCTGTCCTTGAGCAGGGACTCCTGGGAACACACTGTGGATGCACCAGGTGGCCCCAGTGCCCTCCTTGGCAACTTCAGGAGAGGGTAGTGAACTCTCTACCCTGTGGATTCTTCTGGAAAGAAAAGAGATGTTTCCTTGCTGCTGGTGGAACTTTAACCATAAGGAACCTACTTTTCTCCCATCTTTCTCCATACAGAAAGGGGTCTCTTAATTTGGGGCTGAATCTCAGACAGACTGAGGGGAGGGTGCCCCCCAGGCAGATTGCCCCTTGGGCATCCTAAGTATGTATCCTGAATTCACAGGAGGCATGGGATGAATTTAGACTAAGGGTGGAGAAGGCAGCTGTCAGAATTTTCAGCCTCCTTCCTTGGCCTGGGCAATTCTGCTCAGCCCAAACTTGCTCAGCCAAACCAAAGCCCTTTGGGGCATGGCTGTACCTCCTTAGAAGACGTCTGAGGTGGTATGTGCTGTTGTCTTGGCACATCTTCAGGAAAGAGGCCTCATCTCCAGCTCAAGTAATTTATCCTGGAATTCCTTACAACCACAAACAATTGACCCTGAGAGGGGCTCGAATAAATGTGAATTTCTCCATCTTATCACACTCCCACAGATGTCTTAGCAACGAAGCAGCTGGGGCCAGGGAGCATCTAGACTCACTTCTTAATTGGTCTCTCACTTAATCCTAAGCCTTCAGCACTTTCTCGCCTGGGTGTCCCTTCTTCATGCTATGCACATATACAAAGCCACAGAGTCATACGATTTAGGACCGGAAGGGATCTTTAAAAAATAACCAATGTGTTTTGGGTGCTACGAGCCAGGGACTGTGTTAAATGCTCAACCAGGATGAGCTCATTTGGCTTCCACTGTGAAACTGCTGCATTAGGGAGCTGCCCAGTCCAGCCTCTCAGAACACGCCACCTCAGGGCCACAGACACGGAAGGAGCCCCCACCACCCTGCAGGCCCCCCCCCCGCCCACCGATTTGTCCTAAACAGCCCTGGTCTTTTAACGAGGCTTTTGAGGTTGATGTTGCCCAACATTAAGCAGGAGTGAAGAGGAAGCAAGATGGAAAAGGGGCACCCACTCAAGTGAGCTTGGACCCTCAAGCTGGCCCTGCAGACCCCACTATGTCCTGGGGAGGCCTGGCAGGGGGTTCAGCCTCGCTGTCTTCGGGATGGTGATAGAGCCACCTATACTGCATCTCCAGCCCTTGTAAGCTCTGCCCGTGCTCTTTTCCCTACAGCCATGGGAGGTGGGGGCCACCTCTCATGCCCATAGCTGGCTCGTGGGGTCATGGTGAGAATTAAATGAGAAAACACATGTGGAGGGCTTAGCGTGGAGCCCTGTGCCTGGTGAGCTGTGACAGGTGCAAGCCTCTCCTGAGTCCCACTTTACAGATGGGGAAACTGAAGCCAGAGAGGATAAGTGACCAAGCTGGGTTTATGATTGGTCCTCCTTACCCCTGATCCCATGCTCCTTGTGGACTCGAACGCTGGATGCAGCCCAGACCCTGAACATGTGTCCAGGGAATCAGGGCACCAGTAAGGAGGATGAAAATGAGGCTGTGCACGCCGAGACAGTGGTGTTTTCCCAGCATGCCCCATTAAGGAGGGGCTATCAGTGCTTTCCCTGTATAAATGGGGAGACCAGACCTTTGCCTGAGGCCACACAGGGAGGCAGGATTTGAATTCAGGTCTCTCAAACAGCAGAGCATGAGTGCTTAACAACCACACACTACCGCCCCTACTGCTTCCTTCTCACAGGCAGAAAGCCAAGATCCCCCTGAAGCAGGCGCCCAAAGGCTGCACCGTTTCTGCTGACACCCCCATGACACACCTGGAGGTGGCCACGGTTGAGGCTGTTGGTGGCCGGGGTGTGTCATGGGGAGCATAAGGACCCCACAGTTGCACTGCCCAGGCTGGCATCCTGCACAGCCACTTGCCACCTGTGTGATCCCAGCCTGTGTCTGCTGCTGTGAACCTGGCTCAGAGTTGGATAAGCAGAGGAGAGCACCATGGCACGGCTGGGATTGACCCAGCCAGTGTGGCTCTTGGTCCATCCCAGCTTCTTGCTGCCCACTGCCTCCAGGTCAAGCATGTAAGGCTCTTAGCACTGCTGGGCACACAGCAGGTTCCTCACAGGCCCCACTCCTGCTGTGTGCCATGGCCACCCCCACTGCCCACCCTCTGCTCTGGGCTGTGTTCTGACCAGGGCCTGGCTCGCCAGGCGAGAGGAGGTATCCAGGGCAGAGGTACCACGTCTGGGGGAGTGGCCCTCTGTGAGCCCCTGGCCTGCTGGGCTCCTGGCCTGCAAGTAGCCCCCTCCCCCAGGAATGCCTCCAGATTTAAACACACCCATGTGCTGAGAAAAATACCAGTCCCCCTGCCCCCAGTGAGCGCCATCCAGCACTGGGGATTTTGCTGTCCCGGCAGTGGGGGTGTCCCCTGTGTGTCCCCTTCAACAACCACCTCCCTCTCAGGTGGCTTTGCAAGGCCTTGTTTTTCCGGACCAAAGTCCTGAGCAGAGGGGAAGAGCTTAGATGGGGTGGGGCTGCTCCCAGCTAACCCATAGCCAGAGTCTCTGAGAGCTGGAAGTTTCCAGCAAGAGATCCAGCCCGAGCTGGCTCCGTTAATCATTCTCCGTGGATTCGGGACTTGGCCTGGATGGAGTTTTCAGGCCACAGGACGGCCTGGGTTGAGCACGAGGATGGCACAAACATTCCAATGGGGGTGTTCTGGTGACCTGCCCAGGGAAGGGGCAGGGGCAGCGGTGGGGAGAGCGAATGCCCACCCTGTGGCTGGACGTAGCCAAGGGAGGCCCTGCTGTGATGCTAGAGGAGTGGTCCCCTGGGCTTGCCCACACCTCCTTCCCCATGTTCCTTCCAGAGCCAGAGGGGTGGGATGGGATAAGACGAGAAATGGGGCTGGGAAATTGAAGCTGGACAGCGCAGAGACGCCCTCCTGCAGCCCATAGAGCAGACTTCTGTGTGTTCCTAAACACCCTGCGCACCTTGCGGAGTGGACCATGCTGGATTCAAACATGAGAAAGAAAAGAGAAGCATGGTAACAGGTGCATGAGATCAACAAGGAGAGGCTCATGCCTACTGGGCACTCACTGCATGCCAGGCACGGTGCCCTGCGCCCAGGAGCCACCTGTCTAATGCTCCCGACACGCGAGCAGTAAGGACTGTCACTGTGTCCACTTCTGAGGGGGAACACTGAGGCTCTGTCAGGTTAGATCCTTGTCCAGGCCCCATGGTAGGAAATGGCAGAGGAGGCTGGACCTACCTCCAAGCCAGGTGTGGGACAGGCCTGGGTGGAGAGGGGTGAGGTGCACGTGTCCCCTCAGAGACCCTGGTCCAACAGCCAGTTCCCCGTGATGTGGTGTAGGAGTGGCTGGAAACTCTTAGATCCTGGGATCACAGACCCCAAGGCCAGGACGAAGACCTACTGCCACCAGCTGGAGTGGAGGGGACATCACTGGGAGGGACCCTGGGCAGTGGGTGCAGTGTGGCCCCATGAAGGCCCGGTGGGGACCAAGCCGGGCAGGCAGCTGCACCCACTGACTCCTCTGCCTTTCCCTCTGTTTTGTTCTGTCCTCTTTCACAGGGACACCCACAGCCTCTGTCGCTCCAGGCCCATGTCTGCCCAACACAGCTGCCTCCAACTGAGCAGCTCTTCTGTGGGGCCGGGGCGGTTCTCCTAGGAGAGCAGCCTACGCTACAGGCCCATGAGCAAAGTTTGCTGGGAAGAGGGCACCTGAAAGAGGCCTGGGGGCCTGAGGGCATGAGCGTGTGAAGAAGTGGGAAGGGAGCTCCATGAGAGGGAACAGCATTATAGAGGGGTTCAGAGGCAAGGGCCAGGCCAAGTGCGCCTGGAACTGGCTGCACGGGTGCATCTGGTGTGCTGAGTTTTGGCTGGGGAGCAGGAGGAGGAGGAAGAGGAAGAGCGGTCGGAGGGCCGGGTCTGGCTAACTGAGGGCTGAGTTCAGGAGTTCAGTGTTCTGATCCTGGGGGCAATAGGGAGCCACTGAAGGTTGGGGCCAGGGAGTAACAGGACTAGAGTTGTAGCTCCCAGGGTCCCCTGGATGCTGAGAGAATGGACAGAGGGGCCAGAGGGACATGGGAGGCCAGTGGGGAGATTCCTTCCATAGCCAAGAGAGACGTGGTGGCTTGGCTGGAGGTGGTTTTGGAAGTGGGGAGAATGGGTTAATGGAGGATTCTAAAAGTGGGTTTTGATGGGACCCTCCCCAAGGAGGCTTCACCAGAAGCAGAGATCTGCCTGGGTCCCAAGAGAAGACGTGGGGAGCAGGGCTTGGGACACTACCCTGCTGCTGGGGCGCCGGGAGGGGGCCTGTCGCGCTTCTCATTGCTCTGAGCGCTCCTGCCCCCTCTTTGGGGAGACAGGCTCTTCCCATCTCACCAAGGAGTGGCTGGAAGCCCTCAGAGCAATGAGAAGGGCAAGGAGGACATGGGAGCTGCACTGGGCCTTGCCCATCCCCCACCAGGGGAGGACAAGCTGGCGGGGAAGGAGTGGGCCAGCCTGGAGGCCCCTCTGGATGTGCAGGCTGGGATTGAGGTTCAGGATTTGGGGTGGGGGCAGAAAGGTGGTTTCGTCTGGACCTTGACAGTCAGCAGAGGAGGTGGGAGGGAGCTTGTCACTTCCAGCCCCATCCTGCAGCCCCTCATGTCTGGCAGAAAGTCTCTGGACGGTCTATGACACCTCCAGCCTTGGCCTTAGGTATCCTCTGTCCAAAACTGGAATCAGCCAGAAAAATCAATGCTTAATCTGGTGACTTCAAGAGGAACATCGGCCACCACCTCGGAACCTGGACCCAGACCTGGGTTTTTGTAAATACCCCGGCTTGGAGTGAAGTCCTTGTTCAAAGTCCCCCACTGGTTAGTGGGATTCAAACCCCAGCTGAGGTCCAGAGATCGTGCACTTGGTTCTGCGTGGGGGTGCGTGGCAGCCCAGGAAGTGGGTTCAGAGGCTGTGGGGCTTACCGGGCACCTTGATCTTTCCGGACCCAACTGTGGCCCCCAGGGAATCCGAGATGCATCCTGGCTGCCATGGCCCTGGTCCAGGAATCACAGTGGGCTGGGGGGATGGGACCGGCCTGGCTGGGCACAGGGGCCAGAGAAAGGAAGGGAAGAGATGGCACCCAGGGGCCGCCAGCTGAGGGCACAAAGGTGAGAGGACACCGGGCCTTGGGGAGCTCATGGTGCAGTGGGAGAACAAGCGGGATGAGGGTCCCCATGACAAAAGCAGAAACCCAGGCTCGGAGGGTGGCTTGCAGGCAGGTGGCAGAGCAGGGATGCGAAGCCGGGCGAGCCTGCTGCAGCTGCCACCTCTTTGGGTGGGAGCGTGCCTCACTCGAGGGCTTGCTCTCTGTGTGAGGCTTTTTCTTGTCCAACAAACACTCACTTGCTGTGTGTCAGGCCTGTCCAAGCGTGACAGGTGTCCACTCCCTAAAACCCCCATAATAACTCTGCGAGGTCAGTGCTGATGGGAAACCAGGCACGGGGTGGGTGGGCACCTGCCCAGAGCCAAGCAGCCTGGGAGAGGGCTCAGCTACCCAGACAGCTCTGCCGCAGAACAAGGAGGACCAGGAGGCCTCGATTTACCCTTCAGCCCCGGGTCCCACAAAGGGCCAAGGTCAGGAACTGCCCCTTCTCTGTTCTTAATCTCACCCCAGGACCTGGGCCAAGTAAGAGGTGAGTCCCCAAGGCTGCCAGCCACAGCCTGTGTCAGAGCCTCCTGGGGAGGGGCTGCTGAACCCCTGGTCACACCCAACTTCCCCGCACAGCGCCTGGGGGCGGGGCCTTGGAGCTGTGATTTGCATCCAGCTCCTTGGCAGATGTCAGCCACCACTCACACTAGGGTCTTAGTGCAGGCCTGGCCCCCGGAATGGTGCTGCTCGTTTGAGAAGACACGAGTGTCTCAAGCAGAACACGAGGGGCCCATGAGATGTGGGGTAGAGTTTACAGGACACAGAGAGAAACTCCGACTCAGGGAAAGGCCCGGGAGGGCTACAGGGAGGAGGAGGAGGGCAATGGGCCAAGTTAAGAGGCAGGACATCCAGGCAGAAGGCACTGACTGAACGGAGGCCGGGAGGCTGGAGAGGGGTGTTCCTAGCTGCAGTAATTAGATCCTTGGAGCAAACGAGGAAGAAGGTGTAAGAAAAGGAAGATGCGTGGGTCGGGCCAGATCTTGAAAGGCCCCAAGGGACAGGTTAATCGGCCAGGTTTCCACACCCACTGGGCATCAGAGTCACCTGTGGGAGTTCATTCCTTCACTCATTCAAGAGGTGCATATTGAGTGCTACTGTGGGCCAGACATAGTTCTCAGCCCTGGGGAGCCCGTGGGGAACTGACTGATGAGACCCCTACCCTGGTGGAGACAGGAGTGTCATCAGAGGACAGAGACTGTAATTAAAGAAATAGGAAATAAAATAATGGCAGATCCCTCTGAGTGCTCACAAGCAGATAGACCAGGACACAGTAGAGAGCGCCTGGGCTGGGAGAGGGGTCGTTTGAACCGAGTCCCCGAGGTGAGCCAGAGGAGAGGTCTCAGAAGTGGGTGGGAAGCCTCCAGAACAGATGGACCCTGGCAGCCCCTGCAGGGACTGGACCCAAAGCCTCTGAAGGACGCATTGAGGCCATCACCTCTGGGCAGACGGGCATGCGCAGAGCATCACCTGTGCTCCGCAGACGAACGGCCTGACTTGGGATTTGAGGGTCTGCAGAGATGGGGTGGGTGTAGGGGGTCTCAGAATCAGAAACTCTGACCCTGGATGGGACCTCGGGGACCAGCCCCTGGTCCAGGGGTCTGGAACCGAATTGAGGCAGAGGGCGGCATCCTTGCCCCCGCGCCCTCCTGCCCTGCGAATTCTGTGGGCCTTTTTTTTTTTTTGCAAAAACAGATCAAGGGCGCCACCTGGTGGCTAGAGCTGAGGCCGTGGCCGCTTCAGCCCAGGCCGGGGTCCACGGTGGCCAAGGCTCAGTAGGCCGGTCCCTTTAGGTCACTTCCGATTTTGTAGATGTTTGTGGTTACACAATTAATATGTTTACCTTGCAGATACAGTAGAAAACCCAGATAAAGCCAAAAGAAAGCAACCACCTGGAATTTCGCACCCAGAACAAACCTTTCTTCACATGTGCACGGATTTCTTTCTAGACTTTTCTTCATCCATCCAGGCATTTTCATACAAAAAGTGAATCATACCCCACAGAGAGTCTGCAACCTGCCGAGCTGTTTCCCACTCACCGCTAGATCGTGGCTCTCTTTCGTGCCAATGAATATACTTTTACAACATCATTCCTGCAGCTGTGCACGCACTTTGGGTGTGGCCAGAAAGTGATTGAGGTCGACTGAGCCCCTGTAGGTTGGATTTCTTTGGAGCAAAGTGAGTTTTCCAGAGTTTTTTCATTTTGTTTTTGCCTCCCTTGGGGAAGACAGGAACTTCAAAGCCCTCATTTCTCTGGTGCAAAACGGGTTTTGACAAATCCACATTTAGGGGTAAACTTCATGGTGCCAGCCCCCCGCCTCCCTGTGTCTGAAGCTGGGAGCATAGGGGCACTTGCTACTCACCCTGTGAACTGCCCGGGGCCCCTCTTGGAGCCTGAGGGTTTGGTTTACACTGCCTGAAATGGACGCACGGGCAGGTCATATGCTTCACAGGGCTGTTTTGTGTTCAACAGGTGGTCTTTGTAAAGCACTCCACGCAGGGCTCGGCCTGTGGTCAGCCCTTGGTAACTGTCAGCTTTGTTACCATTCAAAGGACCACAGGGTGTGGGACAAGAGCACTGCGGCCCCCCAGGCCTGTGCTCTCGTCACCGGCTGCAGGATGGGGGCCTGTTCTCGTCACCTGCCGAAGGGCTGAAATGCCTCCTTGGGGGTCATGGTGGGGCCTGACTTATTGGGTGCCGAGTTAGATCACCCTTTGCTATTCATGAGGCTGTGGCTGTGCCAGGAACCACGGGCGCTGTGACAACACAGCCACGTCCCCTGACACCCACTGACGTCCCCTGCTCTGGGGCTCTCCACCGATGATCTCATTTAACCCCGTTTTGCGGATGGGAAAACTGAGACTCAGGGATTCAATGACACTTGTAACATCTCACACCTGGTCAGTGGCGGAGCCCTCTGGGGCCCAGGCCTGGCTGCCACTCGGGGAGGTCTTGTTGGGGGCCTCTTTCCTTTGTCAGTGACTCCAGGACCTCTGGGCAGAGTGGGAGGAGGTGACATTCAGCAGAGTGTGGCCGTGGTGCTGTGTGTGTGAGATGGGAAGCAGTTGCCCTGTCTGGAGGCCTGGGCCCTACCTGGGCACTGAGCTGTGTGTATGTGTGTGTGGTGCACGCTGGTGGGGGGTGCTGAGGTTCAAGGTAGCGGGTCACTTGGGCATGTCACAGCACAGAGGGTAAACCCGCTGTCCACCAGGCTTGGGGCAGATATGGCTTCTGAATCCATCCTACCTGAGCACATTGTCAGACTCAAACAAGGAGCTAGACTAGGAGTCAGAGAAGGAGGGGCCAGATGGAGAGAAGGGGGTGGCTCAGGATGGGGCGTGGTGAGGGACCATTACCCACAGCACTGATGCGGCCGCACCAACGAGGCAGGCCCCTGCTAGTTTCATCCTGAACACAGATGATCACCCCATTTTGCACATGTGGAAACGGAGGCGCAGGAGGACTAGGTACTTGCCCAAGGTCACACAGCTAGAAAATGGTTGGGCAAAACCTTGAGTCTGGGGTGGTCCAAGTTTGTATCTTTGGCCCTACACTGTTGTGTAGACCTGGGAGGCATCCACCCACTTGGTGAGCCAGAGAGGGGCCTGTGGGCTGACTGTAAGCTCAAATGGGCCCTCTCTTCAGGTCCTGCAAATGAGGCACCGCCCCACCTCCCTACCTCCCAGACAGGGGTTGATGATGTGGGTTTTCTTCCACACTTGGAGGTCGACTGTACTCATTTTGTGCCCTGGGTTTAATCCTAGAGGGCCATTCACTGGCTGTGTGACCTTGGGCAAGTAGCTTAACCTCTCTGTGCCTCAGTTTTCTCCATGTGAAACGGGGTAAAGATTCCTTTCTTCGTGGAGTCGGTGGGAGGATGAAGTGAGTTAGTGCCTGCGGGAGTCCGGGGGGCATCAGCTCCCGCAGGGTCGGGACTTCGATGCCACAGATGGGCTTGCAGGTAGGGTCCTTGGGAGTCACGCAGGAGCTGGACTGGGGACTTGAGCGGGGGTACCCAGGTTGCAGGGGTGTTCCCCACGATAGAAGAAAATCAGCCTCTGAAGGGTGCTGGGTTTGTGCTCCTTCCCCCAAATTTGGGGCACGGGCATCAGCCAGAAAGGAGCCCGCCCCCGGCCCGGGAGGGCAGAACAGGAACTTTCACCTGGGGCCTGTGGACCGGCTGCAGGCTTATGTGCACCACCCCGGAACCGTGGGGGAAACACGTGTGTCTGGCTGCTTTGTGGGGAAGGAACAGGAGGGGGTCACACGGGATCCCCCCCACCCCGCCTGACCCCACCTCAGGCCCTGGAAGTTTCCGAGCCCAGCCTGGTGAGCGGCGGCCGGCGGCGTGCGGCCAGCAGAGGGCGCTCGGGCCAAGGCTGTGAAAGGCCGGCTCCGCGCTCCTCCCCTCCAGGCCGCCCCTGCAGTCGAGACCTGCGGAGGGCGCGGGCGGGGGCTGGCTTGGCCCTAACTCTCCGGGAGCCCGGGTGGGGCCGCTGGGGTCACAGCTGGGGCCACAGCTGGAAGCCGGCCCAGACATCTCAGCCCGGGGCGGGTGTCACAGGGGAAATTTTGACAATTTCCCGGCCTAGCCCCACCTGTACAGACGGCTGTCAATCAATCCCCGGGAGGGCCTAGGCTTCAGCCCCCAGGTCTGGGCACCACTGGGCAAGGGCTCCCTTCATTCTTAGCGTGAGCTCCCACCAGGCAGGGTCTGTCCCTATTTCTGCCCATTTAACAGAGTAGGAAACTGAGGCTCAGAGGTGGCAGGACTTGCCTGAGATTACACTCACTTGCCTGGGATTACACACACCAGGGGCTGTGACGCCAAGCCCCATTATTTTTTTCCCCATTTATTCTTTTATATTCGTGATATTAACAGCAGCAGCAGCGCCTGTAACGGACCTTCTCAGTCTGGGCCTTGCTGGCACTCTGGGCTAGATGTCTGTGTTAGGGGCATGGGGTGCGCTGAGCGTTGAAGGGCATGGGGTAGCCTGCACATTGAAGCATGCTCAGCAGTGCGGGCTGTGTGAGGCTCCCCAGGACGATGCCCGTGTTCTAATCCCAGAACCTGGAACATGTTACCTTACATGGAGAAACAGACTTTGCAGAGGTGATTAAGTTAAAGATAGTGAGGTGGGGGGTCATCCTGCATTATCAGGGTGGCCTCGATGTCATCACAGGGGTCCATCTAAGAGGAAGGAGGAGGTGAGAGGGAAAGACAGAGGTTCAGAGCCGGTAAGCCAGATGCTGGGGGCAGAGAGGAGTCACACAAATGGGGGGATCAAAGATTCACCTCCAGGATCTCCCAGCCACGCAGTTCACCCCCCACACCCCTGACCTGCAGGTGGAGCTGGGAGGGCCAGGCCTGTCTCGAGCTCTGTAGCCAGGGGCGCCAGACCCCCTCCCCCCTTTCCCCACCCCCGGCCCCCCAGCTGACACTCCCGCCTTCAGGGCTTTGCCGGCACTGGCCCTGCTGGATTGCTTCTCCAGCAGCTGGGGGCATTCAGCTGATTGTGGCAAAGGCCACTGTGCCCCGGGGTGGGCGTGGGGGGCAGGTCAATGAGACACAGTGGGGGAGCTGACCAGCCAGGGGCTGGGAGGTGACAGCCAGGCCGCGGTGATATGTCCCAGGCAGCTTTTTCAGTAACATGTTTAAGAGCACTGGCTTGCAAGCCTGCCTGATGGCTGGGTTTGAATCCTATCTCTGTCCTTGGGCAGTAGTTTCACCTCCCTGAGTGGGTTTGAATCCTATCTCTGTCCTTGAGCAGTAGTTTCACCTCCCTGAATGGGCTGCCTTGGAATCATGCAGCGGGGGCTGCATCATGCTGCGTATCCACAACTGTCCAAGGAACCCTTGTTTCACAGGAGCTCTTGCAGAAGAGGGTTTTCATGGAATGCAAAATCCTGGTCCTGCTGGCCCCTCCCCATCTGAGGTGATGTGGCTGCCCGTGGGTGGGTGCCAGTCTGCTGTCATCCGTGGGAGCTAGCAGCCTGGCAGATGGGAGTGTTAAATCCTCCGTGATGGGTTGACCACCAGGACTGGAAAAATCTGGTTTTCAATCTGGAATTTTGAACATGGGTCTCACTTGTCAGCCATGTGGCTTTGGGCAAGCCACTTACCCTCCCTTGGCCCCAGTCTCCTCATGTACTTAAGGGGAGGATTAAAGAATGCTTAGAAAATGCCCTTGTCACAGAAGGTCCACACCATTCTAAGCACCCCCAAATTCAGGGGTGAGCCTGGATTGGCTACAGCTAATGACTCTCATCCCCATGCCCAATTGGAGGTGGCAAATACTGGGGTGGTTTAGAAATTGCTTTTGTCCCCTGTGGGAATGTGAGGTCTGGAACCACTGCAGCCATTTTGTCCCCAGCAGGGCAGAACTCTTAGTGGCTGGAAAGTCTCCGTGTGGAGCCTGAAAAAGCTGAGTCTGTGGGAAGCCATGAAGAGAGATGGAGGGACAGTGGGTCCTGAACCACATTGTTTGAGCTGCTGGATGAGGCCTTACCTGAACACTGCTAGTTTGTGAGTCAATAAGCACGCTAAAAAAAAAACAACAAAAAAACCTGCTTTTTGTTTTGATTCAAAAGTACAAATAGATCTGCAACATCCCACCTACAATATTGAACAGATGCCTAAACATACAGTCGTCCCCCAGTATCCCCAGGGGATTGGCTCCAGGACTCCCTGTGGGTACAAAATCCATGGATACTCAAGTCCCTGATATGAGATGATATAGTATTTGCATATAACCTATGCACATCCTCCTGTATACTTTAAATCATCTCTAGATTACTTATAATACCTAAAACAATGTGAATGCTATGTAAATAGTTGTTATACTGTATCATTTAGGGAATAATGACAAAAAAGTCCACACGTGTTTAGTACAGATGCAGTCATCTTGTTTTTCAGATATTTTCGATCCTCAGAACCCACACATACATAACCGACTGTATTTTTAAAAATCTTATTGGTTTCATTTTTCCCACTTGAAAATTTTTTCCCACATTCACTCAGCCTTCCATTCCAGGCCAGACCCAGTGGCTTCATAGGTTTTCTGTGCAGTATCAGGCTTCAGATTCTCACAACTCCCCATGCAGGGTTTTGTTTTGTTTTTTTTTTTTTTTTTGAGCCTTCGGTGGCTGGGGCCCTGTGGAGAGAGACTCATCAGAGAGCAGAGAGCTGGAGAGAAAGAAGCCTGAAAGGAAGGCTTGAGCCTCTGGATCCAACCATTCCTGAACATGAGTGTCCCTTGATTCCCCAGTTGCATGAGCAAATACATTCACCATTGTGCCTGAGCCTGGGGAGCTAGGCTTCGGCCATTCAAAGCCAAAATGCCCGTGAGTCCCTCTGTAGACTCTTCTTCCTGCTCTAAGCATCCAATTTTGGTTGCCTGGTAAAATCTCACAAGTGAGGAGTCCTGTCTGGGGTCACCCAGAGAGGAGGAGAGCAGCTGGAATGAGAACATAAAATTGCATCTGTGAGCAGGTTGGTGGTTTCAGAAAATCATTTCCAACTCCTGGAGCAAATTCCTCCTCCCTGCATCGAGTTCTGGGGGCTACAAGCTCCGTTTGCACACACCATGGCAGAAGGGAGGGGTGGGTGGGCGGGCTAGACACAGCGCGGGCTGAGGGGTGGATGGACTTAATCATTCTCTGCTTTTAATGGTATCTAGTTAATTTCCTTCCCAAGGAGACTAACATTGACCTTCACCTCTGGCCCCCATTAACTGCTAGCAATGCTTTGTCAGCGTATTTATGACAAATTAATTACACAGGGAAAATCTTGCTGGGAAAATGAGTATTCTGATTCAGCCTGGGGGTGGAAGCTGCATTTTGATTCCTCATTGACAGGGGGCCTGGTTATCCACAAAGTTTGGCCAAACTTGGAGGCAAGCAACTGATTTGCAGCTCCATGCAGCAGGAAGACACGCCCAGAAAGATAGACAAACCCCATTCTCATCCCCTCCTGCCTAGTGACTCATGTTTGCAAACTGGGTACTCTATGAGAAAATACTCTGGGGATCCCAGATCAGCATGGTGGTTGAGATAACTTTGCCTACAGTATGGCTGAGCAGCTCCAGTCCATGGGACAAGACACCCTATCCCCCAGAGTCAATCCAATGGCTGTACCGACCTTGTTGCCTAGGTCTGCCCAGTCCTCCCTGTGGGCTGGCTTGTACAGCAGTGTCTGGTCCAAACTCCCAAGCGGCCATGGTCTGGTCCCCACCTGCCTCCGCAGCCAGCCTCCCTCCACTCTTCTTTGTGCTGGGCTCTCCGGCAATACCCAAACCACGGTGGTTCTCTGAATAACTCAGCTGGTTCTGATCTTCATGGCTTTACTCCAGCTGTGGCCTGCCTAGAGCACCATTTCCACCCTACGCAGCCTCCTCCCTCTGCCTGGTCTTGAAAAATGTGCTCTTGAGAGTTCCCTCCTCCTCCAGGAAGCCTTCTGGACCCCTCTAGGCTGTGTCTGGGCCCCTGTCCCACACTCCCATGATTCCCTGTGATGGTTCCTGCTCTGAACTCCCTGCCTGTGTACGTTCCCCTCCTGACTCACTGTGAGCCACTATCAATGACAGGGCTTTGTCTCCCACTCTCAGTAGCCCAAGGGCCCAGCACAGGAGTTAGCCTGCAGGATGTGGTCAGTGAAGGGCCTTGTCCAGCATACATTGGACCCTGGAGGTATAAGAGTTGAAAGCCAGGGCCCCTGAGTCCAGTAAATTCCTCATTCAAAGCTGGGGAGTGTAGCGGACTTCTGAGGTTCTAGCCTGTCCAGCATCCCTTTCCTGGTAAATTTAGAAAACAGCTGATCCATCACCCTTAGGCCATGTGACTGGGGGTGGCTGCTCCCCATCCTGGTTCCAGAGATAAGCTATGTGATACCAGTTGGCCAATCACCGCATTCTATTGCTCTGGCCAATGACTGGTGGGGAATGGGCATACAAATAAAGCCATCTGTTGTGGCTTTTGCTGTCGGGAAAGTCATCCCTCTCCACTGGGTAGCTAAGCTAGTGGTGTGGGGGCCTGGAGCTGCTGGGGGCTATCATTGAAAACAGAGGAAAGCAGTAGGGGGGTGGAGCGAGGCTGAGTTCTAAGAGATCACCTGAGCTCCTGGATCTAGACATTCCTGAAGCAGGCTCTATGCCTGGGCTTGTCTATTAGAAGATCCAGTGCATCCCCTTTTGTGCTGAAGCAGGTCTCAGCTTTCTATCATCTACGACCAAATGAGTCTCGATGGACGAGAGCTAGACTAATGACAAGGCAATGTTGGGGCAATGAAGTGTGGGTTTGATATGGGGAGCAGAGGAGGCTTCAGAAGCAGACAGGAGGCATCCAGCTAGCCTGGGAGCTCTGAAATCTCTCGGTAAGGTCATGCCTCAGGTTGAGTAGCAGTGAGCTAAGGGGAGTGGGTAGGGGAGGTGAGGGGGCAGCTGCCCTTCAGAAATGGAAATCCCAGTGGAGCTGGCTTCAGCACTAAGGGGACATCTCAGTTCTTCTAATGGGTAAGTGCTAGGATAGGTTCTGCTTCAGGAATGACTGGATCAAGGAGCTCAAACAATGTCTTACGAATCCCCTTTAAGGGATGAACTGTAAGTTCTATATATCAGTCTAGGTTCTGACCAATATGTCAAAGCATCCACCCTAAAGATCCTCCCAGTCGAGTTGGGCAAGGAGATATGAATTTGTTCAATAACTGTTTTTACTGAGGCCCTGTGATGAGCCAGCCCCTCCCCGCCAAGGTAGACATTAGCCCCAGGGGCATCAGCTTTTGGGTGTCAGATGCCAAGGCCAGTGAAGGAGACAGAGTGGAGTGTGACAAACGCCCACCTGAGGACTGGGTGTGGCATTGGAGTTGGGGGCAGCAGAGTGCCTGTGTGTGTGCATGTGTGTGTGTACACCTGTGTGTGCATGTGTGTGTGCCTATGTGCACACTGAAGGACGGACACAGTCCTTGTTCCACAATCACCCTGCCCAGCTGATCACCACCTCCCTCTATCCCTCTCCATCTTCCTCCCACCATGCCCCACCAAATCCCTCCACTACCCACCCCACCCCATGGTTCAAGAAATGTTGCAGAGCCCATAGCCCTTCTACGGGAACTTAGCCCCTAGCGGGGTGGTGGGGTCTGGTAAATAACAAGCTGACATGGTTTTGCTGTGTCCCCACCCAAATCTCATCTTGAATTGTAGCTCCCATAATTCCCATGTGTTGTGGGAGAGACTCAGCAGGAGATAATTGAATCATGGGGATGGTTCCCCCATACTGTTCTCCTGGTAGTGAAGTAAGTCTTATGAGATCTGATGGCTCCATAAGGGAAGCCACTTTCCCTTGGCTCTCATTCTCTCTCTTGCCTGCTGCCATGTAAGACGTGCCTTTCGCCTTCCACCGTGATTGTGAGGCCTCCCCAGCCACGTGGAAGTGTGAGTCCGTTAAACTTCTTTTTGCCTATAAATTACCCCGTCTTGGGTATATCTTTATCGGCAGCGTGAAAATGGGCTAATCCACAAGCACTCCCTGCTGATTGGCCAGAAGAGGTCACCTGACCCATGGGTCAGCCAATGACTTCCACCAGGGCCTGGGGACCCAGGGTCGGGGTGGGAAAGAATTTTCTCTTTGGGAGTCCAGCTAAAAGATCCTGAGAGATCAAGGCTGAGGAGAGAAGATTCTAGAAAGGTCGGGTGATAAGGAGGTCAGGTGGCCACAATGGGCCTTGAGGAAGTGAGACCTCAGGTGAGGAGAGAGTGGGGCAGTGTTTCAGTTGGCTCAGGCTGCTATAAAAAAATGCCTCACCCTGGGTAATTTATAAGCAACAGGAATTTATTGCTTACAGTTTCGGGGTCTGGGAAGGCCAAGATCAAGGTGCCAGCAGAGTCAGTGTCTGATGAGGGGTTGGTCTCGGCTTTAAGGATGGCACTTTGTTACTGCATCCTCACATGGCGGACAGGCAAGCGGGACTAACAGGCTCCCTCAAGCCCTTTCATGGCAGCGCTAATCCCACAATCCCACTCGCCCTCCTGACTCCATCCCCTCCAAAAGGCCCCATCTCTTCATACCACTGCACTGGGGATTATGGTTGGTTTATTTTTTATTTATGTATTTATTTTTTTGAGACGGAGTCTCGCTCTGTCGCCCAGCCTGGAGTGCAGTGGCGCGATCTCGGCTCACTGGAAGCTCCACCTCCCGGGTTCACACCATTCTCCTCCCTCAGCCTCCGGAGTAGCTGGGACTCCAGGTGCCCGCCACAACGCCCGGCTAATTTTTTGTATTTTTTTTTTTAGTAGAGACGGGGTTTCACCATGTTAGCCAGGACGGTCTGGATTTCCTGACCTATTGATCCGCCCGCCTCGGCCTCCCAAAGTGCTGGGATTACAGGCGTGAGCCACTGCACCCAGTTGGGATTATGTTTTGATATGAATTTTGTTGGGACTCAAACATTCAAACCACAGCAGGTAGCCATGATGGAAGGTAACTCCAGGCAGATGCCCCGAGCCCAGGAAAGAGTGGAGAGAGTCCCCTGGGCCTGGGGGACCGAGCCCCACTCCCATCTACCCACCTCCTCTTGGCACACCAAAGGTTCCCCAAGGCAACTCCCTGTCATCTACTCCTGGCCATCAAAAGACCTGGCCTGAACCCATCCCCATGCCAGGTCCATTCCCCCAAAACTGATTCATGCAGGTTATGTCTGGAAGCAAGCAGGTCAAACAAGACGCTAAGGAATGCAGAGAGCAGCAGGCTAGTCTCCCTAGCATGCGCCCACCCCCAGCCTGTGTCCAAGCCCCACGTGAGGCTGTGCACTAAATCCCACCTCCCCACCAGCTCCCCTCGTGTGAGGCTTCATCCACATAGTGGCTGCCTTCTGCAGCTTTGTGACTCCTGTTTCCAAGAGTCATAGTTTCCAGCTTGGGGGTGAGCTTCGAGTGGCTGGGAGTGATGGGCTGACCAATGTCTCGAGGAAAGTGACTTCTGGATTGTGTGTCTGCGGGACGACGACCTAGGGAAGAGAAGATGGGGGATCAGCTTCATGGGCACGTGGCCTGGGCATTTCCACAGGGACCCGCTCTTGGAAGGATTTCGAGCTCAGCTTGAGCCTTTGTTGTTACTGTCTTTAGATTTGTACAAAGTCTTGAACAGGGAGCCCCACCTTTTCACTTTGCACTGGGCCCCCAGATCATGTAGCCAGTCCTGTCCTAGTTTCACAGCAGTGAGATGGAGGAGCAGAAATAACACCAGAAAGCCCCCATCCCAGGGCTCTCCCAGTCCTCCCAGGGACCCCAAAAGACGGCTCTACATGCTCTGGCACTGACAGTCTCTGATTAGCAATTTCCTCAAACAAAACAAAACAAAACAAAACAAAACAAAACAAAAACCATTCCAGGCCTTACACATCTCAGGATAAGGTCCCGCCCGCCACTCAAGGAGGAAGTGACAGGCAGACCTCATTTTATCTCACTTTACCTTATTGTACTTTGGTTTATTACACTTCATAGATATTGCACTCATTTTTCACAAGTTGAAGGTTTGTGGCACCCTGTGTGAAGCGAGTCTATCAGTGCCAATTTTTCCAGCAGCATATGCTCACTTCCTGTCTCTGCGTCACATTTTGGTAATCCTCACAATATTTCACACTTTTTCATTTTGATTATATGTGTTATGGTGATCTGTGACCAGTGATCTTTGATGTTGCTATTATAATTGCTTTGCTTTGGGGTGCCACAAATATCACCTGTAGAAGATGACGAAGTTAATTAATAAATCTGTGTGCTCTAACCTGTCACTGATCAGCCATCTCCTCCTCTCTCTCCCTCTCCTCAGGCCTCCCTATTCCTTGAAGACACAACAATATTGAAATTAGGAAAATTCATAACCCTACAATGGGCCGGGCGCCGTGGGTCACACCTAGAATCCCAACACTTTGGGAGGCTGAGGTGGGCAGATCACCTGAGGTTGGGAGTTCAAGACCAGCCTGACCTACATGGAGAAACCCCATCTCTACTAAAAATACAAAGTTAGCCAGGCGTGGTGGTGCAGGTCTGTAATCACAGCGACCCAGGAGGCTGAAGCAAAAGAATCCCTTGAACCTGGGAGGTGGAGGTTGCAGTGAGCCAAGATTGTGCCATTGCACTCCAGCCTAGACAACGAGAGCAAAACTCCATCTCAAAAATAAATAAATAAATAAATAAATAACCCCAAACGGCCTCTATGTGCTAAAGTGAAAGGAAGAGTTGCACGTCTCTCACTTTAAATCAAAAGTGAGAAATGATTAAGCTTGGTGAGGGAGGCATGTCCAAAGCTAAGACAAGTTGAAAGCTAGGTCAAAAGTTAGCCAAATTGTGAAGGCAAAGGAAAGGGTCTTGAAGGATATTAAAAGTCTTACTTCAGCAAACACATGAGTGATGAGAAAGTGAACCAGCCTTGTGGCTAGTGTGGAGAAAGTTTTAGTGGTCTGGATAGAGGATCGAGCCAGCTACAACAATCTCTTAAACCTAAGCCTCGTCTAGGGCAAGGCCCTTGCTCTATTCAATTCTAAAGGCTGAGAGAGGTGAGGAAGCTGCAGAAGAATAGTTGGAAGTGAGCAGAGGTTGGTTCATGAGGTTTAAGGAAAGAAACCGTCCCCATAACATGCAAGTGTGAGGTGAAGCAGCAAGTGCTGATGGAGAAGCTGCAGCAGGTTACCCGGAAGCTCTAGCTAAGATCATTGATGAGCGTGACTACACAACAGAGCAGGTTCTTAATGTAGATGAAACAGCCTTCTATTGAAAAAAGATGTCATCTAGAACTTTCATAACTCGAAAGGAGATGTCAATGCCTGGCTTCAAAGCTTCAAAGGGGACAGGCTCTCTTGTTGGAGATTAATGTAGCTGGTGACTTTCAGCTGAAGCCTCTCCTCAATTACCATTTTGGAAATTCTAGGGCCCTTAAGAATGATGCTAAATCGACTCTGCCTATGTTCTATGAATGAAGCAACAAAGCTAGATGAGAGCACCTGTATATAGCTTGGTTTACTGAATATTTTAAGCCTAGCATTGAGACTTACTGCTTAGAAAACAAAATATTCCTTTGAACATTTCACTGCTCATCGTCCATACCACAGGATCTGAGTGTTCCGCATCCTGGATTGAGGGCCAAAAAAAAATTTTTTTTTTACTACTCGTTGACAATGCACCTGTTCATCCACGGGCTCTGATGGAGATGTAAAAAAGAATTAACATTGTTTTCATGCCTGCTAGCACAGCATCCATTCTGCAGCCCATGGATTAAGGAGTAACTTCAACATTCACTTCTTATTCTTCAATAAATATATTTTATGAGGGCATAAGTGCAACACAGAGTGATTCCTCAGATGGATCTGGGCAAAGTAAGTTGAAAATCTTCTGGAAAAGATCACCAATCTACATGCCGTTAAGAACATTTGTGATTCATGGGAGGAGGTCAAACTATCAACATTCACAGGAGTCTGGAAGAAGTTGATTCCAAATTTCATGAATGACTTTGAGGGGTTCAAGACTTCAGTGAAGGCAGCAACTGCAAATGTGGTGGAAATAGCAGGAAAACACAAATTAGAAGTGGAATATGAAGATGGGACTGAATTGCTGCAATCTCATGAGAAAGCTTGAACAGATGAGTTGCTTCTTATGGATGAGCAAAGAAAGTGGTTTCTTGAGATGGCATCTATTCCTGGTGAAGATACTGCGAACATTCTTGAAATGACAACAAAGGATTTAGACTGCTATATAAACCTAGTTGGTAAAGCAGCAGCAGGGTTGGGGAGTCTTGGTTCCAATTTTGAAAGAAGTTCTAGTATGAGTAAAATGCCATCAAACAGCATTGCATGCTACAGAGAAAGCTTTCATGAAAGGAAGAGTTCATTGCTGCAGCGAACTTCATTGTTGCCTTATTTTAAGAAATTGCCACAGCTGCCTCCACCTTCAGCAACCACCACCCTGATCAGTCAGCAGCCATCAACATCAAGGCAAGACCTCCACCAGCATAGAGATGATGACTGGCAGAAGACAGGTGATGGTTAGCATTTTTAGCAATAAAGTATTTTAAAATTAAGGTATGTACATTGTTTTTTAGATATAACGTGATTCAGTGCACACCTAATAGACTAGAGCATCGTGTGAATATAACTTGTATATGCACTGGGAAATCAAAAATTTGCATGACTTGCTTTATTGGGGTGTTCTGGAACTCACCCATAATATCTCTGAGCTATGCCTATTGATGTCTCTTGGGGACAAAGAGAGGTGGGTGGGTCAGGGCAAGGGGCAAAGATGTCATCAGCTCTTCTGCTAGAACCTTAGGGAAGAATGTCAGGATGTTGCAGGGCAAATCTGGGAGTGTGACCATTTTTTTTTTTTGAGACAGAGTCTTGCTCTGTCGCCCAGGCTGGAGTGCAGTGGCATGATCTTGGCTCACTGCAAGCTCCGCCTCCCAGGTTTACGCCATTCTCCTGCCTCAGCCTCCTGAGTAGCTGGGACTACATGTGCCCGCCACCATGCCTGGCTAATTTTTTGTATTTTTTAGTAGAGAGAGGGTTTCACCGTGTTAGCCAGGATGGTCTCGATCTCCTGACCTCGTGATCCACCTGCCTCGGCCTCCCAAAGTGCTGGGATTACAGGCATGAGCCACTACACCCAGAAGTGTGGCTATTTTTAAAAAACACAGTGCTGTGTTCTTTCCGGAAAGAGAAGTCTTCAATGGTCTGGCTTGAGACCCACAGGGCTCTGCAGACAGCCTGTGCTGTGGGGTCCTAAGCCGGATCCCCATCTGGTGGCACATGCCCTCCCAAGGGTCCCCAGTGGCCTTGGAGGTCTCAGAGACTCCCTTTGCTGCTGGAAGGAAGTCCATGCTCCCAGATGCTCATGGCCTGAGTCCTGAGGAATGCGCTCCTGGTCCCCGTTCTGCAGGTGTCACATGTGCATGGGGCTCCCAGGGGTCCTGGAGGGAGAGTTTGAAGACACGTGGGGCCAGGGTCTCCTCAGTTGCTGGGACAGCAAGGACACGGCCCTTGGGGTGAGGAGACCCTCTGGACTTCCAGGACATGCATCCCCTGGGCCTTCAGGCACTGGAGGGTGGATGCCGGCCAGTCCTCCAGATTCCGTGAATCCATGTTTTCTACCCATTGGTGGGACTGGGTGTGATTCCTTATTCCAGATCCCAAAAGGGTAGGAGCGGAAATCCGCCTTCTAATTCTTTTTTCACATGGGAGGCAAAAATCTCATCCAGCCCCTCTCCTGCTCAAAGCCCCCCATGGCTTCCAATTGCCTTAGCATCGACTGCAGCCTGGAGCCAGGCCCTGGCTCTGCTCTCCATGCTCAGGTCACCCTCAAACCCCTGTGGGTTCCCACACTGTCATGTCCTCACCTCCAGGCCATTGTCCACACTGTTCCACCCACCAGGTACACCTGCCCTGGCCCTCCCCACCTTGCGTGGACCTGCCCAACTCTCCAGCTGCCCCCACCCGAGGCCCCGAGCTCCCTTCTGCAGAGTTGGAATCCTCAGGCTCTGCAACCAGCCTGTGCAGCTTCCAGGGACCAAACGGTGGCTGGGACGGTGAACCGCACTGGTTTCCCCTCTCCCCTCTTCCTGTTGGCAGTGGAGCCCCCTCCCCTGAGTCTCTGCTGGGCTTAGACTGCCTTGACACAGGCGGCACTTCCCAGACCCCCCGTGGCTAAGTGCAGGCCCTCAGAACAGCACAGATGCAGTGGGTGGGCTTGGTCAAAGACAACAGCGGCTCTCTGTACCCTCTCTCGCCCCTCTGCTTGCTGGTGCTAAGTTCAACCCCACAGATGAGGACGGAGCCCAAGGGACGACTCAGCACTGAGGTAAAAGAAACCCTGGTCTGCTACCCTCACCCGGACATGAGACTTGGGCTTCAAGCAGGCGGGGCCACCGTGTGTGGCATCTCCACTGCAGCAGGTCAGCCTGTGCCCTGATGCAGAACCTTATTTGCATGGCAACCCAGCACCTCTCTCGGGCCCAAAACAATCACCACAACAATGATGAGACAATAACACTCCTATCTCCTGAATGCTGGCAGGGCTGGTGTAGGGCTGAGCTTCGCCTTCAGATTTTACCCCAGTCTTGCAACCACTGTAGGAGTTGCTTCAGGCTATTCTTGCCATCCCACTTTACAGCTAAGGAGACAGAGGCTCCTGGGTGAAATGACTTGGGTGGGTCCCTCCACTAGGGGGACGGAGCCTCCACGCTGACTCTAGAGCTGCTGCTCCTCGCTGTGGGTGGGCACAGCCTCCAGACTCCGGGAAACCAGAGATTAGCGAATGATCGATGAGAGTGAATGAATGAATGAGTGGAAGGTGGGGAGAGAGAGAGAACACACAGGGGTCCACTCTGCCCCCTAGCTCACCTGCGTCCTCCCCTGGCTCCCCCTCTCCAGACCCTGCGACTCCTCCTGGGCCAGCCACCCCTGGGCTGATAGACATTTTGTTGCTGTTGCCGATGGTGGCGTCCTCGAGAAAGCACGATTTCATGTGGATTCTCTGGGCGGCTTCCCCCTCAGGGTGAGTTCCTGGACTGGGAATTCTTGCTTCAAACGAAGCTTCTGGGCCGGCAGCAGTGGCAGAGACTGTGGGTCAAAGGGAGAGAGGCCTGGAGCCAGGAGCAGCTGGACAGTGGCCGGGAACCCTGACCCCCAGCCTGGTTCACCCTCCTCCCCAGATCTCCCACCAGTGGCCCACACCATCCCAGGAGCACAGCCTGTGCCTGCCCGCCACACCTCCACCCGCCACACCTCCGCTCGTGCTGTTGTGCTGTCTGGGAAGCGTCTTTCTGCTCCACTGATCCCGCAGTGGGTCTGCCCCACTGATCCCGCCCGGCTGATCTGGACGTCAGTGTCTTCCTCTGGGATTCAGCTCCTCTCTCCTCTGCTGCCTGCTTCCCACTGCACTGGAACACTGGCCCCCACTTTTGGTTGAAATCTTATGGGGGCTCCCAGCCTGGCCCCAGCTCCTGCCATCTGGCTCTGCCCTTTCCCACCCAAACTTCTGAAGAATCATCCACACTGAGTCCCGCCCCCTCCACCCCCGAGACCTCTTCTGCTCCCTGGCCCCCAGAAACCACCCCCTCAAGGTTACCACGATCCCTCTCGCTGAACCCCACAGATGCTTCCCTGGTCTCACCAGCCTGGCCCCTCTCTGGAGACTCCTTTCCCGGGGCCTCTGCTTTCCTCCTCCCTCTCTGGCTTCTCTGCTGGTTCTTCTCCCCCAGCCCATCTCTGCATTCCCAGTGTGGGGGAGGCCTCTGCCTGGGGCCCTCTGGTCACTGCAGCCACAGCTCCTAGTACGGCACCTGTCTTCCATCCTCCCTAAACACCATTCCAGTCTCAAACCATCACCCTGCTCCAGTTGGCCCAGCCTCTGCTTCTCTGCTCATTTTACAAATGAGGAAACTGAGGTTTCCTGCAGTGGGTCGTAGGGGATGGGGATCCAGAGTGCTAGCTTTATTTTATTCATTTATTTATTGAGATGGAGTCTCACTCTGTCACCCAGACTGGAGTGCAGTGGTGCGATCTCCGTTTACTGCAACCTCTGCCTCCCAGGTTCAAGCAATTCTCCTACCTCAGCCTTCCGAGTGGCTAGGACTACAGGCGCAAGCCACCATGCCCGGTTAATTTTTTTTTTTTTTTTTTTTGTATTTTTGATAGAGACGTTTTACCATATTGGTCAGGCTGGTCTCGAACTCCTGACCTCAGGTGATCCACCCGCTTTGGCTTCCCAAAGTGCTACGATTACAGGTGTGAGCTCCCGCGCCCAGCCTAGAGTGCTAGCTTTAAAAGCCCCACCTGCTCTACTCTGGTTCAGCTGCCTGGTGGAAGGAAAGGAATTTCCCATCATGCTTCTCTTCCCAAAAAGATTCTGGCTCCAGTTCCTTCCAGTGAGGACCCACGGGGTGGCAGAGTTGGGTCTGGCCTCTAGATCCCAGTTACCTGGGGGGCTGCCAGGGGGGATGTGGGCAGGGCCCTCGGACGGGACGCCGTGGAGCCTCATCTCATTGCTGTGTCCCAGCTGCACCCGTCTCAGTATGGACTGCTCCATGTGGATGTCCTGGGGCCCCCAGGGATCAACTAGGGTCCCCCAAGTTGAGGAATCACCTGGTGCCATTGAAGGGAGGTGGCGTGGACCGGCGGAACCTGGCAGGGGACAGTGGCACAGCCTCACCGGAGATTACTGCAGGCTTCTTCCTTTCCCTCACCACCACACGCAGGCCTGTCCTCTGAATTCTTCCTGGACACCATCGAACTGGCGGCCAAAGACTTCAGGCTCTGGCTTAGAGAGCAAGAGGACCTGGCGGAATAGCTCATTTTGGGGCTCCCTGAGTTCTCAGGAGCGGGGCTGGTCCTGGGTGTTGCAGGGACACTCACAAACCCAAACAATGAGCTCCTTGTTCTGATTCCCAGTCACTCCCGAGCCTTCTGACCTCATGGGGACCAAGTCTCGTTTGGTGCCAACACCAAAGGCTCAGAGCCTCCCGCAGTGTTTTAACTGCCAGGGACAACATTTATTTTTATGGTGTTTTTCATGATTTACACTTAAAATAATACTATAAAATTGTTTTAAAATAAATTTTTAAAAAGGTGCACTACTCAACAACATTAATTAAATAATCAGACATGGGTATGGCCAGAATCAGGAAGGTGGGGCTCAGAAGATTAAAGCTAGGGAAACCATGATCTAGATTCTAGAACAAGGTTCCTCATTTCACAACTGAGGCTGACAGTGGGGAAAGGTTCTCCCAAGGTTACAGGGAGTGTCCCGACTTTGGGGCTGATGCTGTCACTCACAGGTGACAAGGCTGGGCTGACAGGTGGCTCTGTCCCCTCTTGCCACAGTGCCCGGCACAGGGTAAGTGCTCAAAGTGCAACACCGCATTTCATCCAAACTAGGATGCCACAGGTGGTGAGATGCACCCCAGTTTCCAGCCTGTTAAAATGTGGGGGAAAGTAGCGTGTCTCAGAACAAATACGGTACTACAATAACCTCCCCTGTAGCATTCCGCGGAGGGAAAGGCAATTGAGTTGTTTCTCATGAAAAACACCGGACCCCATTGAAAATGAGGCATAAGGTCAGGCGCAACACAGAGATACCCCATCTTAATTTTAAAATTTTATTAGAAAAATAAAAATTAAATTAAACTTTAAAATGAGGTAGAAAGTATCAGAGTACAGGGAAATCAGGAGAGCTTTGATCCAGGTGTCCTCATTCTCAGGACGGCCGTAAAGGTGGACTGTGGGGGTCTGGAAGCAACCCTTTCCCCTTGGAGGGCAGAATCCCCCCACTCCCCATCCCTACCCTTTGCCCCCACCCAGAGGATCCGGTGGCTCCCCACCGAGGTCCCCTCCCTGGGCTCTCTTGGGTGACTTACCGTCCTCCCTGGAGACTGTCTGTCTTGTAATGATGTTCCCGTGTCCAATCTGGATGGCTTCGGAGTTTGCAATGGAAATCCAGCTGTTGGGTCCATTCTGGCAGATCATGTTGATTGGATTGTGCTGGTAAATAATTGAGGCTGACTTTGCTCTTCTTCCAGAATCTTCTGCAAAATAATATTCAACTGTATCCCTTTGCCACTGTCTATGGGTCAGGGGTTCCCAATACCAGTCGGCAGCACCAAATTCTCCTGGGGAGCTTGTTAAAATACCCTGGGCGTTCCGAGTCAGTAGGGCCAAGTGGGAGGCCAGAGCTGGGTGTTTAACAGACACCACAGGTACCTCAGAGGGAGCCTCACTTGAAAATAGCCACTGTGAGTCACCCTACCTGTGTCTTTTGCTGCCTCCATGGCTGGGCCGCCATGATTGCTGGCTGGGAGGACCGCAGGGGCCCCACACTGCTCTCCCTAGGGGGCAGCCACAGCCCGGACCCCCGAGCACCTGCACCATTGCCCTTTTCCCTTGAGTAATGGCCGAGAAACAGCAGCCCATTGGGCCAGATCGGTCGTGTTTGGCTCCCATGACATTTTCAATATTTGAATTTGTCACTAGTGTTTAAAATCTGGTGGCTGTCACGCGTTATTCCTTCCTCACAGCAGCCCTAGGATGCTGAGACCCCCTCGGGCACCCGTCATGAGTAGCAGAGTCAGCCCTGCAGAGGTTGAGGCAGGCACCTGCCCAGACTGTGCGGGGCCCATCACCACCCTCCAGGGTCTCAGCTCCTGTGCCTTTGTGGGCCCTTCCCCCATACACAAATATTTAAATTACATTGTATAGCAAGGATAACCCAGGCTGGATTTTTAAATTTTATTTTATTTTATTTTTTGGGGGACAGAGTTTTGCTTTTGTTGCCCAGGCTGGAGTGCAATGGCGCGATCTCAGCTCAGTGCAACCTCTGCCTCCTAGGTTCAAGCTATTCTCTTACCTCAGCCTCCCGAGTAGCTGGGATTACAGGCGCCCACCACCACACCTGGCTAATTTTTGTATTTTTAGTAGAGACGGGGTTTCGCCATGTTGGCCAGACTGGTCACTCCTGACCTCAGGTGATCTGCCCGCCTCAGCCTCCCAAAGTGCTAGGATTACAGGCGTGAGCAACCGTGCCTGGCCCATTTTTAGATATTCATTATTATTGTAGTATTCATTTCCTCTGATTTTAAATGAAATTAAAATTAAAACATTTTCAAGGACCCCTGAGAATGCCATGCACCTATTGGATCTTGGCCCTGTGTGTGTTAGGTCTCACGGGGAAGCTGACCCTGCGCTGACCCTGGGGCTCCAGCCGGTAGGGGTCCAAGACTAGTCTTGCCTTCTCTTCTGCCAACTTTTAAACCCCAACTTGAGCAAAGTGCTCAAAGAAAACCATTCCCAAACTCAGACTGATCCCTGCACCCCAGAGCTGAGAACATTGGGAATGGGCCACCTCCGTCCCATTCACTGGCCTTCTGCAACTGCAGACCTTGGGCCACGCCTCCAAAAAGCTGTCCCTGGTTAATCTTGCCAGCACACCCCTTCCTCCTGGAAGCCCTTGCAGTGAATTGTCGGTAGGACCTCCAGAAGCTTCTAGCAGTTTCCGGTGAGCTGCTCAGCAGAGCACCCAGCAAAGACCAAGCACTAGTGTCATGGTTTCCCTCTGCAGCCCAGACACAGGCAGCCGGGGGCCTACCTGGGCGGTAAATCGTCCATGCTTTGGACTGCTCATCCATGTCCAGAAGGTGCCTGCTCTTCATCCTGTACAAGTCTCGGTTCACATCTTTTGCTGTCCTCATTCCCAGTGCTTGGGCGATGACCAGGGCCCTCTGGGGACCATTGTCTTTGAGAAACCTGTAGATGTCTTCCTCTGGGAGGCAGGATGGCCAGGTGGTTAGGGAGTAGTCCTAGGGTTTGCATCTGCCCCACCGCTTCCTAGCTGTGTGGCCCTGGACCCAGCCCCTCAAGGCCTGGTTTCCTCATCTGTAAAATGGGTGTCATGATAACGGGGTCATCATGACGCACCGCAGAGGTGCCCTGAGGGTGGGGGATGTGCACAGAGTGCTCTGCGCTGGGCCTGGCATGTGGCGGGTGCATGGTGAGGGTCAGCTATTGTCTGACTGGAGAAATCACTGCTCAGCCATTCAGATTCTCCCACTGTGAGGGCTGGGTCTTGGCTCTGAACACTGTATGGGAGCTGCCTGGTGGGTGGGACAGGGCCCCTGAACACTGGTGAGATCTTGTACCCTCAAGGAGGGCCTGGGGTTCCTGGGGAGTGGGATCCTGTGTCCCGGGAACTGAAGGGACATGCAAAAACTTACCCCGTTGTTGGCTGAACTGAGGGCCAGGGGTCTCTGGAATTGTAGCTGCATGTTGCTGGGGCCTCTCGGCTGCAGAAAGAAAGATGGGTCAGAGGGGTGGGGGACAGAAGACAGCACCAGGCCTCCACCCCACAAAGGTGGGCAGCTCCCTAGGGGTAAGTGGCAATGCCGGTAGTTGCAAACTCAGACTCCAGAGTTCAACACACTTGACTTCAAATCCTGCCTGCGCCCTGGCAGCTGCGGCTTCCTGCCGATTAACTTCTCCGGGGCTCAGCCTCCTTTGCCTCCTGGGGTTGTGTGAGGGCTGGGTGAACCCCAAAACAGTGCCTGGCTAATCTTAAGTGCATGATAAATGGCAGCTCCTTCTGGCTGTGGGCTGTAAAGCTAGAAAAGGGGGGCTGGTGGGACTGCATATGTTCTGTGATTGGGACCATGGCGTCATTGCTGTCTCCATCATGATGATTTTCTATTATAATTGTTAGTGTTCTGCAGAGTACCTCCTGTGTGCAGGGCTGGGCTGAGCCTGACGCAGGGCCTCCTCTCAGCAACCCCTACCAAGCAGCCCTGCTGTGAGCTCCATCAACCAGAAAAAGAAACCAAGGCACAGAGAGAGGAAACCTGTGAGCTCCCATGTGGCAGAGTTCAGATTCGAACCCAGGCTCAAATCTGTGCTTGTCCATTGCCAGGATGCTCCCTGCAGGGTCAGACCCGCCTCCCCGGGGTGGCAGTTACCAGGGCTGGACAAGGCCAGCTCTGCAGGACCCTCGCCTTCAGGATCAGTCCCGCCCAAGCACCAGGTGGCAGGGGATGTGAGGGAGACTTTCAACTCCTTTTTCATTCGGTAGAGGACTTGGTTGAGCTCCCTCTTGGGTGCTTGGCATTCCTTCACCAGCTGGGCAAGTTTCACCGGGGAGCCAGCCTCTGTCAGCACCTGCAGGATTCTTTGTTCAAGGTGGCCTGGGGGAGCGAGCGGGGGACAGAGAGGGGAACTGAGTCTCCCAGGTCCCCACAGTTGAGCCCAGGCTGGAGGCTCCAGGAGGCACGTAGGCCCCTTTTTGAGAGGGGTCCAGGGCAGAGGAAAGGGCAAGGACCCCAGCAGATGCCCCCTAAGAGCAGTAGGGCAGCTGCATCTGCCCAGAGGGAGGCATGCAGGCTGATCAGAAACGGCCTTGGCTGCGCAGCCTGGTGGCCAGGGGAGGTGCCACCTCGCCTGTGCCCTCCCCGGGTGTGGGTTCCAGAGGGCAGTGGGGTTCCTCAGCTCTCAGGTGTCCTCAGGGCAGAGGGGAGTAGAGGGCAGAAGGACGGAGCCAGAGGGAGGCAGGGGGACCTGGGAGCGCAAAGGCAAGTCCTGCCTGGGACGCCTGCCTGGGTTTACCTGATGCCCATCGCCATCCTCCCCGGGAGTGCCCTCCTCTCAGCTCACCATCCATCCATGGCGCCACTATCCATCCAAGCCAGAGACCGACCAGACATCAGAAACAGACCTTTCCCCCAGTGCCCAGTCGTGGAGCCCTGGAAATGCCATTCCTGGATTCTCTGGAATCCCCCCACTCCTCTCTTTTCTGCCAGCACCACCCCCTTCCTCTTCACCATCTCCTAGGTACAGTGATAGGCTCCCCGTTGGCCCGCCAGCTCCAGTCAGGTACCCTCCAGATCTGGCTCTGCCAACCACCCAGCTTGGCCTGCACCTGCCCCCAACTTCCCTCCAAGTGCTGGCCTGTCTGTGCTCCCTTCAGCCCCACTCTCCCCAGCCCCTTTGTGCACACTGTTCCTGCTGCCAGGAGCACCCTTCCCTCACGCCCCAACCTGTATGATGTCTACTCAACCTCCAGGCCTCCTCAGATGCCACTTCCTAGGGAAAGCCTGTCTCTGTGTCCCAGAGTGGCTGGGACGCTGCTTGTGTGTGGGTCCCCTGCAGAACTTCCCCTAGTGTCCCCTGCTGTGCTTGCATGGCTCACTGTTGTACCTTCAGCATCTAGCACAGTGCTGGGCACACAGTAGGTGCTCAGGAAATGGCAGTTGAATGTATGAGTGACTGAGTGAATGAATGAATGAATGAATGGGGCCAGGAGTGGTGGCTCACACTTGTAATCCTAGCACATCAGAAGGCTGAGATGGGAGGACCCCTAGAGGCCAGGAGTTCTAGACCAGCCTGGGCAACATAGTGAGACCCCCATCTCTACAAAAAAAGAGAAAAATCAGGTAGGTACGATGGCATATGCCTGTAGTCCCAGCTGCTTAAGAGGCTAAAAGTGGGAGGATCGCTTGAATCTAGGAGGTAGCAGTTGCAGTGAGCTATGAATGCACCACTGCACTCCAGCCTGGACAAGACCCCATCTCTGGAAAAAAAAAAAAAAAGGACTGAATGAGTGAGTGTCTGTCTCTAGGGACAGACGTTTACCCAATAGACCCTGGGCAGGGCCCGGGTAGCTTCTCCTTGGCCAGTTGGCAATGTGCTGCTGTTTCCTGGCCTGAGTTTAATGAGGACTAAGCAGGACCCCAAGAGGTTCAAGGAGGAATTCTCCAAATGGCCCCTGCTCCTCCTGAGGCAGCTCTTAAAAATCAAAACCATTAGCTCACACAATGATTAAAAGATCAAAGCCAGCTGCTCTGCCCAGAGATGAGGCTGGGGCAGACGCAGGTTACGGGCAGCACCTGGCAGCCAGCAGCCTGGGAGAGCCACTGTGGGCGGGGGCCCCACCTGTCACCAGGAAGCTTCTGCTTCAAGGAACCTGAGGGCAGTGCATGGGAGAGCCCTTCTTGGAAAGACCTGAGTTCCCCTTCCAGGACAGTGACTCAGTCCTTTGTCATCTGGGCTTTCTTTCCTGTTCAGAGGATTCTCCAGGTTTGCCCAGGGTTCCTTGGTCACAGCACTTGTAGGGGAGGGAAGAATCAGTTTGTGCCTCACCCTGATGGTTACAACGCTGACCGGCTTGCCGTGTGCAGGTGAAGACCAATTAGAAGACCTGGGAATTCCCACTCCTGCGCCCACCAAACTCCCCCACCGGCAGCCAGCAGCACCTCCATGCACCTGACTTCACACCTGGCTTCACCTTGTCTCGCAGAGTTTTTTGTTTTTTGGTTTTGAGATGGAATTTCGTTCTTGTTGCCTGGTCTGCGGCTGCAGTGGTGTGATCTCGGCTCACTGCAACCTCCACCTCCTGGGTTCAAGCAATTCTCTTGCCTCAGTCTCTCAAGTAGCTGAGATTACAGGCACGCACCACTACACCCGGCTGATTTTTGTATTTTTAGTAGAGACAGGGTTTCCCTTTTTGGCCAGGCTGGTGTCAAACTCCTGACCTTGGGTGATCCCCGCAACTCAGCCTCCCAAAGTGCTGGGATTGCAGGCGTGAGCCACTGCGCCTGGCCGCAGTTTTGATTCTGGAAGGCTGACCTTAGGGAGCCACTGCCTCGGCTCCACACACCCCAGAGGAGATGGGGGTCAGAGGTGTGGATGCAGGACAAGCACTGGCCCTGGGCTGGCCTCGACTGCTGAGTCCCAGGCTACTGTGTCTGAAAATGGGAAATTGTAAAATGGAGCAGGTGTAGGCAACAATTTGGTCACAAAAGGAAAATCAACTGGGGAGGAAGACAAGAAAAGCCAGCGAGGGCTGAGTCCGGAACCTGCGTCAGCACCCGTGAGTCCCCGAAGAGGAAGCTCCACAGGACCTCCGCGGTCAGCCCGGCTCCTGGGCCACACCCTGACATTAGCCCTCCCGGGGCACACTCTGTGTTGGTTTTTTAAAATTCTGATGGCTGATTTCCTGGGTTTGAGCTCCTAGCCCTGCCAACTACTAGCTGTGTGACCTCCCCTCCGGCTTCAGGTTCCTCTTCTGTGAAATGGAGACAGTAATAACTACTTCAAAGATTGTGGTGAGGATTAAAAACAAAACAAACACATCCCCCAAACCGCAAAACCACACTTCACCTACAGTCCACAGCGCTTAGTGGAGACCCTAGAGAACAGCAATTACTCGATACACTATTGGCTTTCATTGCAACTCTTCCAGGAATAAAATGAATGAAATGTTAGTTGAGGAAAGGATGCAACAAGGGGGAACAAAGGCACACATGTATCTCATCAAAGCAAACCGCTTTGTTCTCGATATGACTGTGACATGGGTGTTCAGACGCTAACACCAGCGTTCGCCAGCTGTGTTACCCTGAGAGTGTCATTTCACCTCTCAGGGCCTCAGTTATCTATAAAATGGGAATGACATGGCACTTGTCCCTGCAGGCCATCAGGAAATGCTTGGAAAGCATGTTTCGAGGTGCCTGGGGCACAGTCAGCTGTCAAAGGGGGATGGCTATGCTGTCCCTTTCTATTTTTTTTTTTTTTTTCTGAGATGGAATCTCACTCTGTCACCCAGTCTGGAGTGCAATGGCGACATCTCAGCTCACTACAACTTCCACCTCCCGGGTTCAAGCGATTCTCCAGCCTCAGCATCCCGAGTAGCTGGGATCACAGGCATGCGCCACCATGCCCGGTTAATTTTTGTAATTTTAGTAGAGATGGGGTTTCGCCATGTTGGCCAGGCTAGTGTCAAACTCCTGAGCTTAAACAGTCCACCTACCTCGCCTCCCAAAGTGCTGGGATTACAGGCGTGAGCCACCACGCCCAGCTGGTCTACTATTCTTTAGGATACTGCTATTGTCATCATGATCTGGACCAAGCGAAACAGGAGGAAAGAGAAGTAGAAATCTCACCCCGGGAGCTACCGCTGGTCCTTGGAAGGAAGAAGTACTGTACCTTCTCTGCCCGGGTCAGCAGGAGCCTGGGCCATGCTGACAGCAGCTGCAAGGAGTCGGAGAGACTTGGCAGGTGTGCAGGCTTCTGCACTGTGGCCCTGAGAGGGTGGGCTAGGTCGAGGCTGGGGCTTCTGAAGTGGCCGAGCCTGGTGCTTCTTGCAGCTCTGAACCCACAAGGGGAGGGATGCCAGCTTCCACTGGGCAGGTGTCAGCTGCTTACAGCCCGGAAATAGATGCCTAGCCAGGCCGGCCAGATTCGGTTTCAGGAGAAAAAGAAAATGAAACTTCTCTGTTCGTCTTTTGAAAGAAAAAAAAAGTGGAAGCCAGGTGGATGAGCAAGACAGAGTTGGGGACCTGACTTGATGTTGACAGGGAGGAGCTGTAAACTTGGCAAGACCAGAGCGTCCTCCGAAGAGGCCTTTGAGACAGAGGACTTCCCTCACCTTCCCCGTTCCAGGCACAGCCCACCTGGACCTCTACATTTTTATTTTCTGAATCAGCATCAGAGAACTGAAGAAAATAAAAATAAAAAAAAGAGCATGCACCACGTGGAGGGGGATGCCAGGGCGTGGCATCACTCTGATGATGTGAGGGGCTGGGGCTGGTTATCTGGTTTCTGTGTTTTTGTTTGTTTTTGAGACAGGGTTTCTGTCATCCAGGCTGGAGTGCAGTGGCGTGATCACGGCTCACGGCAGCCTCGACCTTCCGGACTCCAGCGATCCTCCCACCTCTCAGCCTCCCTAGTAGCTGGGACCACAGGCCTAGACCACCATGCCCGGCTAATTTTTGTATTTTCTGTAGAGATGGGGTTTCATCGTGTTGCCCAGGCTGGTCTCAAACTCCTGGGCTCAAGCGATCTGCCTGCCTTGGCCTCCCACAGTGCTGGGATTCCAGCCGCAAGCCCCCACGCCCGGCCCCGCTGGTTCCTGTAGTACTTCCTCCTCGGGGACTCACAGGTGCTACAGAGGCACCGTCCCCAGCTCTCAGTGGCTTTTCTTGTCTTCTTCCAGTTTGTTTCCCTTGCCCACACTAGGGGCAGAACATTTAGGTGCGTGAAGGCCCTGAGATTGTTCTTGTGTGTATCCATGTGAGCCTCTTTAATGAACACCTATTATGCGTTTTCCAATCTCAAGTGCTCCTCCAACCCATCTACAGGGTAGGGGCCAGTTCTGTCTTCTTCTCAGGGGGGAAACTGAGGCTAGAAAGGCAAGATCACTTGTCCAAGGCCACACAGAGTCCATGACAGAGCTTGTCCTGTCCATTCCCCAATTGTGTTTCCTGATCTATAACACCCAGAAGTCACTGGTGAATCACCCTTAGTGCACAGATGGCGTGGAGTTCCCCGCCTCATCATAAAACTTGCTTATTAATTCCAGAGTCAGATGCCTGGGGTCAGCAGCCGAGTGGTTCGGAATGCAAGCCTGGGTCAGCATGCTTGGGTCCAAACCTGGCTCCGCCATTTACCGGCTGTGTGACCTCGGACAAATTATTTAACCCCTCTGTGCCTCAGTTTCCCCATGTGTAAAAGGACTTAATCAAAGGACCTAGCGCATGGGGTCGAGGTGAGGACCTAAGGGGCTGATACAGCCCAGCTGTCGGGCTAGAGCCCCAGAGCCATCCGTAGTCACGGGCACCGTGGTCACCTCACAGGAATGCTTCTGGGAGAGGACCCGTTGCTTACATAATTCTCAAAAGGGCCAGTGACCTCAGAAAAACTCAGAGCCACTGTTCTCTTCCAGATCACAGAAGGAGGAACTGAGGCCCACAGAGGTGAATGCTGTGTACAAGGCCCCCCAGCTTTTGGCAGCCAAGGGGGTTGAGAGCTCAGCCCTGGAAGTCCCTGGACTTGGGGTCTGTGTCTCATCTGCAGAGGGCTGGGAGGGCTAGAGACGTCTGTGCTCCTTGCAGACCCCATTTATGCATAAGGAGCAGCTTAGCGGCAAATACAAATGGAAAGGGGGTCCGGAGGTTTATCCTGAAGCTATCTGTCTTTGCAGAGCGAGCACCTGGAGCCCAGGTCTTCCGCCCTGCCTGCATGTTAAGTGTTTGAAGCAAAAAAAAAGTCTCAATGCCCAGGCCGGCCCAGACTAGTCAACTCCAACCTCTGCGGCTGGGGCCCGAGGGTGAGATTTTTTATGCTCCTGGGTGACTTTTCCTGCTTCCAGGTGGAGAACCAGTAAGTCTGGGGCAAGTCAATAACAGCAAACTGCAGGATGCTTTTATTCTCCTTTTATGTAAAAGCGAAAACTGCAGGTATCACCCTATGAAATAACAATAGTGCTCTTTAAATGGGGGGGTAGGTGGGGTGCTGAGGGAGATGATGAAGGTGCCCTCCGGAAGGGGCTCCGGCTGAGCCCTGCAAGGCTGAGTCCCTTGGGTGTCTGGGGTGCCACGCCCGAACTGGCCACCAGGTGATGCCGCTCACCAACCTGGGCTTGGGCGCACCTTGGCTTCAAGTTCCCTCTGATCTGCAGGGAGGAGCTCCTACCCCAACCCATGGTTGGACTCCAGACTTGATGAATCACAGCTCCAAGACGTGCCCACCCCTCCCACTGCCTTGTCCTGCATCATCCTTTATTCTTCCTGTCTCTTCAGTCACTCATCGTGGTTTCTTCACTCATCTTTCCTGGAAGGAGTCAGATTCCAGCTGTTTCTCTGTGAAGCCTCCAGGCAGTTCTTTGTGCTCTTCCGGCCTGGCCTCCCAGTGTTGGTCTTGACACAGCCCACCACTCCCCCGTGGGGAAACTCTCTCTCCCCCCATCTCCAGGGCCCATGCTAGCTTCTCCCCTTCCTTCCCTGGCCTCTGCAGCTCAGGCCTTGACCCCAGGTCCCTGGTGGGCTTGCAGGTCAGGTTGAGGGATGTTAGCTTGGTCTTGGGTGCCAGCCTTACTTCTAGGAAGATGGCTTCTGCTGCAGGGAGGAGGCTGGTGCCCCTCACGGCTGGTCTCCATCCAGACTGTGCTTGGATGACCCCTTTCTGTCCCCGTGGCCACATCCTGAAGGCACATGGAGCCCCTCTGGGCCTGAGCCATTTTTAGGAGTCTGTAGCAGGGACCACCATGCCAGTGGAGACCAAGCGCCTCGGGAAGTTCCCTGGACAAGGATTCTGTCTTGTCTCTTCTCCAGGGCAGGTTCTCCTTCCCAGCTGTGTGGCGCTACCTCTCTGAGCCGCGGTTTCTTTAACTATAAAGCAGAGATACTAAGAAAAAGCATTTTTGACACTTAGTATGTGCTCACAACATTTGCATAAGTTAGAAAACATGATGCATCTCCACAGTATCTCTTTAGACAGCAAACAAACAAAAGAGAGCAATAGACAAAAAGAAGAAAACATTTCACGTGGGTAGGTTCCACCTTTCTTTGCATTCCATGGCACATCTGGAGATGAAGCCAGGAATCTGCTATGTGCTTGTCACCCACTGAGTGGGAGTCTTACTTTTAAATACTTAGATTGCCTTTATTTCTCTTCTCTATTTAAGAGCTGTTTAAGTTGAGTTTGACCCTAAGGATTATCTTTAAGCCTAAATACCAGTGGCTAAAACAATAGAGTTGTGTCTTTTTCTTGAAAGAGTTGTAGGCATTCCAGGTTTAGTGTGGTGACCTGGGGTCCTTCTACATTGTCGGTCTGCCATTTGTGGCCTTCATTCTCAAGTTTGCCTTACATTTTAGAATGGCTGCTAAGCTCCAGCCATTACATCTGCATTCCTTCCAGCAGGGAGTAGGAAAGGGAACAAGGGCAGATATCTCCCTTTAAGCACGCATCTTACAAGTTGCACACACATTCCACTAATACCCCATTGGTCAGTCTTGTGGCTCTTATCTGTAAGGGGAGGCCTGGAAAGATGGTCTGTATTGTGGGTCACCATGTGCTCAGCTAAAATTGGGGTTCTATGACTTTAAAATGGGGGACAGTAGATATTGGCAGAGACCTAGCTATCTCTGCCATTTCAAGGTTCCCTGGTGTCCCCAAGAAAGGAGCAAAGATACCTCCTCTGTGCCTTCAGGTGTGTCCATTCACGGGGTTCATTTATTCAGCAGTTGCTGTGCCTCCTTACTCTGCCTGGAAAGGGCCTCAAAGGCCACAAGACTTCCAAGATGGCACCACTGCCTGCTGGAGTCCTCATCTCCTTTTGCCTTGGAAGGCGCACTCCCTGTTCATGGCTTGTGTTTTTCTGGAAACTATTAGAGCTCTCCGCCCAAACCAGATGATAATTACATGTTACTGATCTTGAGTCTTTAAATTTTTCTCTCTCTCTTTTAAAAGAGAGATATTTTTACTGCACATTGTGTTGACAAAACCCAAGTCTCCCTTCTACCAGGCAGCCTGGATTTTATTTTCAGATTTCCTCTGTGAATTCATGCAGGGGGAGGAGGTGGAAAGGTACTGAATGTGAATAATAACATGTCTTTGGTCAGGGACAAGGGTCAGAGAACCAGGGGTGGCTGAAGAGGGGAATGGAGATTGCCCAAGGTCACAAAGTCATCCTCCTGGGGTGGAATGAAGACTGAGTAAAACTGGTGTGTCCAGGAAAGCAGGTTTTCATTGCAGTCCCTAGAGGAGTCTGCCCTGGCCCTGTTCTCTGCTCTTCCAGGCAGAGCTGTTGATGGGGCCTCCATTGTTTATCTGTATCCATTGGAGTTGAAGAGACCTGGGGTTCTGGTCTTGGCACCCAGCTTTTTAACTCTGTGCCTTGAGCAAGTTACTGCTCTGTCTGAGGCTCAGTTTATGTCTTTGTAAAGGGGGTCATAGAAGTACTTACCTTGTGGGATTGTTGCACAGGTTAAATGGGATTGTGTACCTGTAGGTCCTAGTAGAGCACTGGGCACATAGTATGTGCTCAATAAACAGGAGCTAGTCATGTTATCACCATGTGATGCTCAGCTGTCCCTCTCTCTGGTAATAAAGCAATCCTATTCACTCACCTGATCATTTGCCAAATACTTTCTCATGCCTTCCTTTTATCGGGCCACATGCTGGGCCCTGCAGGGCATGGGAGAAACGTCTCTGTCTTCGTCTGTTTTCTGCTGCTATAACAGAACATCACAGCCTAGGTAATTTATAAACAATAGGATTTTATTTGGCTCATGCTTCTGGAGGCTGGGAAGTCCAAGAGCATGACACCAGCCTCTGGCAAGGGACTTCATGATGTATTATCTCATGGTGGAAGGCAGAAGGGCATACAAGCATATGAGACAGAGAGGAAAGGAGCTGAACTCCCAAGATAACCAAACTACAATGGCAAAAAATAGCATTTGTCCATTCATGAGGGCAGAGCCCTCCTGACCTAATCACTTCTTAAAGGTCTTACCTTTTTAATACCATCACAATGGCAATTAAATTTCCACATGAGTTTTGCAAGGGACATTCTAACAATAGCAGTTCCATTTGCTGATTCCTGCCTCCATTTCCCACTCTGGCTGCAGAAGAGGCCACACTGCCTGGTCCTGGGATGAATGGGGTGACTCAGACCAAGTCCTAGGGCCCCAGCACTGACTGGTAAAGGCGACCTGAGCGGGGGGCAACAGCACCTGCTCTCAAGTGCGTAAGAGGTCAGGGAAGTGGGCATGGACAGGGCATGGACAGTCCTGGTAGAAAACTGAGATTTTTACCCAGGAGGTAAGGGAAGGGCCAGGGGAAGATTTTCATCGAAGGCAAGTGGAAGATTTGGAAAGGTGGCCCTGGTTGCTGGGAGAACAGGTGACAGGAAGTGGGCAAGGGGAGAGGGAAGGAGGCCACTTCATATTTAACTTTTATTATAATCAAAAGATTTTAAAAATCATTTTGCTTCCAAAATTATTTGCCTACAAAAAATTCACTGAATTACAATTGGCCACAATTTATCAAGCATTATTCTTGGGAATTCTTGCAAAATGAGGAAAATTTCACCACCTATAAATTCTTTTCAAAAATAATGCAGTGTCATGAAATTTTTATGAGAACTAAATGGAACAATTAATGAACTCGCCATGATGTTAGTTTTCTAGATGTTTAATTAAACATTTATTGATTTTAATTTTGCAGTGGGTTTTTTTTTCTTCCATATTTTTGGGCACAAACATTTTCAGAGGCTCTTGAAACGTCTGTCAGCCTGATGTTCTAAGACTTTCACACCTGAAAGGTAAGATCGGGAAATGGAGGGACACACATCCAAGGGACAGGGCCCTGGCCTCCCAGAATAGTGGACAGGGTGTGAATTGATGGTGGCATTGGGTGTTGCTGAGTGCGGGACAGAAGACAGGGCAAGGGGAGATGCGTTTACATGTTAATGTGTAACTTCTTTTCATTTAAAATGGGTATCCTCCTTTGAAATTTGACCCAAAGACTTGGTAACCCAACAGCAACTTACATTTATTTGGAGCTTATTGTGTACTCAATTTCCAGTGCCTTACACTATTTCATTGACTTCTTATAGCAATGCTATACGGTAGGTAATTAAGATTAAATCTGCATTTCACAGACAAGGAAACTGAGACATGGAGAAATTACCAAGTTGACTGGCCAAGATCATAGAGCTAGTGAGCATTAAAGATGGGATTGCTATGAGACCCTAGAATCCAAGCTCTTAGCAATTCTAATATTGCCAGGAACAAATCTGTTGTTATAATTCTGCAAAGATAAGAAGAAATGCTTTCTACGTCAGACAACTCTGCTATCTAGCATGGCTTTTGAGGCCTGTCAGAAAAAGTAAGTTGCAATGTCATTGCTTCCTAAGGTTTCTTTGACTGAATGTGCCCAAGGGAACAGGACATTGTGCCAAGTACTCAGGGGCACAGAAAGCTGACTAGCTAGAAGAAGAGAGTCTAATATTTAAGATTTTTTCCTCATTATGATTTTTAAAATATTGACTACATGTTGAAACGATATTTGATATATTGGGTTAAAAAATCATTAAGATTTTTAAAAATAGAACAAGGTGACTATATGTGCACACTGATCTCATATACGCAGCCCCAGACACACACATAGCCTCTCTGTGCTTTCTCCTCCCTGAGCCCTTCTCCTCCAAGGTTCTCTGACTTTCTCACTTTACTGACCACTGCTTTCTAGTTTGTCTGAGGCTGAGCACTCCCAGAAGCACACTCCAAAGGAGAGCTTTGAGTGCAAGTTGGTTATCTGAGAGGTGGTCTCAGGAAATTCTGGGAGGTGGGTGTGGAGGTGAGCCCAGGAAGGATGGAGAGCAGTCAAGGATGTGCCATCTGCTGATGACTTCTGCGGGCAGCTGGAGCTCAATCCTGCTGGACAATGCTGGGAGAGCACGTGCCTCAGGGTGATCTACCCATAGGACAAGGGAACTGGGGTATTGATCCACCCACTCCCATCATCACTCAGTGAGGTTGCCCCTGGCAGGGGGTGTTAATTCCCTGGCACTCTTGGCCTGCTACATGGGGGCCAGAAGAAACTCCAGGCAAGGCACAGATGCCTTCAGCTGGAAGCTGGACCCATGTGGACAGAAATGCAAAGGGCCAAGTGGGTGTGGGTGGGATACCAACCACACCTGCGACAGATTTCTGCGTAAGTTATTCCTTACGGCTGCTGAGGCCTGGAGTGGTTAAGTAGCATGCAGGGGTTGAATAGCTGGAAAGGGGCAGTGGAGAGGATTTGAATTCAGATTGTATGACCACAGAGCTGGAGGCCCTGACCTCAGGCTTTGCAGATTCCTCTGCCTTTGTCGACTCTTATGAAGGGCAGGCAGGACTCTAACTCTATGAATTTAAAAAATTCATTTTTAAACTCACTCACTCACTCAATCAAGTTAGAAGCTTTTAAAGACAAATTTAATAAGTTTGAACTCAGTAAAAGCCTTTTAATAAGTTGAACGTCATGATTTCAGCCCTCTGCTCACAGAACTATTAGGCAAGATGGTGAGGGGGAGGGGGCAGGAAGGGAAGTGGGGGGTGAGGGTGAGAAGGGGAAGTTAGAGGAAGTGAGCTAACACACACAAACAGACACACAGATGGATCTTTCTTTTTAAAATTTATTTGCACATTTAAATCCATGGTTTGTTTCAAATTGTTTGATTGTGAAGCTTTTATAATATTTTGTTTTATTTTTAGAAACAGTTCTTTTACTTCAGAACAACTGTACAAAGTGCTAAAGAAAATGCATTGCTGACTTGGCACGGGTTTGCTGTGTGTTCTGTCTCCTCGCTGGCTCACACATGCTTCCTCACACTGAACGTTCCGTCTAGGCCTGCGACTGAGACAGGAAGCCAGACACACATGCTGAACTAATTTCAACAAATATCAACTTAAAACTAACCTGAAGTCGTTGGAAATGGACGGACTGGTTCAGACACGGCTGCCTTCCCCAGCTTCATGCACAGGAAACTGCACTGTCTACACAATGCAAGAGTGTTGCTGAGAGATGACAGCGTGCTGGCAGTCCTCACAGCCCTCGCTGCTCTCTGCGCCTCCTCTGCCTGCGCTCCCACTTTGGCGGCACTTGTGGAGCCCTTCAGCCCACCGCTGCACTGTGGGAGCCCCTTTCTGGGCTGGCCAAGGCCGGAGCCGGCTCCCTCAGCTTGCAGGGAGGTGTGGAGGGAGAGGTGCGAGTGGGAACCGGGGCTGCGAGCAAGAGCCAGCTGGAGTTCCGGGTGGGCGTGGGCTTGGCGGGCCCCGCACTCGGAGCAGCCGGCCGGCCCTGCTGGCCCTGGGCAATGAGGGACTTAGCACCCGGGCCAGTGGCTGCGGAGGGTGTACTGGGTCCCCCAGCAGTGCCAGCCCACCAGCGCTGCGCTCGATTTCTCGCCTTAGCTGCCTTCCCGCGGGGCAGGCCTGGGGACTGCAGCCCGCCATGCCTGAGCCTTCCCCTGCCTCCATGGGTTCCTGTGCAGCCCAAGCCTCCCTGCCGAGCGCCGCCCCCTGCTCCATGGCACCCAGTCCCATTGACCACCCAAGGGCTGAGGAGTGCGAGCACATGGCACAGGGCTGGCAAGCAGCTCCACCTGCAGCCCCGGGGCAGGATCCACTGGGTGAAGCCAGCTGGGCTCCTAAGTCTGGTGGGGAAGTGGAGAACCTTTATGACTAGCTTAGGGTTTGTAAATACACCAATCAGCACTCTGTATCTAGCTCAAGGTTTGTAAATACACCAATCAGCACCCTGTGTCTAGCTCAGGGTTTGTGAATGCACCAATGGACACTCTGTATCTAGCTACTCTGGTGGGACCTTGGAGAACCTTTATGTCTAGCTCAGGGCTTGTAAATACACCAATGAGCACCCTGTGTCTAGCTCAGGGTTTGTGAATGCACCAATGGACACTCTGTATCTGGCTACTCTGGTGGGGCCTTGGAGAACCTTTATGTCTTGCTCAGGGATTGTAAACGCACCAATCAGCACCCTGTCAAAACAGACCACTCGCTCTACCAATCAGCAGGATGTGGGTGGGGCCAGATAAGAGAATAAAAGCAGGCTGCCCCAGCCAGCAGTGGCAACCCGCTGGGGTTCCTTTCCACCGTGTGGAAGCTTTGTTCTTTCACTCTTTGCAATAAATCTTGCTACTGCACACTCTTTGGGTCCACACTGCTTTTATAAGCTGTAACACTCACCGCGAAGGTCTGCAGCTTCACTCCTGAAGCCAGCGAGCCCACGAGCCCATGGGGAGGAACAAACAACTCCAGATGCGCCACCTTAAGAGCTGTAACACTCACCGCGAAGGTCTAAAGCTTCACTCCTGAGCCAGCGAGACTACGATCCCACCAGAAGGAAGAAACCCCAAACACATCCGAACATCAGAAGGAACAAACTCCAGACGCACCACCTTAAGAGCTGTAACGCTCACCGTGAGGGTCCGCGGCTTCATTCTTGAAGTCAGTGAGACCAAGAACCCACCAATTCCGGACACATTGCCATAGCTAGAAAAGTCTTCCTGTTTTTCATGATTAATCCATTTACTTGTCAAGTGTAGTGAAATCTGTTCTTGCTAGCTGCCCAGCACCCAACCCCTTATTCTGGTAAAATCCCCTCAATTTTCCTTTGAAAACCTCCTCACCCCTTCTCAACCCATGTGGCGCTGACTCCCTCTCCAAGGTTCAGGGCAGGGCGTGGGACTCAAGCTTGGCCAATTAGAGCCTTCCATTTTTATGGCTGCAGTGACTGGTCCAGAGATGGGCATGTGACCTAAGCCAAGCCAATGAGCTTCAATTCTGAGACTTCTGCAGGAAGGACTGGGGACTAATTTCTTCGGAGTGGATTTAGAAGTGTAAGGAAATGAGCCTAGATAAAAGATAGTGCCAGGAAAGGAGAATTTGAACAGAAATCAGTAGAGAGAACAGCAATTTGATGGTGGAGACAAACTCCCCCTAACACCACCGTGAGCATGTCTAGATCCAGTAGTGTATAATTTAGCCCAGCTCTAGACTCTGGCTTTTCAATTATATGCGCCAACAATGTCCTTTTCTGCTAATAGGTCTCATTTAGGTGTAGGTCACTTACTATAGAAAGATTTACCTGATACATAAACTTATTTTAATTTTGTTTTAACAGAAAACCAAAATGTTGAATCAACTGGTTCAAGATCACTGGGTGAAGGTCTAGGGATGAAAAGCATTTTTGAGAGAGTGTAGTCAGTCCAGAGAATGCCTGTGTCCCAACCTTGCCATGTGGTCTCTGCTTGTTCATCATCAGTGATGGGCCACTCGCTGTGTGTGTAGCAGTGCTAATAATCAGAGTTCCTTTCTTTTATCCTAGAGATAATATTACATTGTTCAAAGATGTACGCATGAGATGTTCATCACAGGATTGGTTACAAAGGTGAAGGAGGCACAGACAGCCTAGATATCCAAACAAAAGGGATCAGGTCAATGAATTAGGAAGTCTGTACAGTGAAATGCTCTGAAGCTATGAAAAATGGGATCTAGAATTGTATTTATTGATATGGAAAAGTGTTCACAGTATATTGGAAAAAATGTTTATAAATTGTATGATTCCATTTTAAAATGTCTGTGATTATCCATAACCCAGAAAAATACTGAGAGTATGGAGTATGTCTCCGAGATACATAGGTGATGTGTATTCTAGATTTTCTTTCTTTCTATAATAAAAATGGATTACCTGTGTTTCTTAGTCAGCTTGGACTGTCATAACAAAATACCATGGCCGGAGTGGTTTCAACAATAGAAGTTTCTTTTCTCACAGTTCTGGAGGCTAGAAATTCAGGAGCAGGGAGTCACCATGGTCAGGTTCCGGTGAGAGCTCTCTTCCTGGCTTGCAAATGGCTGCCTTCTCATTGTGTCATTGAGAGAGAGAGAGAGAGAGAGAGAGAGAGAGAGACCAACTAAGCTCTCTGGTGTCTTTTCTCAGGGCACTGATCTCAGGGCACATGATGGCCACATCCTTATAATCATATCTAAACCTAATCACCTTCCAAAGGCCTTATGTCCAGCTACCATCCCACTGGCGCTAGGGCATCTACTTACCAATTTGGAGAGTACACAACTCAGTCCATAGCACTGTGTAATAAAAATAATAGCAAAAATCAATTATTTACATTGCATGGGACTTTGCAATGCAATGAACAATATCAGCATAGTCACAATGTAAACGCCATTTACTGAGTTTCAGATTTAGAAACATCTCACGGATAAAGCACAGATGATTTCATTATGCCGCAGGGCAGAGTCCAGATGTCATTGGTGTTGAAGAGTTGGACATAACAATGAAGAGGCCAGAGGAGGCAGTGAGCTGGAGGCCAGGGTGGGATTCCGGATTCTGCACTGGCACCATGGGGAGTGTAGAGCCGCATTCCCTTATATGGAACAAGAAATAGAGTCTAGATGAGGCAGGGAAGTGAAATTTTTCCCCTGAAGTTTTGGAAAATTGAGACTATAAAACAAACTGAGAGTAGACAGATTAACTGGAAAAAAGGAATACAAATGTGTTAGGTGCACTGTGTGCACAGGAGTCGTACAAAATATGAAAACTCAAAGAAATGTCCAGATGGCTGATGCTTTTATAGCATCGTGAGCTTACAGAAAGAATAGTTTGGCGCATGGAACACGTTATGGTGGCAATGCAGGTTATGAGAAGGAGAGAAGGGGAGGAAATGCATGGAGCAAAGACAATCTTGTTTTGCAGATGAAACTTCACCTCAGAAAGAATAGATGGTAGCCGGTAGGAATGTTTCTCTGTCAGAACTTTAAAGGTGTCAAACTCTCAGTTAATTTTTTTTTAGATCTGGACAAGATGGGCTTAGACAGAGCCTGTTCACATCTGTTGTTTACTTCACTGTATTTCCTCCGCAGATGCAGATCTCCCCTACAAGAGACATCTTTGCAGGGCTAGCCTTAGGTTCACAGGACCTCTGAATAGCCATCTAGAAATATGTCAGATAGATATATTTTGGGGTGAAATATTTTTGGTTTCCTTTAATAACAGGCATGTTTAGGAAACCCAATCTAGCAACAAGAAATACTCATCCTTCTCCAGGGCAAGTGAAAAATTCTTCAAGATAGACCATATATTGGCAATTATTTCTTTAACATGACACTGAAATTTTAAAAGGAACCAACGGAAAAAAATAGCTAAATTGGACTTCGTGAAAATGAAAAACTTTTGTACTTTTAAAGAACATTATCAAAAAGATGAAAAACAACATAAGGAATGGGAGAAAAACTTTGCAAACCATATATCGGATAGAGATACACTATCTAGAGTATATAAATAAGTATTACAACTTAACACTGAGAAGACAAATTGCCCAAATAAAACATGGGCAAAGCATTGAAAAGACATTTCTCCAAAGAAGATGTACAAATGATAAATAAGCACACAAAAGGATTCAGAATATCATTCATCGTTAGGGAAATACAAATCAAAACCTCAGTGAGACACCACTCTGTACCCACTAAGGTGGCCATTAAGAAAGAAAAAGGAAAGTAACAAATATTGGTGAGGAACTGGAGAAATTGCAACCTTTATAAATTGCCAGTGGGATATAAAATGGTGCATCCACTGAGGAAAGCAGTTTGTTTCTTCCTCCAAGAGTTAAACATAAAACTACTGTATGACCCAGCAATTAATACCACTCCCAGGTCTGTATCCAAGAGGAATGAAAACATACGTCCACACAAAAACTTGCACAAGAATATTCATAGTGGTATGATTTGTAGCAGCCAAAAAGTAGAAACTACCCAAATGTCAATCAACTGGTGGATAAACAAAATATGGTGCATCCATACAATGGAATATCATTTAATAACAACAAAAAGGGATGAAGCACTGATTCATGCTACAACATGGATGAACCTTGAAAATATGCTGAGTGAGTGAAGCCAAACACAAAAGACCACATATCATATGACGCCACTTAGATGAACTGTCCAAACAGGCAAATCTATGGAGATGGAATATCGATTAGGGGTTTCTAGGGGATGGCAAAAGAGGGAAATGAGGGAACAGCTACTAATGGGAATAGGATTTCACTTCGGAGCAATGAAAATGTTCTGGAATTAGATAATGATAATGGTTGCACAATTTTGTAAATATGCTAAAAGAACTCTGAATTGTACATTTCACAAAGGTAAATGTTATGGAATGTGAATTGTGTCTCAATTTTTTAAATTAAAAAAAAAAAAAGAAAGAAAGATGGCCAGGCATGCTGGCTCATGCTTGTAATCCCAGCACATTAGGAGGCCAAGGCAGGAGGATCACTTGAGGTCAGGAGTTCAGGACTATCCTGGGCAACATAATGAGACCCTGTCTTTACTAAAAATAAAAACTAAAATATAGGCAGGTGTGGTGGTGCGTGCCTGTAGTCCCAGCTACTTGGGAGGTGGAGGTGGGAAGATTGCTTGTGCCCAGGAGTTGAGGCTGCAGTGAGCTATGATCGCACCACTGCACTCCAGCATGGGCAACCTGGTAATTGTGTGCACCCAGCTTCATAACTGTGGTCATCTGAAATACTGTGACAAACAACTGAAGTCTTTGATGAGGTTGTTCAAAAACCACAGTGGATTACCACTACACCTGCAGATCCTGTCTCAAAAAAGAAAGAAAGGAAGAAGAAAGAAAGTGTTGCAGGAGAACTTCCATTTTCAGCTCTGACATGCTGACAACTTAGAAGTCATCACTCTTAACCCTTACAACAAGAAAATCTGAACACACTGAAAATCAATAACTTTTCTTTGACTCCTCAGAGTACTGAAGTCAGAGGGCAAGCAGCCACCCTAAAATATGCAGAGATGACTGAATCCAGTGACTCCCCACTGATATCTGTTTAACTGGGGAAGAAGTTTTTGGAATAAATTGGTAGAAACACTTAACTGGTAATTTTGGTGAATTGTCAGAGGATGAGTGTGTACTAGCATGAAAATTAATCCTGGCAGCTGCAGTCTTAGGGGGCCCCCACATTTTCATGGGTTTTACCTCTAGGAATCCCTCCAGGTTTTTAGAGTAAAGAAGTGAGAAGATCCCCAGCTGGGCTGGCAATGGAAGGGAAAGAGTAGCCACTGCAATTCACCCAGAGTGTCCTCCACAAAAATGTCCTGCTCTCCAGGGAAAAAGACTCCACCGGAGCCCTCAGCCTTCCTGTCTTACCTAAGCAGGGAGAGAAAAAGCTAAGCAACACTTGTGAAGGTCACAGCCCAGGAACAGCAGCACACGAAGTAACTCAGATTCAATCATAAGATTATAAAATCCTTATCTTCCCCATACTATACCACCACACCAATAGGGCTTCAGGAAAATAGGAGATTTCACCCGGAAGAGCAGGAAGACACAGGCTGTCTTTGAGGAGGAATACTTAGGAGAGCCCCAAGTGAACAGGGATAATGAAAACAAGGACACTAGAGGAATTTGAAGTCTCTGGCACTACAGCTACAGAAAACATTAAATACAGCCCAACTCCTGGACAGAATAACATAAAACCTCACACTTAAGGCCTCTATACCTCAATTCTTATTACCCAATACCTGATGTCTGGTTTTCAATAAAAAATTACCACACATGCTGAAATGCAAGAAAAAACATAATCTGAAGAGACAAAACAAGCATCAGAACCAGACTTAGCAATGACACAGATTTTGGAATTATCAGGCAGAAAATTGAAATAACTATGATTAATATGGTAAGGGTTCTAATGGGAAAAGAAAAGTAGTTAGGCAATGTAAGCAGAGAATAAAAATGCTAAGAAAGATGCAAAAGGAAATACTGGAAATAAAAAACACCATTAACTGAAATAATGAATATCTTTGATGGGCTCATCAATAGAATAAATCCAGCAAAGGAAAGGAAGAGCTTGAAAGTACATCAAGAGAAACTTCCCAATTGGAAAAGCAAAGAGCAAAAAGAATGGAAGAAAACAGAATAGAAAATCCAATAACTGTGGGACAATTTCAGAAGATTTAATATATGGGTAACTGGAATACCAGAAGGAGATGAAAGAGAAAACAGACCAGAGGAGATACTTGAAGCAATAATGGCTGGGAATTCTCCAAAATTAATGACAGACACCAACTATTTGATCTTGGGAGTTCACAGAACATCAAGCAGGATAATCACCAAAACGTCTACCTAGATATATTCAAAGTGACAAAAAACAAAGATAAAGAGAAAACAACGAAAGAGGCCAGAAAGGAAAAAAGCCCTATCTTACCTATAGAGGAACAAGAAAAATAATTACATCAGACTTCTTTCCAGAAACAATTCAAGCAAAAACAAAAACAAAAACAAAACAAAAAACAAAAACAAAAACAAAAAAATTAGTAGACTAAAATAGTTAAAGTGTCAAAAGAAAACAACTACCAACTTAGAATTCTATGTTCAGTTAAAATATCCCTCAAAATTAAGAGAAATAAAGACATTCCCATATAAACAAAAACTGGAGAAATTATTGCCAATAGACCTGCTTTGCAAGAAATATTAAGTTCTTCAGGGAGAAGAAAAATGATGTAGGTCAGAAACTCAGATTTACATAAAAAATGGAAGGGCACTCAATAAAGTATAAGTGGAGATAAAATTAAATTTTATGTTTCTTATTTTGATGATTTAACAGGTAATTGTTCAAAATAACAATAGAAACAATGTATTCATTGATCATAACTTTACAGAAATGTTGTAAAGAACAGGAGGGAGGAATTGGAACTCTGCGCTGTGGACTGAATGTTTATGTTCCCCTAAAATTCTTATGCTGAACTGCTAATTCATAATGTGATAATATTTAAAGATGAGACCTTAGGGAGGTAATTAAGAGTTAGACTAGGTTACGAGGGTGGGACTCTCATAATGGGATTAGTGGCCTTATAAAAAGAGGAAGATCTCTCTCTCTTTCTCTCTCTCTCTCTCACTGCTCTCTCTCTGTCTTTCTTCGTCCCTCTGTCACTCCCTACCTCCCCACACACATGCACTGAGAAAAGTCCATGTGAGGCGACAGCAAGAAGGTAAGTATCTGCAACCCAAAGAGAAAGCCCTCACCAGGAGCCTAATCAGCTGGCATTTTGATCTTAAACTTCCTAACTTCCAGAATTGTGAGAAAATAAATTTCTGTTGCTTAAGCCAGCGAGTCTATGGCATTTTGTTATGGCAGTCTGAGCAGACTGTTATAAAGACACTCTGTTACAAAATACATGCACTCTACATGAAGCAGTCCATTTTTAGAAATTGGACTAAGAATAATTGTAAATGTATATTGAAAACTCTAGAGCAACCACTAAATTTTTAAAAATGAAATATTGATTTGTTAAGAGAGGGGAGAAAAATGGAATCATATAATGCTCCACTAAAGCCAAAGACATCAGACATCAGAAAAACAGGAAGATAAAAAATGAAATAAGGAATAAGTACAACAAAGAGAAACAGCTACAAACATGGCAGATATTAGTCCAGATATATCAATAATCACTTTAAAGATGAATGGGCTAAATATACCAGTTAGAAGACAGAGTGCCAGAATAGATTTTTAAAAAACAATATCCTTTTATATATTGTCTACAGAAACCCACTTTAAATAAAAAACTTGAACAGGTTAAGAGTAAAAGAATAGACAGAGATATACTATACTAACACAAATCAAAAGAAAGTTGGAGTAGCTATGTTAATTTCACAAAGGCAGACTTCAAAACAAGGAAAGTTATCAGGAATAAAGAGGGACGTTATGTAATAATAAAAGGGGTAGTTTTCCAAGGAGATACAACAATCCTAAACATGTATGAACCCAACACAGAACATAAAAATATTCAGGACAAAAACTGATAGAAATGCAATAAGAAGTAGAAAAACCTACTCCTGCAGTTGGACTCTCCAACACCTCTCTTTAGTAATTGATAGATCAAGAAGGCAGAAAATCCGTAGGAATAGAATTGATCTGAACAGCAGTGTCAATCAACAAGATGTAATTGACATTTATAGAATACTCCATCTGACAGCAAATTACAACATTCTTCTCAAGCTTACATAAAACTTTCACCAAAATGGACCAAATTCTGGGCCATAAAACACATTTTAACAGATTTAAAATAATATAGGAATCATACGTAGTATGTTCTCAGACCACAACGGATTTAAACTATATCAGTAGTTATCAATGTCTGGATGTAAACAACATAGATTTGGATCATAACTCCAAAAGACACAATGCTGAATGCCATAATCCCAAATGTTGAAATCCTCAAAGATAAAAATCTCTAAAGTTTAAATCTCTAAAGTCTCAAATCCCAAAAATCACAATCACGGGATGGTTGCATCATGTCAGGCAGAACTATGACCTTGTTATTGTCATTTAAAAATTAAGTATGGCTTAAAGAGATGTGTATACGGGAGCCAAATTGACAGGGGTGAAATTTTAGACTTAATTTTAGGTTTCGATTTGACTGGATTGAGAAATAGTAGATTTACTAGAATCCCAGTAAAGCATTATTTTGGGGGTTGCTGTTTGATTGCCAGTATTTTTTTCTGCCACATCTGGGGTCTGTATGTAAGTGCGTGTGAAACGGGTTTTTGCATGCCCAAAACAACACAGAAGTATGGCACAGAAGATAAGAAAATATAATCGGGAATGCTCATGTCAGTGTCTATTAAGTCACAGAATTTCAAAAGAAGTGGCCATACAGAAAGTGAATGTGAACATCTTTTTGAGGACAGTCATGTGCTAAAGGGAAAAAAGCAGCTATTCGTCATGATGCAAGACTGCAAAACGTAGTTAATGACCATGAAAGCCAGCCAGCTCTTATGGGCTATTCCTGAGGAATTACCCATAATCTATACCTGAGATACCTTTTACTTACATCAATTTTTTTAGATTTTTAGGTTTTTCTCCTTTTTTTTTCTTTTTCTTTTTTTTTTTTTTTTTGAGATAGGGTCTCACTCTGCCACCTAGGCTGGAGTGCAGTGGTGTGACTCCACTGCTGCCTTGACCTCTCTGGCTCAAGCAATTCTCCTACGTCAGCCTCCAGAGCAGCTGGGAATACAGCCACACACCACTACGCCTGGTTAATTTTTAAATTTTTTTTTGTAGAGATGGAGTCTCCCTATGTTGCTCAGGCTGGTCTTGACCTCCTGGGCTCAAGCACTCCTCCCACCTCCACTTCTTAAAGTGCTGAGATTACAGGCATGAGTCACTGTGCCCAGCACTTTCTTTTTTCAAGTTTGTTTTTTTTCATTATTTTAAATTGTCAGCATTCATTTTTACAATTCATTATGCTATGTATTTCATGTTTGAATCATTTCCAATACTGAAAATATAAATTGTATAGAGACTTTTAGGGAGCTGTAATTCATTTTATGCATTTTTTACAAATTTGACTCCATGAAAGTGCACTATCGCAATGTTCACTTTGTGTGTAAGCATTGTGCGTGTATGGAAAAATGTTGAAACTGTCTCAATAAACGAAGAGATGTCCTTTTCGTACATCTGCATTTGTGAAAGATAACATTTCTTGAGATCTTGGCTCTTTGTGAAACTATACGCAGTGGTAATCAATTGTGGGTTTTTAACAATCTCATCAGACTTAGATTGTTTGTCACAATATTGCAGACAACCACAGGTAGAAAGCTGGTTGCGTACAATTACCAACCATAGTGATACAAGTTTATACGTTCCCTTTTTAACCTATTTCTTTTCGCAGTTTGTCTGCTCATAACTGTTATACCCATGTGGCTGTCTTTAGTATACCTGCTTGCAAAAATATGTGTTATTATTGCCTATTTTATTGTGTAAGGTGGCCTCTGAAGTGTTCTGTTATGTTTTTATGTTTCTCAAATAATTTCCTCTTTAAAATTTCTTCTTTAAAATGTCTTTTAAATAAATTTTTTTTCAGAATTATATTTTTGAAATTTCGATCTTTTGGGATTGTAAATTTTGGGATTTCAGACTTGGGTGACTTTTATCTTTTAAGATTTCAACATTCGGGACTGTGTCTTTGGGATTATGATTGGCTCTCAAACAACACATTCCTAAATAACCAATGAGTCAAAGAAGAAATGACAAGGAAAATTAGAATATACTTTGAGATAAATGAAAGCATGAAACATACCAAAACTTATAAGATGCAGCTAAAGCAGCACTTAGAGAAAACTTTTAGCACTAAAATGTAAAGATCAGCAAAGAAGAAAGATCTCAAATGAACAACCCAAGTCAACACCTGAAGAAACTAGAAAAAGGAGAATAATTTAAGCCTAAAGCAAATAGATGTGAAAATAAAAATCGTAAAACAATTTTAAAAAAATCAACAAAACCAAACCCTGGTTCATTAAAAAAATCAATAAAGTTAATAAACCTCTAGCTAGGCTAATCAAGAAAAAAGAGAAAAGACATAAACTACCAATATCTGAAATAAAAGAGTCATCATCATTACTGATTCCATGGACATTGAAAGGATAATAAAAAATATCAAAAATTGCCTGGCGTGGTGGCTTACACCTGCAATCTCAGCACTTTGGGAGGCTGAGACAGGTGGATCACTTGAAGCCAGGGTTTTGAAACCAGCCTGGCCAACATGATGAAACCCCATCTCTACTAAAAATACAAAAATTAGCTGGCTATGGTGGTGCATGCCTGTAGTCCCAGCTAAGAGGGAGGCTGAGGCCCAAGACTCGCTTGAACCCGGGAAGTGGCGGTTGCAGTGAGCTGAGATTGTGCCACTCTACTCCAGCCTGGGCAACAGAGCAAGACTCTGTCTCAGACAAACAAACAAACAAAGTAAAAAAAAAAACAAACAAAAAACAAATTCTAAACCTACAAATTTGGTGACTTAGGTGAAACAGACCAATTCCTTGAAAGATAGAAGCTGCAAAAAACTCACACAAGAATAAATAATCTGAATACCTATGTCAACAAATAAACTAATTTATAATTAATAACCTTCCAATAAAGAAAGCATCAGGCTCAGATGGTTTTCTTTGGTGAATTTTGCCAAACATTTAAGGAAGATATGATACAAATTTTCTACAGTCTCTTCCAGAAAATAGAAACAGAGGAAACATTATGTAAATCATTCTATGAGGCTAGAAGTACTCTATTAACAAAAGTTTATAAAAACTTCACAAGAAATAAAAACTATGAAACAATATCTTTTTTGAACATAGAGCAAAAATCCTTAACTAAATAATGGCAAATTGAATCCAACCATGTATAAAAAGAATTATACACCATGACCCATGACCCAGTGGTATGCAAGACTGGTTTAACACTCAGAAAACCCAACATCATCCACACTAACAGGCTAAAGAGGAAAAATCATATGATCATATCAGCGATACAGAAAAAGTATTCGACAAAATCCATTATCCATTCTTGATAAAAGGTAGTAGGAATAAAGATGCAATAGACGGACTGTGTATCCCCAAATGTATATGTAGAAATCTTAACTCTTAAGGTGATGGCATAAGATGGGCGCAGGAGGAAAGAGCTTTCATGATTGGGATTAGTGCCCTTATAAAAAAAGATTTCAGAGAGATCTCTCACTCCTTCCACCATATGAGTTCCCAGCAAAACGACAGCTGTCTATGTACCAGGAAGCCCTCCCCAGACACTGAATCTACCATGGCTTTGATCTTGGGCTTTCCAGCCTCCAGAACTGTAAGAAATACAGTTGTGTTGTTTTTAAGCCACCTAGTCTATGGCATTAATGTCATAGCAGCCCAAGTCAACTGAGACAAGAGGAGAACTGCTTCAGCTTAATAAAGAGCAGCTATACAAAGAACTTACCATTAACAGTATACTTAATGGTGAGAAGCTGGATAGCTTCCCTGCTAAAATTAGGAAGAAGGCAAGGATAACCTTCTCACTAGTTCTGTTCAGTATTGTTCAACATTGTACTGAAAGGCCTCGGTAACTACCTAGGACAATAAGACAATAAAAGGAAATAAAATGTGTACAGATACAGAAGAAATAAATAAAACTGTTTTTGTTCATAGATGACATTATTGTCTACATAGAAAATCCTAAAGAATCAACAACAACAACAAAAAGTACCTGCAACTAATAAGTAATAATAACAATGTCTTCGGGTATCAGGTTAATACAAAAGCTAATTACTTTCCTATATACCAGCAATGAACAATTAAAATTTGAAGTTAAAAATATCACTCAAAACAGCACCAACCAAAAATGAAATACTTAGGTATAAATCTAGCAATATATAAGATCTATATGTCTAAAACTACAAAATCCTAATAAAAGAAACAACAGATCTAAATAAATGGATAGTCTGTGCTCATGAATTGGAAGATTCAATATTATTAATGAGTCAATTTTTCCCAACCTGATTCATAGAGTCAATACAATCCCAATAAAAATCCTAGCAAACTATTTTGTAGATATTGACAAACTGATTCAAAATTGTATATTGAAAGGCAAAATATCTAAAATAGCCAAGACAATAATGAAGAAAAGAAAAAAGTCGGAGGGCTCACACTAACTTATCTGAAGACTTACTATAAAGCTGTATCCATCAAGATAGCATGGTATTGGCAAAAAAGTGGACAAATTGATTAGTGGAACAGAATAGAGGTCCAGAAAGAGACTACACAAATATAGTCAATTGATCTTTGATGAAGGAGCAAAGGAAATTCAATGTAGAGAGGAAAGTCCTTTTTAACAATTGGTCCTTTTAACAATTTTAACAATTGGAACACTTGAATATCATGTGCAAAAACATCAACCTAGACGCAATGCTTACGCTTTCCCAAAAATTCACTCAAAATGGATCCTGGACCTAAAACACAAAACCATAAAACCTTGAGAAAGAAATATGGGTAGAAAATCTAGGTGACCTTTGGCTTGGTGGTGAGCTATCAGATATAACCCGAAAAGCATGATCCATGAAAGAAAAAATTGATAATTATTGATAAATTGGACTTTATTAGGATAAAAAATCCTGATCGGTGAAAGACAATGTTAAGAGAATAAAAAGACAAGCCACAGATTGGGAGAAAATATTTACAAAACACACATCAGATAAAGGACTTGTATCAAAAATATACAAAGAACTTGTGAAACTCAACAATAAGGAAACAAACAACCCCATTTAAAAATGGGCCAAAGATCTGAACAGATACCTCAACACAGAAGATATACAGATGGCAAATAAGCATATGAAAAGATGCTCAAAATCATTTGCCACTAGGGAATTTCAAATTAAAAAACAATAAGTTATCATCACACATCTATTAAAATAACTAAAATAAAAAGAAAACCTGACTATACCAATGCTGGCAAAAATATGGAGCAACAGGCGTTCTCATTCTTGCTGGTGAGAATGCAAAATGGTACAGCTACTTTGGAAGATGGTTTGGTAGCTTCAGACAAGGCAAACATAGTCTTACTATGTAATCCAGCAATTGTGGTACTAGGTATTACCCAGAGGATCTGAAACTTATGACCACAAAAAAAGCCTGCATATGAACATTTTAGCAACTCTGTTTGGAATTGCAAACTAGTGATTATGAAACAACAAAAATGTCCTTCAGTAGGGGAATAGATAAACAGAACATGGTATATTGATACAATAGAATACTATCAGCAATGAAAGCAAATGAGCTACCAAGGCACAAAAAGACATGGATGAATTGTAAATGAATACTGCTAAGTGAAAGAAGCTAGTCTGAAAATGTTACATATTGTATGCTTCAATTACTTGACATTCTGTAAAAGGCAAAATTATAGTAATAGTACAAAGATAAATGGTTGCCAGGGGATTGGGGGGATGGTAAAGGGGAGAAGAGATTCATTAGGTGAAAAATGGGAGATGTTTAGGCCAGTGAAACTATTCCATAATGATGAGGTAGGAGGCAGGACTTGACTCCAGAAGTGGGGCTCAGACACTAGGCCAACCTGAGGACTAGCTAAAACAGGGATGGGGTGGAAGCAGCTTTCCATGAGACACACCACCAGTGTGCCATGTCAGTTTGCCATTACCGTGGCAACACCTGGGAGTTACTGCCCCTTTCCATGACAATGACCTAACAACCCAAAAGTTACCACCCTTTTCCTAGAGATTTCTGTGTAAACCACCCCTTAGTCTACACGTAACTAAAAGTAGGTATAAGTACGATTGCAGAACTGCCCTGAGCTGCTACTTTCAGCACACTGCCTACAGGGTGGCCCTGCTCTGCAGGAGCAGTCATGGGGCTGTAACACTTTTAGAACTCTAATAATGCTGCTTCAAAAAAGCTGTTTTCATCTACCCTACCACTGACTCACCTTTGGATTCTTTCCTGGGTGAAGCCAAGAACCCTTGCAGGCTAAGCCCCACTTTGGGGTTTGCCTGCCGTACATCAATGATACCTTAATGGTAGATTTATGACACTATGCACTTGTCAAAATCCATAGAACTTTGCAGAACAAAGAATGAACCTTAATGTATGTAATTTTTTTAAAGATTAGGAGGTTGAGGGAATCTCAGGGTGAAATGCAGAATGTGACCGAACAATCTAACTGCATTACAAATGTAGGGAACAACCTCACCGAAAGGGAAAGGGTGCTAACCCAAGTAACTTTGGAAATGAGTGGAGTCTGTAAGACTAAAGACAAAAGAAACTGTACATAAAAACTGGATGCTAGTTGATAAAATTATTTCCTATGAGGATACCAGTTAACAATTCTGATACTGCTACCTAAGTACACAGGAACTGGATAATTAAATAAATGGATGATGAGTGATGGGACCCATGTTTCTCACTGCTGGGGTGAGAGATTGCAGATAAGTAAGGGGAGAAGGCTAGAATAATTCATGCGGTGACAGATTAGGATTGGAGATAGCAGTATGAATTCATGTTTAGTTTAATTTAAATACAGATGGTTACATATACAAATATTTATAAATATATGTATATGTATATATAAATATAAATATTTATAAATATAAAATATTGATAAATATATGTATAAATATGGGCTACTATACACACATATATTTCCTTGCTAAGTCAGCTGAAAGGGTCTAGAAACAATGGAACCCATAATAGCATGAACACCTAGAGTTTGGAATGTCCTAGAGACTTGTTGAATGGCTTTGTCCAAAATGCTGATAGTGATATGGACAATAAAGTCCAGGCTGAGGTGGTCACAGATGGAGATAAGGAACCTGCTGGGAGGTGAAGCAAAGGTGACTCTTGTTATGTTTTAGCAAAGAGACTAGCAGCATTTTGCTCCTGCCCTAGAGATTTGTGGAACTTTGAACTTGAGAGAGATGATTTAGGGTATCTGGCAGAAGAAATTTCTAAGCAGCAAAGCAGTCAAGAGGTGACTTGGGTGCTGTTAAAGGCATTCAGTTTTAAAAGGGAAACAAAGCATAAAAGTTTGGAAAATTTGCAGCCTGACAATGCGATATAAAGGAAAACCCCATTTTCTGAGGACAAATTCAAGCTGGCCACAGAATTGGCATAAGTAATGAGGAGCTGAATGTTAATCACCAAGGCAATGGTGATGGCAGCCCTTCCCATTATAGGCCCAGAGGCTTAAGAGGAAAAAATAGTTTAGTGGGCCAGCCCCAGGGTCCCTCTGTTGGGTGCAGTCTAGGGACTTGGTGCCCTGCATCCCAGCTGCTCCAGCCGTGACTAAAAGGGGACAAGGTACAGGTCGGGCTGTTGCTTCAGAGGGTGGAAGTCCCAGGCTTTGGCAGCTTCCACAGGGTGTTGAGCCTGTGGGTGTACAGAAGTCAAGAATTGAGATTTCAGAGGATCTATGGAAATGCCTAGATGTCCAGGCAGAAGTTTGCTGCAGGGGTGGGGCACTTATGGAGAGCCTCTGCTAGGGCAGTGCAGAAGGGAAATGTGGGGTCAGAGCCCTCACACAGAGTCCCTATTAGGGTACTGCCTAGTGGAGCTGCGAGAAGAGGGCCACCATCCTCCAGAACTGAGAATGGTCGATCCACTGACAGCTTGCACTGTGCACCTAGAAAAGCCACTCAACACCAGCCTGCCCATGAAAGCAGCTGGGAAGGAGGCTGTACCCTGCAAAGCCACAGGGGTGCAGCTGCCCAAGGCGGTGGGAGCCCACCTCTTGCATCAGCATGACCTGGATGTGAGACATGGAGTCAAAGGAGATCATTTTGGAGCTTTAGGATTTGACTGCTCTGCTGGATTTTGTACTTGCATGAGGCCTGTAGCCCCTTTGTTTAGATCAATTTCTCCCATTTGGAACAGCTGTATTTATCTAATGCCTGTACCCCCGTTGTATCTAGGAAGTAACTAACTTGCTTTTGATGTTATAGGCTCATAGGCAGAAGGGGCTTGCCTTGTCTTTGATGAGACTTTGGACTGTCGACTTTTGAGTTAATGCTGAAATGAGTTAAGAATTTGGGGGACTGTTGGGAAGGCATGTTTTGTTTTGAAATGTAAAAATGGATATGAGATTTGGGAGGGTTCAGGGGTGGAATGGTAAGGTTTGGCTGTGTACCCACCCAAATCTCCTCTTGAATTGTATCTCCCACAATTACTACATGTCATGGGAGGAATCTGGTGGGAGGAAATTGAATCACGGGGATGCGTCTTTCCCATGCTGTTCTTGTGATAGTGAATAAGTCTTACAAGATCTGATGGTTTTAAAAATGGAAGTTTTGCTGCACAAGCTCTCTTCTCTTGTCTGCTGCCATGTGAGATGTGCCTTTCAGCTTCTGCCATGATTGTGAGGCCTCCCCAGCCACCTGGAACTGCAAGTCTAATAAACCTCTTTCTTTTGTAAATTGCCCAGTCTCTGGAATGTCTTTATCAGCAGTGTGAAAACAAACGAATACAGCAGAGATCAGAAAACTTTGGCAAAGGGTCAGATTCTAAACATTTTAGGCTTTGTACATCGTATGGCCTTTGTGGCAATTACTCAACTCTACCATTGCAGCACAAAAGCAGCCATAGGTGACCTGTAACTAAACTGGTGTGGCTGTTTTCCAATAAAGCTTTATTTACAAAAACAGGCAGCTGGGGATTTGGTGTATGGGCCAATGTTTGGTGACCCCTGGTCTAGAGGGACGACACAAACAGCCCAGGAGCCCAGCAGGGCCCTGACACTCCTTAGAGCATCTTGCTATCGAAATAATGCATTTCCTAGTCACTGAAATCCCTGTTTGCTTATTTTTTGTTACTTGCAGCCAGAAGCCCCCAGACAGATACAAGTGTGCCAGCTCCTGTGCCCACTCCTCCCCTGTTTCCTACTGGCTGCACTGGGGTGGGTGGGGGAGGCCAGGGGTGGACAGGCAGCTGGATGGTGCACATCTGTCTACTCATATCTGACTGTCCATCCATGGGAAGATTTTGAGGAAATTGGATGAGGAAACAGCGTGGGTGGGATAGAGCATCCCAACTCTTCCAAGCCAGTGACACAGAAGGCCGGCTGACTTCTCTGCCTCGGTTTCCATGTCTGAAGAATGGGGTGTTGTGAGAATGGAAGCAGTTGTGGAGTGCAGGCCTGGTCCCTCCTGGGAGCACGTGTTTATCCCCCATGGACAATGGACGTGAGTCTGGCCCTGACCTCAGGCAGTGCAGTGACCTTGGGGAGGAGCCATGAACGCCACAAGCAGTGCAGTGACTGCCTCAGTAGAGCCGGCACAGAGAAGCTGGGGGCATCCTGGGAGGCTTTCTGGAGAAGGTGCTATCAGAACTGGGTCTGGGTCTGAATGATGTCAGGGCAATGTGGGCTTTGAGAGAAGGGGATCCCAGGCAGAAGGGGCAGCAGTGAGCATAGCCACAGGGAGAAAATGGGGTGTGTGGGGGGAGAAACCGGTGCATGTTGCTGGAACATCTGGGAGATGCCAGAGAGAATGGGAAGGCTCTGCAGGGCCTTGTGAGCCTCGAGGGAGGTCAAGGCTGCAGTGAGCTATGATCATACCACTGTACTCCAGCCTAGGTGACAAGGCGAGATCCCCATCTCTAAAAAAATTTTATTTACAAGTAACGCATGGATTTTTGACAGCAAGGGGGTTCAGCGTGCCTTGAACCCCTCGTTGTTCAAGGGCCAAGTGTAGTAAAATAAATGAGACAGGGTCTGTAGTGGGTGCTGCAGGTGCCCCCAGGTCCCACTGGAACCCTTTAGGGAGTCTGTACAGCCCTCCCCCTGTCTCCATGAGCATTGCTAGTGGCTGGCTTCTGGGAGGACAGTTCTGCAGCTTCTGAGACTCACTCCTCCATCTTGTGCACCAGGAGCCAGAGGGGTCTGGGACTCTACCTTTCCAGGGTCCAGAGCCCCCACAGGTCCTCTTGGGATCAAGCTGAGGCTGGAACTCTGTCCACAAGTGTCTCCCTTGCTCAGGTTCTCCCCCTCCTTGATCCTCTTCCCTGACTCCCTTAGCGGAAGCCCCCTGGGAGCACATCCTTAAAACGTCCTAATCCCTTACACACAAGGCCACGTCTTGGGGTTACTTCTGGAAGAACCCTACCTAAGACAGTTTCTTTTTTCCTTGCAGACCTTATCAGAGCTTTCGTCATGCTATGGTGAATAATGATTTCCCGACGGAGGAAAAGTATGCAGTGTTTTGCAAAATTGTTTAACAACGACCACCCCCTTTACCAGAACCTGCCTGAGCTAGTGTTTTCACTGGGCTCCCTGAATGCTGCCTGAACTAATAAAACAGAAAGTTTGAACGAACTGTTCAAGGTTGCCCAGCAGCTCCGAGGGATCGCTTCGCCTCCCTTGAATGCACCCGGGGTTATTGTAGAAAGGGGTGGGAAGTGAGAAGAGCTACATTTGGCCAAAGAAGTGAAAAAGCCTCATTCCAAAGAATTGTAAAATTTATTGTATAAGTATTGCAGCTTTTCAGAATGTCATCATTGCCACTAATGATTACTGATACACAACAAGCAGTTTCTTCAGGCCTGTGGATTGGCATCCAAATACAGAGTCTTACGCAGCGGGGACGTGGGTGCGCGCCCCGCATGCCACGGAAAGCTTACATAAGTTTAACTTGAACAGAGCTTGGGAAATGGGGCTGCAAAGGAGAGCAGTTCCCACGCCAGGAACCAACGTGAAAGCATTGGAATCAGCACAACAGCCATGGAATCAGGCAGGCAGGGGAGGACGGGCTGTGTCCTTCTGAGCTCTATAGTACAGCAAGATTTCAAGCAGTTTCCAGAAAAACAACAACAACGACATTTTCTTTCCTTATCGACGGGATATTTTATGGTTCTGGAAGCTTCGTGTTGCACATAGGAAAAAAAATTTCTCTGAAACGTACAATTCATAGGGACGACCAATGAGGACAGGGAATGAACCCGGCTCTCCCCCAGCCCTGATTTTTGCTACATATGGGGTCCCTTTTCATTCTTTGCAAAAACACTGGGCTTTCTGAGAACACGGACGGTTCTTAGCACAATTTGTGAAATCTGTGTAGAACCGGGCTTTGCAGGGGAGATAATTTTCCTCCTCTGGAGGAAAGGTGGTGATTGACAGGCAGGGAGACAGTGACAAGGCTAGAGAAAGCCACGCTCGGCCTTCTCTGAACCAGGATGGAACGGCAGACCCCTGAAACGAAGCTTGTCCCCTTCCAATCAGCCACTTCTGAGAACCCCCATCTAACTTCCTACTGGAAAAGAGGGCCTCCTCAGGAGCAGTCCAAGAGTTTTCAAAGATAACGTGACAACTACCATCTAGAGGAAAGGGTGCACCCTCAGCAGAGAAGCCGAGAGCTTAACTCTGGTCGTTTCCAGAGACAACCTGCTGGCTGTCTTGGGATGCGCCCAGCCTTTGAGAGGCCACTACCCCATGAACTTCTGCCATCCACTGGACATGAAGCTGAGGACACTGGGCTTCAACACTGAGTTGTCATGAGAGGGACAGGCTCTGTCCTCAAGCCGGCTGAGGGCAGCAACCACTCTCCTCCCCTTTCTCACGCAAAGCCATTCCCACAAATCCAGACCATACCATGAAGCAACGAGACCCAAACAGTTTGGCTCAAGAGGATATGAGGACTGTCTCAGCCTGGCTTTGGGCTGACACCATGCACACACACAAGGTCCACTTCTAGGTTTTCAGCCTAGATGGGAGTCGTGTACAAACCTTGGCAAAAAAAGGTTGGAGGAGCAGGAGTAACCTCACCAAGCTAGGCACCTCCCTGGTAGAGACAGGGTGAGGACGCGCGAGGATGATGGGGTGTCTGAAAAGCAGGAGCCCTTGGTGGACCCTGGGAGGGGATACCAGTCCCAGGTGAGTGAGGCACTGTCCGGGAACGTCCTCACCGAGCGACGGGAGTGTCACTGCTTCTTCAGTAAGGCACTAGAGACGCGTCACATAAAGGAAAGATACGTTTTAATCATCTTTACAAGTGCGTCCTTGTACCTTTCGGGATAACCTGTACTGATTTCTCTGCAGGACCTTTTCAAAGAATCCTCTTCAAGAGAGAAACAAATTTTAGGCTGACGACTTCACGGAGAGGCAGGTTCTGCTGTTGCCAATGAACGAGAACTTTCTACTAGGCTGGCGGCATGCAGAGCCCACGTCTGTCAGCTGCCACCTTCGTAAAGCACACGTTTCACATGCATGAGCTCGAGTGGCTAGAACTTCAAAACTGTGCTCAGGTTTTTGTTTTGGAAGTTATAAAAAAGTTGCTCACAAACAATAGTTATTGCCTTTTATATCTTTTATGTTAGTCTACTAGTCAGCATTCTGCCCAAAATGGAAAGCCACTCCCATGGGAAGGGAGGGGGTAGCAGCTGGGAGTCTGCTCTTCCAGCTGGGGGCCCTCCCACCCCCATGGGGAGGAAAGACGTCAAGCTCCAGCCACTGGCCCCGGTGGGTCCCAAAGCCCCACCCCTCATGCTCTCCTCTGGTCACCTCTATTTACGCTCACATGCCCCTTCCTGTCCTTCACCTGCACGTCACCAGCAGGTCCCGCCAACCCCAAATCTATCTGGTGAAAACCTGGAGAACAAGAGCGGAGTCTAAGAGAGATGTAAATGAAAACACAGATCAACAGACACACCAGAAGGGAAGCGTTGTTTCCGCGGGGAAAGGAGATGGAAAGGGGAAGAGAAGGTGAAGAATTCTGCGCCCGAAGCTCGGGTTGGTGTTTGCTCAACTGCTTTACTCATTTTAACCCTTTCACCTATCCTGGGAGAAACCCAGGCTTGTCACCTTTTCATGTTGGGTTGTTTATTGGCCTCTTAAGTGAGAATTGATCCGTGAAGGGAAACAGACAGGAGGAGGTCAGATTGCGAATACCTGGGGCTTCCTAGGGTCCAGTGCGGCAGTTACCGCACCTGCCTTCACCGGTGAACCTTTAGCCAGCTGAACAACCACCAAAGCGCCCTGCAGAGACAAGTCATCGAGCCCTCTGGCATGTCCCTGGTAGCCCGGGCACCAGCCGCTGCGGCTTGTGAGGGGCACCATGCTCCACCCCACGGGGACCTTCACAGTTGGAAAAAAGAAGAGGAAAAACTAATTCCTTCGGTAACAGTTTATTTTCATTTTTGGGAAAGGCAAAACCACTACCTGGAACTCGGTGCCTCCGTGGTTAACTTTCCTATTTTGCTTGTGATTTAAAGGCTGTTCTGGGTCAGGGGGGAAAAGGTGTCTCCTTCGGTAGGGAATATATAACGTGGTGATAACCTGTCACTAGGCAGAAGCATCCACTCTGCAGGGACAGTGGCCCCTCGGGAAAGCCCGCCGCTCCTGGCCAAGGCCTCTCTGCAGACTCCACGGGGGCTCACCCTCTGCCGTCAGGCGACTCTGAAATTCCGACATTTCTCCCTTAAAGTCTCAACAGACACAAGAGAAGTTTCCATCAAGCAAGCACTGACATATTTATATTAAAAAATAGTGCAAAATCTCAACATTTATATAAATAACTCTAAACCCCTGCTTTGTAATTTTTTTCTTTACAAGGTAATACACACTTTCTGACTTGGCACTCAAAAATTGCCATTTTTTTCCTCTTCTAGTTCAGAAAACAACTTTTTTTTTTAATAGGCCTCTTCTAATACAAAAATACTCCTGCCCTCGCACATACAGTTTCTCTTATCTTATATATATTTATATATATAATATTGCAGATCTTTAAACAAAGGTTTTGTGCAAATATGTCTTTAAAGTTAAGTGAAATTATCATAAACAAAAGAAAATAAGCATTCACGCACGCAGCTCAACTAGAAACAAGAAAGACTACTGTAGAAATTTTTTTTCTTTTGCCTTCAAGACACAGCTCAACAAAGAAACGTGGTTTTTTTTTTTCTTTTTTCTTTTTTTTTTTGCAAGCTCTCTTAGCTTGTGCATTCAGACCAGACATCACATGTAAATATTTATACACAGGGAGGTGGGAGGGGAGGGCCACACGATGCGTTGCTGCGCCCCCCGCCTTCCTCTCACTCCTCTTCTAAGAAGCGCGGAGTGTTCTGCCTTTTCACCTACGCAGCCCCAGCCCGGCCCCCCTGGGGACCCTAGAGAGGGTGTCCTTTCTGTTTATCCTTCTCTTTGCTCCAGATGGCTGCGCTCTCTAGGGGCGCGATGTGTGTGTGGTGGAGCCGGGTCCCCTCCAGCAAGGAGGGCGGCCCACTGCTCTGCTGGTGCTGGAAGGAGGACCCCGGGTAGTGGCCGATGACCTCGCTGTAGGTGGGCGGCGGCCCCTCCATGCGCCCGCCGCTGCCGTAGCACGTGGCGCTGATGCCCGAGTTACTGCTGGGGGGGCAGGGGCCGCCCAGCCTGGCACTATCCATCAGGTCACTGTCGAAGATGGTTCTGTTTGGGGGTGCGCGCACCGACTCCCGGTTCAGTTCCAGCTGCTGCTCGGGGTCCCGAAGCTGGAGGGTGCAGGGGCCCTGGTAGGGTGGGGGCTCCTCCCCGTCTGACAGCGAGATGGTGGGTGGCAGGTCGATCTCGTGCTGCAGGTACGGATAGGTGGGCTGGAAGCGGTGGAAGCGCTCCCGCTGGGCGAAGGGCGGCACGGCCAGGCGGTCGGTGGGCCGAGGCGGGGCGTAGACCTGCGGCTGGAGGAAGCAGAGCGGGAGTGAGGGAGGGCGGCTGTCTCAGGTGGGTTGTCCAGAAGCGATCCTGAGACTGGAGTTCTGCTGCATGGGACTTGGCTCTCTGGGGAAAGGGAGAGGGCAGCAGGGCTGGCGGGGGCGGGAGCCCAGAGCCTGATCCCGCGGGGGCCCTGGCCTGGGGGGCAGCACTGCAGAGCTGCACCGCCCTCCTCCAAACAGTGGCAGCGTCCGTGCTCCCGTGTGCAGAGAGCAGAGAGCTGGGCTGCTCCCTCAGGGGCAGGGAGCAGATGATCTCCGGCAAGGAGGATCCCAGCAGCAAGGGCACTGCAGAGGAGGGCGGAGGGGTGAGCCTTTAGCAGCCCACACTGTTCCAGCCGCAGCGGGAGCAGCCCAGGGTGGGATGGGGGTGTTGGAGGGGAGGCCGAGGGAGGTCTCACCTCTGGGATTCCGTTGCCTGACACTGTGCTCTCCGAGGGCCACAGGCATCCTTCCTGCACAGGAAGAAACGTACAAGCAGGGTCAGTGGGGTGGGCAGGAGGGACAGCAAAGGCTCAACCCAGATTCGACTCTTAGGCCTTTACCCTGGAATCAGCTCTTGAACCCGCCCACCTCTCTGCATCGGAACCAGCTTCCCCAGCCCCTGGCCCTGGGCGCTTTTCCAGGACGTGAGCGCAATCACCTCCTCACTGATCCCTGAGGTGCCCTCTGCTGTCCCCTGAAAATCCAGCCTGACACTTTCCAAAACATACACCCACTTGTGGGGCCCCCTTCTCAAAGCTGCCTGTAGCTTCCCGTGGGCCTCAGTGGCTTCTCACCAGGCTGAACATGGCCTCAGCCCCTCACCCCTGGCCCCACTCCCCTGGGCCTGGGCCCCCTGCTGGCTGTGTGACCTGCGTCAAGTTACTTAATTTCAACGCTGCAGTTTCTGTACCTGAATTACAGTTCTTGAGATTACAGTACTTGCCTCATAGTTGCTCAAGCACTTGCTGAATTTGAATGTAAAAACCACCCGGAGCCCACGTGGCACTCAGGTAGCATGTGAATGTGCTGGGTGTCACCTCCACACTCCCACCAGCCATGCTGACCAGCCCCCTGGGGCCTCAACAAGCTCAGCCCGAGCCCCAGGTCCTTTACACGGCAGGCCAGGCTGCACGGCCCGCTGCTGTCCACTTTCAGTTCCAGCGTCCCCTGCAGACCCTTGGAGACCAGCATCTGAAGGGCCTCTCCCGTGAACCTTGTCATCTGTTGATTCCCTTTCCAGCACCTGTCCTAACTTAATCATTGCTTCTATGCATTTATTTCTTTACAGTCTTTCTCTCCCTTGATCTAGTGAGCCCATCATTACTGATGTCCCAGTTCACAGGTGAAAAACAGGAGAGTTGAGGAAAGTGCCCAAGGCGGCTGCTCTGCCATAAAACAGTGATTCAGCCTCTGGCAAAGGAGGTGTGTGGTTCCACTGTGGCGCCAAGCTCTGGTCTGGGTGCAGGGGCACAGCTGCCACTTCATGAAGCTTATGCCATCTGCTCTGAGGAAAATGAGACCCCATGCCAGGACCAGTTCCTCTGAGTTTCCCCAAATGCCATGACGGTGAGCCCTGGGCCCGGGGAAAGGGATGTCTGTTACTTTTATAGCTTCATTGAAATATAACTGATATGCAAATAAATGGACATATTCAAAGCATACAATTTGGTTCGGGCATATATTTATACCAAGAACCTCTCACCACAATCAAGATAATGAGTATGTCCATCACCTCAAACGTTCCCTTGGGGCAGGTTTTTTGAGGGTTCCCAGGTAGGATACCGCTCACCTGCAGCCTGGGTAGGAACGGCCAGAGGGTGGTAATTTCCCATATGGCCACTAGGAGGCTCTGTGGCCCCTCAAAACTGTCCCGTCAGGACCGCTCCTACCCCTTAAGGAGGTCTTAACTGCCTCGTCTCCTGATTTAGCGAATGGCTCTGATATTCTTCAAGTTGCAAAGCCAGATCCACAGGATCATTCCTGACAGCTCCTCTCCCCACCACCCTTGTTCCACCCACCCTTGATCCCCTCTCACTTCTCCTTCTATTAGACAGTTCTATCCACCTCTCTCCCCAGCATCTGTGCCTAGTGGACAGCAAAGTCCTATGGAACCAGGGCCTCCATGTGCAGACAGTCCATCTGCAGCCTGCAAAAATGCAGATTCTGTAGCAGGAGGGCTGGCGAGCCTGCGTGTCTCACCATCTCCCAGAGGCTGCGAGTGCCGCTGGTCTTTGAGGTCCTTGAGGGGTCTCCCAGGGTCTCCTCCACTCTTGCCCTTCCCCAGGGCCCTTCCTCCTCACAGAAGTGGGAACATCTCCCTCATGCCCCCCACCCCACACCCTGCCACTCCTCTGCTTAAACCGTCTGGGCCCCCCGCTGCCTCCAGGAGAGAAAGTTCCAACCCCTTACCGAGGCCCATACCCCCTAGATGTCCACGGCCGTAGTATAGCTGTTTCCTTTAACGGGTTTTCCTATCTGTATAGCGGGCTGATGACAGCGCCTGCAATGCACCATACAGTGTGTTCTGCAAGGTGCCCAGTGAACACAGACTCTCACGTCTTGCCTTTGGATCTGAGCCCATCCTGGGTCTGGACCAATGGCCCCTCTTTCCTCCCTTTCCTGAAGAACTTTGACTGGCCCCTCAAGCCTCTGCCCAGGTGTGCTAACCCCAGAGCTCTCCGTTAGCCCCCCAGGCGGGTCAGGCACCTCCTCCCATCTCCTCCAGTCCCCTCCTGCACCACAGCCTTTGTCCCTCTGCCCCCGGTGGCCTATTCAGGGGTCTCACTCGCCCTGCAGGAGCTGCTACCGTTTCCCCAGTGCCAGGCGCCGGCGTGCTATGCAGTCAGGGAGTGCTCAGGTTGCTACTTAAGTGCGGAAGTTGCTGGGTGACCCGTGCAAGTCATCTTTGTGGAATTAGGTTCCAAAGTGGCTTGAGAAGTCGGGGGAGGTGGGCCCAGCTTCAGAATTGTCTGGAACCTTCCCCAGCCTCTGGCTATGTCTGCCAGTCACCCCAGGTGGAGGACAAGGACAGGTTCCAATCCTACAGCCACTGCTGACGAGCCCCCTGCTCCCAGCAGCCTCCAACCACTCCCAGACTCCCAGGGCTCGGGGTGGACTCCTCTTCTTTGAAGTGGGCGCACCCAGTCCACCTGCGCCTTCCCCATTTAGATGCTTCTAGACCAAGGGTCTGAAAACTGTTTCCATAAAGAGCCAGAGAGTAAAATATTTTCTGGTTTGTGGGCCGGCGGGTCTCTGTCATACCACTGAACCCTGCTGCTACAGCCAAGCGCAGCTATGGGCAAAACGCACTCGAAAACACTTCATTCACACTCAGAAAAGACCTCATTGACAAAACCAGGCAGCCGCAGTGAGCTGACGCTCAGGCAGCTCCTCCCAGACCCCTCCAGAGTCTTAACACCACGAGGCCAGAACGTAGCTGCCCATTCTTCCCCTGGAGTCCCCAGGAACATCCAAGGGGACGGGATGGCCTTCTATCAAACTTCGAGGACTCAGAGATGTTTCTAAAGAATAAAGAGATGTTCCTAAAAAATTCGGTACCTCCCATGTCCTCAGGAGATACTGAATTCCCCCACAGCCCAGCACAAGGGGCCTGGGGGAATTCGGTATCTCCTGAGGCCATGGGAGTGGACGCTAGGTCTTTGGCTCCCGCTGCTGGCAGATTGTCGCACATTGGCCTGGCCACAGTCTTGTCCCTGCCCCTGGGAAATGGGCCCTTGGTGGGCTGGGTTCTCTCGGGAGCAGGAGACCCACACTGAGGACTGATTGGGGGATAAAGAGGACAAAGGGTCACCCCATCCAAGGCCTGAGTTCCTAGTCTGAGCAGGCCTTGGGCACAAAGACTGGGATTGCCTTTCTGGGTAAACCTGAAGTCTGCGCCACTCCGTGGCTGGGCGGTCACTGCAGTGACGTTCTGCATCATGTCCCGAATACCCTCGGAGCAGCGCCAGGGTGGAAGTGCCATCCCTGGTCGAGGGGCTTGCCTGCACTGGAGCCTCACCCTCAGAGGGCAGATCCTTGCCCAGTGTCACACAACAAGGAGGTGACAAGGCCGAGAAAAGACCTCAGAGCTCAGGGTCTTACCTGAGATGGTGAGGCAGGTGGGTGAGGCACGAGCTCTTGTCTCCATACAGGCAAGAGGGGACCCCCAGGGTCACCCTGAAAAGGGGCCATGGTCGGATAGCCATGCCAGGGGCAGAGCATGGATGGGCTGGGGGGATGTAGACTGGGCCCGGGACAGATAAGAGCTGTATGTGGATCTCTATGGAAGGCCGCGGGGCCCAGGGACTCCTGTCTGGCAGGGGGTCCCCAGGGGAGCTGCCACATTCTGCTTTAGGCCTAGTGAGGCTCCACGTTTACCCAGCCAGGCATCCCGGGCGGCTGTGCAGGCGGCTGGGTAGACAGTGGGAGGAGACTTTCTATTGGCCGAAGGTGTGACGGAATCCTACCCCTTCCTGGCAGCAGGATCCCAGGTGCCGTCTCCTGCTCCACAACAGTGAAGCCCCTGCAGTCGGCCTCTGGGTACGGTACACTCTCCACTAACTGCATCCTCCCCATGACCACGGGCCGCACAGGCCTAGCTTCAACCCACTGTGGAGATGCACACACTGAGGCTCCGAGGGGCAAGGTGAGTCCAGCCTGGAGTTAGTGCCCCTCCAGGGCTGGTGCCTTCTGGAATGTCCAGGCACCGTCACTCTCCCCAGCACTTGAGGGAGGACGGAATAGGCTGTGGGCTCTTCACACCGGCAGTGACAAGCAGTGTGGCCTCCGGCAAATGTTCCACCTCTCTCATCCCCAGTTTCTCCTCTGGAAAGTGGGGTGAACCCCTGAAGTCCCTGATGGCATCCCTGGGCAGACGTAACCAGTGCTTGTTGCTGGAGTGGTAGCAACAGCAAATAAACACGTCGGGGCTTGAGAGCAGCAGGTCTGCAGCACGCCCTCCGGACAGCGTGCTGGGACGCACAGTGGGCCCCGGGTCTGTGGGCCAGGCATTCCCATCAGAGGTCCCAGGGCTGATGCTCCTTGCCCTGGCAACCTGGTGACGCACTGAGGCTGGGGCCTGATGCAAGCAGAGGTGTCCAGACCTGCCAGGGACAGGCCTTCCGGCTAGGGACTGTGGCCAACAGGCTTCTCAGCTGACTTGGCTCAGCCCAGGGACTCTGGGCGCCACCACCAACCCCAGGCGTCCCCAGAAGTGGGGAGGCCACACTCAGTGCTGCCTGTTCTGTGAGTCCTCCCCACACCTGGTGAGCCCCGGCTCAGAGACGTGCCGCAGCCCCAGGGCTGGCCACGTGCCACCTCCTCCCCACAGTTCCCAGCCTGCTCTTTAAACAGCCGCTTCCTGCCCCACGTGGTTGAGTTACACATCCTGGGTGCAGAGATGGAAGCCATTAAGAGATTAACTCTGTGCCGCCCTTTGGTCCACCTGCTGAAGGATACCGAACAGCCGGGCTTCAGGCGGCCGACATGGAGCCGGGAGTTCACCGTCAGAGGCGGGCAAGTTCCCACCGACCCAGATCTGCCCTGTTTGCCCCTGACTTTGTGGAGATTCGAAAGGGAAATTCTTGGGGTTTCCAGAACACCCACCAATGCTCACAACTCTGAGAGATCAACACCCAGGACTGTAATGGAGAGCGGGGTCCCTCCTGCAGGGCTCTGTCCTCCTCACACTCCCGCGCCCACTTCACCTGGTCCTGCACAGCACGGCCTCAAGAGCAGCTCGCCCCAACTTCCTGGCCACGGCCCTCGGCTTCCTTCATCCGTGCACCTGCTCCTGTCTGCGCCCATCCAACTCACCAGCAGCACCCCCTGGGACTGGCTCACAGCCACTTCCCAAACGCAGGGGGAATTTTGCATACCCCGTGTGTGTGCTGGGTAGAGATCTGTCAGGTGGATGGATGGATGGATGGAAGTGCTTTTATAGCCAGTAATGACCAGACCCGTGCTCTGTGCTAAAGCCCTGAATCTCTGGGGAGGTGGATGTGACTGTCAGCCCATTTTACAAATGGGGGATCTGAAGCCCCATTTTGTAGATCAGGGACAGGTCTGAGGGCACGTGGCCAGTACTGGTGGAGATGGGATTAAACTTAGGCCCCGGGACCTGGTGTCCTGTTGCCTCTATGGCTCTCCAAGGCATTGTGACCACATGACCAGATGTCAGCATAGCACGGGCACGAGGGCAGGGCCGCCACCTCCCTTCCGTCTGGGTCAGGGCTGCAGGACTGCAGGCACCTTTCCCACCACTACCCCGGTGGGTAAGAGCCAAATGCCGGCCCCTCGTCTCCACCATCCTGTTGTGTCAGGCCTCTGTGTGGACCCAGAATGCCTTCCTGTGCTGCCTGCCCCAGGTGCCTCCCTGCTTTCAGCCTCATCTCTCTAGGTCTGTCTCCACTCAGCCTCGAGAGATGTGGGTCAAGACGGGGGTCAGCTTGCGCTGCTTGTGAGCCCAGCCCTGCCTCCCTAGCCGAGGGTTCCTCGCAGAGGCTCCCCCAGGTCCCAGTGGTCGCATCTCCTGCATGGCGCTATCACCACTGGGCGTCTCATCTCCCTCCTGGAACGTCAGCTCCATGACAGCAAGGACCTGTGTGCTGCCCTCTCCCCAGGCCCTGCACAGAGCCTGCGACCCGAGGCTGCTCGAGAGTCAGCTGAGTGCGTGAGTGGATCACGAAGCCTCTTCCCAGCCCAGCTCTTCATTCCCCACGTTCCTCCAGCATCTCTGAGGCCCGCCTGGCGGGTGCTTTCCTCCCATTTCAGGGGAGGAAGCTGCTGTCAGGTGGGCTCCCCAGCCCCTGTCTTCCTGCCCTGAATCTGTTTCCTGCAAACGCTGCCATTGGATCCCGTCTGAGTTTTTACAAGGGGCGTCCCACTGCCGCACCCTCAGGCCACAGATGGGATGGCGGGGCACTTACTGAGGACAGGGCATCTTCTCTCCTCCGCCCCTGGCTGTGCCGGCTGATGAAGGACCGTGCAGACAGCTTGTAGTGGCTCAGCAGGCACGTGATCACCACCACCATCACCATCATCACCACCACGATGATGATGATCTGAACAAACTCCAGCTCCGCTGTGGAGACAAAGAGGGACACGTGAGACCCTGGACACCTGCAGGTCGCTGTGCTCAGGGCTCAGCCCTTTTGAGCTTTTTCACCCACCTAGGGGGACGAGAGTGCAACCCAGACTCAGGAAAGCCCCCGCCACTCTCCCGGCAAGGTCACAGGCGATGCCTGGGGCTGGGGTACGTGCAGGGAAGCTGCTCTCACGGCGGAGGAGGGGGTACTGCTGGCTGGGAGAGCACCTCAAAGGTGTCCTGGGACCCAGACACCCCCTCTGTAGGGACTGACCGGAAGGAGGTAACGGGACAGGCAGGAGGAAGGCCCTGCTCTCTGCTCTCAGAGCCTCCTGGAGCCGTTCTGCAGATGCACAGCGTGAGCTGACTGGCAGAAAGGGAGCCCTGCGCACTGGCTCCTGTCGCTGGGCAAAGGCTCGGGCAGACGGTCACAGACCCTTCTTAGGGGCCCAGGGAGGGAGCAGTTGGGAGGAGAAGGGGACCCCTGAGTGCGGAGAGAGGAAGTTGGCACTGAGTTTGGGAGTGAAGCTTTGTGGAATTAAACAAAGAGGAGCTACATGTGAACGTGTGTACACAAACCTATGCACACCTGACACTCCTACACATATGTCAACACACCAACACTCCTACACACACAACACCAACACAAATGCCCCAACACTCCTACACACACAACGCTCCTAAGTACACGTCAACACCAACACACACCCAACACTCCTACACAAATAACACCCCAACACGTACCCCTAACACTCCTACACACAAAACACCCCAACACTCCTACACACACAACACCCCAACACTCCTACACACACGTCAACAACGCTACATACTCCAACACTCCTACACACACGTCAACACCAACACATGACCCAACACTCCTACACAAATAACACCCCAACACGTACCCCTAACACTCCTACACACACAACACCCCAACACTACATACTCCAACACTCCTACACACACATCAACACCAACACATGACCCAACACTCCTACACAAATAACACCCCAACACGTACCCCTAACACTCCTACACACACAACACCCCAACACTCCTCCACACACAACACCCCAACACTCCTACACACACGTCAACAACACTACATACTCCAACACTCCTACACACACGTCAACACCAACACACGACCCAACACTCCTACACACATATCAACACCCCAACACACACCCCTCAACAGTCCCACACCCAAGTCAACATCCCAACACACACTTCCCAACAGACACAAACACACACAGACACAGCGCACCACACGTGCCCACACACACACATCCATCCCAGGACTCACAAACACACGCCACGCTCAACAGGACGGGGGTGTCAGGACCCTCCTCTTGGTGAAAAGGCCTCAGAAAACCCACATTCCAGATGGCTGCGGATGTTGCCATTCGCATTTTCTAAGGTTGGGTTTTTTTGTTTTTTCTTTTTTGGTTTTTGATTTGTTTTTCCCCTAGAAGGCGGAAAAACCCTCAAGTGCTGGAATAGGAAGAAGGTTATTTTGATCCTGCCTGAGCCGGGCAGTTTCTGCTGACTCAAGCGGGTCTGTGCCGAAGCGGCCTCGGCAGCTGGCCGAGCACGGTGCCAGCAGAGCCCCCAGCAATGGGCAAGACGCCGGGTCCCTTGGAGTTGACACGGCAGAGTGGGCACCAGCCGGCAGCGTCCGGGGCCAAAGCTCCTCCAGCTTCGCCCTGCCCAGGACACCCTGCCCAAGGTGTGCAGGAATGTGACTCCCCAGACCCCGGCTGGCATGGGGGCAAGGAGGACTCCCCAGGGCTCCCTGGCACTAACAAGCAATTAGCCAGGCTCCCTGGGGGCCCCAGTTCAAGCCCAGTGCCACTGACTCAGTTCCTCCTCCTCCCAGGACCGAGGAACCAAAGCCGGGGGAGGGGGATCGGGGTGGGCAGGTGTCAGGTGGCAACTGGAGAAAAAACAGGCCGTGCAGAGCCGATGCCAGGCGCTCGGGCCATCAGACAGCCCAGGCAAGCACACTCCAAACCCGGGGGGCCCAGCCATCTCCTGCCACCAGCCTCGCTCTCCCCAAGGCAGGAAAGCAGCCCATCCTAGGTGGGAATGTCACTGTCTGTGAAGTGGCAGACGCCTCTCCACACAGAAGCACTCCCACACCTGTGTCCACTGCCACTCCTTCTTCCCCAACAGGTTTTCCAGAACTTCCCCGTCTCGGGCACTTTATGCATCTGTGCCACCCTCAGCGCGCCATTGTCTACACTGCTACTGAGCCAGTGTTTCTCAGCTGGGGCCGCGTCTGCACCCAGGGCTCAGCGTGCCACTGTCTACACTGCTACTGAGCCCGTGTTTCTCAGCTGGGGCCGCATCTGCACCCAGGGCTCAGCGCGCCATTGTCTACACTGCTAATGAGCCAGTGTTTCTCAGCTGGGGCCACGTCTGCACCCAGGGAACATGTGGCGATGTCTGGAGCCATTTTTGGTTGTCACAACTGGGGGGTACTCCTGGCATGGAGTGGGTGGAGGCCAGGGGCTGTGGTAACCGTCCTGCACCGACAGGACTGTCCCCCATGACAAAGAATGATCCAATCCAGTCGGTCATGCTGTGGGCTGAGCACACCTAAGAACGGGCGTTTTTATTATCATCCCCATTTCACGGGTGAGGAGACACGGGCTCAGAGGGAAAAGTGATTGCCTCGAGAAGTCCAAGACCCTAGAGCTGGCGCGTCCTCCCACTAGGCTTGGTGGGGCTTTCCCAAGCCCCGAGAAGGCTTCGGCCCTGCCTGCTGGGAACTCAGGCCCCAAGCCCTGGGCCGCCTGTGGGACACCCGCATGTTCCTGGCCAGGAGAGATCAGGCTTCAGACCCAGGTCGCTGTGGCCACACCTCCTGTCTCCCCAGACAGGCAGGTCCAGGGCCGGGGCAGCCTGGCCTGATTCTGTAGGGCCCAGGTCCGTCTGTTAGCACTCAGGATAAAGCCGCATTCAGGGTACACACAGGGCTGGCTTTGTGTAACACCCACGCCCCCCCACCCCCGGGGCCTGCAATTCCCTGCCCCCCAACCCTGTGCACTCTTCACCCCAGTTCCCCCTTCCCCAGCTGTCTCCAGGGGCCCAGCCCACATCAGCCCTGGAGGGAGGGAGGTGTGTGGCTGTTTTTGTCCCTGTCCCGGGCCCTGGCAGCCCGCAGGACCCAGACAGCAGTGAGACGGTAGCTGGGGCTGCAGGGCCGGTGGGATGCAGGGGCAATGGAGGAGGCCCCTGCAGACTGAATGGGTGTGGACAAACCCTCACGGCTCTCCTGGCCCCGCCAGGCTCGGCCCCAGGGGCAGGGGGATCTGACTTTTGGACGTCTGTATCCACAGAGTGAGAAAAACGCTCCCAGAAATGAGCACCGGGCTCAGTAGCGCATAAGAGCGTCACCCTGGTCCCTGGGCCACCAACTCCCATTGGGTCACTGGCCCAGGAAAATTCACATGGGAGAGGAGAGAGAAAAACTCTCTAGAAAAGAGAAACTACAACTGACTGCTGGCTAGACTTGGTGAGCCAAGGGCCTGGGTCCAGGCTTAGGGAGATGGAGATTTGCAAGGGTTGCCGAGACTACGGCTCAGGAGCACCCTGGAGAGGAGCAGGGTGGTGGCAGGGAAGCACAGTGGCTCTCTCAGAGGGCCCGGGTCCCAGCCTGGCTCTTGGGGGCCCTCTCTGAGTCCATCGCAGTCTCCCTGTGTCAGCGGGGGGACGGTGGGCAGCAGGGGGACAGTGGGCAGCAGGATGTGCGGGGGACATGTGCTCAGCATGTAGTGCTCCCTGGAGGTGGACCCAGACACGGGATGCTCAATTCCATCCTGGCTCCACCAGAACAAGGGTGGCCCAAACCCATCCACCCTCAAAGAGACATGACCTGCTCTGGAATCGCAGAGGGAGCATCTAATGGAAGACCCTGGAGGGCTCCCTGTAAGGTGGGCACTGAGGCTTTTGGTGCAGGGCACGGAGTGCGGGGCAGAGTGGAGCACAGGCAGAGGGTATAGGTGAGCAGAGGCCGGAACCCAGACCCTCCTGGATGCCCCTGGACATGCCCAGACCTGGAGGTGTTGAGGGGGGCAAGAGAGGTGCTCCAGCCAGCAGCCGGGTCACCCCCACCCATCAGGAAGGCAACACCCTGGGCCAAGGAGGCCCCGAAATCTCCATCCAGCTCCAGTCAAGCCCCACCGGCGCGGATGCTGTGCGGGAGGAAGGCTGGTCAGGCACAGCAGCATTGGGGCCCACAAACAGGTCCAACGAAGACCACCCTTGGGCATGGGGTGAGGAGGCACCTTCCACGCACTTTCACACCCATGGTGCTGCTTCCAGGAGACGCTCAGCTTTAGGGGACAGGAATGCATTCTCTGGGGAGTGGACCATGCAGTGCCTGCTGGCGAGGTCGGTCGCAAACCAGAGACCCAAGGGCACGCGCACCGACCGTCCCTGGCCCCAGCCGTGTTCCCACCTGGCATCACGGGAGCAGGGCTGTGGGCAGCCACCCTCTCCACAGGCCTGGTCCCGGGACTCACCTGGCCTGGGACAGCCACGCCCTGACACTGTCGGTCCCCACCCCACACCACCCCAGGGATGCCTGAGACTCAGCATGCGGGCCTCTACGACGCACTGATCAGGGCCCACTCAGGCCGAGTTCATCAAGCATGGGCTCCCTCCCCACACTAAGTCCCACACATCCCTCTGGGCAGGCACCGTGAATCCACCAGCAAAGACCCCTTGGGGGAGAGAAAGGTGCCTCCCCGCAAAGGCCTTGGAGTCAAGTTCAAAACATGATGTGTGTATGAAGCGGCACCAATATAAACACGGCTCTCCACCCGCGGCAGCTCGCAGAATCCTCTTCGTGCCTGCATTTGTTCCGAGGAGCGCAGGGAGGCTGCTGGGGCCCATTCCCAGTCGCAGCTTGAGAGCCGGACTCTCAGGATCAGATGCCTCGCGGGCAAGGGAAGGAACCCCAGCAGGACTGCCAACGCGAGGCGGAAGGAGAGAAGGCCCAGCGCGGCCGCATCCCTCCCTCTCTCCAGAGGACCCTGGAGCCGGCTGTGAAGCTGTGGTCCTTTAAGGCTGGAACCTCATTTAAGAGTTTTAAAAGGGCCAAGCAGGCCACACCCAAGGCATCTGCAGGGCAGGCGGCTTCAGGACTTCTGGCCAAGAGTTGGGCCCCAGGTCACTTAGTGACTACTGGCAGATATGGAGCCACACCAATCCTGCCTCAGTTTCCCTAATCTGACAGACTGCCCCTTTACCAAGGCATGGACAAAGACATCCCAGATCAAATGCCCAGTATGACACCTGCAGGGGTGGGTCCTACCACTGTCCCTGACCTAGGCTCAACTCTGCTGTGACCACAGGACACATTGCCAAGCAGTCATAGGCCACAGGGGACAGAGCAGGAGAGGGCACACCCAAACTCACTGTAGTCACTGTAAGTATTGTCATGATTCTAACACATGACCCGGGGCCACTGAGCTGAGCCTCCCCAATTTAGGTAACATCACCATGCCCATTTTGCAGATGAAGAAACTGAGGCTTAGGGAGAAGTAGCCCTAGAAGATGCAACTAGGAGCAAGGTTGAGACTTGAGCCCAGAGCCGCCATATAGGAACTCAAAAGGGGGAAGGGTTTCATTCTCCTGCTAAATTTTCCTAGCTCGCCCACGGCGTTAGTCCGCCCGCCCCCTGCCCCGGGAATCTGAGGATGTGGTTCTGATGTTCTGGTCCAGTCCTCGTGCATCCATTGTCTGTGTGATGCTGTGCGCATCTACCTCCTTGAGAGGAAGTTACCTCATCTGTCAAAAAAAAAAAAAAAAAAGAACCAACCGGGGCAGGGGTGAAATAATGGATGCGAGAGCTCAGAACGGGACAGAACGTAGCACACTCAACTGTCACCATTGTCACAATTACTGACACTCCTCTGGGGACAAAAAGCATCCCTCGTTCCCCTGATGGTCCCTGGAAATGCTGAGGTTTGCTGGGCTGCAGAGTACAAGCCTGCTTAGCCAGGTGTTCCCTGACTGGCTTCTGTCCCCAAGGTGGGAGATTTGAGCTCAAGTCAGTCCCAAAGGTCACCCAGGATGGTGGCTGGACCCAAGGCCCCTCAGGGGCTAACATGCGCTGGATCCCATGTTTATATTGGTGCCGCTTCATACACACATCATGTTTTGAACTTGACTCTGAGGCCCTTGCGGGGAGGCACCTTTCTCTCCCCCAAGGGCCCGCCGTGGCAACACAAGCCGCTGGGAAGGAGAAACATCTCGCTCTCATTTCATTCTGGGCATCAAGGCTGTGCTCATCACTTGGAGGGCCCGGGGGCTCCTGCCATTTTTCTTCGTAATTTTTCCCTTGGGGAGGGTGATGAATGCAGCAGGCTCTCGGGGGTGACCAAGCCCATCTTCCAAACACAAAATAAGGTCACTCTAATTTAATTTAGTGTCCTCTTTCCTTGTGAATAATTTCACATTAACAGGTTCGTGTGCCTCGTTGGAGAGGCCCCATCCTCCTTTTCATGGTCTCCTCCAGAGACAGGCACAGTCCCTCTGGGAGGTGCGGGCACAGCTCTGCCCTGTCCTGTTTGTCCTACACTGGCAGGAGAGGAACCGTGAGCAGGCCACTCCCTAGATGCCATGCAGGGGGGCCGAACCCTTTATGCACATCATCTGATTGAATTCTCACCGTCATTCTGTGAGGTCCGTACTTATGGGACCCCCACTTTGCAGATGAGGAGACTGAGGCTGGGAGAGGTGAGGCGACCGCCAAAGACCGCACAGTCCAAGGCTCAGAAATGAGTTCCTCTGACCCCAAAGCCTGACCGTTTGCCCGACCCCCAGCAGTCCTGAGTGTGATTATCCCAAAATGCCAGAAACAGCGGGAGATTGAGCCAAGGGCTTGTGTTGAATGTGACTGATCTTGGGGTCAGTAACAAGTGCCTGGCGTGTCGCCCCCAACGCAGTCCATGAAGCTGGTATTCATGGCCTGTGGTACCCACCTCTGAGCCAGCGCAGAGCAAAATCCGGACGGTGAGGAAGGAAGCGGGTGCCAGGAGTTATGGGCACCTGCCATGGCATAACACAGACGCTGACAGCTGCCCTCTCCTCTGCCTCTTCCTGTGTGCCAAGCCCCTCACCACGAAAGACTTCACCCTGTCTCTGAGTTTTTCATGACAAGCCCCGAGGGGCAGCATTGCCCCAATCACAGGCGAGGGGACGGGCCTGGAAATAGTTTCCAAACTCCGAAGCAGATTTGTGACACGGGAATGATACACACGATGGCACGTGTGCGATACAGAAATATAATTGCATTAAATGACCTCGCAGTGGACACCCACAGCGTCCAGAGCTGGAAGGCCTGTACGGGACATGGGCCTGTGGAGTGAAGATGGTGGCTCCCACCTCCAGCTGTGTCTTTGGTGCAGTCAAGGAGACGATGGTCAGGTGCCTGCATTTGGGATCCAAGGGGACCCCACCTTTCAGTTAGAGCTCAGGTAAGGCAAAGACACTATTCTTTCCCATCCAAGTTTCTGGACCTCTGTTCTTGGGGGCAGAGCCTGGACCTGAACTGAGGGCAGAGCAGGGGCCTCAGGGTTCAGATCCCTGTTGGGACGTTTCATGGCTGTAAACGGGGAGAGGGTCGCTGGAAAATTTGTTAATGTGCAAGAAGAACCCACCCAGCCCACGGGGGCACTAGGCGGGGAGGTGCGGCGGCGACTGAGTTTCTCAGAAATAACGGGGGCAACAATGGGGTGCTGGGGCTCATTTCTCTCTCTTCAGCTGGGGAGCTGGGAGCAGAGTCCACCCGGCTCCTGCCGGCCCCATGGAGGTTTCCAGACCAGACGACCCCCCTCCACCGCCACCCCAACAGTCTGTCCCAGGGGAGGGGCAGCTGGCGTCCTTCCTGGTTAACAAGCAGCCAGTGCATGGGGCCCTGTCTGGCCTCCTGGCCGCACACCGAGGAATTAGGAATTGGCGCTGTCTGAAATTTATGAAAATCTAATCTTGTTAGGCCTGCCTGGATGAGACCCGCCTGGCGGGGCCTCATTGTCATTCTGCAGAGCCCCAGCGGCCCTGGGGTTCCAGCCACTTCATTTACTGCCCTCTCCCCTACCTACCCCCACTACATTTGAATAGGAACCCAGCTCCCTGCCACCCCACCCCAGCCCCCCGAATTTTAAGTACAATCAAACCAGCCGTCAAAGGAATAACTTTCTGATCACTCCTGGTGCCATTTCAAACACCCCCGACGGCATGTCTATTTCTTAGGGTAAGACCTTTTATGGGTAAAAAAATTTGCTCTGTCTTCCTCTTGAGGTTTGGGGGGCGGGCGGCAAATCTAGGCCGGTTTTCTCGTTTTTAAAACCAGACTGTACTGCTTTCAGAGTGCTTGCTTTGTGGCAAGCACACGGCTGAGCACCTGGCACCCGGACAGGTGAACCTGGGACACTGTCCCATGTTGGGGAGGGACGCTGAGAGGGGACAAGTCACGTGGTCAGCCAGGGTGGGGACTGGGGCCCACATCAGGGCCTGCGCTGGCTCCCTGCCCTGCTGTTCTTGGTAGAATCTTGGGATAGAGGTTAACAGCATGCAGCTAGCACCCAGTGGTCCTGGGCTCAAGTCCTCGCATTGCCATTTGCTGTGACCTTCAGTAAATCTCCTGGTACCCTCATCTGAGAAGAAAACGGAGAGATAACTAAGTCCCCTGTACACAAGGTTGTAGCAAGAACTACGAAAGTTAACTTCCCGGATGGAACCTCTTGAGTCAAGAACTCCAAGCTCTGGGCTAGGCTCCTCCTACGCCTGTCCCCTGTCCCCACAAGACATGAGCTGCAGGCATCCAAACTCACAGTGGGTGGAGAAGGTTCCCTTAAGCAGGCCCCGGTCCAGCGCCATCACTTATGTGCAGTGTAGGCTGGAGCACCTCTGCAGAGTGAAACAGCAAACTCTGGATATTTTCAGGTGTGAACCTTTGCTCCAGCATATAGACAGCTGGGTGCTGATCACCCATTTCCAGTTCCCCTGGGCTCCTCCCCCATGTGCTCTGTTCCAGCCACTTGTTTTCTGTTCTATAAAAGCACCATGCATGACCCACCTCAGGACCCTGGCACGTGCCATTCTTCCTGCCTGGAATGATTTTTCCTCAATATCTTCATGGCTTGCTCCCTTCATTGCCTTGATCCCGGCCCCCAGGTCCCTGCCTCAGACTAAAACAGCCCTCTGCCCTCCAGCCTCCAGGACCCCCATCCCTGTGCCTGCTTTACTGATCTCTGCAGCCCTGATCTGGAAGCTGTATATGACCCACCCAACACTGCACTCTCTGCCTCTCCCCTCTGGAATATCAGTGGCTCAGAGCGAACTCATTCTCCATGGTGTCCTCAGCACCTAGAATGGTGCCTTCCCCAAGGCAGGCACGTAATGACTACACTGAATAAAAAAGCACATTTATTTATTTATTTATTTATTTATTTATTTATTTTTGAGACAGAGTCTCACTCTGTCGCCCAGGCTGGAGTGCAGTGGTGCAATCTTGACTCACTGCAACCTCCACCTCCTGGTCAGGCAATTCTTGTGCCTCAGCCTCCCAAGTAGCTGGGACTACAGGCACCCGCCAGCACGCCCAGCTAATTTTTGTATTTTGAGTACAGACGGGGTTTCACCATGTTGGACAGGCTGGTCTCGAACTCCTGACCTCAAGGGATCCACCCACCTCGGCCTCCAAAAGTGCTGGGATTACAGGCGTGAGCCACCGCACCCAACTGAAGCTCATTTATTCTGGTGTACACAGATGAGTGTGCAAGAAGGCCCCCTGCAGGTTTGCACAAAAGGTCACAATCAACTGGGAACCACTGAAATGTCCCTGGCAGGGATGACACCACCCTGGGAAGCACAGCCACCGGTCAGTCTGTATCCTCACGGGATGAGCCCAAACTGGGTTAGAAAAGAACAACAAATATGTTTTTAAAAATACAGGTGAAACCTTCTGATACACACCTATATTTATGAGTGACTGTCCACGTCTGCACAGACCAGGGACCAGCAGGGCATGCATGAAACTGCCAGCTGTGGGTCCCTCGAGGAGGGACCACAGACACCAGGGGACATCCCTTCCGTGTAATACATTTCTGCAATCTCAGCATTTTGGAGCACATATAATTATATTTATAGTAAAAGAGGGAAAAAAAAAAGATTTGAGAAGCATCTGTCAGTATCCAAAACAGACAGCTGCTCCCATAACGAGGCTTCCCAGGTGGTCTCTGCGGAGGTGCTGTCACCCTGGGCTGACAAGGGCTGCTGCGGGAGGGGCTCGGAATTAGGGTGGGAAGGCCGGACAGTCTCTGCCTGACCCTAGGAGCACAGATACTGCACTGGGAATGGGTGGGGCAGGGAGGGGCACCTGACCACCCCTCCACGTGCCCTGGCTGAGGGCCCCAAGGTGGCATCCAGGCACCAGACATCTCGCTTCCTGGGCCTTCCCTCTCCTGGCCTGGAGGTAGGGGTGGGGTGGGGGGGGTAGTACATGGAGCCAGGCATGCAGGCTGCCCTGTGGCACCCACCGGTCCACTGTCTCTCCTTCACTGGGCCACTCCAGGGAGGAAGGTGTCTTCTCTAGGCCTCCGTGGTGCAGCACAGCTAATGGGCTGGCAGATGATGGTTCTGAGTGTGCTGTCTCACCACCCGGCCTCAAGCCCCAGGATCCACACTCATGCCCGCTGTCTAGAGACCACTTCCACCTTTTCTTCACCTGGCTGACTCACCACAATCTTTCCTCCCTCCTTCCAACCTCCCTCCCTCCTAGGTGCCAGGATCAAGGCTGACACGCCTGACAAGCCTCCACCCTCAGGTCGCATGCACACCTGCAATGCCCCGTCGGCCTTGGTCTTCCCCTTCCAGGCTCCCACACTAACTCCCACTTGGCCCCCTGCCCTATGGTCTGAGCCTGTCAGGCTGGGTGTGCCTGACTCCGCGTTGTATTCCGTCCCCAGCCAGCACAGACCCAAGGGATTTCAGAGATCAATGAACGGCACATACCTGGCCTCTGTGTGCTTCTCTTTTCACTGGTACCCTGTTCTAGTTTGCAAAGGCCCACTCAGGTTAGGGGCGGGCTGCCTTTTTATACCACCCAGAGAGAACTGTGCAGAACCCCATTCATTTCCGAAGCTTTGGGAGTTCCTGAGCAACACAGAGAAACACGTTCTTCCCCACCGCCCCCCCAACCCCCAACCAGTGTCCCGAGTCATCACACAGGAGGTGGACCTGGAGGAGGATGCAGCGCGGCCGTGGGTGAGCCCTGCGTCTGAAAGTGCATTCAGGGAACAGGAAAGTAAACGGTCTCTAGAATCATTTTAGAACCTGATGATTTTAGAATACTCCTCCAATGAGAAAAGACAAAGCTGTGCCTTTTATCCTTCTTGCTATTATCCAAATGGAAAGAACTAATGGGATTTTTGTTTCTATTGTCACTGACATCGAACACCTTTAAACATCCACTGTCAGCAAAATATCAGTCACCGTTTGAATTATTGGCAGAACGGAGTGAACTCACAGTGAGCGAGCAGTCAGTGGACATGTCGGAGGTGCATAACATCCGAAAGTTATTTAAAATAAACCAAATGTGTTTGTTAATTGAGGAGAGTGGACGACAAATGGGGAACGGGTGGGCGTGGGTGAGTGAGTCCGTGGTGGTGTTGACGGCCACAGTCTTCTTGGAGGATATTGAGCAGTGCCTGTCAACATTACACAAGCACTTCACCTTTCAACCCTGCAAGTTCAACTTCCAGAATCATATCCAGTGGAAAAATTCACAGAAGGGCCCAAAACGTATATATAGATATACACAAAACAAATATGTATATACACACACATATATATCCCTGTTCATATATATATATTGCATGGGGTGTTTTTCAAATGATCAACCAGAGACCATCTAAATGCCACCAAACACACCTTGGTACATCACATTATGGGATGAGGCCATTAAAACTGATGACATAAATCTACGCTGAGCTCTGAGCAGGGGAAACTGAGCTTGGAGCTGGATCATCTCTATTGTGGGGCCGTCCTAAGCAGCAGGGTGTTCAGCAGCAACCTGGGCTCTACCCACTAGAGGCTAGAAGCACCATCAATCCCCATTGCGACACTCAAAAATGTCTCCAGGGATTGCCAAACGCCCCCTGTGGGGCAAGTCACCCCTGGCTAAGAACTGCTGGTCCACTGTCTGGCTCCCAGGAATTGAATCCAATTCAGTCTGATAATGGATGGATGCTGGCAATTATTGTGGGGCAGAAATAATGAAACTGGAATGGTAAATAAAATATGGATCCATTTTTATAGCAAAAATGAGGATAAAAAATTAAATTGTTCATGATGACTTCTTCTAGATGAAGGGGCTATCCCTTTTACTTTTTTGTATTCGTAAATTGTTTGCATTTTTATAACAGGCATAACACTTCTAATTTTTTAAATCTTAATAACATACCAGAAAGACTCTCGCACGCGCACGTGTGTGCCTGCATGCACTCACATGTGTGTTTCCAACCGGCCGACAGTGACGCACGTATGCCCTCGCCACTCGGCAAGCACCTCGTGCTCCTTGGTAACCAGCAGATGTTTCTCTCAATTACTGATTTTCAAGAGCCTGGTGTTTCCTGACATGAGCCAGGATGGCGGGCGGCGCCCAGGGGAGGGGAAGTGAACCGGGGCTCCGTTTCCAAGGCTCTTGGACAAAAAGCGAAGCCCTGGATCAGGAAGCACAATGCGGCTGGTATTTAGCCGCTTCTCAATAGTGCCTCATTCAATCCCCGGGGCCTCATTGATGCCCGCCGCGTGCTGGAGAGCCTCTGAGGGTCAGTCGGCGACGGGCACCGTCTGGAGGGGTCTCGCCGCTAACCCGGGGTGGCTCTGTCTTTCGGGAGCAAGAGGGGCCCAGCTATTCTCGGTCTCCCCTGGGGCAGAGGCAGGGAGGTGGGCAGATGGGCAAGGTCAGGCGTCAGAGAGGCTGGAGGAAGCAGTGAGGGTCTGGGCAGGCCCCTTGCACCATCGGGCTCCCAGGAGTCGAATCCAATTCAGTAAACACTCAGCGGAGTAGCTTAGCGGTTAAAAGGAATCCTGGCGCTGTCCTGCCTGGATCCAACCCCCAGCTCTCCCCATGGCCAAACACAGGGCATCAGGAAGTGATTCGTTCACTCTCTGTGCCTCGGTTTCCACATCTGGAAAAGCGGAATACCACTAGCACCCACGCACGGGTTGCTGTGTGGATGCAGTGGAGTGAAGAGCCATAAAGTACAATGAACGGCACCTGGTGCATACTTAGGTGCGCAGTAAGTATCAGCCGCCAGTAAGAGGGCTGCTCCCTGGGCCCAACATGCCGGTTCTCCTGGGCCCCCGCCCCGACTTCATCACCAATTGCCCCTGACTGTGGTCCAAGCCTCTTGGCCGCCAGCACCCTGGCCGCACTGGGAGCAGAAGGCCTGCCTTCTTGGGGCCACACCTTTGCCCGGGCTGGCCCACCTGCCTGGGGTGCCTGCCCTCCTCCTGCTGCCCATTCTCGGTGGCCTGCGTCTACCCCATTTCCAATGGCCCAGCCCCTGCAGCCACTTCCTTCTCTGGCTGTCTCTGGCAGTTTTAAACTCTCCCATGTGGTGGTTAATTTTGTAAATACCACCCAAGACATCTGCTATGACTTCTAAGAAAATGTCTAAGTCATGACTTAGCCTTTCCTCGGTCTATGTCTTGCTGCCATCGTTGGTGTGGCCACTCTGTCAGATGCAATCGCCTCGTCCTGCAGCCTCCTCAAAGCCGGCATGAGCCCGGCATGCAGGAGTCCAGTCTCTAACTGGTAGACTCCTCTTTAACCCTCAAAGCCCAGGGCTGGTCGCCTGAGAACTGCCACATCCTGCATAGTAGTAGTAACTACTGTGGTGTCAAGCACAGGCCACCACCACGTGGGACTCCCAGCTACAAGGAAAAGAGTGTCCCATCATGAGTGTCCCTTTACCAGTGTCCCTGGCACCTGGTCCACAGCCAGCAAAGAGACCCACAGCCAGTCAACACATGATCAGCCAAGCTACTACCTCCAGAGCAGTACAGAGGCTCACGGTGTGAACCTGGATGTGGCACACACCTGCACCCTAGTCCGGACCCTGCTACCTGCCACCTGAGTGCTACCCTCCCCTCTCTGGGCTTGTTTTCCCACCTTCAGACCCCAAGAGCAAATGGGGCCTCACTCATGCAACCAACATGGGAGTTCCATAGTAAATGCCTCTCCCAAAGCCTGACAAGTGGTGGCCACTATTGGGTTGTTGCTAATAGTAACATTATAGAGGTGGCCATTCCCACCTCCCTTCCCAAACCCTCTGTTTGGAGCAGAAAGCAAAGGACCTCGTGTTATAGACCTCTGTGCCCCTCCAACATATGTTGAAGCCCTGACCCCTGGTGTGGCTGCATGTAAAGACGGAGCCTCTAGGGAAGTAATTAAGGTTAAAAGAGGTCATAAAGGTGGGGGCCTGATCCAACAGGATTAGTGACCTGATAAGAAGAGACAGCATAGAGCTCATTCTCTCCCCCCTCCTTCCATGTGCTGGCACCAAGGAACGGCCATGTGAGGACGCAGCCAGGAGGTGGCCATCTACAAGCCACAAAGCAGTTCTCACCAGAACCCAAACTTGCTGGCCCCTTGATCTTGGACTTCCCAACCTCCAGAACTGCAGGAAAACAAATGTCTACTGTCTAAGCCACACAGTCCGGGGTTATTTTATTACAGCGGCCTGAGCAGAATAATACACCTTGTTTAGACAGACAGAGGGGGCTGAACAGAGGGAAATGAGCTGCAAGGTGAGGAGGCAGGACCCCTGCCCTGGATGATGGACTTGCAGAATCCCAGCTACACCCCTTTGGGACAGAATATTAGCAACCTGCCCTCTGTCTCCATGCAGGGACGCCCAGGGGGATGTCTTATTTTATTTTCCATGAAAGACATTTTCTTCTGTCATCTAAATCTATCCTCAGGCCCTTTCCCTTCCTATTCCCTCACTGCGGCAGCGCATATATTTATCGTGCCCCTGCTGTATGCCAGGCCCTGCATGAGCACTGAGAATTCACGATGATTGAGGCCAGGCCTCAGGAGCGAGGGCACGCAAATTCTACTGTGATCTGTCCTCTCTGGAGCACAGCAATTTGATCCTGTACCCCAGAAATCAGGCTGGACTTATATCTGGACAGATGAATGTGGACATACGAGGAATAGCTTGGAATCTTCTAAAGCCGTTCTGACCACAGTGAACGTGCAGTAGGTACAGTGAGCTCCTGCTGTGTTTCATGCCCCATATGGAGGGGTTTCTGTCATCTCATTTAATTTTCTCAGCAGCTTCCCAGGAAGTACGCTTGTCTTATTATCATCCCATTTTTGGGATAAGGAATCTGAGGCTCGGAGAGGTGCAACAATGTCACCGCCCACCCTCCACCCGTCCCGCCCAGAAAAGTCACAGAAGTTCAGGTGGCAAGGGCCAGACTTTCCCTGTGCCTGGGACACAGAGCCCGGTGCTGTGATATCTGTTCTCACTAGTCACAAGAGTGGACAACAAACTCAAAACAAAGTACCCACCCCGAAAAGCAGCCTCCAGCAGCCCCGACCCCTCCACCGGCAGCCATGCCTTCACCTCCTCCGACCTCTTGGAAGCAGCAAAAGGCAAGGCCTGAGTCCGTCAGGAGCCCGACTGAGCTGGAAGGTCACTGCCATCATGACCCACGTGCCCCCCAACCATGCCAACTTGCTGACCCTAGCCTGGCGCTTGGCTCATCACCTTCATGTGGGGCTCAGAGGCCCAGGAAGACCCCTGGCCCACAGGCGGGGCATTCCTTGCTACGAGTGTTTTCCGGTTTGGGGGAGGAGGGTCTAGGAAATGCTGCTGGCCACACTGACAGTCGGCCCCTGAATGGATTGCCGGGCCCAGCGGCAGCTTGAGGAGGGAAGGAGCTCAGATGGGAAGGGCGACCTCGCTAGAGAGGGGGCTCCAGGGCAGCAAACGTGTCCAAGGGTGTCTGTGTGTCTGCCTCCCACCTTTGATTGTTTGGGGGTGTGTCCTTTCCTCTGGGGCATCTGTCTGTCTGTCTGTCTCCGGTGTGTGACTGTCTGGGGTCTAAATCCGTTGAGTCTTTCCCTGTGTCTCCATCTGTATGAGTCTCTTCCTCTTTCTTTTTCAGGCAACGTGAAAAACAGATTCCAAGAAGGAAGTTCTAAGCCTCCCAGACATCAGCCGCCTCTCCCTGTCCCCGCCCCACAGGCGAGGCTATTCCAGCCCTTGCTATCACTTCCTTTCGAAGCAGCATCTTCCAGAAGCAGAAAATCCCAAATTCTGGGAAGACGAGGTTCTGACCAACTGTTCTGCGAAGGCAGCAGGGGAAGCTTCCGGAGGTGTCTTTTCTCTGAGCGTCGAGATGGGGACACAGCAAAGCTGTGGAAGGCAGGGAGCCTGGCTCTGGATTCGAATCCAGATGCAGCCACCTGCTGTATGTGTGGTGTCTGTGGTGACCTGGCCCCTTGCCTCAGCTTCTTCACAGTAAGGCACGAATCAACAACAGTACCTGCCTCACAGGACTGCTTAAGGGTGAACTCAACAGGGACATAGGTACTAGCTCTCGGAACGCTAGCTGGTACACAGCAAGTGCATAATAAATGGTGATCATCATGACATGGCAAAGCAGGCATCATGACATGGCAAAGCATGCATGCTGACCGGGCAAGCATGGTGAATGCGTCAAGGATGTCAGGCGCACGTTTATTAACGATCTGGAGTGACTGATACTGAGCAGGTAAATTCAATTTATAGAATCACAACTGGTACGAAAAGAGGAAGAAAGAGAAATGGTGAGAAAACTCAAGAAACCAGAAACATCCATCAGAAGACAGACCTAGATGGGAGCTCACGGTCCAGCTGCAGAGGCTCAAGGGGCCGACTGGCTGGGGATCAGCTCTCCTGCCCTCGAGGGGCGGAGCTGTGGGAGAGCCACTGGGAGCTGGACCCCCCATGACGAGAGGCCTCCTTGCACTGCTGAGCACCCACACAGAGACCCTGTGGCCAAAGGAGGAGGAGAGAGAACCTTGGCGTTCATCCCTCAAGAGCAGAAGGTTTCTCCACGTGGCCTCCTTGTCTCCCTACTTCCTCTCTTGCAAACACACCCCCCGTCTATTCTCCACCCTGCAGCCGGAACAATCTTTAAAAAAAATCAAGTCTCTGACTTCCCACACTATGCTCAGGTTAAAACCCTGCGAGGCCCACCCCACCTCACCACTGCACTTCCCATCTCCTTCCTCGCTCACCATGCGCCAGCCAGCCTGGCCTTTCGCCTGCTCCCACCCCAAGGCCTTTGCACATGCAGTTTTGTCTGTGGGAAGACTTGCCCTGGGTCTGTCATCCCACATGTGCTCTCACCTCTTCTCTTACTCTGCATCGCCTGGTGGCCTGTCTTGGTCACGAGGGGCAGTGCAGAGTATGGTCAGGAGCATGGATTATTCTGGCTGTGGGAGCAGCTGTGTGTCTCCACTTCCTTGTCTGTACCATGGAGTGAACTATGGCCCCGTCTCATTGGGTTGTTTGAGGATCGTAAAGAACCCAGAAAGCACCTGGTGTGTAGGAAGCACTGAGTACGTGTTGGCTGCTATGAGAAACCATCTTCTTTCTAAGTGCTTGCTTGTTCATTGTCAAGTGCACCTCACCAGCAAGAAAGCGCCTCGATGACCCTTATTTACCCTGGCGCTGTATCCGTGAGGGCTAACACCACACCTGACACAAGAAGTGGCCCTCGATTAACATGTGAAAGAGGAAGGAATCTCTGCAAAATGTCCATTCCCCAGCACTCGCATCTTTCCACCAAAGCCAGAGACCAGAGGAGGGCATGGATGTGAATGGAAACTGAAGGGTCTTTCAAAAACTAAATCTGCAACTCCCATCCGACCCAGCAATTGCACTCCTGGGCATTTATCCCAGAGAAATGAAGACTTAATGTTCACACAAAAACCTGTGCATGAGTGTTCACGGCAGCTTTACTTTTCATAGCAAAAACAAACAAACAAACAAAAAAAACTGGAAGCAATCCAGATGTCCCTCAACAGGTGAATGGTTAAACTAACCATGGTGCATTCATACCTTGGAACACTACGCAGCAACAAGAAGGAATGAACTACTGACACCTACAGCAACGTGGAGACATCTTCAGAGAATTACGTTAAGTGAAAAAAGCCAATTTCAAAAGGCTAGATAGTGTATGACTCCATTTCTATAACATGCTTAAAATAACAATATTATAGAAATGGAGAAGAGATTAGTGGTTTCATGGGTAAGGGGGTGGATACAGTTAGAAAAGGGTAGAATGAGATGTTCTTGTGATGGGACTGTTGTGTCTTGACTGGTGGTTACACAAATCTACGCATACAATAAAACTGCATTGAACGAAACACACACACAGACACACACACTCGAATGAGTGTGTGTAAAACTGGGGAAAGGTAAGGTTGATGGTTTGTGACAAATGTCAACTGCTGGCTTTGGCACTGTACTACAGTTATGTAAGACGGTACCATTGGGGGAAGCTGGAGGATATCTACATAGAACCTCTCTGTATTATTTTTTACAACCGCATGCTAACAAACAATTGTCTCAAAATAAAAAGTTTTCTGAAAACAAGTGAACGGTCTGGGAGTGCCCTGTCCCTTGGCATCACCAGAATCGCCCTGGCAGAGGCTGAGGCCAGCAGCCTTAAGCGGTCCTTAGGGCCTGGCCCAGGCCTGGCACTGGGGGAGGGGGTTAGTTTCCTGCAAAGGGAGGGTAAGAGCCGAAACAGAAGCCGCTTCCCTCTCTCGCAGCCTCCCTCGCCTCCCGCTCACAGCATCTGCCATCTGGCTGCTGCAGCCACACGAAACCATCTCTCGGCTGTCATCTCTCCACTTGCAGGTCTGGCTCCCAGGTTTGAAGATTAAATTCTAAACACGTCATTTAAAATTTAGAAACGAGGAAAGGAGATTTTAAGTAATCTGGAAGCACTGGCTCCTATTGTCTGCCCCAAGTAATAAGCATGGAACCTCCAACCTCTGTCTTAAAGGTGACAAGAGCCAGGGGAGGGAGAGCAGCTTGGGATTCCCCGATGTAAAGTGTCACTGCCTCCCCAATACAATCAAATACTCCCAAAAGGATGTCCCAAACTACCACTGTACCCCCAAGAGAAAGCATCACTGTAAAGTATCAACATATTGTTCAGGAAGAACTGCGGACGTCTCTGCCAGTGAGCACTTCAGGCACAGAAGAGCCAGGAACTGCAGGGATCTCTGAACAACACGAGTGTTTTTGAAGAAGAGTCCTCCTCTGTCTTCTCCAGAACATGGAACAGAACTAGAGCAGGTTTGTGATAATGAGCACCTAGGAGCGGGGACCTCCTTAAATGATCTGGTTAGGGACAGCCTTTCGGAGGAGGTGGCTTTTCAGCAGAGACCTTAAATATGAGGAGAGTTGGGGAAAAAACACTCCTGGCCAAACAATGGCAAGTGCAAATGCCCTGAGGTAGGAAACCTTTGTCTCATTCAAGGGCAAGAAACCCTACCTCCTGGGGCATAGCATGAAGATACAATGAGGAGCTAGCTGCTTTGGGGCTTGGCAAAGCTGCACTGAGACTTCCTGCAGGTGGCCATGGGTGTGTATTGGGGCAAAGGCAGCATAGACAACGTGAACTTGAAACGATTCAGGTATCATTTTCCAGTGTGACTCTCCAAACACGGCACACATCAGACCTGCTGGGGAAGCTCCTTTCAGACAATGCGGGAGCCGTGTCCAACAGGCTGAAATTGACATCGTTCAGTGGCGGGTTCCGGGACCTGCAGGGAATGGACTTACAAGCGCCCGCTATGGATGAACAGATTCCAACCAGGCGCTCGCTTCCTTAGTGAAGGAACCACTTGTTCAATTATGAAGCCCAGGATGTGAAAGCAACTGCTGGAGCCACATAGGTGAATTTGTTATGCTGGAAGGGGGTGGTCACCTGGCACTGTGAGTGGCTCAGAGATCCCTAAGTGATCAGAATTGTAAACGACCCAGGGGAAAACCTTGGGAAAAAACTCACCCTCTTAGATACTGAGTTTCTAGGGGAGGAGAGTGGCTTAGAAGCCCCTAAAATGGGTCAGATGAGAAAAGGACAGGGCCAGAGAGGGGGAGGGAGTTGCCCAGAGACACAGAGCAACCGTGCAAAGCTGGCTAGAGCCAGAGCCTGCGCCTTCCAGTTCCTTGGGTACAGGCTGTCCACGCAGGCATCCCTGGTGGGAGTGAGGGTCACAATGGCTGTGACCTTGACCATCTTTGCAAGGTGAGCCTAGCTTGTGGCATGGAGTCTGGCTTGCACTGCAAGCCCCAGGGAACCGTCGGGGGATGAGTGGATGGTAAAAACGACTTCTGCCCGTCAGACACTCAGACACACCAGCGGGGAGAGCTGCAGCCACTCCAGCTTTAGCTGGGTTGTGCTAAGAGCTTTAAGTGCATTATATCATTCAAAGCTCCCAAGGAGCCGCTTTGGGGAGTCCCGTCAACACCCGCATTCTGCAGATGAAGGGACTGGGACCTCAAGGGCAGCTGCTAGGGCTAAGGTGTGGTTCTTCTACCGGAGATGATTTTGCCCCAGGGGACATCTGGCCATATCTGGAAACACTTGTGGTTGCCACAACTGGGAGGGGGTGTTACTAGCATCCAGTGGGCGAGGGGAAGTAGCTAAACATCCACCCTGCCACGCACAGGGAAGTCCCCCACAGAAAAGAATTATTGAGCCCAAACGTCAGCACCAAGGTCGAGAAACTCTGGATTAAATCAGATGATAGTGAATATCTCAGGCACAGTGCCGGGTGCATAGTGCTTGCTCAATAAACATTAGCTAGGCAACAGCTGATTCCTAATTAGGCCTCAATGTGAAGACAGAAGCAGGGACTGAAACCACACACAACCGGTTTGAAGAATAACAACAACTTAGTCTAAAAACATCTGCTTTGAAAGCAAACGCTTAGGAAAGGGCAGTTGTTCATTTCACACTTGGATTGTACATTTCTGTAGGCTGGAGTCGCAACCACCTTGATCACCGATCAACGCACACTGGCACCAACCACCATGCCAGACACACAGGAGGCACTTCGTAAATGCTTGTGAAATGAATACATGGGTGAGGGAAAGTGGCGGAGAGCAGTCTGCGTGAGGACGTAAGCACAGGTCCTTCTCTGGAGGCAGGAGAATGAAAATCATCCCACGGGTCGGGGCCGGGTCAGTGAGGAAGGGAGGGAAGGAGTTCTGAGAATGTCAATCTGCAGGACAACTTCTAGTTTCCACCTTTTGCATGAGGGATTTCCAAGTGCCCCAGGGCCTGGGAGTCCCCATTCATCAACCCTGGGTGCTACCAGGGACAGGGCCCATTGTGATTTGTGAGGCCTGCCTGAGTGCTGGTGGGGCAGGGGTGAGGCAGGCGCCCATGCTCCTTCCTGACCTCTCCAGCACGCTCCATCCACTTGCATGGAATCACGGCAGTGGGGAATGAGAAACACCCCTCCATCACTGCCACTGGGAACCCCCGTCCCTCCAAACCTGCCGCCTGCCTGAGCTCCTGAGGGCACCCTCACCCTGCATGGGCCTCCTTCCTGCCAGGGAGGGAGCCCTGTGCGAGGCAACCAGGGGTTGCCCCGGAGCCAGTCCCACTTCTGCCATCTGCGGGTGACAGCGAGAGACCTCTCTAGGGTGTCCCCTGCCTGAGACGACCGTGAGGATGGTGTGGCGCTGCCTCTTACAAGGGTGGTCCCAGCATCAAGAAGGGAACGGCCCTCCCAGACCTTTCACTGCTTAAAATAACCAACTTTTTAATTTAGCAACCATTGTCGTTTCACGTTCAATTCTGTAAGCAATAATAGAGCTCTCCACGTACCCTCCACCTCCTCCCCTGCTGGCAGCACCTTACAAAACTCGATTCTCTGTGGTTTTCCCAGAATCAGAACTTGTGTACGCTTTAGTCACCCCCTCATTTTACAGAAGAAGGAACTGCAACCTGGTCAGTCCCCCCTCAAGGTGACACGGCCAGCTGGGAACTGGACATGGCCACCACACCTAGCTTAGCAGACCTCACCCTCTCGGCTTCTCCTCTCTGCCTGAGGTACTCCCCCCAAGGTCTTCCCACCGCTGACTCCTTCTCATCCCTCATTCTCAGCACAAGGTCAGCCCTGCTGAGAGACCCTCTCAGACCAATAAAGCAGCCCCCAGGCACAGTCATGTGACACTGTCGAATCTCCTCCTCCGTTCAGTATCTGACTCTGTTTCCCATCTGCACCAGACTAGTAGCTCCCTGAGGGCAGGCTCAGGCCTGTTCCATTCACCAGGTCCTCCCATCTCCAGTGGCACAGGGAAGGAGCTCACCTACTGGATAAATGAACAGAAGATGGGTGATTCGCCCAAATACCGGGTCTGTCCTCCTTCCTTAGGTCACTATTACACACAGACAGACACAGCTACCTTCGATGGGAGGTGACGGCGTAGCAAAGGCTCCCAGTGGGAATGAAGGCTTGAGCTGAGTGTGAATGGTGCTCAGAGCGGGGGACCAGCTCCACCAGCGGTTCCCTGTGTGACCTTGGGCAAGCTGTTCTCTGAGCCTCGGTGGTTTCATCCATAAAATGGGGAAATGACAGCCCGCTGCCCTTGCATACCTAAGCACAAAGTCACTGGTAACTAGGGGCCCAGGTTCTGGGTCTCCCTGGAGTGTCGGGGTCCTAGGCGCCGGCCCAGAGGAGTTTCAAAGTCAGCCTTTAACTGCCCTCCCAGTAAAGAGGCTGCTGAATGCTACAGAGCAGGCTCCCGTGCCCACCGCCCCACACCTGGAAGACGAAAGGACACGAGAAGGAGAGGCACAGCTGCGTCGCTGGCTGTGACCCACACTCCTCCAGTTTTTGATTTAAAAAAAATCCCTGAAACAGCACCCACTCCCTGTCAAGTCTGTGTCCCCATCGCCAGCAGAAACCAACTCCTCCTGGAGGAAGGAAAGTTCAATGGATGAGCTATAAATATTTCTGCTAGATGCTGCCTGGGAGCTGGGCTTTCTGCATGAGCAGGCCCCGCTGAAAAGGAAGGCGGCTCGCCAGATTTGTTTCGAATTATGAAAATAGATGTTGTCTCCCCACCACATCTGTTTTGCCTGACAAATGAGCAGCAGCTCGCCTCCTAAATAAGGCAGCACACCAAGACGGTCTTGAAACTCCGGCTTCTCCAACTCTTCAGAAAAGGAGAAGAAGAAGAAAAAAGAGTCCAAGCCTCCCAGGTTTGAGCTCTAAAAGCCAGACCTTTTTCAATGTCATCTCTCACGCCGCAGTCTCCGGGGGCATTTACGCCACACTTGTCCTTAAGCTCAGATCTCCCTGAGCAGGTAGAGGCTGCTCACGTTAGAGGGCACGGATATCCCCCACTGCTTTTTAAAAAGAAAAAGAAGGCCAGGAGACACGCGATCAATTATAAAAAGTGCAAAGAAAGGAAAGCTCCCTAAACTCAAGCCAAGGGTGCGTTTTTGATGTGCTGAGAGAGGCCAGTTTTTGGAGGGAAACATCAATACTGTTGCCATTCAGTTCTCTATGCCATGCTGGCCTGGTGACTTGGGTTAATATAATCATTTTCCTTTAATTACTCCAGGAAAGACCCAATTACAGCGCAGACGCATCTGCCAGCCTGAGGATCCAATATTTAATAGCCCATCCTTCAGGAACATTCCTGCTTGGGAGCTTCCTGGAGCGAGCAGCCCTGCATGCATTACGAACTTGCATTACTATACTAACTCGGTGGTGGTGTTCTGGCCTGTGTGCGTGTGTGTGTGTGTGTGTGTGTGTGTGTGTTTCTTTTAAAAGTCTCTTCCCCTGAAAATACTTCATGTTGATATTTCTTCTTAAAGATGCTGTAATTATGAGAGAGCAGAAAGAACCCCCGAATGACTGTATAACTTGAAATATTACAAGCACAGTCACCCCACTTCCCCACTCCGCGGGGAAATTTACAGGCTTCCAGGCTGCCACCAAGAGGGAAGGACTAGAGCCCAGCAGCTCTCAGAGTTCTTGGAGTTCTCGGCCTCCGAAGCACACTGTCCAGCCACCTGCACAAAGTCCATCATAAACCCATGCGGGGCACAATGGGAGTAGCTGCTCAACAGACCACTCCTGCCTGTGGGCTGTCTGTTTTGGGGGTAGAAATAAAAAGATCTGGCCAAGAAACCTGGAGTGTTATGGGATGTCCTTCTCTATCTCCTGCAGACGAAATGTCCCACCACGCCCCACCCCCGGCTCCGCAACACCGCAGTCAAGTAGGCTGATAGGTTAGACTCGCTTCATCTGGCAGAAATGAGACGCAGTTTAGGGATCCCAGGAGACATCTGGTCAGCTGCCCACGCCTGACTCCCCCTCCCCAGCTTTTGTGCCCCCTACCAAGTAAAAACCGGAGGGCAGATTGATGACTGCGGGAGGGGAGGCGGGTGGAAATTTATGGCTTTGCAGCAGGTCAATGGTAATGACAATAGTTTTCACGGGTGGGGGTCGGGGAGTTAGGGGTCTAGCTGGGAGGGGGGCAGGGTGACTTCTCTCCACCCCGCAGCCCTCGCTCCAGAAGGGAACTCGGAAGCCTGCTTCCCTCCTGACCTGAACATGTAGCGGGCCTGGAAGTCAACTGAATTTCCCAAGTCCACTGGGCTGTGTAGCTGCCTAAGAAGGAGGGGGGCTCTGAGAACCGCCCCCACCACCCACTGCAGAGTCTGAAGGAGCCAAAGTGGGACCACTTTCTGGTTGCTGGCAGGACGATGCCTATTTGGCCTCTGCACCGGTTCCTGTTGGGCGGGTGATGGGTGATTGGGGGGCCCGGGAGACCCTCCACCCCCATAGCTTGCCAGTTTTTCACTGCGGTAACAATGACCTAGTCGCTATGGCAATGAGGTTAATTAATGCATCTATTTGGCAGAACTAAAACCTCGGACGCATTCAACTAGCCCTGATATTTTCATCCTTAAGAAGCCAACCTCTGGTGTTTTATTTGTCTAGGCATGTAGGCATGCCACAAAACAAAACATTGCCACAAAAGGAGGAGCTGTAAGAAGAAATGGGGGAAGTTGTGGGGAGGAGCTGGGAGGGGGGGGTCTCTGCCCACCCCTCAGAGAGAAGAAAACCTGGAATGTCACTTTTCCTTTTTCGATGATGGTATAAAATTAGCACAGTCAAGTAAATGTGTTATAAACACAAAGATGCTGCCAGGAGGCAAAGTGCCTTCATTTAAGGAGAGGAAGAATGGCTGAGGGGTTTTAGAAAGGGGGCTGGGTGGTCAAACGGTTGGAGGGGGTGCCGTCTGCAACCCTCCCAAGTACTGTAACCAGAGGGAAAAGCCATTTCCCCCGAGAACGTGCATCTGCAGAACGTCTAGACAGTCATAAAGAGGACAATTAAAAAAAGAAAAAAGCTGCAAGCCGCAGTCACTCTCCTCGCCAGGGTACCCACCCGGCTGCAACCTCCAGCTAACTGCCCGAGCAGGTGAAAAATTATAAAAGCAAGAAAAGCCAGTGTGGGCTAGGAGGAGGCCGGGGAGTCTGGGCCGAAAACAGTTTATGAGCAAGTGTTTTGAAATCCCGCTTTAAATAAGCCGGTAAATGAATTCAACCTTGTCAGATCTCTCTCCCCTCACGCAGACCAAATATTCCGCTGGCGTGCTGTCTAGACACAGATAACAAAGGACTTTTTACAGCGCACAGAGACGCGCTGACAAAGTAGCCATTTAAAGATGCAGTATTGCTTTCTCGGCCTAAAACGATTTGTCAGATGGACTTAAATGAAAATGCTAAGTTATCGGTCTGGTTTGGGGTCTGCTGGTGGACTGGCTGGGGGGAGGGGGCTGGCTGCTCCAGAGAACTAGAAACCATCATCTGTGATTGGGCTGCCCTCCAGGTCGCTCTTAAAATAGGACTGTACGTGGCCGCCCAGCAAATAATTCTGGCTCTTCTTGTTCTGGGAAGGCGCCTGCTAAGATGTCTCTAACACCTAGTAGCAGCAATTTTGTTGTAGCACTGTTCACTTAAAGGGGGCGTGTGGCAAAAAAAGGTTACATGAAAATGCATGGGGGAGAACTTGTTTCCACCTGCTCCGGGTGGACCAGAACCAAGAGGAGAGGAATCTGGTCTCACCTCCAACTTTGCATTTTAGCCCTTCTCATACAAAGGGTCACTATAAAATGAGTCACCCTCCCTTCCCAGGAAAGAAAGACAGGGTTGGAGGTGGGCTGGCTGCAAGGGTGTGGCCCGGGGACACACTCAGGGTGACACCCAAACACCCTCTAAACTGGGGAGTGGGCCTCCATGCAGCCAAGGTTCCAAGGGAGGAAGAACAGCATCCAGGAGCTCCCAGAGCCTCAACACAAGCCGTGCGCTGACCTCTCCTTCAGGTTACACTCCGGGGCAGCCGGACAGGGGTGGTTCTCCTAAATGGGGGAACTAGTTTCTTCCCCTGGGACTGTCAGCTTCCAATCTAGAGAAAGACCTGCTGCCTGCCAGATGCCCAGTGAGGGCTCATTCACTCCAGCGACCTTTCTCTGATGGGGTGCCGGCCAAGCGGTCACTTCCTTTCCATGCCTGCCCTGCTCATGGCAGCTTCTATATGAGACTGGTCTGCTCTCCTTCCTCTGTCTTTCCTTCCTGTCCTCCCTTCCTTCCTTTTTCTCTCTCAAATGTTGTAAAGCCCAGACGCTGGAACCAGACAAAGCCCATCTCCACCACCTTCAGGCTGTGTGGTCCAAGGGAAGTCACCTCCCTGAGCCTCAGTTTACCCTGCTGTGAAATGGGGTCTCAACCACCTGTCCTAAAGAGCTGTTGTGAGGATTAAATGCCCTTGTGCATTAAACCCACTAACCAGCCACTAACACGGCATCCACCGGCCTCTTTCAACAGCGAGGCCCTGGGCAGGCTCCTTCCCCCTCTCTGGGCCTCAAGGCCCTCACCTGTGAGATGGAGTGACCAGAAGTACCTGCCTCAATCCCATGCAATGAAGAGGAGATGACAGTGCACACCAAAGAGTGGAGCTCAGTGCTGGACCCGCAGTGAACACCCCACAAACAAAACCATGGTCAGGCTTAGGATCCCCACCAAAAACAGCTGTCTACACTAATCCCGTGGGAAGGACAGTGCACCAGGGAGATACACCCAGAGGACTTCTCCAGCTGCTCCTTACAGCAGCCTCCCAAAAGGGTGATGGGCTATGTCAGAGGACTGCAGAGTTTTCCCCCATTTCTGTTTTTGGTTTCCGCACTCTCATTTTTAATAATTGCTTTTAAACGACTGTTCCTAATCTTCGCTCCTCTTGCAGCAAGCAGCCCACAAGCTCTGCCGTCTGTGGGCACAGCCTCTGGTTCTGCCCCAGACGTGGATGTGTAGGTTCTAGAACCGATCTGCCAACGCGGAGGAATGAGTTCAAGATGTGGAGCAATGTTCTTTTTCCGTTAAGGGGTTCAACTGAGCGACTTCCTTCTTCTCCAGGTGATCTCCTGTGCCTGGGGCACCTGTGCCTGGGGCTGGTCCAAGGCTCCGCAAGATAGCACATCAGTGAAGTGACCCAGAAGCCACTGACTCAGCCCTGCCATTTAACAGAGGGACCCCAAGGCCAGAGGGGACATGACTTGCCCAGAGCAACCCAACCAGGTCAGGAAAGAACCCAGGTGCTTTTTGCATGTGTGACTTCCCCTACACATACCTACAGCCACTCCCTGGTCTGGCAACCACGACTGACATTACTAATCAATTGCCACACTCCTTCTCAAAGAGCCCAGCCCTGCCTCCAGGAGCTTCCTCTCCCCACTGCACCAGGAAGGCTCTATCCATCAGGCAAATACAACTTTTTTGGCCAACTCTTCCCCAAACATAGTCATGGGGTGGTTGACCTGAAAAGAAAGGATAAAATACTCAGAAGAAAGATGAGAAATCCAGCAGGACAAGATCAGGGGCATTTGGGGAGCAACTGACACAGCTGGGCTCCAGGAGTCACCAGAAATATCCACAGCAATGTCCAGCCTCTGCACCTGTGCTACAGGGCCCTGCTCAGCCTGCCCTTCTCAACTCCAAGCTGACCCAAGCTTGCCCAAACTCATTTCCAGCCCACAAGGGCCCCCAGCAGGGCTCCTGAGCCATGAGCTCTCTCTAGTCTATGGGTTCCCTGTCCAGGGAAGTAAGTCTGAACCTGCATCTAGATCGGGCCCTGACATTGGATCCACCCTGGGTTCAGTGTCTTTCCCTCTTCCCCTCTCACTGTGAGCACCATAAGGTCAGGCCGGGTGGTTCAGGCCTCTCTGCTACCTCTGCCCTCATCTCGGGACGGCCTCAGCTCAGCCTCCGCCTCGGGACGGCCTCAGCTCAGCCTCCACCAGCTTTGAATTCCCCAGGGGAGTAGGCACCTGGGTGTTTCTCCCCATTCCAAGATTTCTCCGTTTTCCTCCTCAGGTCAGTGCAACTACTTTCTATTTAGCCTCATGTGAGTAATTATGCAGGGAGCAAGTTGGAGAGGGGGGTGTCTGGGGCCTGGATTGAGTTAAATCAGGGTTCCTCAACCTCCACCTGCCTGACCTTAGGAAGGAGACACTTCTTTGTGGGGTGGGCTGTTCTGGGCATGGCAGGCTGTTGAGTTGCATCCCTGGCCTCTACCTACTAGACGCCTACGGGGTAGGCACTTCCTCCATGCCCCAGGTTGTGACAACCAAAAAGTCTCCAGACACTGCCAATGTCCCTAGGGGGCAGTTGAGAACCCCAGAGTTAGAGTATCAGGAAGCCACAAAGAACGGCAGGCAGCAAGGGCTGAATGACTACCACATCATCATCCTCAGCACCCAGTGGTCGACCTCACTCTGCCAGGCAGGGAACTTTGTGCCAGGCAGAGCCTCACATTCATTCTCCCTAAGGAATCACGGCAAATGCTCACATTCCCATTTGACAGATGAGGCGACCGAGGCTAAAAGAGGTACAGGCCTTGGATAGGCAAACACTAAGCCTAGAGCCAGGGAATCAAACTGGAGATTCTGCCTCTCTCCTGGGTCAGTACTTGGAGCTTCTTGTCACTAACGGCCATGAGGACAAGGTGGCTTCGGGGATGTTCCCGCCTGTCCTCCCCTTTACGAGGCACCCAGGCATGGTGAGCATTCCCTGAGCGGGTGGGGGTGGGAATTCTGCATCTTTCCCCAGGGGTTTCTTTGGCTCAGACCTGGCTGAGCGCTGCCTCTGGGCCTTCGATCCCCGCTGGCAGCCCGCCCCAGACTTATTGGCACAGGCTGTGGGGTTTTATTTAGACGGTGTCAGCTAAACAGCTCTGGGCGCATGGGCCCGAGTGGGCGTCAGCTTGATTGGGTTTCAAAACGCGTTTCTGTTTGGGAGCTGCCTCTATCATTAGAAATTGGTGCACGTTTTGTTGGTAGGGCTGGTCACTCGCTGGGCAGGCGGAGGGAGAACTGGCCGCCTCCTTTGAAGCCAGTTTCCCCTCACCCACTACCCACCCCCTCTCTTCTATCTCGGCCCAAATCCCACTTTCTGGGGCCCTCCCCCAACTCCTGACCCTTCGGAACAAAGGGAGCATGAGTGTCTAGACCGCCAGTCTGAACGTGAGAAGGGGGTATTGTGTGACCAGGACAGAGGCCTGGCCTTCCCAGGCAGAAAGGTCGGCTGGGGAGTGGGGCGAGGTGAGGGGTGACTCTGGCCTGGTCCACCTCTGTGGCAACAGACACCACCCCGTTCCTCCTGGGGAGTCCAGCATCGGACCCAGCACCGGGAATCGGACCTAGGTCAGTGCCAAGATGGGACAGTCTCCAAATGAAACTCGGGGAATCCTCTTTGCCCGTCGCTAAAGGAACTAGTTCAAGGAGAGTCCTCACAACTGTGCCCACATAAATAGCTGTTTCTCATGATGATCAGCTTAGAAGCTTCAAGTACATTCCCAGCTCCGGGGACAAGGGGACCCAGGGGCCGCCCTGAATCTGCCTCCCAGGGCCATGGGGAGATGCTCCTGCCTCCTACTCACCCTCTCTGGGTCTCAGGGACCTGTCGTAAAAAGAGAGGCTGTGGCCTTTCAGACGTGTTTGACCACAGAAGCCTTTGATTGTGAATCAAAGTCTGATTCAGCAGCTCTATATATCGGAGGGACACAGACACGGCGCTGCTGGGGCTGACGTGGGTCCCAGGGGCCAGTGGCTGCATCGCCCGGCAGCAGCCGAGGTCCATGGGGCACTTACTGTGTGCGAGGCATTTGCTGAGCTTCTCCCAACACCCGATGCACTCCTCACCTCAGCTCCACGAGCTAGGAACTGTCGGTGTCACCCCATTTTATGGATAAGGAGGACGAGGCTCTTGGGTGAAGGCAGAGCCAGCCAGATCTAACCTTCCCACCTGCCTGGCTTTCAGCCTGGGGGCCTCCATGTGGAACCCTCCCTGCCTCTGCCAGCTGGGCTGACAGGGAGGCCAGAGAGGTTCCCAAGCAAGCCTCTGACCTCACCTCTTAGCGAAGAGACGCTGGGCAGCGGCTTGGGGCACAGACCACCCGGGGGGGCCGGGCCCAGTGCCTGCACCCACCCCCACCACTGCCACCCGCCCTGCATCAGCGCTACACATGCAAATGCTCCTGAGAATATCCCCAGAGAAGAAACTTACCTCCATGTGCTGGAATTGCAGGCATTTTGACTTTTCGCCTGTCATTTATCAAATTCTTTGAATTTTTCGTTAAATAAGGAGTGTATATCACTTTTTACAATCAGAAGAGCCATGCTATTTTTATTGTGAAGCAAAAAAGAAGGATTAATTAACTGTAGCAGGAGGCGGGGTCTCCATTGCTATGGCGGGTGTAGAGGGTCATGTGCAAACAGGTGGCAGGGGCCTGGAGAGCAGGCGCGCACCCCAGCCTGCGCTTCTCCTGCTTGGGCTCTGTCCTGGGAAACACTCGGTGCAGATGAAGATCTGGCTTCTTCTGAGTTTTGTAAGTGACACGCCCAGCCGACCCCCACCTGCCGGAAGTCTGGGGTGGAGCCTGGCCGTCTACTCCTCACCCACCAGTTGGTGAGGATCCAGGAGCCGGGGGTTCTGGAACTTGCACCTCCTGGGAGAAAATGTGTGAGCATGCAGGTTCCTGCACTCGCCCCATTTCAGCTCACATCCGAGGAAAGAACTACTGCGCCTGATAAACGCTGATGCCTCTACACCCCGAGGCCTGGGGATCCCGCTTACAAGGCTACCAGAGAAGCAGGGTTAGAGAAAGCTGGTCCTGGTGCCTCCTCCTCGTCCCTACCGGCCCCTCGGTCTTTTCCTACGGGACTTCTGAAAAGCTGTTCTACAGTCATTGGTTTTCTGGCCGATTTCCAGTCTGCCACACTAGGAGCTGGCCTGTCTTTTTCACGGTTGTGTGTGTCCAAAACACTAGGCCCACCACACAGTAGGTGCTCAATGAATGTGTCAGATGAGTTCATGAATGGCGTGAAATATTGAGTAAAATTACCCATTAGCGAGGTTCCTAATTGTGCAAAATGGCAAATGCCACCCAGCCTTCTGGTGTCCCCTCCCATTAACATGGCATGAGGGGAGCCTCCTTCTCCCCAACTCTTCCGAAGGTCCCTCCAGCAGAGGGGCTGCGCTAGGGGTTCTTGTGCAGGCTCTGAAAGAGGAGGAACAGACCGAGGACCAGTCAAGGCCCCAGACTGACTGAGAGTTGAATCACAGTCTCTGGGCTGGTCTAGGAGGGCGAAGGTGTCCAGGCTATAGCAGCCCCAGGGACAGGCACCACTGGCACCGCTCCTCTCCCCTGAGCTGATGCCAGCTCCTACTCCCCAAAACTCCTTTCCTGCTTCCTCAGGGATGGGGTAGGGAGAACGTTTTCCCCCGAAGAAAATCATTACTCTGCTGTTGAGGGTTACACAGGTTGCAGCAGAGGTGGGAATAGGACAGGGGAGGCAGGACCCTCACCCTCACTCTCACCCCTCTCAGAGGAAGAAGCTGCGAGCTAAGGCTGGGTGCACCATCTCCCGGTCCAGACTGTCCATTTCATGCTCACAGAGGAGCTCAGACCCACCTCACTGGTGCCCGCAGCCCTCGTTCCAAAGCCACCCCCGCTGTGTGGTCTTGAACAACTACCTCCATCTGCAGAGAGGGGAAACAGAACCCTGGGTGTGCCTGGGACGGGCTGCTTCCTGAAACCTCCCCCTGGGCAGAACTCCTACTCACACTGCAGGCCTCATTCTCACATCTCCTTCCCCGACGAGCCTCCCAACTTTTCACATCCCATCACCCTCTTCTCCCTTTTCACGGGTAGGTCCCGGGGCTTACGGAGCCACCACTCCTCCAATACTGGCTACGTCTTACAAACAGAACAGGCTTTGTTTCTCGAGCATTTACAAAGCACCCAGGACTGAGCTGAGCCCTTGCCACAAACTGTCTCATTTAATTCTTACGATGCCCCCTGTGTAGTGGGTGCCTATTACAATCCCCATTTTACAGATGAAGAAACAGAGGCTCATAGAGGAGACGCAACCCCGAGGACACTCTTACGTGGTGACCACTCACTCCCTATGGATGGGGTGTGGCCTCCCCTGGACTTGGGCAGCTGCAAGCACCAAGGCACAGCCCACCAGGTGTGGGAAGAGTCATGGGGGCAGGTGAGCAATGGTCTGTCAGGGCTGGTGGCAGGAACTCACAGGGCGGCCCAGACAGGGGAGCGAAGCTCCCACCTCATGACCAGGATGCCCAGTACTCCTGAGCCCGGTCCCCCTGAAGCCCCTCCCTGCCAGGCCACTGCTCCTTCCAAGGGCCCAGGTCTGTACCTGGCCTGCAGCTGGCGGGTCACGAGCACGGCCACTTTTGGCCCCAGGAGGATTCAATTCCTCGAGGGCTGAGGCTGCCAGATGCAGAGGAGGCCAAGTGGCTGTCCCACCCCATGCCAGCCGGGTGCCACTGGCAGGGCGGCTTGTGGAAGCCATGGTCACCTGGAGCCTGAGGAACCTCCGTCCACCTCCTCTTGCCTGGATACTCTTCATTGTGGAAAGAAAAGGCAGAGATCCAGGCCAGGCTAAGTGGGAGGGTTCTGTTCTACAGGACAGCACTCAGCAATGTCTCAGGGAGCAGGGGGCTGCCTAAGTGCTGCTGGTAATAGGACTATTTTCCATCTTTCACAACTCATGATAATCAACTGTTTATCTCAATCCCTGCTGTGGGTCAAGGTGTCCCAGGCAGTGGTCAAACCGAAACCTAATCAGAATTAACCTGGCAGAATCAGGGCATAAGGAAACGTGGCAAAACTCAGCCAAGTCCCGAAGTGGCAAAACCACGATGTTCACGCTTATGTTGTGAGCAGGCCGGGAGTGGCCGCCTCGCTCTGCGTTCCTGCCCAGCAGCCAGGAGCTGTGTCTGAAGCCCGCCTACCCCACGCCTCCCAGGGCCAGGATCTCACATTCCAGCCGACCTGCAGTACCTCTGCGGGCTGCCATAAAAATTCCTAGACAGGTAGTCAGGTAGGAGGCAGGCCCACAGGATGAGCAGAGAGACCAGGCCCAGAGTGCCAAGTGCCCTCCCTGCCCCACACAAGTCAGAGCCAGTGGGCTCAGGAGCTGCCTCCTCGACCTTTCCCCCTAGTTCTTGTAGGATGAGACTCAAGCCCAGGATCCGAGACCTGCATCCAGGAAGGTCTGCCAAACCACAAGCCAGACAGGCGGCAGAACTTCCCCAACACCTCCCCGCCCCGGGACTTTTCCTAGCAGTAAAAGTCGAAGGTGGGGGCCAGCAGACGGTGGCGGCCAGCAGGTGGCAGGTGTAACTGCAAGGCCTGGGGCTGGGACACACCTGAGCCCTTTTCTTCACTTGCTTCCAATTGTCTTTCTCCCCAGAGCTAAAAAGGTACATGAGGAGGCTAAATAATAAGTCACAGACCTATTCTGCAGAATATCCACCCATTTCAGACATCACAGAACAATTAAATTAAGGAGATTTTTTTTTTCCATTACAAAAAGGGAACATCGAGATCTTGGTTAAAATACACAGAGATCAGGATGCCACACAGCTGCGACCTGGGGCAGGATACAGACACTCTGAGTCTCAGCAGGCTCTTCTGCAAGCCTTGTGAGGAGGTGTTGGGTGGTGACGGGGCACCAAGGAAGTACTCAGTGAAGTGCTGGCTTCTCCATCATCAGCAGCAGGCTGAGATTCAGGCTGGAGCCTCATCACCAGCTGGGAGCATCTCTGAGCTTTCTCTGCCGGTGAGGATGGGAGGTCCTTCTCTGTCCACACCTCTCCACCTCCCAGCCCTGCAGCAGGGCCACAGCCTGGACCACAGAACTCCATCTCCCACTTTCCTGGGGGCAACATGACCCTGTGACCTTGATCTCATTAGAATCGAGTTGCCCCTGACCTTCAAATAGCTGGGTGACCTCAAAAGGCCAAAGAGCAAAGTGCTTCCATCCTACAGGAGGAGCTGCAGATCTGTAACTGCTGATTAAAGGCCCACGAGGGACTTGGGACACAGCTCCCAAATGACACTCTCAGCCTTCCCGATTTTTGCCATACTCAAGTACCCCATTAAAGGCATTAAAATTCTTCAGTATTTTTCTTTTCAACTGAAATAAAATATTCAATTGGTTTACTTATTACTTAACCCGATCTTAAGCAATAATACTCACGAAATCGACAATGTGCTTGTTATATTTTTCCTAACATACATTCACATGAGTACGGAACTATTAAATTTTAAATGACCATCCACGTGCCATCTCCAGTTTTCTCATGTGCTACCGTTTGCTTCGGGTTTATAGATTTCTTGGAACTGACATGGGAGGGTGGCTAGGACACAGATGGGTGCAGTGGGCTGGACATCCAGTGGGGCCAATTACGAGTCATGCACCCTTGGGCAATTGACTTCTGCCCTCTGAGCCTCAGTCTATTTATCTGTAAAACAGGTCTAGTAGCTCTTGGAGGGTTGCATGTAGCGCCATGTAAGACAAGTCTAGTAGCTCTTGCAGGGCTGCATGTGGTGCTGTGCCTGGCACATGGTAGGCATTCAGGAAATAAGGGGAGGGGGGTCCATGCTGCCCTCACAACAGGAGGAAGTCAGGACTGCTTCCCAGCACTTCTATCTCTAGATGAAAAATAGGCCTGAGAGCCACAAAGCCGGTAAGTGAGGCTGCCATGACTGTGACCTGGTATCCCGGTGCCACAGCCACACTGCTCTTTTCTTCTTCTTCTTCAGAGCATGCTAGAGTCAAGGGGAGAGGGACCACTGCCTGTCAGCCCATCTCACTCCAATGAGGCCCTTCAAACACCCACCTCAGCAGCCATGCCCCAAGCCCAGGACACGAAGCTCCACACTGAGGTCCACGCTGTCTGGGAGGAAGGCAGCCTCGGCGTTTGCCGCCTCTGAGTAACCACCTCCCCAAGACATGATTCATACCTGTCTGGGGTCACCCACATCCTCATTCCCTGCAAAGGAATGCAGGCCAGGTGAGGCGGGCAGGCGGTGGCTCTGGGCTGGAGCCCAGCGGGGCTGGCAACAGCGGCTGATGGGCCAACCCAGCCCCAGAGCTGCTGGAGTCTGTCCAGTCTCCAAGGCTCTGCCACTATCCTGGGCCCCCTGGCTGGGGCTGGGACAGACACCCAGGTCTCTGGTACCCGTTACGGGCCCAGATTCAGGTTACAAAATGTTTTCCCCGCTGAAGCACCTGGCATTTCACCGCTAGAGAATCGGACCTCCAGCCCAGCTTGGCCCTTTCACAATCCGTCTGCCCTGCTTAAAACTGCAGGCCTGGCCCGGCGCAGCGGCTCACGCCTGTAATCTTTGGGAGGCTGAAGCAGGAAGATCAATTGAGATCAGAAGTTCGAGACCAGTCTGGCCAACATGGTGAAAACCCATCTCCCAAACTACTAGAATTACAGGTGTGAGCCACTGGGCCTGGCCTAGCAGTACTCCTCTGATTAGCACCAGAAGGATTTTGTGGCTGAAAAGTGGCCTGAGTTTCCTCCTCCCCCTCACCAGACCTCAACTTACCCATCTGCAAGCTTGGGGCTGAGGGCAGCTTAGCGGGCTTAACTCTGCCACACCCTGGAATTACCTGGGGAGCTTTAGGAAACCCAGATGGCCCGGCCCCATCCCAGAGGTAGTGGGTCTGGGGTGCTGCCACAGCCCCTCAGGTGGTGTTAATGTGTGGCCAGGACTGAGAACCACTGCATTTTGAAGAAGGCTAGAGAGGGTCCCTCCAGTCCAGATGTTCTCTGGACTCTCTCCTCACCCCTCCTGGGGAGCTCAGATCCTGCCCAAGCACCTCACTGGTCACAGGGACCACTTTCTCCCTTCAGCTGCAACCTGTTACCGACAATTTCTGCTCCCTCCTGCTCTGAGCCCCAGGGATCGCTGCTGGCACCCTTCCAAGGAGGGAAGTGTGTGGAGGATGGGAGGAGGAGGAAGGAGCAGAGGCCCCCAACCAGCCCATCCCTTAAACCAAGTGACAGGCGGTTCTGAGGCTCAGGGGAAGGTGGGCTCGTCCCTGCCTAGACAAATGAGGCACAGGCTTCAGGAAGAAAGAGGTATGAGCCTGGGCGCCCCTGGGGCTCCAGGAATGCCAGGAAAACCTTGTGTCTAGAACTTTCCCCTTCAACCATGGGCTGGCAAAGGGTCCCGCTTCTCTGTGACTCTCCCTCCCACCCTGTGCCAAGACACTGCAGCCCAAGTTCAAATCCTGCTCTGCGGTGTGCTGGGCAATCCCTGGCAGGTGACTTAGCTCCACCTCCTCCATGCGATGGGGTTGCCATGAGGATTAGTGAGACAGGGTGTGCAAAGAGCTCAGTGAGCACCTGCCACTGTCAGTAGGAATTGCTAGGGTTCAAAAAGCCGCGACGTCACCGGCAAGAACCCAGAAAAACAAGGAGACAAAGCTGTTGGGTGTTGGGTTCATTCCCTAAATACTGACTGCCTCCCAGATTCTCCCCTTTCTTGTCTTTGTTCCTGAACCCCACCCTCAACTCCGCTCTGAGTCTATTCTGGGAAAAGGATCCAGAGCTCATTCTCACTAGAGTGAAAGGGAATGCCGCGAAGCGCTCAGAGCAGAGCTCAAGATTTCTGTGGAGAGAGGCTGGCAAGAGAAAATGGAGGCCTCTGTGCACATTTCCGTTTACACCCCTGATTTTTAAAAAAGGAAAATGACATATTGTCAAGGAACCAAGGAGTAATGCTTACTCCGGGCAGCCATGCTCTTCGGGGAGGCTTGCTCTTGGAGTCACCCTTGGATGCTGCTTCACTGAAGTGTGGGAGTTCCCGCTACATGGTAGCTGAAGTGTGGGGCTGGGCCATCTACAGATGGGGAACGTCCTTAGAACTCATGGAAGGAACTGCCTTGGGACTCACACAGGGTGACAAGGAGGAGCAGATGGGAGTTGGTCCTGGTGGCTGCATGCACCAGGATTTCTGCAGCCCCACTAGTCTTTCAGTCAGCCATTTGTCTGCACAACTTCCAGTTTTCCCCATAAGGATCATCCACAACCCGATGGTCAACAAGTGTCATCACTCAAGCCCTCTCTGAACCCCGACTGGGAGCAGACACTGGGAGTACCACCTCGGTGAGGATCTGAGTGCAGCAAGGATGGAGGGTGCAATTGATTAGCAATGTCTGTTATGGGCAGCAAGTAGGGGACACTGGATGGAATGCCATGCACTCAACATCCCTCATCTATACTTTGGAAGTCACTAGGCAGCTCAATAAATACTGGCTGGATTCTACAGGGTTACTGGCAAATTTCTCCTCCAGTGAACTTTCTCACAGCCATCCAACCAGCAGCTAGACAGACACCAATGACACGCTTTGCACTTGGCCCTAAGCTAGGAGCTGGATATTGAAAACGACCTGAGAGAGACCCTTGTTCCCCGATGCAGAGTGGAGGATGCAGTGCAGCTATGCAGATGGGGAACCAACCAGAGGAAAGCACTGCAGGAAGAAATATTCCCCTTGCAGGCAGAGCCTAGATTTATACGGACAGTTGGAATTTGGACTCATAATTACACCTCTGGGCCATGTGGCAAACAACTCTGATTACCCTCTAGACGGGAGGACAGTGACAATTTAGGGCCAAAGCAACTAATAAAATTAGGCAAAATAAGTGGCACCATGTGTAAGTTCACACAGTTTGGAGAATAATGCAAAGAACGAACAACCGCAAACATCTAATAATTGTCATTGTTAGAGAAATGAGTAGGGAATGGGGCAGAGGCTCCCTTACACGTGAGCCTAAACATTTAAACATTTGTTTCATGGTAGGTCCAGCTGATACATTTTTTAAAGAGGCAACATTCTCTGCATCTGTGGCTTATGACTTGAAACGTCTCTCCAGGTCTGGGGTGGGGGCATCCCTCCCGTGTCAGCCTGCTCAGAGATCAAGATCCATAAACACAGGGAGAGATACACCCGAGATAGGAGTGCATTGAGCTGCGATCTATCCTAACGATCAACAGCAGCAAATGGAGTGGTGTTTAAAGGCTGGTTGGTGTTATTTCATTGGTTATATTCACCCATGTAATTGACACCCTCTCCATCATCTCAATACACCCGCCTCTTTTTCCCATATCATAAACAGATTAGAAAACCAGCTTCCTCCTATGGCCGTGACCCTATTGGCTTCTAAGCTCAGCCCCATATGAATCAGCCCTGGCTCACCGTGATGGCATCTGAAATGACTCAATAACGAGGAGGCATAGACACCAATAAATGAATCATGCCTTCCGCAAGACCAAACCTTTGGCTTTTACAGACACCAATTACAAAGTAGAAAGAAAAGAACAAAGAAATTACTCAGGGTGTTTGCGCAAAGTTGATTCAGACATTTACAGAATTATTACCAACTAAATTGTTTTTAGGAAGGCAATTAGAACTCTGGCCAGCTACAGACATCAGCTCAGCCCGGTGAGGGGAATCTGCGGAACTGGCGCGGCGGGCACCAAGTTCCTGCAGGGTTCCCAGACCTGTGCAAAGCTCCCCGGCTTCACTTTCCACCTTCTTCTGGAAAGCTGTTCCGGACCTTGCAGAAATCCTAAGAAGTCAGCACGTACATATAGAGGCACACACACACACACAGACTTGGCAAGTCTCTGTATTAACTTTTATTTTTTATTCCTTAAATGTAGCAGCCATAAGAGGACATTGAGAGTCTCCCTTCTCTGGGAGTCTGAAGCACATCACTGACCACAACCAAACTCTCACGCCATCTCTCAACTGACATCCACGAGGTGTTTCAGATTGAAGCTCTGCTACCTGCTGTATAACTCAGGGGAATGAAGAAAGGCGTTTGCTGTGGCCCCATGCAAATTCTGAGCCTCCCTAAAGGAAGTGTGGTCTCTGGAATGCATCACCCCACAGGGCTCGAACCGAATCTTGTTGTCTGGGCATCTGAACCTTATGGGACAGCTTGTGCAGTCTGTGGGTGTTGCCCACATCAAGGATGTGCAAGCCTAGTGGGCAGCTTGATGCAAGAAGGAGCCAACCTGAGCTCCGCCCAGCTCACACTCTCGGGCAGCCATCCTGCTTACCACCAATCCCTACTTACCATCGGCACCAACACTCTCGTGGCCATTTATTGAGCATCTACTAGGAATTAGCCCTGTGATAGGTGCTTAAAAGACAATTTGTTTAATCACCTCCGTGCAGTAATTATAAATCCTAGTTTATAAATCAGTCAGCCAAGATCAGGGAGAGTAAGGAGCTGACCAAAGACTCCACATCTAGAAAGCGGCTGAGCTATGTTAAAGAGCCCCAGGACCCCGCCACAGTCTCTCTCCCTGTGCAACTACCAGGTGCCAGGACTGCCCCACAGGCCAAGCAAGGCGTGTGGGGTGCAGGGCAGTCTCTCGGGATTTGGTCTAGATGAGCAGAGGGGTAACTAGGCAACTGAGACCACTGGTGCTGAAAACCTCCTGGGGGAAAGAGCAGTTTGCATTGCTCAAAATTTCTGAAAAACCGATTCAGCTTCCTACTTCTCTTGCTGCCGAGGACATGGCCTGGAAAATCTGATTTCACCTGCCTGGGGGAACCCGGGGCAAAGCTGGGAGAAGGTCAGGCTCACCTGAGCTCACCCTGTGACACACCTGTGGGAGGTGGGATGTCCGTGGTGGACTCCAACAAGGGACCTCAGAGAAGCCTCCCGGCCTCGGCGGTTGGAACGCACATGTTTCGACAGTCCGCGTTTTACATATATCATACATAAAATACAAATGTATATTGTATATACTTGAAGATACGTGGCTCTAAATATAAAAACACACCTTTTTGTATTCTTAACCACTGACACTCAGGCAAATTCATGGCTGGATTTGTCACTTTCATGCTCCCAAAGCCAGTGATGGAACTGGCCCCTCCTGGAGACCTTAAGGACCAGCAGAGACTCTTCCACTCCTGATGCTGATGCGACTTGCATACTGGGAATCCATGACAACCTGTCAATGACAATAGAGGCTGACAGCTGCCACTGACAGACCCCTCCACAGGCCCATGCTTTACCGAACATGTTCGGGGGAACAGGGAAACTGAGGTACACAATAACTCCACTTCCACCAACTGTCAAAATGTTTATTGATCTATTTGGTGCCAAGATCGTGCAACTTTTATCAACACAAATAAGCACTTGGCACAGCCACCTCCCCTGAAGCCCCAAAAGCCTATAGTGGGGGCAAATGATATAGGACAGTTTCTTAAGACTTAAAAGGCAAAGTGGCATCTCGAACCTGCATGGCTGTTAGGTGGTTCTAGCTGTGGCCGTCCAGCCCAAGGGGAGTCTAGCACCACTGCTAAGGAGGATTGCGAGGTGTTTCTTGCTGATGGTGAAGAGTTGGTTCGTGGAGGTCACAATCAACCTTTATCCACCATCCAGATCCCAGAGCCACTGGGGATTTTCAACTTGTTACTAAATAAAATTCTCTTTTCTGCCAGTAGAGCCATTTCCCAAGCCCACTGAAACAATAACAAATGATTTTAGTTAAAAGACATCAAAAAAGGAGCCGGGCATGGTAGCTCACACCTGTAATCTCAGCACTTTGGGAGGCTGAGGCGGGCAGATCACCGGAGGTCAGGAGTTTGAGACCAGCCTGGCCAACATGGCAAAACCCTGTCTCTACTAAAAATACAAAAAAACTAGCCAGGTGTGATGACTCATGCCTGTAGTCCCAGCTACTTGGGAGACTGAGGCAGGAGAATCACTTGAACCCGGGAGGTAGAGGTTGCAGTGAGCTGAGATCGCACCACTGCACTCCAGCCTGGGTGACAGAGCAAGACTCCATTTCAAAAAAAAAGAAAAGAAAAGAAAAAAGAAGACATCAAAAAAAAAAAGAGAAGAAAATCAGACTATAGTTCGAATCTTTCTGACATCCTTATTAGTTTATGGCAGGCACTGATTCCAAGCCACCTTTCTTCCTACCCCCATTCCCATTAACAACAGGTACATATTAGAATGTGCTGGAGCATTAGGAATAGCTGATCACCACCTGATACCGCCGAAGTTGAGTCACAATAGCTGCTTAGCTCGGTCCAGCATATGGCATCTCAACATCACCTCTGAGCAAACTCCACCTTCCTCCGTGAGGACAATAACCCCAAAACACTCCCAGTCTGCAGCAAGTGTGTGCCAAGAAGAATCACCCTAGGAATTCTCCTTCTGGGGGCCTGCAGCAAGCTCTGGCAATGCGTTTTTGCCATTTGATGGCCTTTGGAGGACTAAAGCCATCACTGTGAAACCTTGACCACCCAGGGCAACTGGAGCGGGTGCAGGGGAGGTGGGTCTGCATTGACTTCTGTACCTGCCCCTTAGCTCTAGAAGAGAGGGCAGGTATGAAACTCGGGCACAGTTTCCTGCCCCCAATAGTGGAAACTTTGGAGCATTAAAAATCACATTTTGTACCAGAGGTGCTTTTCAGGTAACGGTCCTGACAACCCCATAGAACAGATGTCATTCTTCCTTCCACCTCACAGAGGGTCAACTGGAGACTCGGGAGGATACCACGCTCACCCCCAGAATGAAGGTCTTCAAAGCCTGTATCTTGACCACAAGAATCTGGAATCTCTTGAAAGTTCACCTGCCCACTTCCTCCCTTCATCCAACGCACATGAGACTCCTACCAGGTTCAGGGACACAACCAACAACAACCCCTCGGTGCTTGGTGCCTGGAGGGAAAGCAGACATGGCACAGCTAATGACACAAAGATTCGATTACTGCCATGACAGGTGTGACAGGAGGAAGGCCAGGGTGCTCCTGGGCCCCAAACAGGACACCAGGCTGGGGGTCTCCCTAGGCGAGGCCCTGAAGGTGCCTCTGAGTGTGGCCTCTCAGCTTCCCTTCTGAAATGACTCGTGTTCTTTCACCTGTCTCCCTACAAGGGCAGCAGCTCGTAGAGGGCAGGAATTTGTCTGTGTCGTTCCCTGACGTTCTGCGGCCCTGGGAACAGCACCGGAGGTCAGAGGTGTGTGGCAGATGGTGCTGAACGCTGAGCCCCTGCGGAGGCTGTGTCTAGTGATGTCCCCTATCAAGTCTACATTTGATTCCCTGGGAACATTCCCCAGCTACTCCCCAAACCCCCGCCACGACATCTGTTGGTGCTGGTATGTCAGAGATGCACAGAGAGCTGGAGACAGAGACACCAGCTCCTCATGCAGCCTGACAAGGCACGTGTGTTTTGGGGAGACATTTCCAATGAATGTCAGCCGGTGTCTTGCCAGAGCAGAATGGACCCAATTGCTCTGAGAGGTGGCCAATTCGTATGTGTTCTTCCCTAACAAATGGTCCAATATGGGCTTGCAGTCTTGGGAGCCTAAAATAGCACTGCAATGGCCAATCTTGCAAAGAAAGCCCTGGAGCTCAGGAGGTCGGTGTAGTGGAAAAGAAAGCCTGGGAGTGTGGACTGCAAGGTCAGGGAGCTTGCGTTTGAATCCCAATGGAGCATCAGTTCCTGGCTGTGTGACCTCGAGCAAGTATCTTACACTCTCTGATCCCATTTTTGTATCCGCAGATTGGTGCAATAGCTCTCTCAGGGTTGTTTTGAACACTGAGAAAAATGCGTCACTAATACCTGGCACATAATAATCTCTTCACATTCAACTAGGAAAAAGAGCAGAAGCAAAAAAATCCATCAGTAACCCAGGAACAGAAAAGAGAAGCCATTCTGTGGCTCTCGGATAGTCTGGGGATGCCCCAAGCTCTTCCAGGCTCACCCCAGGGTGCTGAAGCCCCTGCCCTGGCTGGTAAGTCATTCTGGGATTTTTCCCGGTTTGGTGACAAACAGTTCTGCCAGTGCCTGCCTGACAAGACCCTGACGAGACCCCTGAGGTGTCAAGGTTTGGCTTTGTAGTGTCATCCAACGGGAAAATGAGGTTGACTGTCAGTACTCGGCACTGTCACAGCTTCACAGAGGGGTGCAGCCCACCCTGGGGAGAAGGCAGGAAGGAGTGCTTGGAGCAGAAGTGAAACTGAAGACCGGCCCCTCCCCGGCCCTCCCCCGCTGCACCTGTTGATGGGGGTGGGGGACATCAGGGCCTTTCTTTTAATGGTTTGCCCCCACATATGATCACCTGTTAAAAATTTCAATTGATTCTCACAAAGGGGAGCCCCAAACCATCAGAAGCTTCTGGGCTTTCTGCTCCCAGGTTAGGCTGTCTTAGGAACTGCAGCCAGTGGGGCATCTGGACGTCAGGGCGGTGTTGACCTCACGGCCCCAGTTTTGTGCCTTGCCTTGTACCCCCTCTTCCAGCCTCTGTCCACCAAGCCTGGCAGTGGATTAAGGGAACCCTGCTGGCAGACCCGAAGAGACCGTCTGGGGCCTCTTGGGCCAGCAACGGGCATGCTGGGGTCGTTGCCAGCCAGGTCTGCGGTGGGCCTGGCAAGGACAAGGAGTATTACACAGATAGTCAATTACCTCCATGTTCAAGGCCATGGGCCCCAGATGGGCCTGTTGATTCCAACCTTCCCAGCCAGTCCGAGGATGGGCAACCTTTTTCTGGTGAAGGCCTTCTCATCACTAGGCACTCTGTTACAGAGTGACCGCTAGGGAACCAGGCAGAATGGACCATCGAGTCCAATCCGCCCCACCATCATCGCTCACCTCTATGAACACACAGCTGCTCCAGACACTAGGCCACACACAGCCAGAATCTCTCTGCACCCTCAGCACAGGGACTATTATCACCCCACTTTACAGACCCATCAGATGACAGTGAAGGGGGGCACAAAGGGGACACGGCCAGCAAGTTTTGACGCCTCCATCCCTCTGGCCCTCGGTCTCACTCCTAACCCACCCACAGCAGGGCAGGTCACTTGATGAGACAGATGGGGTCTGCCAGCAGGTTCTGTGGGGCTTCTTGGTGACAGGGGAGACAAAAGGAACTGCCAGCACTTAAAACCCAGGAGTTTTATGTCAAAATCTAACCATTCGGCTGCCCTGGAACGGAAAGATCTGGCCACTCAGGGCCCATGTGGCAATGGTGGGCTGAGCAGTGGCCACAGTGCCTTTAAACTGGACTCTTGCCCCTGGTTCCCTGGAGCCCACCCCAAAGACAACTGAGTTTGCTTCCCTGAACCATGCTCCCCCAGCCTCGGGGAGCCCCTGGCACAGCATGGTACCATCCTTGTCACTCCAGAGGGTGCATGAAGAGTAGGTCCGTCTCCCGCACAGCTCCCGCACGTGCCCCAACCATGCGTGCGTTACGCAACACTTTGTAAAAAGCAAAAAATGGGCCCTCGGCTTCAATCTCCTTCTCTCAGCATGTGCACCGTACAGAACCCGAGGCTGGCAGCAGCACAGCCTCCGAAATTCACCGTGTAAGAGTTCCTTCTCTTTGGGCAGGATCCCAGACACCGAGGTGCCTGCAAACTTGGTCTCTGGATGCTAACACCTGAAGAGAGAAGGCCACACCGATCCTCAGGTTTGGACCCTGCCACCAGCACCTTCCTCCAAACATTTTCTGGCTTTTAAACTATTGACCGGACTATAAACGTTTAAACCCCCTGGCCCTGGGCCACGATGGGAGTGGAGATGGTGGGGGCAGGCATGTGGGCACACCTGACCCCGTGGCTCTGGGGCAATTTGGTGGCGGGTGCATCTTGCAGCATGGAGGCTTCCTTGGGGCTCCTGAGGGAGGCAACTCTGCTGTAGACGCTTCCAGCCTCCACAGACCTCCCGACGGCCTCCCTTCTCCTGGGCAGCGGCACACAGGGGTCCACCTTCCTTCTTTTATGGAGAGGGTGCATACCTTCGCACCTCTTACAGGGGAGAATGTGCACTCTTCCTCCTTTTCTTCTTACATGCCCAGAAGTTTTAACCATTCCCAACCCAAAGAGAAGAGGGCAGGAAAGACAGATGGGGTAGAAGCTGTGTGTGCCTGTGTATGACTGTGTGTGCGCGTGTGTGTGTCTGCACGTGTGCGCATGCAAGCACCCACTCACAGGCGCGTGTGTGTTTGTACAGGAACAATTAGTTATTTTGTGCTTTGACAAATGCTAAACTCACCTCGACCCTGGGTCACACTGGGCAGTGTAGCTGGCTTAACCCAGACCTCCTGGGAAGCTGAGGCCAACTGTCTGACCTAAGATTCGGGTCATAGAACTCAACTCCCTTAATAACTCCCCTATTGCACCACAACCTAAAACCCAGACAGTCAGAAAACCTGTGGGTGAAAAGTCCCAGGGTTTAGCGGGTCCACAGGGGAGAACAGCTGGTGTTGGACATCTGTATTTTAACCCCAATCCAAAACATCAGCTTTCACTAACGCCAGGGTCTCTCCTTAGAAAAGCAAATCCAAGACGAAAACGGGAAAACTTCATCTCAAGAGGAAGCCCCTATCTTTCCTTCATGGCACACAACAGGCACTCAGTAAAAGCTGAGTGGATGAGTGGCTGCGGAGTGGCCACAGGCCTTCACAGGGACGAACGTCTGACGGGAATTAAGGGTCTCCTGGCAACGCAGATGCTGCCCTCTGGCCCTCAAGCCCCTTAGGAGAAACCACTAACTGATTAAACAGTGGTCTCAGTAGGGGGCATTTGACCATGTCTGGAGACATTTCTGGCTGTCAAACCTGGGAGAGGGGTGCTGGTATCTAGTGGGTGTGGGAGAGGGGTGCTGGTAACACCTTACAGAGCACAGGACGGCCTTTCCTGCCCCCCAACAAAGAATTACCGGGCTCAGAATGTCACAGTGCCAAGGCACTGTCTCTACACCCTCACTTGATTCAAGCAAGTGTCAAACAGCATGTGCCAGGCAAGCCCAGGGAAACCTGGGTGTCCTGTGAGTTTCTGATATTTTCTCATATTTGTTTGGAAAAGGTTGGAGAAGAAGAATCAGAGGCTCGGTGACTCTGGCCAGTGGGTGATGTTAAAAAGACAGCTGCCACCGTAGATACCACCAGAGATGGGCCCAGGGCAGGGGCACCTCCCAGAACTCTCAGGAAACGCCTCCCGCGTGAGCAGACACCGGGTGGCCCCAGGTTCAGTCTTTCCCGAGAGCGAACTTAGCATCCATCTGGGCCCCAGAAGTTTGAGGCAATAACCAGAGGAGAAAGACCGGGGGTAATCTCTGAGACGCAGCAGAACTGAAATGAGGTAGATGAGGTTGCCAGGAAAACCAGGTGCCAGGAGTCCTTTCCTCAAAAGTAGCCGCTTCAAGCTCCAGGCTGACATCTGCAAGGCTGTCACTCGTGCTGCCTGCTTTTAATCCCAGGACCCTTGGCTTTTTAAAAGAAAGGGTTTTCCCACGGGTATGTTTTGGGAACACTGAATTCCCACCAGACAGCAGCCTCATCCCTCGACTCTCAGAAAAAATGGGGCCCCAGGAGTGTCCTGTTACAGTCAAGCCCACTCCATTCAGCATCCTGAGAGCAGACGTGGCTCCCGGCGTACAAAGGGGCTCTGACAATTTCCCCCAGCCCCCAATTTCAAGGAGGACCTGCTCTGGGGCCCAAGTACCAAATTCAAGAGGTGTGGGCGTGCAGTCCAAGAGAAACCACCCTGGCCTGGGGCTGGTGTGGGTTTTGGACCTCGGGCAAAACTTTCCACGGTGGACTTTCCTCATCTGTAAGTCAGGGATGTGAACCCCGAGCTTGCGTAGGCTCCTCTCAGGTCTGAAATTTGGGGTAGCTGAAGACCACACAGGGGAACCAGCAGTGGGTGGGAAGCCCGGTCCAGCCTGAAGACCTCCAGCCAGGCTCAGCAGGGGAGAGGCCCTATCTTGAAAGACTATAGAATTCTAGATTTCATCCATCACGGCCTCATTCTTCAGATGAAGACAGTGAGGCCCATCATGGCTTAAGGACCTAGCAAGGTCAATTTCCTTCTGCCAAAAGAAGGTATCTTACAGGATAGGAGCCACTTGGACACTGCCTCAAAGCCCAACTCCAAACCATCCATCAAGTTCTCGTTGCAAACAACTCCCAGCATGTACTAGATGAAAAACAGCAGCCACTACTAGTTAAAAGAAAAACCAAATACTAGCTTTTTTCCTTTCTTTTTTCCTTCCCTCCTTCCTTCCTATCTTTTGGTGTAAAGAAACTCCAGGAGACACCAGGCCTTACCACTTCCTCACCCTAGTCTCTCGGGGAAATCTGATGAAAACAAACTGTTACAGTATACCTGCATTTTAAAGACTGGTTGGTTCCCTCCGTGCCTTGCAGCTTTCTTCCAATAAGTAGGGGGCTGTGTATACACAGAACACAGGACTAACTGGGGCACCCAGGGGCCAGCTGGAACAGGCTAGGGTTCCAGGTATTAACCCCAAGGGTCCCAATCACTCAAAGGCTGCTGGCGGCGGCGGGGCAAAGTGCAGAGGGCGGCGGCAAGGCATTTAACAAGAGGCCTTGATGTCAGGTCAAAAACATCATGGACTGATGAGCCTAAGAAAGGACAGAAATAAGAACAATGCTTTTTTTTTTTTTTTTTAAGTCCTGAACCATAAAGAGAGACAAGAGCAAAATGATGCACTGTGCCCAGCCCTTGGAATAAGGGTGACACAAGGATGTGTGCCCCTCGAGCAGGAGGTCCTCAAGGCAGCTTTACAGAGCGAAAGGCAAAAAGTGAGGCAAGGAGGGCACTGAAGCAGCAATCCATCTAAGGCAAGACTCTCCAAACGTGTGCGAACGTATTTTAATAACATTCTCGTGCATTTCATTAGCCTCCTGAGTTCACAAAGGGCCTCTGGGAAGGCAAGTCGGTTCCGCAAACGCTGGCTCTGGGCAGGTCCTCCTGGCACCTCGCTAGTCTGGCACAGGCCAGCTAAGGTGGGGTAGGGGGAGAGCTTTCCATTCCAGGCTGGGAGGGAGTGTGGAGAGGTGGATGGATGGAAGGACCCACCACCAAAGCCCGGCCAGCCTGGTTATTTTTACCACTTGAAGCTCACTGTATAGGCTCAGGGGCCACAAACTGGCAGCCGCCTGCGGACACTTGCTTATGAGCCGCCCAGACACTGCCTTCATTCCACAGCGGCTGCTTCTCAGCTCCGGGCCCCAGCTAGGGGCAGCCTGGCCCCCAGCAGGGAAGGACTGTGTGCCCCTTCACCTGGCGTGCTTCTTCAGGGTGGGGATGGGGAAACTAAAGCTCAGGGAAGCAAAAGGTCCCCGAAAAGGTGGGCTGGGGGACAAGGTGTAGGCTAGAAGCTAGAAGCCAGAACCCGGGAGGTAGTGGTTCAATTCTCCACTCAACCAAATGTCCACCTAGGTGGGCTGTGTGTGCAGGAGGTAGAGACTTACTTATCTGAACTTTTGGGTGCCCAGGCGGCTGCGTTAGCGACAAGGTTCAAAACCCCACTCCCCACCGTTGGTCCACTGATCCCTTATTTAGGGCCAGGCAGTCCCAAACACAAACAGCCCCAAACTTTGACTCCTTTGTAACCATGGTCTCAGCCAGACTGAACCAAGCTGTCCAGACAGAGGCTATTTATAGGTGCGTCGGGGACACAGACACTGGCACAATGACACACACACATTCAAGATCCACGCTGGGCCAGACGGGCCAGAGCTGAGCCCTGGATTCAGACACCTGGACACACACGGTCCCCAGATCCGGCCCAACCAGACCAGACCCCCAGAAAGATGGACACGCTCAAGAAAGGCACCCCGGCCCGGACACGGGAAAGACACACAGAGAGAGGCAGGAAGACTCGGTGACACGCACTCTTGGGCAAGACCGCGACTCAGACCCCCAGACACCCCGAGAGACGCCGAAGACCCAGACAGAGCCACGCAGCCACGCACACTCCACAGACGCACGGACATCCACTCAGAGCCCGAGACACAGCGCCGCGAACACTCCAGACACACGCCCGGAGCCCCAGACACCTCGCAGACCAGACAGTGTCTCACACGCCCCTCCACCCCCGCCCAAAGTTGATAAAGAGCCGGCCTAAATGCTCCATCGCGACTGCCCTCAGGGAAATAAAATGGAAACTTCACGGATCCGCCCGCCCCAACCCTCCCGCGCCGTGCGCCGCCGCTGAGCCCCGGGTCCGAGTCCGGGCGGGCGGGGCGCGGACAGCGGGGGCCGTGCCAGGCTCGCAGCGCCGCGGGACAAAGCCGGGCCGGCCGCCAGCTGCCGCGAGCCGGGAGGGCGCGCCCGGGGCGCGGCGGGCGCTGCCCGGGCGCAGGGCGTTCGGTCCGAGGGGGCGCGCAGGGCCCGGACCCCCGCTCGCAGCTGTGCCCCGACATAGGGTCCGAGCCCGATGGAGTCTCCGGGGAGGGGGGCGTGGGGTCACTCACTGATCTCCATGCTCTGGAACAAAGAGCGTTTGCAGTTGCACGTGCAGGAGACATTGGGCTGCCCGGCGGCGGCGGCGGCGGTGCTGTTGACCCCCATCAAGCGGTGCATGGACGGCGCGGCGGCGCGGCGCGGGGCGCGGGGGGCTCGGGGGCGGCCGGGGGGGGCTCCGGCCGGCGCCCGGAGCTGGGGCCCCGCATGCAGGAGGCGCGCGGCGGGGGAGGCGCGCCCCGGCTCGCCGGGCTCGGGTCGCCGCCAAGTTCCCGGGGCGCCGCGGGGCTCAGTGCGCGGGACCGCGCTCCGCTGCGCCCCCCCGGCCTCCCCTCGGCAGCCCCGGGGGCGTCGGCAGTGCCCGCGGGTGGCGTCCGGAAAATGGGCTGGCAGCGGGGCGCGCGCTGCCGCCGGGGCTGAGCCTCTGCCGCTAGCTTTCCCCAGCCGAGCGCCTCCGCCGCCGCCGCCGCCGCCGCCTCCTCCTCCTCATTCAAGTCCAAGGAGATCGGGTTTCGCTCCGAGACCGCGGTCGGAGGCAGGCAGACGGTCTGACGTCAGCGCTAGACGGGGCTGCCGGTTCCCACCGCGCGGGGGCCGGGGAGGGGGCGCGCGCTGCGCCAATCCCCGCCGAGGTTCCCCCGCACCCCCTCCCCGAGCCGGGGGGCGGGGTGACGGGAAACGGGGCGGGCTCTTAAAGGGCCAGAGCTAGGCGGCCCACGTAGACCCGGCACCCGCGCAACGGAGGAGGGGCGCTGTGCCCTCTCCCCAACGGCGGTCAGCTTGGAACGCCTGCCCGGCGCACGCCCGGGGCCGGGGAGCCGAACTCGGTGCCAGCCGCACCCGGGCGGGTTGCTGGTGCGCCCTCCCCTCGCCCCCGTCCCTGGGGTCCTTGACCCAGGCTCTTGGGGCTAGCCTATCTTCTGAGGAGCACAAGGTCCCTGGGGGCTCAGGGAAGAGAAATTGGAGAAAGGGGGAGGAAGCCCCCAAGATGGATCACCCATTGCCTGGTTTCGCAGGAGACTGTCCGCCTTCAGTTCTCCAGCAGCTCGGGGATCATGGCCCACTGAACCCCCAAGCGCTTTCACCCGAACCCAAGGAGGACGACCAGGAAAGACGGGAACTCGCGTAGACACGCCCGGAAGCCCTTGTCATGTAAATAGCTGTCGGGGACTGGTGTATTGTCGCCGCCCCAGCCGGCGGGACCTGGGGCGAATCCACACCCATTGTCTGCTGCCCAAGGGGCCTCCGGCTGGGGGGCGCGGCTGCGGAGTTCAAAAGGGGTATGAGCAGGAGGGGTGTACTTTTAGTTCATTAAGTTTTAATTACAGGAGTGCTACAAGAACACATTCTTCAGGTTTAAAAAGATATTAAAATATTACATAAGAGACCTCCCCTCCCTGGCCCACCTCCAGCCTCTTAAAAATTTAGTGTGTCGCCTTTTAGACACTTTCTCAAAGCTTCACTTATTTAACAGGCACTTAAGGAGCACCTACCTGTGCCAGAAACTCTCCAAATATTAACTCAACCTGACACCGACTCAGTGTGGCCGAATATTACTCTCCCCATTTTACAGAGCGGGCAGCTGGTCAAGGAAGTCGCTTGTTGAAAGTCACACAGTGGTGGAGCCTGTGTGCCAACCCAGGACCCTGGGGAGCTGCCTCCCCCTCTCCCACGTAGTCCTGATTCTTTAAGTGTCCACATATTCCTGTAATGCCTGGAGTTTCAGTAATTAGCAGGGACTTAGTGTGTTCAGAGAAAAAAAAAGCTTTTAAAAATTATTGTTACTGTGTTTGTAACAGTTTGGATAGAGAAGGAAAAGCTGGAATTTGGGAAGTGAAGGTGGCCTCGGGGTAGAACTTACCTAGACCAGAGCGAATTCATCCTGAAGAACTCAGAGAAAGCCGGTGCAGGAAGTGGGTTCCCGCTCTCCCTGCACAGGCACAGTGATGCTGCCAGAGCTCTCCCAGAAAGACCAGGAGGCTTGTTCTGGAGAAGTCAAGCCCAGGGATGTGGCTCAGGCTGGTCCAAGCTCTTTGGAGGAGTCCAAGCGTGCCCAGCCCAGAGGGAGGTTCAGAGGCACTGACCGTCTTCTGTTTGGGAGGAGAAGCTCACTCTTGGAGCCACAGCCAGCACTAGGTCAGGACCCAGGCCCCGGCCCAGGAGTGGGGCAATACCCAGCGTCTACCCCAGATGGCACCCTGCTGTGAACTGGGCGCCCTCAGCCCCTGCCTTGAGGAAGGGGCAATACCACCAGCGTGTCTTTTATCAGGGAAGATATTGCTGCAGTTTGGCCGCTGCAACTTAAGAGAAAAGCTAAGGGGTCCCCCAGCATCCCTTGGGGTGCCACTGCAAATACTGGCTGGGCCTGGAGATGACCTGGGTCCCATTCACTTCCTAGGGTGAAGGAGGTCATCATTACCACCCCTGCTTTCAGCCATTTCTTCATTCATTCAATCAACAAACTGGCTGAGCTGCAACCCTGAGCCGGGGAATTCAGCCACTCCAGACACAGCCCCTGCCCTCCGGGAAGTCTCGGGAGACCTGGCTAGTCTGGCTGGGAGAAGTCACACGTTGATTGTCTTGGAAGTGAGATGGCATTTACACAATGGAGGCTGCACTGCCAGCAGGCAAAAATAACCAGTTAATTCAGTGGCTTAAAGAAACCAAACCTACCCACAACGCTTGACCTCCCATTGATCCATCTGCGACACCGGCAGTGGCTACCATTTATTGAGTGCTGATGGTGTCACCTGGGATTGACTTAGTGGTCTCTGGCGCTAGTTCCGAAGTTGATTCTGTCTGGAGAGCTTAATGCAGTGTTCAGACCTCAGGGTCCGAACCTGAGGGTCACCCAAAGATGAGTGGGACATAGCTGTGTGACCTCGGCTGAGTGCTTTCACCTCTCCAACCTCAGTTTCCTCTTCTGCAAAATGGGGTGGCTTCATGGCACCTTCACGTGGTGTGATTGCGAGGAATGAAGGGATCGATGCCTTGCAAGTAGAGGAGAAGGGGCCGGATACATCTTAGTTGTTATGTTATTTAATCATCTTGGCAACCCCGGGAGGGAGGAACCACTATCATTTTATTTTCCATTTTGCAGTTGAGGACAATGATGATTCCAGCACAGACAGGGCCCCTGACGGGGCAGTAGGAAAGGAGAATTGCTTTGGAAGGAGCATAGGCTGGACTGCCAGCACTCATAGGAGGCTTCGTGTGTGCCCAGGACTGCGAGAATTAAATACAGGACACCCAGTTCAGTTTGAATTTCAGATAAACTATGAATAATGATTAGTGTAAGTATATCTCAATTTAACTGGATAGCTTGTATTTTTCTTTGCGAAATCTGATAACCCTAGATGTGCCAGGGACTGTGATGCTGGCATTTTGGGCATGAAGGGCAGAGCCCACTGTCAGGCACAGGCAGAGAAGGTCACAACTCCCTGATTCTACCCAGGAGAAATGGGCAGAGCCAAGGTGTTAATGGGCTGAGGAGGGAGGGCTCACTGCTGGGAGTGGGAGTGGGGAGGGGGCACCGCGATTGGGCAGGCCTGAGTCCCTGGGAAGAATGCCACAAGTCAGAGGCAAAAAAAAAAAGGTTTTGTTCACTCATTGAACAAACATTCTGCTCCTATTCAGTGTGAAGCTCTGTGCTGGGTATGGGGCACAGGGCTGGGAAGAAAACCAACTCCCTGACCTCGTGTGACATTGTGGGGGACAAAGGGACTAAAGACACACACACACATGCAAACTCATAGCTCAATGAGGTCAGGAGGTCATTTCAGACATGGTGATAACAGGCCAAAGGCCAGAGTTGGGGTGAGATCAAGGAAGCCCTCCCTGAGGAGGTGGCATCTCATTCCACCTGCAGTTACCAACCACCCACAGGTGCAGCCCCAGCCATACTGAGGCTCACAGGTGAGGCTGACATCACATGTGTAAAAAGATGAGTCCAGGTGATAATTTCAGAGAGGGACGAGACCTGGGAAGAATATAAAAGGAGAGGGTTTGGAGGCGACTTGAGCCCAAAGGGTTGGGCCTCCTCTCTGGGGAGATGTGGGCTGGGCATGTAGGGGACAGTAGAGAGGGGATGCCAGGCCAGTGGGGGCATCAGGAACTGGGAGACTCTCATGGTCCCAGCAGGTTTGGAGTTTGGGACACATTTCTCAGCCTGGCTGTGGCCATGGGGTTGTGAAATGGGTGTGTGAAGCAAATGGATTGTGAAATGGGTGACTGCAGAGACAGGCCTTTCTGGGACTCCAGACAGCGTGTGCCACCATCCGCCCTGCCCATGGGTTGAATCCGCGGCCGGGGGGATTTTCCAGAGGAAACGTCCTGTTTCAGCAGGTTAAGGGGCTTTGCTCCCAGCAGCGCCGCGCATCTGTGCTCTGCTGGACTTGTGTGCAGAGCCAGCTTCGTGGGAGTGTGACCCCCCTGCACTCTCCAGGGCCCCATGCTCTGAAGGGTCGGGGGTTTATTGTATTATTTTATTTATTTATTTTTTAGTTTAATTTTTTCTACTGTTGACATCGTGAAATTCCTAATAGTTAACAGTTTCTGAACACGGGGGCCTGCAAATCTGTAACCAGTCCTGCTCAGATGCCAGGCCCACACTGGCAGCCAGTTGGGACCCCATGGAAGTCAGTGTGGGTTTTGGCCACAGCTGAGGGTGGCTGGCAGTGTTCTGACTGTGCCCGCTGGCCGAGGGTGGCTGGCCACTGTGGAAAGTGCCTGACTGAGCCAACAAAAGTCCTGCTTGGGGAGCCGGTTGAGGGGACAAGGCAGAGGCCCTCCTCAGGGCCAGCCGTGCCCCTGTCTGCCTGCCACCCCCGGCCTGCCTGGACGGAGCTGCCTCTGCAGAATTAGTCTTGGGAAACCTTAGGCAGATTAATGACCTCCCCTCCCAACTTAGCACCTTTGGAAACACCGTCCAGCAGGGTCATTTTCTTCCTCAGGTTGGGGTTAATTGGGGCTGTCAACTTTCACAGGTTAGCAACTTTGGATTTCATTTTTTTTGTCTTGTTTTACTTTTAAACACTAGTAAGAGCCAATGTTTATTGGGCACTGCCCATGTGCCATGCCAGGCCCTGTTCTAACCACTTCACATTCTTCCACTTAGTCATTCCACAAATATGCATTGGGATCCTACGGAGAGCCAGAAATGAGCTCACTGGATCCCCACGACAACCCTCTGAGGTCCAAGCTGATATTATTCCCATTTGACAGATGGGGACACTGAGGCTCAGGGACCCAAGGATGAGGTGGAGCTGGGATGTGAATCAGGTACTTGGGCCCTAAAGCCCATGGGCTGGCCTCAGCAAATGATGCCTTCTGCACCCTGTCTCCCTCCTCACTGCCTTTGACTGGGTCCTCCCTGGCCGTCCCACTGGACTCGGTTGGCACTGTGCCCCTGGCCGTCCCACTGGACTCGGTTGGCACCGTCCCCCTGGCCGTCCCACTGGACTTGGTTGGCGCCGTCCCCCTGGCCGTCCCACTGGACTCGGTTGGCGCCGTCCCCCTCAGCTCCACGGAGGCCCCCGGGGATCCACCATTTGCCTCACCGCTGGTGGTGTCTGTTCATAAAACCTCATCTCCGACCATGAGGGGCAGCTGACTCTGCAGCGGAGTGAGGCTGGAGCGGCTGGGTTGGTGAGAGGCCACTCCAGCACCTGCTCTGGGTCTGGCGTGGGCAGCCTTGGCAGGCTGCTTCAGCTCACTGAACCTGCGTCCCCTCTGCCACTAAACAGGGAGGAGCGGGATTTCACAGTGAGGGAGAGGCAGTGTGGGGAGGCCTCAGCACAGGGCCCAGCGGCCCCTGGACTCGGTGTCTGTGAGTTCACCATCCCCTCCACTGCTCCAGGGGGCAGGCCAGTCTGGCATGCCTTGCTTGGGGTCTGGCCTGCAGTGGGTGCTTGGCAAACCTCTGTGGACTAAATGCAGGAGGGACACCTACCCACAAACACATCCAAATCCCATTTTTGGCTGCCTTCATGACTGGCTAACAAGTCTTCCCGCTCACTCACCCTCTCCACCTCCAAGTATCCTCTTGCAGCTGAGTATCCAGAAGCCAGTCACCTGGGCTAGCACCTACCAAGAAGAGCAAGGAGCGTTTGCATGGTATCAACCAGAACCAGAAGTCTCAGCCAGAAAGACGTGTTGTGCATGTGTGGTCTCCACTGTGAGCTTGTGGGTGTGCGTTGCATGTATATGCAGGACGTACATGTGCATATTCACGCTGTGGGGTATTTGTGTGTGTGTGGTGTGTGTCGTCTGTGTTGAGGGTTTGAGGGTGCACGTTGTATTGTACATATGTTTGGGGTACGCATGTGAGTATTTGTGCTATGAGGGTATGTGTGTGTTGTGCGTGCATCTGCATGTGTTCTCGCATTTTCTTGGTTGTGTTGTGTGTGTTTAGGCGCTGATACAGGAGCTTCGCTGCTGTACAAATATACAGGAGCTTTGCTGCTGGACAAATGTCAGATGGTTGAGTTCTCCAACAGCAATCCAAAGATGCTCGGCTAAATTGGCCACAGATGACACCCCCACCTCCATCCCGGGGTGCCATCCCATTCTCTTCTGTCCAATTTTTCAATTCCAGCAGGGAACTGAATTCTTCCCGAGAAGAGAGGGCTTTGGAAGCCAGGCAGGGAGACAAGGGTGGGCAGAAGGAGAGGACAGAAGGGAACATTAGAGCCAATTTTGTCTTCTGACAGATGGGTAAACTGAGGCCCAGAGAGGGCCATGACTTGGAGAAGATTCAAGGTGCCAGTGAAAGGCAGAGCTGAGCTAGGATCCATTCAGTGCCTGACAGCAGCCCAGGCCCTGCAGGGTCTTTGGTTACCTTAAATAGCTTAATACACAGACTTTTCTACCACAGGTTGAGCTTGAGAGGGGAATGGAAGATTCCAGATGTTTAACTCATGTCTGAAACACTTTCAGAAAGAACTATGAGTCACTCAAGCTGATTTCACGGACCAGAAATACCCAACCAAAAGTGTTCTGCGTCTCTCTTGTCATGAATGACACATTGTACTGTTATTAGGAGTAATTAATAATATAAAACTGTGCTTCTCAATGACACCAGAGCGATTTAGGGGAGGCTGGCCCTTGGTGTTCTGCTGCTGGGTTTGAGGGGAAGCAGGTAGAGTGGTCTGGGTGTGACAGCAAAGGCCATGCTGATCACAGAGGACTCGGACATGACCGTGTCTGCCAGGCTCTGTGCAGTGCTAATGCCAGGCACCACACCTGGCACAGAGACAATTCCACACCTCGTGCCAGGTGCTGCAACAAGCCGTGGGGCTGCACAGTGACTAGCGCAGGCCAGCTCTGCCTCCACGGTATCCCCTCTGATGGGCTTACCCACTCATCTGCCCATTTCCCCCAAACCTGAATTCTGCATGCTGAAAACCGTGGGGTCAGGCAAGTACATGTTACCACTTCTGTGTGACCTTGCTGAAGAAAGTGAATGAACTACTCCGGACCTTAGTTTCTTCATCTTAAAAGTGGAGATCTGACAGGTATCCATCCACTCATAGGGCCAGTGGAAGATTACATGGGTAACTCATGCAGGGCACTCAGCACAGGGCCTGGCTTGGAGCAAGCTCTTGAAAAAGCTAATTACAGTAGTCCCCCGCCACCCACCCCATGCATGGCTTCCCTTTCCAAGGTTTCAGTTACCCATGGTCAGCCGAGGTCCAAAAATAGTGGGTACAGTACAGTAAGATATTTTGAGAGTGAGAGAGAGAGAGGGGGAGGGACCACATCCACACAATTTTTATTACACTATATTGTTATAATTGTTCTATTTTATTGTTAACTGTTGTTGTCAATCTGTTACTAGGCCTAATTTATAAATTAAACCTTATTGTAGTATCCATGTGTATGAAAAAATAGAGTATATAGGGTTCGGTGCTGTGTGAGGTTTCAGGCATCCACTGGGAGTCTCAGAACGTACCCCCATGGATAGGAGGGAAGACTGATTAACACTGCGCATTGTGCATCCCAGGGGCTCCCCGTCCCGGACAAAATACAAACAGACCCTACTAAATCCCTCTTCTTCCCTTTGGATAACTTATCTCAAATTATAAATTATAATTTTGTGTGTGTGAATTTGTGAGTGGCTTCATTCAGTGTCTCTCCCCAGCTAGACTGTGTCCTGTGTCTCCCCAGTGTCTGGTCTAGGGACAAATGCTGAGACGTCTGCAAGGCCATCTAGAACGCCAGGAAGGCACTGTGGGAACCCAGAGGAACAGGGCACGACGGTGCCCAACAGTCCCAGGAAAACACTCTGTGCCCTTCACCTACATCTCCATGCCAGGGTTGGAGACAGGGTCCTGTCCCATCTGCACATGGAGCCCTCCGGACGGGTGAATCTGTCGTCAGTTTGGGGCTTGGGAATCGGTGTCCAAGAGCTGGCTTCAAAGGCAATGAAACTGGCATTGCATCTTTGAAGGCAGCACAGGCTACATCTGTCTTATTCTCCGTGTCCACAGCCCCTAGCAGTGACTGGCATGTGGTCACGCCCAATAAATATTTGCTGAATGAATGAACGCAAAACAATTTGCAATGTGGACTAGTCCCTTAAAGTATGTGTATCTGCAACCGGTAAGTCTACCACATATCTTAAGGAAATAATCAGAGAAGTGAACAGTTTTAAGGAGAAGAACGTTGATCCTATCTTCATTCGTAAAAGCAAAAGTGCAATGAAATTAAAAACAAATAGAAGATGCGTAAATAAAAGGCAGTGATCATAAAACTGTTCAAAACCTTGTTTTCAAAAATTATCTGATGATATAAAGTCCCATATAAACTAAATTTAAAAATAGGCTGCAGAACCGATCTCAACTTTTTACAAAAATATTATTAGAAAAAGGATTAAAATGATATTTGCCAAAATATTAACAGTGGTCAGCTTTGTGCAATGGATTAAATGCAATATATTTCTCATATTGTTTGCTCTATTTTCTACCATGAGCATTCATTTAGAAAAATTTTTAAAAATTTTTACTTAATAGTGCCTCTGAAGCACCTCTCAAGTCCTACCTCCTGCGGCTCCTTTAACAGCGGCCAAGACACCGAAGAGGCGGGGGTGCCAGACAGGCTGACGTCATGGGCAGCCCGAAATGACACAGCTAACCGGCCAATCCCAAGTTTGGATTCCGGGAGAAGCACGATCTATTGGATACAAGTGCTGGTGGCCTCGGCCAATGGTGGGAGAGGGGCCGGAGCCCGGCGGCTGCGTGGGTTTTAAATCCACGTGGTGGCTGCGGGGCGGGGCGCGGGGCCTCGGTGTTTAAAGGCTTTGGGTCCGCCGGGGCTGCAGCGGCGGCGGCTCCGAAGCGCTTGTTCTTTTTTGTGAAAGGCGATTCCTCCACCACCTCTTAGGATCTTGGGCAAGTCACTCAGCCTCGCTGAGCCTGTTTGCATCAGTAGGGTTTTGTGAGGCTCCAGCCCTTCAACAGAACATTTGCTGAGCATCTACTGTGTGCCCAGCAGGGCCTTCTTAGATCAGGTATAAGGCAGGAGGGAAGCGTCGGGAGTCCCAGGCCTGCTGCCTCTGTAACCATGGGCAGGTGGTTCAACATTACCTCCCCTTCTTCCCCACTGCTCTGCCCCATCCTGGCTTTTATTGTATCTCCTCTAAAAGGGTGTGAGCTCCACGGGGAGGTACCCATGTGCTTTGAGGAAGGTCTGCCCCAGTTTATATTCAATAGGTACTTTTTGAATAATTATTGCAAAGACTAGTTCTCAGCACAGAGCTTAACACATAGGAGGTGTTTGATAAATGGCAATTGTTCATGCAATAAAGAACAATAGCAGGCCAGGTGCGCGGTGGCTCACACCTGTAATCTTAGCACTTTGGGAGTCTGAGGCAGGATTATTGCTTGAGCCCAGGAGTTTGAGACCCCTGGGCAATGGTAGTGGGACCTCATCTCTTAAAAAAAAAAAAGAAAAAAAGAAAAAAAGAAAAGAAAAAGAAAGACAGAAATATATTAGCCAGGTGTCTTGGTGCATGCCAGTAGTCCCAGTTAATTGGGAGGCTGAGGCAGGAGGATGGCTTGAGCCCAGGAGTTTGACGCTGCAGTGAGCTATGATTGTGCCACTGCACTCCAGCCCGGGCAACAGAACAAGACCCTGTCTCCAACAGCAACAACAGCAAAGAAGAACAGATAGCACTGATGGAATGCCTATTACGTGTAAAGTGGTGTTCTGGGCATTTCACGTGTATTACATGCAATTTAACATTAACAAAATTACAAGTCTTATATAACAATATTCACAAAAAAAAACCAGATTAGTCACCATTATTATTCCTATTTTGCTGATGTGGAAACCAAGGCAGAGAGAGGCGAGGTAACTTTTCTAAGGTCGCGTGGCTAGGAGGTGGTGGGGCTTGATTCAAATCCAGGTCTGTCTACTCCTGGGGCCCTTGTTCTTAACCCCTGCGCTATCCCAATACTTGTCTAGTACTCAGCCTTTTTTTTCCAAGAACGTTCTAAGTTAGGCCTGTGCTAGTGGGAAGTGGGAGAGGAGGGGATAGGAATCAGGTGGGTGAGGCAGAGCCAGGTGAGCTGGGGTCCTGCCCCCTATGGCATGGCCCAGCCCTATGGGGTGGCATTGGGCAGGAAGAGGGGCAGTGAGACAGACAGCCACTGGGGCCACGTGTCCTGTAAACAGGCTACCTGCTTGCCAGGCCCTGTGCTGGGCTGGTGGGGGGCAGTGCGGGGCAGTGCTGGGCATGACACACCCTCCCTGCCCTCATGGGGCTGTCAGTCTAAACCAGCTACCACTAATGGTGACCTGAGTGCAGCCTGCAGGAGGGGTTTTGGTTTTGCCTGCATGGTATTTAAACACTTTTTAAACATGAATTGCCTCGGTCCCCACCCCTCCCTAGTGTCACAGATGTCAGCTTTACTCATGTGTCCCACCAGCTCCTGAATGCCCTGAGCAGCTTTGTTCCCTGGTCTCCCCATGCCAGCAGCCCGCGGGGGGGGGGTGGGGGGGGGGCTCTGTGGCTGGCACACAGTGACTGCCCTGGCTTTCTTTGCTTTGCCTCCTGTCTGTGTTTGAAATCCCGAAATCACCGCCTTGAGCTCTGAAGCCCAGCGGCTCCGAGGCTGCAAGCCTCTCCGCTGGCCCCAGATGTGCAGCATGCAGCTTGAATCTCTGAGGACTCTGGTGGTGGATGCCAACTCCAAGTAAGTCAGACTTGGTTTCAAGTCCCAGCATCACTGCTAACCAGATGAGTGACGCAGGGCAAGCTAATAAAATCTGCAGAGTCTCAGTTTTTCTCCTCTGCGAAATGGGGATAATAGCTCCTTCTTCATCCGGTTATGGTGAAGGGTAAGTGCGTTGATGCAGGCTGAACGCTTGGCACAGAGTAACACTCTTTCTTTGGAGGCAGCTCATTTAGAACCATTGTCACTGGCAGGAAGTCCTTCCATACATCAGGCTGAGGTCTGCCTGCTTTATAACTTCCATAATTTGTTTTCCTAGCAGCATAAACATGCTTCTCTCTCCATAGAACGGCCCTTCAGTAACTAAGGGCCATGCTAAACATCACGGTGTTCTATTCAAGCTCTCCTACATCATTTGTGGAGCCCATTGCAAACTAAAAATGCCAGGCTCCATGTTCAAAAATTAGCAAGAACTTCAGGTTGGTGACAGCAGAACTCAGAGCCCCTTCTGAGGGCAGAGCCCCATGTGGCTACACGTTACATCCCTTGAAGCTGGCTCTGTTCTCACTGGGGGTCCATGGTATGGCAGCATCCTCCAGTACCACAAGATGGGGTCTTTCCGGAGCTGAGCAGGGCAAGGACAGGTTCTGGCTGGACCCAGGGAAGCCCACCTGCAGGTGTGGCCTCTATCTCTGCAGCTCACAGTGGGAATCTGGCCCACAGGACCCAGCCTGCCACCCTCCAGGGAGCCGTGGAGATTTCAGGATTTCTCCTCTGCGAAATGGGGATAACAGCTCCCTCTTCATCCGGTTATGGTCAGGGGTAAGTGCGTTGATGTAGGTTGAATGCTTGGGCAGAGTAGTGCTTTTTTGTTGTTGACGGCGCATATATTGAGAGCAAAGCACACAAATCCAAAGTCGATTGTTTGATGACTTTTCACGTTGAATATACCTGGATCACCACCTCCCGGATCAAGATTGAGAGCATTCCCGTCACTCCAGAAAGTTTCCGGTTACCGCCCACCTTGTTTCCAGTTACTGCCCACCTCATTTCTAGTTACTGCCCCCCTCATTTCTAGTTACTGCCCGCCTGCGTCCCTGCAGAAGAGATAACCACGATTCTGACTTCTTTGACGGTAGATTTCTTTAGTTCATGCTTGACTTTCTATTGTTTTATTTTTATTTTTGTATTTTTAGAGACAGGGTCTCACTTTGTCACCCAGGCTGGAGTGCAATGGTGTGATCATGGCTTACTTCAGCCTCCATCTCCCCTGGGCTCAAGTGATCCTCCCACCCCAGCCTCTCAAGTAGCTGGGACTACAGGTGCGTGCCACCACGCCCAACTAATTTTTTAATTTTTTGTAGAGACGAGGTCTTGCTATGTTGCCCAGGCTGGTCTTGAACTCCTGGGTTCAAGCTCCCACCATGTCCTTCCAAAGTGCCGGGATTATAGGCATGAATCAAGGCACCTAGGCTTGATGTTCTGTAAACAGAATCCTGCGGTATGTATTCTTTTGGGTCTGACTTCTTCACTCACGGTTAGGCGTGCTAGGTTCACCCTAAGCACAAAGGCATGCTGCTTTGTTCTTTTTCATGGCTCTGCAGCTTTCCTTTGTGTGCAGACACCGTGATTTGTCCCTTCTCTTGTCATGGGCATGGGTTGTTCCCAGCTGTTGGCTCTTGCAGGTGGGGCCGCTGTGGACACTCTTACCATTGTCTCTTGGCTTGCTCCTTGCACACTTATTCTCCTTTCTCTGGGGTCCTTTGTCAGGAGTGGGAACGCTGGCAGAGGGTGGGCTTGTATTTAGCTATAATAGATATTCCTGATCAGTCTTCCAAGGTGGTCGTACCGACGCCCATTCATTGCCACCCGCAGTGGACGGAGACTTCCTGGTGTTCCACATCCTCCCCAGCACTCGGTTTGCCGCTCTTATTAATGTAGCCATTCTGATCAGTGTCACCCTTGGATTTTGCAGCTGACCTAAGGGGGCTGAGGGTGAAGGCCACAGGCTGAGAAGCTCTTGCCAGTGGTCAGTGAGGAGCAGCAAATTCGGGTCTTGGCACTTGGTAGGTGCCCCTTACCCTTGGAGACACTTGCAAATCTGACCAGCATGGGTTCTGTGACTTCATCTAAGTGACTGACGAGCACCCAGAAGAGGACAGACCCCACTGCAGAGAAAGCCGGGGCTTCCTCTTAGACAAGCCCCTCCCAGTCATCGCGTTTTCACTCATGTCCTCTCCCAACAAAAGCGTGGAACAGGAAAGTATCTGCTCTTCACAGCGTCACATGCTCTATTTAAAAACAACTTTTGGGAGGAGAGGAGGGAGCAGAACAGATGTTTGGCCATGTTAAATTTACACAGTGATTGTAGGTTGCAGCCTCCTGCCTGAAAGATTAAAATATGAAAAAAATGCATCTCAGAAACACAACAATAACAACCCCAGCCCCTGTGGTGCACTCACTACAGGGAGGCGCTGTGCTGGGGGCTTTGGAGCTGGAGCGGCTCCATGTCAACTCCTCAGCAACCCTTGGAGGTTGGTGTTATCACACCATTTTACAGATAAGCTATGACCTCCAAGCCTCAGTTTCCTTATCTGTAAAATGAGAGGGAGGCAGAGGGAGATTCAACATGTGCAGAGAGATTAAACACACACAGAGGAGAAGGCCATGGGAAGACAGAAGCAGAGACGGGGTAGAGGCAGAGAGCAGGCAGAGGGAGGCAGAGACAGAGACCAGGATGGAGAGGGAGAGGTAGAGACCGGGGTAGGGGGAGGCAGAGACTGGAAGCAGAGACCAGGCAGGGGGAGAAGGCAGAGACTAGAGGCAGAGACCCAGAGGAGGCAGAGACTGGAGTGATACAGCTGTGAGCCAAGGGACATGGGCACACAGGCAGCCATCAGGAGCTGCAGAGGCAGGTGGGACCCCAGTGGGGCCTCTGGAGGGAGCCTGGCCCTGCTGACACTTTAATTTTGGTCCTGCAATAACTGATTTTGAACTTTCGTCCCCTAGAACTGTGGGAGGATCAATGCTGCTTGAAGCCATCGGTTTCTGGGAATTTGTCACAGCAGCCCAGGAAACACATGCAGAAGGTTTGGAGATTGGTCTTTCCGATGACTAGGGTGCTTTGTGCCCATTTCAACACTCTCTGCCCTCAGTGGCACATTCAGACCACGTTGACTTGGGCAATGGTGAGGGAAATGCAAAGGTGAGCCAAAAATACCTGGTCTCTGTCTTTGGGGGGACTTAAAACAACAGCAGCTCATTCTGTCGCAGTCCAAGAGGCCAGAAGTCCAGAATCACGATGCCAGTGGGGCTGGCCCCTCTAGGGGCTCCAGGGAGAATCTCCAGCATTTCTCTCCTGGCCTGGTGGCTGCTGGCTCCTCTGGCGATGTGTGGCATGTGGACGCGTCACAGAGATCGGCAGGCAGATCTCTGCCTCTGTCTGTGCATGGTCTTCCTCTCCCTGTGTGACTCTCTGTGTCTTCACTTGGGCTTCTCACAGGGACACCAGTCACTGGATTTAGGGTGCACTCAAATCCAGTATGACCCATCCGAACTCATGACATTTGAAAAGACCCTTTTTCCAAATATGGTCACATCTGAGGTCCCAGGTGGATATGAAATTTGGGTGACACTGTGCAACCCAGTACCATCCCTTTTTTTTGAGACGGAGTCTTGCTCTGTCACCCAGGCTGGAGTGCAGTGGCGCGATCTCGGCTCACTGCAACCTCTGCCTCCCAGGTTCACGCCATTCTCCTGCCTCAGCCTCCCAAGTAGCTGGGACTACAGGCGCCCGCCACTGCGCCTGGCTAATTTTTTGTATTTTTAGTAGAGACGGGGTTTCACCTTGTTAGCCAAGATTGTCTCGATCTCCTGACCTCGTGATCCGCCCTCCTTGGCCTCCCAAAGTGCTGGGATTACAGGCGTGAGCCAGCGCGCCTGGCCCAGCACCATCCCTTTTTGCAGGAGTCACCCTCTTTGGTTTCTGAAATGCGGACACACGTTACAATGGAAACGAGCACTTGGGGCTCCCTGTCTCGGAAAAGTTGTTGAATCAATGCACGTTGATTGCTTCAGCAATCTAGGAAATACTATGTAAGTTTTCTTTAAACAATGCCAGTATGGCCACAGCGCCCCCCAGAATTCTACTATTCATTCACTCACTCATTTACCTCATTTACTCATTCATTCATTCATTCATTCATTCATTCATTCAGTGTTCCGTCCCTGATGATTTGGTTATGACCAAAGCAGACACAATCGCTGACCTCAGGGAGCATGTGTTCTGGTGCAAGAACTGACGCTGAGGTCCCCCTGACTCTTTGCTTATCCTTCTGACAGCAAAAGTTGTCAGGAAAACAGACAGAAACAAAAAATGCCCACTCTGGACTGAATTGTAAATCTTACCCCTTTCTCCTCACCCAAAGCCCAACAAAGCAATTTGAAATTCCAAACCTGTGACCACTGGACAAGATCACCTTTCTCCCACTGAGAAGAAGATCAGCGTTGGCTCGGGCCAAGTCTGGGAGACAGACAAGGCCTCCTTTCAACATCGTGCCTCCAGGGGAACCAGGCCAAGTATCGGCCCTCCAGAGACAGCTGCAGCCCTTGGAGGCCTCCCCACTGAGTCCACACCCCTGGCCCAGGGCACTCAGGCTAGCTGACCGGCCCTGCTCCCTGGCCAGCCTCATTTCCTCCTGTTCTCTTGCTTGGTGCCCCTAGCAGCCGTCTTGCACCTGGCCACTGCTTCCCACGCCAGGGCCTTTGCCTTTGCTGTTCCCCTGCCTGGCATGGTCTCGTCATTCAGGGCTCAGCCTGAATGTCACCTCCTCCTGGAAGCCTTACCCTCATCTCGTTATGTCCTACCCCATCACCCTATTTCTTTCCCTTGGGTCACCAGTAAGAACCTGGGTTGAGCTTGTGCAGCCGTCTCATTGTCTTAGCCTCACGAAACTGTAAACCCTTTGACAAAAGGGATCTGTCTGGTTTGTTTGACGTGTAACCCCAGCTTCCAGCCTAGCACAGAGAAAGCTCCATGGAGACACTGACTGTCAGATGACTGCAGACCTCCCCACAAGGAGGAGGGAAGCTGGCCTCCAAGGAGGCGCATCCCACAGTGCAGTGGTCTCTGGCCAGGGTGGGTCATTACGCCATTGGTTTATAGCGCCATTTGCTTCGGCCCCTTTTGGTGGCATCCCAGGGTTTAAAGTGACCAGGCAGCTAGTGTGGGGAGACGGGACACAGCTGTCTGAGGTCAGGGGGTCTGTATGTGCCTCTCCGGCAGGGAACAGCCTCGGCCGTCAGAAGCCAGGTTTCAGCATTTAGGATGCAGCCAACAGCCAAATTGCTTTCTTGGTTTTATATATAAGGGCTTTTTTTGGTACCATAAGGGCGGGTGGACAGGGCTGCCTTTGCTTCCTGGAGGGTCTGGTTCCTTTCGGGGAAGGTCTCAGTTGGCCACTGGAGTAACAGCACTGCGTCGGCCCATGTGGCCAGCCAGCATCCCTGTGCTCATGGCTAAGGACAGGCTGTTACTCTGTTCTGCGGGTCTTGAAGTCATTTGGTCAAGTGGACTTCAGAAGGAGAGAGAGAGAAGGACAGACAGCATCCATGGAGACTGCCACAGAGAATGGAAAGAGAATGGGATCTGCAGTCTGATGGGCTGGCATATCTCAGCAGCAGCAACAACAACACAATAATATGGAATTCAGTCCAGGCACGGTGGTTCCCGCCTGTAATCCTAGCACTTTCGGAGACTGAGGTGGGAGTTTGAGCCCAGGAGTTTGAAACCAGCCTGGGCAACATGGTGAAACTCCATCTCTACACGAAATACAACAATTAGCTAGGCATGTTGGCATGTGCCTGTAGTCCCAGCTACTGGGGAGGCTGAGACAGGAGGATTGCTTGAGCCCAGGAGGTGGAGGCTGCAGTGAGCTGTGTTTGTACTACCACACTCCAGCCTGGGCGACAAAGTGAGACCCTGTCTCAAAATAATACTAAATACTGAGTTCATCTTGCATTCCTCCTACACGCTGAGCACTACTCAGGCATTCACCTAAATTACTTCACACAGTTCTCATGAGAACCTTATGAGGTAGGTCTCAGTACTGTCCCTTTTTACAGACACGGAAGTGGATGCCCAGAGAGGGTCACTTGCTCCCTTTTTTTTTCTTTTTTCTTATTTTTTTTGAGACAGTGTCTGGCTCTGTTGCCCAGGCTGGAGTGCAGTGGCATGAGCTCTGCTCACTGCAGCCTCCGCCTCCCAGGTTCAAGCGATTCTCGTGCATCAGCCTACTGAGTAGCTGGGACTATAGGCATGTGCCACCATATCCGACTAATTTTTGTATTTTTAGTAGAGACAGGGCTTTGCCATGTTGGCCGGGCTGGTATCGAATTCCTGACCTCAAGTGATCTGCCCGCCTCGGCCTCCCAAAGTGCTGGGATTACAGGCGTGAGCCACCTCAGCCAGCTGTCAGTTGCTCACTTGGTGAAGTCAGGATTCTAATTCAGGCTGTTGGAGTTTGAAACTGAAGCTCCTCTCCATTAATGGAAGAACCCAGATTTGGGAGTTTCCCGGAAGAACCACCTGGGGTGGGAGGAGAATTGACTGGAGCAACACTAGCAATGCCCACAGTAACAACCCCAGCGACGCTAATAGCCTGGCCGTGGGAGCAGCTGCTTATGAGCCTGGCCCGCAGCCGGGCCCTGGTTAAAGACCTTCATGTACTTCATTCCACGCTCCCAGCAACTTCCCACAGCCAGCACGTCACGGGTGCTTGGGAAGTGTTACTTGCACATTTGTTGACTCAATCACTGAACAACTCTAGGTGGCCGTTAATTTTATCGCGTTTTGCAGAGGAGAGCACTGAGATTCAAAGGAGCCAATTTGCCTGGTGACTGCCCTGCTCAGCGCTGAGGACCAGTTCTGGTCTGGGATGACGTTTCCATCAGGCAGCTGCGAAATTAGGCCACATGGAAGATGTTGTGAACTTTTTGCAAAAAGAAGTGTTATTTCTGTTACGTTGATGTTAAAGATTCTCCTATGAAATTATTTTGATTGCAGAAAGTAACTTTAAAATGTTATTATTACTAACCTATGGTGGTCTCTTGCCATCCCCTTCTGAAAAGTCATGCCAGTTGGTGAATTCTGGACATGTGGGAGCCACTTCTCAAGGTCACAGCATCCAGGTACCTGGAATGTGAGCCCAGGTCTGGGTGATTGCACAGCTCTGCCACCTGATCAGCTCCATAAACTAAAGGTGGGGGATTTCACCTTTCTTAGCCTCATCGGGAAAGCAAGGCATTACAAGAACCCGCCCTGGCACATTACTGAGAAACCAGGATGAAGTGAGGATTCCAATCCCATTTCCTGGCATACAGTAGATGCAGGTTTTGCCCTAATGCAAACCCAGGGTCCCCCATGCCTGAGGGCAGGCTTAGAAATGTCATAAATCAACCCAGAGAAGAGAAGGGAGAGGCAAGCATGTTTGTGGGGGAAAAAAATGCCTGTGGGGTGGAAGACTACAGTGATAAATGAAGAAGCAGAGGACTTTGATTTCTGGTAACAACGACAAAAACTAAAGAAAATGTTGATGTACACTCACAGTTTGTCAGTGGAATGTCCCAATGCTGAAAGTAAGTAGGAATATAAGGGAACACTGGGATTGGCACCAGGGAAAATACCTCCAGGCTGGGGGAAGTGATCCAGTGGCTTGCAAAGGTGGAAGAGGCAAGTCCAGCCAAGGTCAGTTGTTGGGGAAGGTTGCTTGGAGGATCCTTGGGTCTGACCACAGCTTCACTCTTGAAACTTGATCATCTCAGCTGCCTCAGTAGGTCTGGTTTCCTGAAAGCCAGGACCACTTAGCGGAGGTCCTTGGGCAAATCACTTCATCTCTCTGGGCTCAGTTAGCTCCTCTGTAAAATGGGTGGAAACATACAAATGCTGTCATGGATTAAAGCCCTCGGAGCAGTGCAAGGCACCAGGCAGCCACTCAGCTCTGCTTGCTGTCCCTTGTAGGAAGGAGGCAAACCCCCAGTCCCTGTGAGTCCCTCCCCAGCACCTGCACACAGGGTTGGGCAAACAGTCAGTGGGGAGAGACGGGACCGTCCTGGAAGGTGAGGGGAACTTCAGACAGCAATTTCTAGAATCCAAGTTCTCCTCTGGGTTCAGTCTTAGGTTGGCAGCTGCCAGGCACTTCCGGGAAAGGCAAATAACAGAATTGCTGGTGTTGAGAGGTGAAATAATACAGTCCCAACAGTGCACGCGCATGCTTTGTAAGTCAAGAGATTTTGATATGCTTCCAGCTGTATCCCCAGGATACACAGCACTATGCACTATGCCTGGTGCATAGCAGATGCTTAATTAACATAACTTGAGTCAAAAATTGAATATGGTTCTCAAGGGTGGCAAAGTACAGCCTGTGGGCCACATCCAGCCTGGTGCCTGTCTTTGTACCTGCCAGTTACGAGTGGCCTTTACATTTTTAAATGGTTGGAAAAAGGCAAAGGAATAATATTCTGTGGTACATGAAAACTGTATGCAATTCAAAGTTCTGTGCCCATAAATAAATTATTTTGGGGAATGCAAACAGGCTCATTTGTTCACATATTGTCTATAGTGGCTTTTGAGCTACAAGGGTAAAGGTGACTAGTTGTGACAGAGACTTTTCAGCCCACCCAGCCTAAGATACTTACTCTCTAGCCCTTTAAGAAAAAGTTTGTGGCTGGGCACAGTGGTTCACACCTGTCATCTCAATGCTTTGGCAAGCCGAAATGGGAGGATCGCTTGAAGCCAGAAGTTCAAGACCAGCCTGGGCAACAAAGCCAGAGTCCATCTTTACAAAAAATGAAATAAAATAAATTAGCCAGGTGTGGTGGTACACACCTGTAGTCCCAACTACTTGGGAGGCTAAGGTGGGAGACTGCTTAAGTTCAGAGTTTGAGGCTGCAATGAGCTATGGTTATACCACAGCACTCCAGCCTGGGCAACAGAGCAAGTCCCTGTCTCGATAAAAAAGGAAAAGGTTTGCCAACCCCTGATCTAGACCAATTGGTCTCAACTTTGGCAGTGCGTTGGAATCACCTGAGAGCTTTAAAAATCCCGATGCACAGGCCTCAGCCTCAGAGATTCTGACTTAACTGGTCAAGAGTGCAGTTGGGACAGAAGATTCTAATGGGCAGCCCAGGCTGAGAACACTCCCTAAGTGCTGGCTGTTAATCAGGACTCCTCTTTTTGGTTGTTAGTACCTCCCAAGCATGAACAGGGCATTAGAGCACCATGGGGAGAGCAGCGCCAGGCTCCTTCCAGAGATCCCTGAGCCCAAACTTGCAGACTCTCAGGCTTGTGGGGCCAGTCAGGAACAAACATGGGGGAGTGGGCAGGTAACTGAGCACGGGCTGTCTCAGGTTCTCTGTCTCCCTCTGCTCCTGGCAGGTGGGCTCAGGAGGGTGTAGATGCAGGGCTGCGTCTCCTCTATGGGCCAGCAGCATCTCTACATGTTTCGTGGCACCTGGTACCATGTGCTGAGCACTGGCCGTCATGCCCATCTATTTTGGTGGTGTTAGAAGCAGCTCCCAGGTATTGAATGCTTCCTCTGTGCCCAACAACTCTGTGCCACCCTACGATGGGGGGAGTGTCTTTCCTTTTGCTGAAGAACTTTTCTGAGGCTTGAGGAGGGCAAATCACATTCCCACAGCTGCCTAGTTACTGCCAGGCCAGGGTTTGAAGTCAGACCCGTCAGGCTCCAGAGGCCACTCTCTGAGTCCCTGTGCGCTCCTGCCAACGGGAGGAAGAGAGAGAGCTAAGCCGTCTCTCTCCTGGGAGGCTGGGGCGTCTGGTTTCTTAAGTGATGAGCACCGCAGCAGTGGCAGCGGCACCGTCCTGTGGCTTCTTTCTCACAAATCTTTTATTTTTGGCCTGAGACAGCTAATGCGTGGCCAACGTATCCTAGGAAACCAGGATGCTTGGAGCAAGCTGTACCAAATCTCCATGCTAAAACCATCAGATGGCTAATTTGGGCCTCTCTAGTTATTTATTTAATTATTTTTAGATGCCTGTGTATCGTTTTACACACTTTCTTGACAAATGCAAGCGTCAGGCACACGCGTGCAGGGCATTGGACCATGTGCCTGTTCCTGTGTGCACCCGCTCACTGTTCCTCTCCTTGGTGAGCCTCCCGGGGCTTGCGGGTGAGGCAGGATCTGCCCAGTCCTCCCCCTCCTGCCTCTTTCTCACCCTTCAGTGGCACATCCCAAATGTCAAGCCCTGAGGTCTAGCTCTGGGTCATGGCTTCTCAACGTTGGCACTATTGGCATTTGGAGCCAGGGAACACTGTCCCGTGGGGCTGTCCGAAATCAGACCTGCAGCAGTGTCTCTGGCCTCTACCTCCTAGGTCCTAGTGGCTGTCCCCCCCATCCCCCATACCTTACCCCTCACCCCCTGTTGCGACAATCAAAAATGTCTCCAGGCATCACCACATGTCTGCTGGGGTTTGAGTTGCCTGATAAAATACAGGACACCCAGTTAAATCTGAATTTCAGATAAGCAGGGAATTATTTTTTATTTTTTAGTATAAGTATGTCCCAAATATACACATAAGTATAGCATAAGAATGTCCTATGCAATATTTGGGACATACTTATACTAAAAAAAATTCATTGTTTATTTAAATTCAAGTTTAACTGGATGTCCTGTATTTTATTTGCTAAATCTGCCAATCCTAACTAGGGGGCAACATTGTTCCCAGTTGGGAACCACTGGGCTAGAGCCTGGGTTCTTCACCACAATGCCTCAGTTTCCTCACCTGTACAATGGGTATGATATCAGTTCCAACCTTGTCAGCGTGTCCAGGCTCTAACACAGCTGAGACAGGTTGGGAGGCATGTGACATGCTCAGCGAAGGCCAGGACGTGCTGTTGGGGCCTCAATGATGCACCTGGGCCTCTTTCAGCCTCCCTGTTCTTCTCCCTACTTTCTTCTGCTCTTTGTCCTGGATCTCCCTTGGGTGACTTGACCAAGGAAACACAGACACCACCCTAAGAATGGGCAGCAGAGGACAGGCCCTGCAATCCAAGTACAAGTTTAGAAAGAAACCATTTCTCATGGGGAGTGTATTAGTCCGTTCTTGCATTGCTATAAAGAACTACCTGAGACTGGGTAATTTATGAAGAAAAGAGATTTAATTGGCTTACAGTTCTGCAGGCTGTACAGGATGCATAGTTGGGGAGGCCTCAGGAAACTTACAATCACGGTGGAAGGGTGAAGGGGAAGCAGGCACCATTTTCACATGGCAGCAGGAGAGAGAGCACGGGTGTGAAGGGGGCAGTGCCACAGACTTTCAAACAACCAGATCTTGTGAGAACTCACTATCATGAGAACAGCAAAGGGGAAAGGCATCCCCATGATCCAGTCACCTCCCACCAGGTCCTGCCTCCAACACTCACTCCAACACTGGATCACAATTCAACATGGGATTTGGGTGGGGACACAGAGCCAAACCATATCAGGGAACCAGCATCTACTGCACAGAATTCCTTGTGCCTAGTTCTGTGCTTAGAACTGGGAACAGTGGTGCTAAAACACAGATCCAGGCCCTGCCTTCCACGAGCTGCCTGGTTCCTGGGTCCCTCTGATGCCTCCCTCCTTCCCCACACCCCCCACATCTCATCCATTGGCAAATCCTGGAGCTCTACTTCTTTTTAAAAATAGCTCTATTGAGGCATCTTTGGCGTACAATCAACTGTACCATTTGGTAACTTTTGATCTATGTATGCACTGTGAACCCTCAACACCATCCACATGCTGAATATCTCTGTCACTCCTGGTGAGCTCTCTCTCCCGCCCCCTCTCCCCCAAGCAACCACTGATCTTCTCAGTCACTATAAATGACTTTGTATTTCCTCGAGTTTTATATATAAATGGAATCATACAGTATGTACTTTTTTGGGTCTGGCTTCTTTCCTTCACATAATTATTTTGAGATGTGTGCACGTTGTTGAGTGTATCAGCAGTTCATAGCTTTTTATTTCTGAGTAGTAGTCTGTGGCATGGATATACCCCGGTTTGTTTATCCATTCACTTGTTGATAAATCTACCTCTTTTTTACAATGCAATTATGCATTGAAGCATAACATGCATACAGCAAAGTGCATAAAACATTCATGATAGTTTGACAGAAAAATAAGATCTAGTGTTTGATGGATCAGAAGGGGACTGGAGTTCACAATACTCTATTGTATATTTCAAAATAGCTAGAAGAGAATAATTTGAATGTTTCTAGCATGAAAAAAGACAAATATTTAAGGTGATGGATATTGTAAGCAGACTGATTTAATCTTGACTAATGATACGAATGTATTAAATTATATGTACTGAAAAAAATGATATGTGACCAGATGAGTGCATTTTCATGAAGTACACACCCTCATCCATGTAACTATAGCACCCAGATTAAGAAACAAGACATGGCCAGACCCCAGAATCCCCCCTGAGCCCCTCCTTGTCCCTGCCTTCCATTCCCCTCTGTGTTCTGACACATAGATCACACTGAGGGTTCTTGAACTTCATCTGAATGGATCACACAATACATTATTCTTTTGTGCCTGGCTTCCTCCACTCTACGTTATGACTGTGAGATTCATTCTCTGTGTTATGTATACCAGTAGTGTGTTCCTTTTTACAGCCGAGTAATATTCCACCGTGTGAATACACCACAGTTTGTTTCTCCGGTCCCCTGTTGCGGGACATTTGGGCTGTTTCCAGTAGTTGGCCATTTCAGATAATGCACCTGCGGACATTGCTGCCATAGCTTTTGTGCCTGTGTTTTCATTTCTGTTGGGCTGTGCCCAGGAGTGGGAGTGCCAGGTCCTAGGGTATGCATAGGGTCAGCTTTACTAGATATTCTTCCTCTTAAATTCTTTGTAAGACCATTTGCTCTCCAGCTGTCCACCACCATCCTAGCCCCAGAAGCTGCCATTTGCACCCGGGTGACTTCAACAGCCTTTGAACAGGTCCCTGTTTACCCCTCCCCAATCCACTCTCCACATGGAAGCCAGAGTGAGCGTTCAAAATGGCAATTTGGGTTATGTTGTTGCCCTGTCTTCTCATGGGCCTGAAGCCCATCAGGCCCTGCCTCGTCCCACCCCTGACTGCCCGCATGAGTTTCTTCTGGCTGCTGTGACAGATTGCCATGAACTCCATGGCTTAAAGCAGCACACATTATCCTAAGTTCAGGAGCTCAGATGTCTACAACAGGCAGCAGGACCCATCCCTTTGAGGGGCTCTAGGAGATAATCTGTGTCCTTGCCCTTTTTCAGGTTCTAGAGGTCACCTGCATTCCTCAGCTGCAGGCCCCTTCCTCTGTGGCTTCCATCCTCCAATCTCCTCTCTCACTGTGGCTCTCCTTCAGCTCCCTTATAAGGACCCCTGCGCTTGCACTGGGGCCCTGGCTACTCCAGGATAATTTCCTACCTCCAGGTCCTTCACTTCATTATATCTGCCTGGTCCCTTTGCCTTGTAAAGTTGCATATTCACAGGTTCCGCAGATTAGGACGTGGACATGGGGGAGCCGCTGCCTCTCTGCCCACCGCCCTGTCATCCTTCTCTGGATACACTGGCCTCCCCGCTGCCCCATCTCAAGGAATAAGCCTTCTTCCCCTTCAGCTTTGGCAGATGGCCCTGGCTTTTGCACACCTGGTCTCCCTCTGTTCATGTTTTCCACTTGTCTGCCACTGCATTATCCAGTATGACCTTGTTCACTTACCTGTTCGAACATTTCTGCATCCCCATCCTACTCCTCCCTGCCCCCGTTGGTCCCTGGAGCAGGGGCCTTGGCTGTTTGGTTCCCCGCTGTGGCTCTGGTTCCTAGGCGTTTCGTGACTCATGGAAGGTCCACATTTGTTGCCTGCCTAGGGCCTTCCGTAGTGCTGAGCACTCTACTCATGCTTCCTGGGTCAACTCTAACAGCAACCCTCTGCTGTGAGTGCCAGTAACAGGCATGAATTTGCAGGTGAAGAAACCACAGCATAAACAGGTGAAGTGACTTGTTTGAGGTCACACAGCTTTTAAGTGGCAAAATCAGGATTCATGCCCAGGCAGGTGGGCTCCAGAGGGCTCGAGGGTCTTGGGCCGCCTTGTGGGCAGGGCTTTGTCTCCTTGTAGCTGTTCTTCTGTTCACAGCAAAGGCAACCTCATCCCTTTGAGCCCAGACAGTCATGCCTTTGGGATGTGTCCACTTCAGAACAGGGTCTGTGCTTGACTTACGCATAATGAAAGCTCCACTGAGGGAAGTCCCCCTGGGTCTGCCCCATGGTGAGCGCGGGCCTCTTAAGGAGCCACCTGACACACTCCTAAAATGGACTTTTCAAGGTCCCAGCTAAAGCCCAGTGTGCTTCTCCTCCTCCCCGGCAGTCCTGCAGGAAGGTAGCTTTTCATCAGACAAGGAGGCCTGCTCTGGGCTGGGGGCCCCCAACCCCCTCCCACTCAACCGAACACCAGATCTCCTCCCCTCCCTCTCAGGCTCCTGTGTTACCTGAATAGCCTGTGGGTGGGTCTCCCTATTGTTCCATAGTCAGATGCAAACACGAAGTTGAAGTACCATTAACTTGGGGGATGAGTCCGTTTTCACACTGCCGATAAAGACATTCCCGAGACTGGGTAATTTATAAAGAAAAAGAGGTTTAATGGACTCACAGGGCCACGTGGCTGGGGAGGCCTCACAATCATGGTGGAAGGCGAAAGGCACTCCTTACGTGGTGGTGTCAAGAGAGAAAATGAGCCAAGCAAAAGGGGTTTCCCCTTATAAAACCATCAGATCTCGTAAGACTTCTTCACTACCACGAGAACAGTATGGGGGAAACCGTCCACATGATCCAGTTATCTCCTGCCGGGTCCTTCCCACAACACGTGGGAATTATGAGAGCTACAATTCTAGATGAGATTTGGGTGGGGACACAGCAAACCATATCACTTGGTCATCCAAGGTCACGTGGCTGGAAGGAGGGTGGGGCAGAATCCCAGCCTAGATTCCCCTGGTTTCACAGCCTGATCTCATTGTTTATTTATTTATCCAACAAATGGTGAGCACCTACTGTGTGCTGAGCAGTGTTTTGGAAGCTGGCGATAGGCACGGAATGAAACAACCAAAGTCCTTTTCCTCAAAGAGCTGGTATTCTTGAGCAGCAGAAAATAAATGCAAAGGTTCTTTACCACAAGGTTGAGCCTGGTGAGACGGAACACTCACACAAGAAGTCAGGCAGAGCAGACATCACTCACAGATAGGCAGCAAGAACAGGCAGAAACCTAGGACCTAGCAAGCCAGCTGCTCATGGCTCAGGAAAGCTGCCCAAGGCGGAAGGCGTTTCATCTGTGCATGCTCCACCTTGGACTACAGCCTAGGGACCCTGAAAGCACCCTGCCTCAGGTTTCACACCCTGGGTGACACTGCGATTGCTGAGTTCCAGCATCGAGGGACACCCTGATCTATGAGGAATGAGGATATATACAGCCTGGGCTGTTCTGGACAGCTCCTTCTAATCTCAGGACATTGGATTTGTGGCATATTCTACAGTGAGCCAGGGCACCAGCACTGATCCCCTCTCCCCTCCTCCCAGGGAATATTTTTGGTTGTCTATTCTCATTCATTCTACTTCTGAAACTGTTCAGAACCACAGGTCAGGTTCTGAGAACACCATGAGAGGAGGTGGGAGAGCTGTGTTAGCCAAGGCCATGTGAGGCTCTGTCCTCCTGCAGTAAACAAATAAGCCCATCTTATTGACACACACACACACTCACTACACCCTCTCCTTAGGGACACACACACAAAGCCTTTTTCTTTGTAATAATTACAGCAAAAATACCACGGCTGGTGCTCATTGGCCTGGCTTGTGTCACATGCTCATCCCAGAACCAATCAATGTGGCTGTGGGGATGGAGCCAAGCTTAGGTCACAGTCCACCCCCAAAGCAAGATAAACCGTCAAACCCACCTGGACCACACGGACTGAGCATGCTGATGGGGGTGGGGTGAGAAGAAAATCCAGGTGCTCCTACTGGAAGGGAAAGGGATGATGGTAGGCAAGAGGTCCAGTAGCCTTGACATGTCTGTGGGTTGATGACTCCCCCAAACTGTTCTCCAGCCCAAACCCACCCTTGAGTCCCGGACCCACAGTTCCAACTCTCTCCTGGCCACATTTGTTTGAAAGTCCTGTGGGCACCTGGAACGCAGTGTCTTCCTCCCCACAGCAGCTCCCTCTCTGGTGTTGCTTGCTCGCGGCAGAAACCTGAGCTCCTGCGCTGATCCCCTCTCCCCTCCTCCCAGGGAATATTTTTAGTTGTCCATTCCCATTCATTCTACATCTTAAACTGTTCAGAACCACAGGTCACTTCTCACCTGCACCAAAGCATGCAACAAAATGTTTTCCTGCTGCTCTTGGAACAAAGCCCTGTCCAGCAAATTTCACACAGGCTATGGGCTCTGAGTCCTGGCATCCGGGTGATTTCAGATCCTGCCGAAACGCCCTTGCTCTCAGCCCTCTGGCCACACTGACCCACGTGGGCAGCACTTAACAGGTGTCTGGCACAGATGTCTGAACGACATCTGGAATGTCCCTTTGTCTCTTGTTTCTCTCTTTCTCTTCTCTAAGCTTTTATTAGTGTTGCCCTGCTGCATGGAATATTGCCTCATAACTAACCTAGCTAAGTCATTCTCATCCTGCAGGCTTCAGTTTACCCATCGCTTCTTCCAGGAAGCTTCTGCCCATCTTCCAGGCTAGGTGTGTGTGCTCCTCCCACAAACCCTCATACTTCACCTTAACATGGTGCTGAGCAGATGGCGTCATTTCTGCCTAATCCCTTTTCTTCTTCCCTCCCTTCTTCCTTCCTTTCCTCCCTCCGTGCTTTCTTCCTTCCTTCCCTCCCTCCGTGCTTTCTTCCTTCCTTCTTTTCCTTCCTTTTTGCCTATCTTCTGCCTCCTTGTCCCCTACTGGGCCATAATCCCCTTAAGGGATAAGACTGTATCTTACTTACCTTTATAATGGGGTGCCAAGAACTGCAGAGTCATAGGCCCTTGACTAAGCTCTTCCAAAGGAGTGGGCTTATTCCCATTAGATGGGAGAGCATCAAGGAGAAGTGGGTCCAGCCCTCCACTGTTCTCTGCTGGGAGTCCTGGAGGATTTGGGGTACGTTCTGGCCCAGGAGACCTGAGATGTAGGAAAGCTTCGATTTAGAGACAGGGATATGGTGCTGAACCTTAGGGGTTGCAAAAGAAGTACTTGGAAATTGGCTTTGTCTTTACCAACTTGACCCTGGAAAGTTGTTTCCAGGGAGCCCCCTGGGTTTGCTGCCCAAGATCTTTTCAGCAGAAAGTTGGGATATGCTCAGGCTTCTGACCTCAGAGAACATTTTTTCCATAAGGTCTAACATAGGGTGGCCAGATAAAATACAGGACACCAAGTTAAATTTGAATTTCTAATAAACAATGAATAATTTATTAGCATAAATATGTGCCAACTATTGCATGGGACATACTTATACTGTTGATTGATGATTCACTGTTTAACTAACAAACAAACTTAACTGGGCATCCTGTATTTTTATTTGCTAAATCTGGTGCATTTCTATCACGTGGAGCTGAGTTGGATGAACAAACTAATGAGTTTGTATTAGTTATCTACTGCCCTGTAACAGATTACCAGAAACTCAGCAGCTTAAAACAACACACATGGGTTATTCTGCAGCCTCTGTGGGCCAGGAATCTGGGCACAGCGTGGCTGAGCTCTCTGCTTCAGGCCCTCCCCAGGCTGAAATCAAGGTATTGACTGGGGCTGTGGTCTTATCTGAAATCAAGGTGTGGGATTGGAAAGGAATCAGCTTCTAAGCTCTTGCAGGCTGTTGCCAGAATTTATTCCTTTATGGCTGGAGGACTCATGGTAGTTTGCTTTTTCAAAGCTAGTAAAGAGAGTAAGATTCCAGAGTGAGTGCTGGTGGATGGGGGGGAGTGTCTCCTGACATGACGTCATCATGGGAGTGACACCCATCAGCTTTGCCGTGTTGTGGAGGTTTGCAGCAAGCCACAGATCCCACCCACAATCCAGGGGTGGGGATTATATGAGTATGGCCACCAGGAGCTAGGGATCCTAGGGACACCTCAAAGTCTGTCCCACACAGTTTTGTTTCCCACCACTTCACTTTTGCCCACACAGTTACTCACAGCAGGGATATAATTTCCTTTTCTGAGTGGACACCAGATGTTAGCCTTCAAGGCCCCCTTAAGAGTTTGGGCTTCTGAGCCATACTTCTCTGCCTCACTTGGGCAGGTTTTGCCTCTCTGCATCTCTGTTGTCCCATCTGGAAGCTGGAGAGTAACAGTGCCCATCTCCTAAGATGGTTCGTTGATTGCGGCTATTCAGGAAGAATGCTCAGCTCAGGGACAGGGAGCACTCAGTAGACACAAGAGCCCCACGAGCTCTGCCCCAGGCAGTGCCCAGGAACTGCCCAGGGTCAAGCCATTAGTGAGTTTCATGGCTGTCATTAGACCCCAGTGGCAGGCAAAGCCAATGCAAAGTGGAAACACTGGTGGATGACGTGCTGGGTGATTTTTCTTAACAACAGAAATAAACACATTTCGAACTTGGTTTTATTTTTGGTGTCAGTGAAGGTGGGCAGTCAAAGTAACTTCATGCCAAGCGCTTCCTGTGTGCCAGGCCCTCCCTCGGCACAAGGACACAGCAGTAAACACTGGGTGTCGAGGGCTAAGTCTGGCGTGGCTGCTCTGTGGAATTGGCCTATGGAACTCTGAGATGTTCTAAGGTCCAGGCCCTGCCTCATAGATGCCCTTCATTGGTCTGGAGTAGCCATTTTCCAACTTTGGCAAGCTTGTGAACCACCGGCGGCATCTTTCTCAAAATCACAGGCAGATTCAGCAGGTCTAGGGTGGGGCCTGAGGTTCTGCATCTCGGAGCAACTCCCTGGTGCTGCTGGTCCACGGGAGTTACAGTGGAATTGGAGGTGTTGATATTTATCAGGCTACCTCGACAGTGATGGTCTTGAAATAAATCCATAGGTTCTTTGATACTCCTCCCTTTAAGAGGTAAAGCTGACTCCCCCCACTGCCACCCCTTGGAGTGTGAGATGGACTTCATGCTCACTTCTGAAGAGTAGAATATGGTGGAAGTGACGGTGTGTCTCTTCTGAGACTTAAGTCCTAAAAGGCACTGAGGCTTCTATCTTGCTCTCTCTTGGATCACTTGCTCTGGGGGAACCAGATGACATCTTGCAAGAGTGCTCAAGTTGCCTACGGAGAGGCAAGGAATGAAGGCTTGGAACGTGCCCATGGCAGGACCTAAGGCCTGCTGCCAACATCCAGTGAGGAGCTGAGGCCTTCAGCCAACAGCCACACAGTGGGTCCCCTGGGAAGCAGATCCTCCATGTGGTCAAGTCTTCAATGGCCACAGCCCTGGCTGCCATCTTGACTGCAATGTCAGGGGAGACTCTGAGCCAGCTCCATCAAACTGAGCCACTTTTGATTTCCTGACCCACAGATGCTGTGAGATAACAAATGCTCATTGGTTTAAGCTGCTAAGTCTTGGGTATAACTAATACACCAAGTGATCTGAATGTGCAGCTGGGTAAGAGAACTGTTGTAATGGAAGAGACAGACAGTAGTCAAGCAGTTATTGAAGTCAGTGGTTCTTAAGCCTGAGTGTGCCTTGGAATCAGCTGGAGGGCTCGTTAAAACACAGACTCCGACTGGGCGCGGTGGCTCACGCCTGTAATCCCAGCACTTTGGGAGGCCGAGGCAGGCAGATTATGAGCTCAGGAGTTCAAGACCAGCCTGGCCAATATGGTGGAACCCCGTCTCTACTAAAAATATAAAAAATGAGCTGGGCATGGTGGTGTGCGCCTGTAGCCCCAGCTACTCGGGAGGCTGAGGCAGGAGAATCACTTGAACCTCGGAGGTGGAGGTTTCAGTGAGCCGAGATTGCACCACTGCACTCCAGCCTGGGCGACTGAGCGAGACTCCATCTCAAACAAAAACAACAAAAAACCCACCAGATTCCTGGGGTGAGGACTGCCGCTCATTAAGTAGCTTCCTACTGGGTCAGGTTTACTGCCCACCTATCTTCTCTCTCCCTGCTCACTCCCCACTCACCTCTAAAGCACCCCCTTGTCTCAATAAATGGGGGAACCATCCCTGAAACCTTTCTGATCTAACCTTGGCCAACTTGATGCTCCATTACTGGGGAGATGGTCGAGTAAATATCAATACCTCCAAGCTCCAGAAAATAGTGCAGCAGTAATAAAAAAGGGTTTGGTTTCTATCTGTGGATCTAGAGAGGCGCCCATGATTTATCTTGAAGTACAGAAAGCAAGTTGCACATTTTTCAAAATGAAAATAGCTAAATTGTTTTTTACATCTCCACCCGCCCCCAATTATAAAAGCAATACATGCTCATGGCAAAAAATAGAGAAAACAGAAAAGTATAAGGAGAAAGAAAGTGGAAAGAATCCAGAATGTTACTGCCCAGAAACACTACTTTTAACATTTTGATGCATTTTCTTCCAGTCTCATTTCTATGCATATTTGCACACATGGGTGTATATATATATATATATATATATATATATATATGTATATATATATATATTTAAATTTATATTGAAGCAAAAATAGAATCACACTACGAATGCTGTTTAGTAGATTGCTTTTTTTCCACTTAACTATCACAGCTTTCCATGCTAATGAATATAGATTTATCATCATCTTTCATGGCAACAGAGCATTTGAGTTTGAATACAGCCCACGTTATTTGAGCAATCCCCTGTGGATGGACATTTAGGCTGTTTCTGGATTTTCATGACTGTGTAAACAGTGCTACTGAGGACAATGCTCCATTGTACCTTACCCGCTGGGTACTTGCCTGATCCTCGCCTTGGGATCAATTCTTGAGTGTGGAATCGCTGCTTCAAAGGTTGTGCACAGGTGGCTGTCTTCACAACGATTCTAAGGGTGGGTTCTGGAGCCAAGGGCTTGGGGGTGAGTCTGGGCCCTGCCCCTCTGTTTTTACAACTGTTTTCATCTGGGGCACATTCCTTAACCTCCTGGTGCCTCAGTCTCTTCCTCTCTAAAATGGGAATAACAATTGGATGTCATTCCTGGAGCTGCTGGGAGGAGCCAGTGAGATGGAAAGTGATCAGGGCTCAGGACTGGCACCAGCCGGCTCCTGGGTGAAGCCAGAGAGCCAGTTGGGAAGGTGCCTTGGGGACCTTGGTACCTGCTGGAAAGCGGAGAATACGGATAATGTAATGTTGGCTAATTGTGTGTTTTTCCTGCACAAGGCACTGTTCAGAACCCTTTGCTAACTCACCTCATCCTTATATAAGCCCCTGAGTTAGGCACTGTCATCTCATTTACAGACGAAGAAGATGAAACACAGAGAGGTCAGTGTCATGGCTTGGAGGAGGTGGAGCTGGGACCCAAGCCTAGTGGTGAAGCTCTAGAGCCTTCATCCCTACCACGATGCTGGGGGAAAATGATGGAGAGGAAAGAATCGCTGGGGTCAGAGAGACGGGATTCAAATTCCGGCTCTGCCTCCTCACAGAAGGATGAGATGTTGAGTGGCTGAGTGAGCATTCTGTGAAGGAAAGGGGAGGTGGGGGAGGAGATAGGCAATAAACAGCAAACACGTGTGTGATAACTGCAGACCCTGCTGCTACTGGGAAGGATTTGGACAAGAGAGTAACAGGAGGGATTGGCAGGTCTGCACGATCCTCCCTGAGAACCTGACTGCTGAGCTAAGATGAGGAAGACAAAATGAGGAGTTACCTCTGGAGAGGAGCTGGGTGTGGGGAACATTCTGGCTTGTGCAAGGGCCCTGGGGGTGGGCGAGACCTTGGTGAGTTTGAGAAACTGGAAGGAGACCCGTTCTGGGGCCACTGGAGGAAGGAGGAAAGTTGTTCTCTTGGCAACCCACTTGATTGCAGGAGAAACTGAGGCACAGAGAGATAAGTGGTTTGCCAAGTCCATGGGGCTGGTAAGCGTAGAGTAGTGCTTTTGACGCAGGTGGTCAGACGCCTGAGCCTGGGCCCTTCATGAGGCATGTGAGTCATGCTCACTGGCCTTCTGAATATTCAAGAGAAGCTGAAATGCTGATTTTTGTGTGAAATATCCTCATGTTTAAATTTTGGTAACCACTTAAAACATAAAGTAAAATAAATCCTGTGGAGATATGACCCAAGGGCCATGACCTAGTGTGTTCTGATGTCACCTCTCTGTCCCTTTATCTAACAACCTCTGTGCCTTTATCTAACAATGCACACGATGCCAGTCCCTACCTCGTAGGATTGCCAGAGCCTGTTAAGAGTTATGTGAGCGAGAGCTCCAGGAGGGGGCCTGTGTCTGTCAGCCCAAGGCTGAGGTTCCACTCGTGAAACGTGGTTCCTATTTCCTCACTCCTCACCATCTCTGGCAATAGCCTAGGCGAGTTCATGTTTCTAGAATGGCTTCTGCCTTTGTCCCAAAAATGACAGAGTAGCAGCAATTGATCCCTTGATGTCCCTCCCAGCTGCTGCTTTGCAGATGCTTATGATTTGTGCATTTAAAACCCGACTAGAAAACTCTCAGGGGCACCTCCCCCATTACCTAGCAAGCTTCATGGGAGAAATGTGTCTCCCTGGCACAAATGCCCAGAGATCTGAGTAAGAGATAGTATTAGTCCGTTTTCACACTGCTGATAAACACATACCTGAGACTGGGAAATTTACGAAAGAAAGAGGTTAAATGGACTCCCAGTTTCACGTGGCTGGGGAGGCCTCACAATCACGGTGGAAGGTGAAAGGCAGGTCTCACACGGTGGCAGACAAGATAAGAGAGATTGTGCAGGGAAACTCCCCTTTATAAAACCATCAGATCTCATGAGACTTATTCACTATCACGAGAATAGCATAGGAAAGATCTACCCCCATGATTCAATTACCTCCCACCAGGTTCCTCCCACAACACATGGGCCTTGTAAAAGCTACAATTCAAGATGAGATTTGGGTGGGGACACAGCCAAACCATATCAGAGATTGACAACCATTGTTTGAAAAGTCAAACTTTGGAAAAAACCTAAGTGCCCACTTAGTGCGGACTGAGTAGTTGACAACACAAGTCACAGTGGATACCCAGGAGCTATCCATGAGGGCAGGGCTAGAGCAGGGCTGACTAATGACGGTCCTCAGGCCAAGTCCGGCCCACAGCCTGAGTTCATACATAAAGTTTTATTGGCACCCAGTCACACCCATGTGTTTACACATTGTCTAAGTCTGCTTTCAAGGTACAATGACAGCGATGAATAACTGCGATAGAGACCATATTGCCCACAAAGCCGAAAATATTTACTTTTGACCCTTTTCAGAAAAGTTTTGCTGACTCTTGGACAGCATCAATAAACACCAAGGTGGAAGGTTCCCCTTGACCGACTGCTATGTGGGAAAAGACCAGAAGGGGAGAGGGGAGGGACAGGAATGCCAATAGGGTGGCTTCAGTTTTGTAAACAACGATGGAAGGCAACAAAATCGTAGAAACATGCACACAGATGTATCTTGTAGGTGAACAAACGTCTGAAAGGATACACCCCAGTCTGCTAATCATGCTACCTCTGGAATTTAATAGGTAATATACCTTATTGAGCATGAACTAGATTCCAGACACTATGCTGAAGGCACAGATTCTCTCAATTTTACAGGACTGATCCCCTTTTCACAAGTGAGAAAATGAAGGCACAGAGAGGCAAAGTCACTTGCCCAAGGTCACACAGCTTTTGAGTAGCAAAGCTGGGATTTGAACCCAGACCTCTTCGATTCCAGACTACGAGGGAGAAAGGCAAACACGTATTTGTTTTTGTCTTTATTGTTTGATAAGCATGAAAAACATCAAACGTGACTTGCTTAGCATAATTCGGATCAAAAGCCCTCTCAACACCCCCCTCCTATCTCTTAGGGGCATTCTTACAAGTTGGGGCTCATTGTGATTTGCCAGAGAGGTCACAGGGCAAGAACTGCTCTAGATAATAGGTGAGAGGCTGAGTGGGGGCAGATTCTGAGCCCTGGGTTAGGACAGGCACCCTCTTTTAATTTGAGGCCTGCCAAGCTCAGGACACACATTCGCATGGGAGCTGAGAGCTCACCTATTCTGCCGAGATTTTCCAAGACATTGCATTTTATGAGTGTTATTAAATGGAGTTGTTGTTAATACTGATTTTATGGTGCTAAAATGATTAAGCATGGCAGGCTTTTAAACAATGAGGTTCATAAAAGGTGTTAATAACCACTTAAGTACCTTAATAATATCCCCACCTATCATAAACTGCTCCCAGTTAGGCCTCTTTACTTTTCTTTGCCCCAGGAATGAGTCAGGAATCCACTGGAAGGCTGGATGGAGACTTCTGGAACAGAGGAGGAGCTGTACCCAGTTTGGGAAAGTCAAATGGAAAGGCCAGGAAATGTTCATGTGCATTCTGAAGGACAGCCCATTTCAGGCTTTCCAGAAAGAGGACCATGGTCATCCAGGCACCAAGAATGTGGTGAAGGGGGTGGGGGCAGGGGCTCTGGTGCCCGACAGCTCCACCTGTGACTGCTCGCAGTGGCAAAACCCAGACTGCAGTGATGGCACCGAGGCTTAACGTCTGGCTGCTGCGTGTAGACCTGACTCTACCCCGCTTTCGCCTAGTCAGTGTGGTCAGTTTGCCTCCCTCTGTGCACTGCACCAGTGCAAAAGGCAACTGTGCAGCCCTTTGTTGAAAAGTTACTGAAAATTTCAAGGTAATAACAGTAGAGCCTTCAACCAATTGTGGAGCCCTTCTGAGCCTGGGGCCCTGCATGACTGTATGGATTGCACCCACGAGGCCGATCCCTCTCTGTGTCCTGTTTCCCCTTCTATAAAATGGAGTTAGACACATATATAACTTAAAATTTTTTAGTAGTCACATTTAAAAAAGTAAAAAGAGACCAGGCATGGTGGCTTATGCCTATAATCTCAGCATTTTGGAAGGCCAAGGTGGGAGCATCACTTGAGCCCAAGGGTTCGAGACCAGTCTGGGCAATATAGTGAGACCTCGTCTCTACAAAAAATTAAAAAATTAGCCAAGTGTACAGGTGTGTGCTTGTAGTCCCAGCTATGCAGGACACTGAGGTAGGAGGATGGCTTGAGCCTGGGAGGCAGAGGCTGCACAGTGAGCTGAGATTGCGCCACTGCACTCCAGCCTGTCTCCAAAAAAAAAAAAAAAAAAAGAAGTAAAAAGCGACAGGCGAAATTCATCTTAATAATATATTTAAACTTTAAAATTATGTTTAACATAATATATCCAAAATATTATAGTTCCAACATGTAATCAAATAGGAAATTATCAATGAAATATTTTACTTTTCTAAAAAAATACCAAACTTGTGAATCCCAGCATATATTTTATAATGACAGCAACAGGTCATTTTGGAATAGCTGGATTCTGGGTGCTCAATAGCTACTCGTGTCTTGCTATTGCCATGTCAGACAGCACAGATCCGGATAGATTGCACCACTGTGTTTGGAACTCATTTCTTTCTGCGCCTCAGTTTCCTTAGTTGCCAAGGGCGCATCATTAGGTGGGTCTGGCAGGGCCATTCCAGACTCCCTGAGACAGCGTGCTTGATGCATGGTAATTGGCAAGTCCATCACTGTCGCCAGATTGGAATCGCTGCCCTGTGCATGCCAGCCGGGTGAACCTGGGCACGTTCCCCCTCCCCAGCTCAGGATGTGGAATGCACCTGCCAACCACCACCTCACAGGCTGCTGCGGGGACCAAAGGAGATGCGGGCAGGGGGAGGGTGTCGTGCGGGCAAAGGACAGGGCATCCCGTACGCACAAGTCAGCTGCTGGTGTTCACAGGGCTTTGCTTTCACTCTGTAATGCCTGCCCCCTCTGGGGATGTCTTGGATCTCCCACTTGAACATGGAGGCAGTGACTGTCCATCCTGACCTCTCAGTGTTAAGACTCTGGGAAGTATCATTATCTCTTCATATTTATAGCCCCTAGAACTGTCCCTGGTATGCAGTAGGCACTTAATAATCATTAAATAACTGAATGAATGAATGTACGAATAAATGAATACCTATGTGAAAGGAGCCATTCTGCTGTCTTGTCCTTTGGGAAGGGCAGAGATTTGAAGCTGGGTGGGGACTTGGGGGCTCCTCCTACCTTTGCCTGATGGGCTCATGATCTGCTGGGCGAGACCACTCAGGCCAACTCTTAAAGCCCAGAGCCCCTCGGGATCTGCTCTAGTTCTACCAAGGGGTTTCACCCTCCCTGGTACTGGGCTCTGGGTGGACCAGAAGGTCTGTGTACTCCCAGAGGGGCCAGCAGAGTGGCCTGTGAATGACCTCTCCCCCACCCCCACCCCAGCCAGGACTGTTTACTCCTAATACATTAGATTTCCAGATGGGAATCATTTGGGCAATCGTGCACTTTTATATCCTTGAAAGGAAAAGAGAAAATGGCAATGCTTCCCTTTCTGCCCTTCCCCTCAAGGTCTGCCAGGATGACATCAGACCCCCAACCTCACCAGGGGGCTTCCTCACCAGGGGTTGGCGGGGACCAGAGGGGCAGAGCTTTGAGGGAGGCCGGAGAGAGGGCCTGCCCCTTCCCCTGCTTCCCAAAAAGGAAATCATGAACTTGGAAATGTTGGAAGCATGTCCTCTGTTAACCTTCTGCACACCTCAGTCGTCTGCACTTCACCGTCATACTTTCTGCCATGTCTGGCTGCCACTCATACTATTTCTTCGCTTTTTTCTTTAAGATAAGTTAACAAAGTTTTTATATAGCATTAAAAATGTTTTCATTATGGAAAATTTTAAATACATACAAAAGTGGCCTGAATAATATAATGTAATCTAATCTAATACAATATACTCATAATATATAATGTATGTATTATATATAACATGTCATATTAAATGTTGCAATATAAGATACAATATTTGAAATGATATGTAATATACCCATCACTTCGCTTCAAAAAGTGTCCACTCGTGGCTGATCTTGTTTCTTCCATGTCTTCACTCGCTCCTCCACTGCAGATTACTCTGAGGCATACCCCAGAAATCATGTCTTTGCATCCACAAATATTTCAGTATCTCTCTCCCTCTGAAATGTTCGACTAACTTACAAAACTTAATTTGTCTTAAAAGTGAACTCTGTATCACTACCCTAAGAGGAAATCTGGGTAACTTTCCAAAACTAGATGGAAAAATAAACACCGCGAAAGTAAAATAGTGTTACCCATGTCTACGTGAGCGTGAGCCTGCTCTCTTGGTTCAAAAAAGGAATCCAAGTGCTCAGGGAGTGTTGAGGACAAGTTGGCACCCAACTGAGACTTTCTCCTTCACAGATAATTAGGAAGGGTGAAAGACAATTGGGAGGGGAAAACTTTCTCTCTGTTTGGTTCGTTGTTACCTGATACTGAACCATAACCTCACTCCTACCGGCACGTCTGCCCGGGGTGCCGGCCACTCCTGGGTGCCACAGCTGCAAGCATAGGCACCCACGGGCAGGGCTGGCTTTCAGGGACGTGCTGCTGCTGGTGCAGGAGGCCCGCCTGGGTTCAGATCCTGGCGTAGCCCTTCCTGAGTATGTGAGCTTGGGCACACAGCAAACTCCCCGGCCTCAGTTTCCTCATCAGGGAAATGGGGGCAGGAGTAGTGGTACCACGCATGGCTGTTGTGAGGCTCACGAGATATTCCAAGTATAGAGTTTAGAACGGAGCGTGACAGAGCAAAATCTCAATGAATGGCAGCTGGTGGTGGTGTTGTTTTTATTGTTATTATTACTAGCAGCTAAGTAGACATCCCGATTTCTTCCAAAGTGTCCCCTCAACAGTGGAGCTGGAGTTACCTTTTCTCCCTGGTCTTCCTGGTGGGGGCTAAGTCTTGCCCTTTCTCCTGCCCCAGGCATTTTGGTTTCTGAATTCCTGGAACTTTGCACCGCAGCATCGGGGCTCTCATGATCCCCTGAGCCACTTAGCCTGCCAGCCTGTGAGTCACCTCTGTCTACTGGGGAAAACCAAGCGGCCCAGAAAAAAAAATTCCAGACTCCCATGGGCGTCCCCAGCTGCCTGCTGCCGGGATGAGCAGCGCCACCGCCACCCCCATCCCTGCCAGACAGCTGGGCAGGCTGCCAGGTCCGCGGCTCACACCCAGGATGGCAGCAGACAGCTCCACTGGGCTGGGCTCTGCGTGTGTGTGCGTGTGTGTGTGCGCGCGCGTGTGTGTGCACGCGTGCGCCGCGTTCTTTCCCCTCTGCTGGCCTGGGTTGTTTCGCTCTGGGCTGCGCATTCATTTTTAGATTCCGGCCTCCTCCCTCCCCGCCATCTCCCGCTTCTATTCTTAGAAAGCAAACTGGGGTGTGCTTGGGCTTCGCAGGGAAGTCAGACAGAAGTTTGCCCACGTGCTCCGGCCGCCTGAGATATGGAGTTAATTAAAAAGGAGGCTTTGAGCGGCAGGTTCATTGGCCGGAAACGCAGCTGGCGGGGGCCAGGGCGAGCCTGGGGTGCCCGGCCCCCCTGCTCTAGGTGGACTTGGGGAGCTGAGTGGAGGCTCTGCCCAGCCCAGCTCCCAGGGCCTGAGAGGGCAAGGCTCTTGGGAGGGCCTGCCCTGCCTGGATGGGTTGGGGTGGCCGTGAGTGTTGGTTAAATATGAACTCTTCAAGCATGTTGAGCTGCTGAGAGATTTTTAATTAGATAAATAAATTGTAAAGGGTTTGGAGGAGGGTTGCCTTCAGGAAGCTGAGCTGGCTGAAATGTGCTGTCTGCGGAAGGAAGCCGACCTTCCTCAATGCCAGCCTGGCAGTGCAAGGGCAGGAAGGCAGGGAGAGAGGAGAGGAGGGAGGGAGGGGTGAAGGGAGAGAGATGGGAGGAGGAGGAGGGTCTGGGGGTACTGGAGTGTCTCAGTGTCAGAGGCGTTGGAACCAGAGCGACTCCATCTTGAGTGAGGGCTGGAAAATGAGGCCGAGACCTGCTGGGCTGCGTTCCCAGAAAGTCAGGCATTCTGAGCCTCTAGATGTTTATGGTTAAGGAACAAATTAATAATGTTTACTAAACAGACCCAGACTTGGGAGTGTCCAGATATCCTGATATCTGGAGAACAAAGGCATTCCTAATTTTACTTTAAAGATAATAATATCGATTCTTGTAAAATACAGTAATTAAGAAAACTAATCCTTTATCACAAACCCTCGTAGCAGAGCACATCTGCCCATATATACAAGCATTGTACCTAGGGTGGACGCGTTCCTCCTCTTACTTTCGGGAATGTCCTCCTCTGTCTGTGGAGTAGCTGTCCTTTCACCACTTGACTTTCTTAGTAAATTTGCTTTTACTTTGCACTGTGGACTCACCCTTTCTTGCGCAACTGCGATCCAAGAACCTTCACTTGGGGTCTGGATGGGGACCGCTTTCCTGTAACAGCAGAAGAGAGTGAGCAGCTGGAAGGAAATGTGCCTGAAGAGAGGGGGAGTGCCTGGTTGAAGGAACCAGCCTGAATGGGTTCAAAATCCTGGCTCTGAATTTTCCAGTTGTGTAACCTTGGTCACAGCACTTAACCTCTCTGTGTGCCCATTTGCTTATCTGTGAAATGGGCACGTTTATCATAATGGTGCCCCTCTTTAACTTAAGACAAAGGGCTTCAGCAGCATCTGGCACAAAGCAGGGATTATGAAGTCACCCAAATTTATGTCTGCAGCAGGGAACAGAGGAAAAACAGAGGCAAGGACCCTATGGTGTTTAGAGACAATGGTTACCCCTCTCTGTCTTAGCCCAGCAAATCCCAGCGGCATTGCACGTAGGAAGGGGAGGCAGCCCTATCAGGACTTAATCTTCTTGGAGAAGAAGCAGGTGAGACCAAGAGGGTTCCTTCTCTGGGGCTGATCCTCCATTGACTGAAAGAGATACAACATTCTCTGAGAGCTCAGAAGCCTTCTCCTCCAGGAAACATTCCCTGACAGCCAGCTCCGTGCAGTGGCTCCCTCCTCTCCCCTTACCATACATCGTACTGTAGGACAGTGTCTCTCTCTTATTTAAAGTTGTGTGTTTTCTTACTTAAGACATTTTCACAAGTATTGTGCCAACACATTCTCATTATAAAAAATTAAAAATTTCAGAAGCCTGAGGAATAAAATGAAGAGGTCTTATCCCTCATTCTACACCCTTCTCAACAGTTTGATATGTAACTACTCCTTATATGCCATTTTATTTTGTGCATACATGTGATTGTAGTATACATATTAGGTAAACCAAGTGAGCTTCAAAATAATGTCTTGATATCACTTCATGATGGTGCTTATTATAACTTATTGTTTTATTTTTAATTTTTATAAAGATTTTCCTCAAACCTATGGTATAGACATACAGTAAAAAAAAAAACTGTGCAAAAGGATAAAAAGTGAAAATGAAGTGTCTTGACAATGCTGCCATTTCTCTTCCCCAGAAGCAAGCCTGCTGCCGATTTCTCATGCATCCTCCTGGAGCTGGTCTGTGCACATACAGGCACGTGTTGTGTCTCCACCCCCCCTTTCTCTGTGCACGTTAGTAGCAGCACATACTATCTATGCTGCCCAGCTCCTAGCTTATTTTCACTTAACTCTGCATCTTGGGAGATCATTCCTCATCAATACAAAGCACAGCAGCCTACTTTTTGATGGCTCCCTAGTATTCCTTTGTACAGTTGGGCCATAAGTTATTTAACAGCCTAGTGCTGGGTGTGGGGATTTCCAAGCACATCACCACATCCTTTGACATTCCTCCCCTGGAAACTTAAGGTCTATATTCTCTCCCTTGAGTGTGGGTGGGCTTGTGACTGCTTCAGCTAACACAGCATGGTGGAACTGAGTCCATCTGGTTCCCTGGTAGGTGGCAAATGGCCAGAGAGCTTCTGCCTTGTCTGCTGGGCCACTCTGAGCTCGCCATGCTGTAAGGAAGCCCAAGCCACACAGAGGATTTCTGTGGAGGTGCTCTGTTCCTCAGTACTGGCGGGGGCCAGCCTACCAGGTTCCCCGAGCACAGGCACCAGACGTGTGCGTGAAGAGGCCTCCAGAAGAGTCTTTGGCTGTTTGAATCATCTCAGCTGAGAGCCTGAACACTGTGAAACAGAGACAAGCTTGTGTTCTGTCTGAGTTTCCTATGCATAAAATTGCTAGCAAAATAAAATGAGTGTCTGAAGCAGCTGAGCTTTGGATACTTTGTTACCCAGCAGTGCATGATCAGATCAACGGGCTTTAGCGTGTCCTTGTCCACTTTACTAACTGGCCTGCCTTGTCTGTGATTCTTTAGAATAGGGATTATCTATTGATTCTTTTAAAATTGAGGTGAAATTCACATAACAAAATTAGCCACTTTAAAGTGAGCTACTCAGTAGCATTTAGTGCGTTTACAATGTTGTGCAACCACCACCTCTATCTAGTCCCAAAGCACTGCATCCCCCTAAAAGGAAACCGTAGTCACGAAGAAGTTGCTCCCCATTGTCCCCTGTGCCAGCCCCTGGCAACGGCAAATTGACTTTCTGTCTCTACCATTTTGCTTGTTAGGAACACTTTGTATCAACGGGATCTTGCATTGTGTGGTTTTTTTGTGCCTGGCTTCTTTCACTTGGCACAATTTTTTTTTTTTTTTTGAGATGGAGTATCGTTCTGTCGCCCAGGTTGGAGTGCAGTGGCACGATCTCAGCTCACTGCAAGCTCTGCCTCCTGGGTTCCCGCCATTCTCCTGCCTCAGCCTCTCCGAGTAGCTGGGACTACAGGCACCCGCCACCACACCCGGCTAATTTTTTTTTTTTTGTATTTTTAGTAGAGACGGGGTTTCACTGTGGTCTCGATCTCCTGACCTCGTGATCCGCCCGCCTCGGCCTCCCAAAGTGCTGGGATTACAAGCATGAGCCACCGCCCCCAGCCTCTTGCACAGTGTTTTGAGGTTCGTCCATATTGTAATATCTATTAATACTTTTTTTTTTTTTTTTTTTTTTTTTGAGATGAGGTCTCATTCTGTCACCCAGGCTGGAGTGCAGTGACCTGATCACGGCTCCCTATAGCCCCGACCTCCTGGGCTCAAATGATCCTCCCACCTCAGCTTCTGGAGTAGCTGGGACCACAGGTGCTTGCCACCATGCCCTGCTAATTTTTGTGTTTTTTTGTAGAGATGGGGTTTTACCATGTTGCTCAGGCTGGTCTCAAACTTCTGGGCTCAAATGATCCACCCGCATCAGAGTGTCTCCCAAAGTGCTGGGATTTACAGGCATGAGCCACTGTGTCCAGCTAATACTACATTTCCTTTTGTGGCTGTGAATAATATTTAATTATATGGATATACCATAGTTTGTTTATTCATTCGCTGATGAACATTTGGGTTGTCTTCACCTTTTGGTTACTGTGAATAATGCTGCTATGAACATTTATATGCACATATTTGAGTACTTGCCTTCATTCTTTTGAGCCTATACCCAGGAGTGGAATTGCTAGATCATATAGTGATTCTATATTTAACTTTTTGAGGAATCACTAAACTGTTTTCCACAGTGGCCGAACCATTTTCTATTTCCACCAGCAATGTAGCGAATTCCAATTTCTCCATTTCCTCACCAATACTTGGTATTGTCCTCTAAAAAAAGATCCTAGCTGTTCTAGCGGGTGTGAGGTGGTATCTCATGGTGGTTTTGATTTGCATTTCCCTAATGGCTAATGATGCTGAGCATCTCTTCCTGTGCTTGTTGGCTGTCTGTATATCGACTTTGGAGAGCGTATTGATTTTGCATTCCTGGTGCCTCCTGCAGGGCCTGGTGCGGACCCAGTGCTCCAGACGGCTCTGCTGAGTAAAGAACAGGAGAATAAACAAGTTGTGTTCCCCTGCCGTGGTCCACGCTGGGCTCCTTGTGGACATACCTGTCTCGTGAGGCAGTGAGACCCCTTTGACATTCCAGGCTGGGTGAGTCTTACCTCTGCCTTGTTCCCTTTTATCCTGACTCTATGATTGAGCTAGAAGCCTGCTTTGCTTGCTGATGCCCAGGCCACAGCCCAGAGCTCTGCCAACACTGCTGAGCCCCACCTGGGTCAATTGTGATTCAGTCTGGGGACTGTTGAGAACAAGAGGGAAAATTTCCTCCTCGCTCCTAGGAGGGTGGACTGGAGCTGGGGGCCCACTTGGGCTCAACGGAGCTTGGGGCTGCCTGAGAGAGAATTGGTGTGTCCCCTCCCTCTGTGCTGCTCTCAGGCAGTGTGGGAGCCCTCAGCTGCTGCGGGGGGCTGTGCCTTGAGAGGTGAGAGTGGGGATGAAGGAGAGGAGGAGCAGGAGAGAGCAGTTCTCGGGTGGTAAATGCCAGGGCTCTTTGCCAGAGGGCGGGCTCAGGAATGAAGAGGAGGCCCCAGGAGCCAGATGGCTTGAGCTGCCGCATCTATTTTTAAAGTACTTTTTAATTGAGGTCTAGAGTAAAATTAATTAATCGTATTTGTACAGCTTGATGAATTTTTCCATATGTGTACACCTGTGTAACCATCTCCCAGAACCCCGGGAGACTCCTGCACCACCATTCCCTGGCAATGACCCCTCCCAAGAAAACCACCATTCTGACTGCAATCACCCATCACTATCAGTGAGTTTAGCCTGTTCTTGAATCTCATACAAATGGAACCATGTTCTGGGCACTCTTTTGTTTTTAGCTTTTTTTGTTCAATGTCATGTTTTTGAGATTCATCCACGTCATGGCAGCACTGCCTGTGCTCGCTCCTTTCCCTCCCTCCATCCCTCTTTCCTTCCTTCCTCCCTCCCTCCCTCCTTCCTGCCTCCCTCCCTCCTCCCTCCCTCCTTCTTTCCTTCCTTCTTCTCTCCCTCCCTTCCTGCCTTCCTCCCTTCATCCCTTTCCTCCTTCCTTCCTTCCTTCTTCCTTCTTTCCTTCCCTTCTTTCACTCTGTCACCCAGGGTGAGTGCAGTGGTGTGATCTCGGCTCACTGCGACTTCCACCTCCCACGTTCAAGCAATTCTCCAGCCTCAGCCTCCTGAGTAGCTGGGATTACAGGCGTGTGCCACCACACCCGGCTAATTTTTAGTATTTTCAGTAGAGATGGGGTGTCACCGTGTTGGCCAGGCTGGTCTCAAACTCCTGACCTCAGTTGATCCACCCTCCTTGGCCTCCCAAAGTGCCGGGATTACAGGTGTGAGCCACTGCGCCCAGCCCTTCCTTCACTTCTTCCTTCCCTCTTCCTTCTCTCCTTCCTTCCTGTCCTTCCTCCTTTTTTTTTCCTTCTTTTGCTCCTCTTATTGCTCTACAGCAGTGGGTCTCACTGGGAGGATTCTGCCCTCTGGGGACACCTTACAATGCCTGGAGACATGTTTGGTTGTCATAACTGGGAAGGGGTTGCTCCTGGCAGGTAGTGGGTAGAGGCCAGGGATGCTGCCAAACATTTTATACTGCCCAGCCCTCCCAAAAAAGAATTCTCCATCCCTGAACATCCGCAGTGCCGAGGTCATGAAGCCCTACTCTACAGTATCTCATTGTAGGGATAAACTACAATTTATTTATCCCACCTGTCGTTGATAGACATTTGGGTTGTTTCTAGCAATTACAAATAGTGCTGCTGCGAGCACCCTCGTATGTATCTCTGAGTGCCTCTGTGTGCATTTCTCGTGGGTACGCTCCTGGGAGTGGAATTGTTGGCAGGCATATGTTTCACTTCAGCAGATCCTGCCAAGCAGTTCCCCAAAGTGGTCATGCCATTTTAATTCCCACCCTTATGTGACTGTTCCAGTTACTCTGCTTTCTAGTCAACTCTTGGTATCGTCTGTCTTTCTAATTTTAGCCATGGGTGGGTGCGCTCCGTGTATTTTTCAAATGTGCAAGCCTCTTGTCCCAGACCCCTGAGTCCTCACACAGTGTTGCGGATGTGTGTCATTTTTTGGCTGCCCGGAGTCTGAGCTCTTCCCTGACGTTTGGAGAATCCCCTACATTATAAATCTTGGTGGGAGGTAGAGTTTCCACATTCAATCCCTATAGATCAGATACTCACTTTCCCAGCCTCCTTTGCAACTAAATTGTGGTTATTTATTCCCCATGACATGGCTAGGGGGTAGATCCTAATCTTAGCTTCAGCTCAGCAATGCTCAGTGAGGTGAGGTTGTCTGTTTGGGATTACATACTGGTAGGTGGTGGGGGCTGGCAATGGACCTAGGGCTGTCTGCCTCCAAATCTGGTGCTAAACATCAGGATCAGGGCCTCGGCAGTCCCACTGTACATCTCTCTCTTGCTTGTTTAGCTGTGGGTTTCCCCTTTGGGGCTATCAGGGGACTGATCTAAATTTATGCCTTCAAACCCAATACTGCATATGCTTACTGGATGAATTAGTGAATGTTCCTGGTCTTGGGATATCTTCACAGGTGTTTGGTCTCTCACTCTTTATTACATTAGAACAGATTGTAAGTCCTTGAGGTCAGGCCCTAAGTTTGTCTTCTTCAGTGACACAGCCCCAGGGCTTACCACAGTGCCTGGCACAGAGGAGTTGCTCAAAAAACCTTTGCTAAGTGAAGGAAATAAACAGTTTAGCAACCTACATGGAAATAGAAACTCTGAACAAGAAGATTTAAATGAGAAAAAGAAACTTATTTTCTGAAATAACCAGAAGTCCAGAGAGAGGGAAGGCTTCAGTCCTGCTGCGATAGAGGCTCTGGTTCCATTTTAGCTGCAAGTCTCTCGGCTCTGCCCTGCTTCATGCGTTGGCTTTGTTCTCAAGCTGGCATCCCTCACATCATAAGATGCTGCCAGCAGCAGCAGGCGTTCTTGTTCCTCTCTAAGGGGAGAAGGAGAAAACCTCTCCTCCAACCATGGAACCCAAGTCCCCCTTTGCTTAGGGCTGACTATGTTAATTTATGTCACATGCCCATCACTGAAACAGAAATAGTTGCCCAGTGATTGCTATGAGCTGGTGGGCTAAACTGAACCAACTTCTGGCAAGGGAAATAGGATTACCACAACTGGCTTAGGTAGATTACTGAGGGACTCTCCCAGTTACTATATCTAGGGAGGGGCTCAGCTTTTCCCCAGTTACAGCAGTGGCAGGGGTCCTAGGCACCAAAACAAAATTAAGGTTCTATTGAGAAAGAAGAAAGGGCAACAGTTACTACTAGGCAGCCAAGAGGGTCCACTGTGTTACTCTTTACACGAAGTCTCTTGTTAACATGGTAAGAATAAACTCCACAGCCATTTATTCAATCAACCAACTGAAAACCTATACTAGTTATCTAGTGCTATGTAACAAATTTCCCTAAAGCTTAGTGGCTTAAAACCTCATGTGGTTGCAGTCTAGATGTGGGCTGGGATTGTAATCATTTGAGGCCAGAATCTGCTTGCAAGATGGCCCACTCACACGGCTGTCGGCAAGAGGACTCAATTCCTTGCCACATGGCCCTCTCTGCAGGGCTGCTTGAGTGTCCTCACAAGATGGCGGTATCTTACTCAAGTGCCAGTGATCTAAGAGAAAGGGCTCAGAAGAAGCTGAAATGTCTTTTGTGTGCTAGTTACTTCTGCTATATTCTGTTTGTTAGAAGTAAGTCACAAAGTCCAGCCCACACTCAAGGGAAGGAAATGAAGCACTATCTCTTAATGAGAGGAGAATTTGTAGACGTATTTCAAAACTTCTATGGGAGCCATCATCTCTCAGCTCTTTCCATGTGAAAGCATAGAGAACAGGCCTCCTCCTACAAATTCTCTACTCTTGGCTCTGGCACCCACATCCCATCTTCATACAAGCCTGGAACTTTCTCTGAGTCAAGGGGCTTTCTGCCAAAGGTTATCTCTGCTGGATTAGAGAGCAGACACCTTGGTGTCCTCCATGGGGATTTTCCTGGTGACTTCCTAGATGAGTTTGCCAAAAGGCCAGATCCTAGTAGATAACTCTTGCAGGGAAGCTCGGGAGAAATTCTTTACTGAAGCGCCTACCTTGTGCCAGGTAATTTGCATGTATTTCTCTCATTGATCCTTGCACTGTCCCCTGAGAGAGGGAGGACCTTTGTCATTGTCACTGAAGGAAGCTGGGAAACAGATGAGATGGCTCACCCCAGGTCACCTGGTATGTGTGATGCCAAACCCGACTTTTCTGCCCCACATCAATCCTGTGTGGGAGAGGTTTCTGTTTAAGGAAATATCTTGAATCTTGAGTCTTGTTGATTCAAACCAGCTTGGTTATGTTTTAGACTTCAGGGGCCCCTTGAAGAGATGGGACAGGAACAGGCTGCACAGGAACCACTTTTACATATTTAGAAGTTGACAATAATTAATATTTGCTAAGGATGTTTGCTGTACTTGGCACCATGCTATGTCTTTTCTGCCTTGTCTTATCTCTTCTGCACATCAGTAATATTGTAAGGTAAGGATTTCTACAATCCCCTTGCCAAAGATGAAGAAAAGAAGTCTCAAAGACGTTACATAATGTGCCTAAGACCTGGCTGCTACTGAGTAGCCATGCTGGGATTTCTATCCAGTTTGCCTTGACTCCAGCCCCAGTGCTCCTGACCACTGTCTTATGAGCAGCCCAGTGAACACTGAGGCTCCAGCACACAGTCTACTGTCCCAAGGCAGCTTCCACATCCTTCAGCAAGAGCTTTGGCTTGGTGCTGATTGGTGGCATTAGCAGGATGTGGATGGAGGGAAAATGATGGGGAGAGGCCTTTGCTTGTCAGCTTGTAGATGCTCAATTAGCTCCCAGGCACACAGAAAAGGCCCCGCTTCCCAAATCACATCTATATTCATGATGGGGCCGACAGGCTGCAGGGGCAAATTGCACATTCTTCCTTCTGATTTTTCATTTATTTCCTGGTGATATATTTCATCTTGGCAAAAAGCAGGGGTTCCGAGCTCACGCAGAGAGGCAGGCATGCCATAGCTGGACTGGGCATCAGAAACTCTCCTGCACTCTGTGAACGACTAAAGGAAGCGTAGCAAGCAATGCCCAGTGCTGTGATTTGTCTATTTTGGGAGGTTGCAGGGCCTGAAGGTGCTTCGAGGTCATCTTCATGTCTTCATTCTCCATTGATGCTAGTGACCACCACATCTCTACCTCTCCAGCCCAAACCTCTTCCCTGAACTCTAGACCAGCACTGTCCCCATAGAATCTTTGTGATAATGAAAATGTTCATTCTCCTCTAATACTGCAGCCACTGGCCACAGGTGGCTACTGAGCCCTTGAAATGTGGCAAGTGCAACTGTGGGACTGAATGTGTCATTTTATATAATATTAATTCATTTAAATGTAAATCTAAACAGCTGCATGTGTCTAGTGGCTACTATATTTGACACCGTCATTCTAGGCCTTTATTTCCTTTATTACCTTGCATTTGAGTGAGCTCCCCAGAGGCAAGGATACACGTGGAAGCCATTTATAAGGGTAGCACTTCCAGAACAAACAGGGTAGGAAGGGAGGCAGCAAGACAGAGGCAGAAACCAAGGCAGGTGCAGAGGTGCAATTTCAGGGCAAGCCCAGCCCTGGCCTCATCCTCTGGAGTCTGGAGTATCAATTATGCCTCTGAAATAGTTCTGTTTGGAGTTGGGGGAGTTGGGTGTTCATGGTCTCTTGGCCAATCAATGGCTACAACTTGCCCCAGGGTAGGGGAACATAAACTTTCAAGCACTCCTGGCTTCCTTCGTGTCTGGTAGGAACAGCTTCAGCTGTCCATGGGAAGTCCTGTAGGAGTTCTACAGGTGCATGGTGTTGGGAGAGTGGCCAGAAACGGGGTAAGAGGTCCCGGGGATTGAGCAGATCACTGGCAATGTCCCCTCCGTCACTCCCATGTATCCCCTCACATTGGAAGGCCCACAGCCCTGTAAACTCAGCACGTCCAAATGTAGACTCATCTGTATTCTTTTTTTTATTTTGTTCTGTCTCACTCTGCCACCCAGACTGGAGTGCAGTGGCGCGATCTCAGCTCACTGCAGCCTCCTTCTCCTGGGTTCAAGTGATTATCCTGCCTCAGCCTCCCGAGTAGCTGGGATTACAGGTGCACATCACCTTGTCCAGCTAATTTTTGTATTTTTAGTAGAGACAGGGTCTCACCATGTTGACCAGGCTGGCCTCGAACTCCTGACCTCAAATGATCCACCTGCCTCTGCTTCCCAAAGTGCTGGGATTACAGGCATGAGCCACTGCACCAGCCCCTCATCTGTATTCATTTCTGATTGCTGGTGTAACCAATCACCACAAAGCGAGTGGTTTAAAGCAATAGAGATTTCTCATCTTACAGCTCTGTAGACCACTGGTCTTGCTGGGCTAAAATCAAGCTGTCAGCAGGGCTGCATTCCTTTCTGGGATCTCCAGGGGAGAATCAGTCTCCTTGCCTTTGCCAGCTTCTAGAGGCCCCTGCATCCCTTTTCTCATGGCCCCTGTTTTTGTCAGAGCCAGTAATGCCCAGTGGGTCCTTATCACGTTGCCTTTCTCTGATCCTTTTCCTTGTTTCGTCTGTCTCTGACCCAGCTAAGAAAGGTTCCTCCACTTTTAAGGCCTTATATGACTAGGTTGGGCCACCTGCATGGGCCAGACCATTCTTCATCTCAAGGCCTACACCCTTCGTCACATCTGCAAAGTCTCTTCTCTCACGGAAGGCACACAGCTTCTGAGAATTGAGGTGTAGGCATCTTTGAGGGGCATTATTCTGCCTGTCACATTCTCTAAGCTCCCAGAACGGTGTCTACTCTCAAGTTCTCTTTCTTGGTGAATGGTCCCCTCCATTGCCTTCATGGTGTTTAAGCTAGAAACCAATTCCAGTCATCCCACAATCAATACACCCCCAAATCCTATTAATTCTACCTATTGATGGTCCTTAAATCAATGCACTTTTCTAGATCCTAACTGCCTCTACCCTGGTCTTGCCTGAATGTCTGTAACATCCTCCTAACTGATCCTGCCACCTTTCAATCTTTCCTTTAAACAGCATCCAGAGGGACCTATATCAAGTGAACATCAGGGTGTATCTGTCAGGCTGGGTTACGCAGCAGTAACAAACAATCCCCACATTGCAGTAACTTAACACAACAAAGGGGTGTTTCTCACACACGCTGCCTGTCAATGCTAGTCAGCAGGGGCTTCTGTTCCTTGCAGTAACTCAAAGACAAAGTCTGACAGAATCTCCATCTGAACTCATGTTTCCACCATCACAGCAGTGGGAAGGGAGAGTGGCACCAGCTCTTAAGATTGTGTCTGGAAGTCACATGGTACTTCTGCTCCCAAGTGATTGGCCAAAGCAAGTCACATGACCATGCCTAACATCAAAGGAGGTGAGGAAGTAAAACCTCCCCACAAGTCTAGAAGATGGAGAGGCTGAATATTTGGTTATCAGGCTAATGGTTGCCATGTTGGGTATGTCCTTCAATGGTACCTGGCTGGCTGGTAAATGGAATCTTAATTCCTCCATGTGACCCACAATTCCCTCTGGACCTGGCCCTTTCTTGCCTCTCCAGCCCCACCTCATGCACCCTGTCTGGCTCCTGCCACCCTGGCCTCACAGTGTAGATGCCCAGCCCTGCAGCTCAACTATCCTCTCTGCACCAAGCTCCCTCTGGTCCTTTGGCCCCAGGTTTCGGAGCCCTGGACTGAACAGCATGTCGAGCCTTTTGGGTCCTCATCAACTTTCCTTGAAGCTTCTGCCTCCAGCCCTGGGTTGGGATAAACCTGCCAGGGAAGGTGAGTTTGAGCTGCACAGGGTCAGCCTGCAGAGCTGAGCATGTGATTGTGAGTCAGCCGACAAATACTTGTGAAGCACCTACAATTTGCCAGTCACTGAGATATAAAAATGAGAGAGAATCCTTGTCTTCAACTTCAAGATTATACTTTTTTTTTTTTTTTTAACCACAGAGACAGGTTCTTTCTCTGTCACTCAGACTGGAGTGCAGTGGCGTGATCACCACTCACTGCAGCCTTGAATTCCTGAGCTCAAGTGAACCTCCCACCTCAGGCTCCTGAGTAGCTGGGATCACAGGCACACACCACCATGCCCGGCTAATTAAAAAAAAATTTTTTCTTTTGTAGAGGTGGGTGTATTAGTCCGTTCTTGCATTGCTATAAAGAACTACCCAAGACTGGGTAATTTATTTTAAAAAAAGAAGTTTAATTGACTCAGTTCTGCAGGTTGTACAGGAAGCATGACTGGAGACGCCTTAGGAATCATGGTGGAAGGTGAAGGGGAGGCAGGCACTTCTTACATGCCTGGAGAAGGAGGAAGAGAGAGCAGGGGGAGGTCCCACACACTTTTAAACAAGAAGATCACATGAGAGCTCACTATCATGAGAACAGCAAGGGGGAAATCTGCCCCCATGATCCAATCACCTCCCACCAGGCCCCTCCTCCAACATCAGGGATTACAATCTGACATGAGATTTGGGTGGGGGCATAGAGCAAAACCATATCAGTGGGGGTCTTTCTATGTTGCCAAGGATGGTCTTGACCTCCTGGGCTAAAGCATCTGCCTGCCTAGGAATCCTAAAGTTCTGGAATTACAGGCATGTGCCACTGCACCCAGCTGGAGCTTATATATGTTGTTGAGAGAGGCTGGCAAATGTAGTAGTGTTAAATTGGAAGTTTTGGCCAAGAGGCTGAGAGGATGGATTCTAGATGGCAGAGTGAGTCAGCAGAGAGACCATGAAGCACATCCCCAAAGGAGGTTGCCGAGAATCCAAGTGGGGACCCTTGAAGTCCTCGCCTTCATCAAGGGCGTGAAAGAATCTGGGATGTGAGACTAGGAAGAAGCTCGTTAAGAAAGGGTCTTAGCAGGAGCTGCTGAGGCTTTGGGGGTGTCTTCCCATGAGCAGGGTGTGGGCTGTATTCCCTGCATTTTAGGTCAAGAAAGAGGATGTGTAAGGGGACCACTCAAAGCATCCAATATATGGACCCTGCTATTTGGAGGTCACAGAGGGCAATGCCTGACTCCTTCCTCCCTCTGGAGATTTGCAAAGGGGAAACACCTGGGCAGCAGCTTTGCTGCAGAGAGTGAAGCGGTTACTGCAGAGGGCATTTCAGCCTGCTGCTCAGGGTGTGTGGGAGCAGAGAACACGTGTGTGCCATGACCTGGACAATGACCTGCATGCAAGAGCCAGTGCAGGACTATTCAATGTCCTGACTGAAAGGCCACCTGAGGATGGCGTCAGTGAACAGACCACAGAAGAAAGCAGCTGAAGCACTGGGCTTTCCATGCATTGCTGCAGGCTTCCTAGGGAAGAAATCTCTGGCTAGAATGAAGATAACTTTACTCTCTACGAGGGAACCTCAGAGAAGAGGCTTAGCAATTGGAGGTGGGTGTCTCCAAAGTGCCCACCAGGGAGAGTCCATGAGGCTGTGTCACCAGGCAAGTAAGGACTTCTTGGGCCTCTTACCTCTCCGACTGCATCCAGACTCCGGAGGGTCAAAGCCAGGTGAGAGAGTTGTGGGGAGAGCAGATAAGCCAACAGACAGGGCAGAGCCAGGAGGGAACCTCCTTCCGAATGGACAGACTCCCCATCTGCAGCAAGCCTGGAGCTGGCAAGGGGCAAACCTTCATGTTAAACGAAGGTCAAGGTTTTGACCATGACACAGGGTCTGGCGTTTGGATTATAGGTGGGAGGACTTTGTATCTGGTCATTTAAGATGACCAGAAAGTCATGGGGCCTGTTTTAAGTTATCATCCAGGCTAAAAAAATAGTCCCACTGAATAAATTTAAACAGAAGGTGGGAGACAAAAATAACGACTTTATGAGTACATCTCGAGCTGTGCCTGTTCACTGTGATATTTACACAAATAAATAAAACTACAGAGGTACTGAGAGGGCCAATAAAAATTTAAAAGGATTTATGTGATAAAGTGATAGAGAAACTGCTTTAGCCAGGGTAGAAGGGGAGACCCGTTGAGGAGGTGACATTGGAATTGAGGCTTCAATTATGAGAGGGAGCTGGCTGTGTGAAGGTCCAGGGAAGGGTGATCCAAGCAGAGGGAACAGTTTGTGCAAAAATCCTGAGGCAGGAGCAAGCTTGCAGCAGGATATGGAAAGTGAGAGGAGGATGGGAGAAGCTGAGGTGGAAGGAGAGGCTGGAAAAGAGCACCAGGCGGGGTCAGAAAGGGGGACTGTATTTCAAGTGTGATGAGAATTCATTAGACAACTTTTAGCAGGGAAAGAACTTCTGATTCATCCTTTAGAAAGGTCAGCTGGCTGCTATTAGAATGGGCAGGAGACAAGGGCAAGATTGGGGCTGCCGGGAGTGCAGCTTGTCCAGAACAGGATAGAGATGATAGTGTCTTGGACTATGGTGGTTGCATGGAGGAGGTGAGAAACATCAGGTTTAGACTATAATTTGGAAGCATAAAGCTCCATGTGTGATGTGAGAGGGTTAAAGATGAGGATTAAGGAGAGTTCTGTGGTTTTTGACCCATGCCACTGAATGGATGTTGGTGCCATTTCCAAGATGAGAGAGAGTTGGGAGGAAGCAGATTTATATTGGGGAGGGGAGTGTATTAGTCTGTTTTCACGCTGCTGATAAAGACATACCTAAGACTGGGTAATTTATAAAAGAAAGAGGTTTAATTCACTCACAGTTCCACGTGGCTGGGGATACCTCATAATCATGGCAGAAGACGAAGGAAGAGCAAAGGGATATCTTACATGGTGGCTGGCAAAGAGAGAAATGTGAGCCAAGCGAAAGTGGAAACCCCTTATAAATCAGATCTCATGAGACGTATTCACTACCACAAGAACAGTATGGGGAAAACCGTCCTCATGATTCAGTCATCTCCCACCAGGTCCCTCCTGCAAGATGTGGGAATTATGGGAGCTACAATTCAAGATGAGATTTGGGTGGGGACACAGCCAAACCATATCAGGGAGTCAACAATTCTCTTTTCACTGAGTAGTATGCCCAGGCAGTCCATTACTAGATAATGGGGAGGCCAAGAATTAAGGCTGTGGTGTCAAACAATTTGGGCTTCATTGTGTGACCTTGGCCACATCAATTAACCACTTTGAGACCAGTTTTCTCCACTACAAAATGGGAGTAAAAATAACAGTACCTATGTTCCAGGTTTGTTGTGGGGAGGGAAAGCTCTGCAATGGGCCTGGCACACAGTAAGGGCACAAGAAATGAAAGCAGTTATTGGCTCTTTATTTGCAAGGGCCATACTTATGAGTGCTGCTCTGTGTTGAGTGGAAAACTGCACTTAGGACAGTTTCATTTTTGTCTGCCATACTTCTCCTGAAACCTTCAGATCCTGGAGTCAACTGGCAAGAAAACCAGCTCCAGCCAGGATCCCTCACTAACATTCCTATGGTAGGCTACACCCTGGCCTGGCGTTTTCTTTGTGGGAAACTTTCGTGGACGCATTCCATTTATTTAAAAGATGTAGGCTATTCAGATTTTCTGTTTCCTCTGGTGTCAGTTTTGGCAAGTTATATTTTAAAAGGAATTTGTCCATTACATCTATATTGTTGAATAAAAGGGCATAAAATTGTTCACAGTACTTGCTTATAATCCATTTAAAGTTTGTGGGATATGTAATGATGTCCCTGCTTTCCTTTTTACTAGATCAGGCTTATCAATTTTATTACTCTTTCTACAGCACTAGCTTTTGATTTATTGATTTTCTCTATTATTTTTCATTTTTCTATTCCATTGATTTCTGCCCTTATCTTCATAACTTCCCCCCTCATACTTACTTTGGCTTTAATCTGCTCTTCTTTTTCTAATTTCTTAGCTCATATAAATGATTTAGGTTTTTCGTCTTTTTTTATGTAATTAAAGTTTTCACAGGTTCTAGCAGTTAGGAAAAAAGAAAATAATAATAATTATTATTTAAAGTTATTAATTTCCCTTCAATCATTGCTTTAGCTACATTGGACAAATTTTGATATGTTATATTTAATGTTCATTCAGTTGAAAATAATTACTAATTTCCTCTGAAGTTTCTTCATTGCCTGCTGTTAATTTTACAATTATGGGGGATTTTAAAATCATCTTGTTATTGATTTCTAATTTAATTCCTTTTGTTTTTTGTCAGGGAACATACTATCTATGATTTCAGTCTTTTAAAATGTATTGAGACTTGTTTTATAGCTCAGCATATGATTTGTAATTGTAAATATACCATTAAAAATGTGCCTTTAAAGGCCGGGCACGGTGGCTCAGGCCTGTAATCCCAGCACTTTGGGAGGCCAAGCTGGGCGGATCACGAGGTTGGGAAATCCAGACCATCCTGGCTAACACGGTGAAAACCCACCTCTACTAAAAATACAAAAAATTAGCCAGGCGTGGTGTCGGGTGCCTATAGTCCCAGCTACTTGGGAGGCTGAGGCAGGAGAATGACATGAACTTGGGAGGCAGAGTTTGCAGTGAGCCGAGATCACGCCACTGCACTCCAGCCTGGGAGACAGTGCGAGACTCTGTCTCAAAAAAAAATAAAAATAAAAAAATGTGCCTTTAAAAAGACATTTAAAAAGAATGTCTTCTGCCATTGTTGGGTATAGTGTTCTACAAATATCAATTAAGTGAAGACGATTTTTAGTGATGCTCACACTTTTTATGTGTTCAATAATTTTTTTTTGGCCTTGTTGTTCTATCAATGCCCAGAGAGGAGTATTAATAATCTCCATCTATGATTGTAGTATTATTTATTTCTCCCTTTGATTTTGGTACTTTTTGCTTCATGTAATTTGAGGCACTGTTATTAGGTACACATACATTTATGATTGTTATGTCTTTCTGATTAATTGGCCCTTCTATCATTTTACATGAATTTGTACAATATTAACTGTAAGTAAAACATTAAAAGTTAAGGACATCTATTCTAATCTCTATAGCAACCATATAAAAAAATGTAGAAAAGTATATTTCTTCTGTCCATCTTTATGAACATAAAGAAGTGTCCATCTTTATCTCTGGTAATACTTTTTGTCTTGAAGTTTATCTAATGTTAATATAGCCACATTCTTATGTTTACTGTTTGCATGTTGTTTTTCCTATCCATTTACTTTCAGTCTATCGATGGTTTATTGTTTCTCTTGAGGACAGCATATAGTTTGGTCATTCTTTTTTCCTATAATTTTGTATGGACTCTATCTTTTAATTTCAGTGTTTACTTCATTAATGTTTAATGTAATTACTGATATGATTGGATTTGGGTCCACCATTTAATTATTTTTCTGTTCTGTTCCAAAACACAAACAGAATATCTGAATATTTTTTAGAATTCCGTTTTAAGGCCAGGCTTACACTTGTAATTCCAGAAACTTTGGGAGGCTGAGGTGAGAAGATCGCTTGAGCCTAGGAGTTTGAGACCAGCCTGGACAACATGATAAAACTATATTTCTACTAAAATTTTTTTAAAAAAATTAGCCAGATTTGGTGGCACACACCTGTAGTCACAGCTACTTGGGAAGCTGAGGTGGGAGGATTGCCTGAGCCCTGAAAGTCGAGGCTGCAGTGAGTCGTAATCATGCCACTGCACCCCAGCCTGGAAAACAGTGTGAGACTCTTCTAAAAAAAATAATAATAAAGAGTTCCATTTAAATTTTCCTATTGATTTTTTAGCTAAACTTGTCTGCATTTTTAAAATGGTTGCTATAGAGATTAGAATAGATGTCCTTAACTTTTAATGTTTTACTTACAGTTAATGTTGTACAACTTCACTTAAAATGTGGAAACCTTGCAATTGTGTCAGTTCATATTTCTGCATCCTTTATCTTAGTTGTTGTATGTAACATGTACACACACATATATATATTTGTGTGTGTATACACACACATATATATATTTGTGTGTGTATACACACACACACACACACATATTATAAACCCCACAAGGCAAGGTTATAGTTTTTTTCTTTAAATGGTTCTATGGTTTTTAAAGAAATTAAGAGGAATAAAGAAAAAAGAAGATAATTGTCTTTTGCAGGCACCCAGATCCTATTTTCTGAGGATCTGAGTTTCCATCTGGTGTCATTTCCCTTCAGGCTGAAGAACTTCCTTTAGCATTTCTTGTAGTGCAGATCTGCTGGCAACAAAGCCCACAGCTTTCTTTTATCTAAGATATATTTGTTTTGCCTTCATTCTTGAAGGATATTTTCCCTGGATGTATAATTCTTGGTTGACAGTTTTGTTTTTTTTTCTTTCATCACTTTAAAGATGTTTTTCCACACCTTCTGGCCTCCATAATTTCTGATACAAAGTCAGCCATTAATGGAATGGTTGTTTTCCTATATGCAATGTGTTATTTTTCTCTTGTGGCTTTCAAGTTGCATTGTTTAATTTGGCTTCAACAGTGTGACTAGGATGTATCTTGGTCTGGGATTCTTTGTGTTTATTTTGCTTGGTGTTAATTGAGCTTCTTGCATCGGTACATTTCTCTCTTTCACCAAATTTGGAAAAATTTTGGCCATTATTTCTCCAAATATTATTCTGTCCCATTCTTTCTCTCCTCTGCTCTAAGACTCCATTTACATGTGTGTCAGACACTTGCCTATTTAAATGCATTCCTGAGGCTCTGTTCATTTTTTTCTTAAATCACTATTGTCCTTGTGTTTTGCATGGAATAATTTCTATTAATCTGCTTCAAGTTCATTTAGTCTTTCTTCAGCCTTCCTTCTCCATTTGGCTCTTAAAGGTCCACCCAGTGAATTTCTCATCTCAGATATTACATTTTTCAGTTCTAGAATTCTATCAGGTCCTTTTTTTGTTTCTAATTCTCTGTAGAGATTTCCTATGTTTTCATTAAATATACATATATATACACACACACATACATATATTTAAACTTTATTAGAAGTTTTAATAGTTGGTATAAAAATCTTGGTATTCCAGTTTTAACATATCTAGTTTATATTGGGGTTTGTCTCAGTCGACTTTACTTTCTCTTGAGAATTTTTTTCATTTCATTTTTTTTAATGTCAAGTAATTTTTGGATTATATTCTGGTGTGGTGAAAAGAATAATATCTCCCGCAGATTCCCCCCTGCAAAGATGTTGATATGGTTTGGCTGTGTCCTCACCCAAATCTCACCTTGCATTGTAATCCCCATAATCCCCTTGTGTCAAGGGAGGGACCCAGTGGGAGGTGGTTGAATCATGGGGGCAGTTTCCCCCATGCTATTCTCATGAGAGTGAGTGAGTTCTCATGAGATCTGATGGTTTTATAAGCATCTGGCATTTCCCCTGCTCACTCTCACTCCATCCTGCTGCCCTGTGAAGAAGGTGCCTGCTTCTCCTTTGGCTTCTGTAATGATTCTAAGTTTCCTGAGGCTTCCCCAGCAATGTGGAACTGTGAGTCAATTAAATCTCTCCTTTAAAAATTACCCAGTCTTGGGCAGTCTTTGTTTGTTTGTTTGTTTGTTTGTTTGTTTTTGAGATGGAGTTTTGCTCTTGTTGCCCAGGCTGGACTGCAGTGGCGTGATCTCGGTTCACTGCAACCTCTGCCTCCTGGGTTCAAGCGATCCTCCTGCCTCAGCCTCTTGAGTATCTGGGATTACAGGCACCCGCCACCACGCCCAGCTAATTTTGTATTTTTAGTAGAGATGGGGTTTCTCTATTTTGGTCAGGCTGGTCTCAAACTCCCAACCTCAGATAATCCGCCCACTGCAGCTCCCCAAAGTGCTGGGATTACAGGCATGAGCCACCACGCCCGGCAAGGGCAGTTTTTTATAGCTGTGTGAGAGCAGACTAATGCAGATGTCCACATCCTAATCTACAGCACCTGTGAATATGTGATCTTCCATAGCAACACAGACTTTCTGTATGTGATTGGGATTTGGAGATTACCCTGAATGATCCTGGTGGGCCCATTATAGTCACAGGGTCCGCTATAATAAGGAAACAGTAGGGTCAGAGGCAGAGAAGGAGATGTGACAATGGAAGGAGAGGTAAAAGCACTGTGAGGAAGGAACCACAAACCAAGAAATGCAGGCAGCCTCTAGATGCTAGGAAAGGAAAGGAAATGGATTCCCCTAGATCCTCCAGAAGAAACACAGCCCTTCAGACCTACATTAGTGTGAGATGATCAATGTGTGTTTTTAAGCCGTGAGGTTTGTGGAAATTCATTACATCAGCAATAGCAGATGAATACACCTGGACAGAAGGAATGCTAAATTGTGACCATTCTGGGCTTTTTCTCTGATGAGTGCTGTTTCTTGTGTTTTAGCAGGCAGTTAGCTTGGTGGAATTTGAACTTCAAATCCTGTTGCTAGGACGACATTTCCTGTCTCAGTTCACATCTTTATCTTCCCTAAGCTGAGGTTTCCGATTATGTGGCCGGAATCCCCCTGGAGTCCCTGTGGCCTGGTGCCTGCACTTTGTCAGCCACCCTTAGCCTCAGGCCAAAAGCCACAAAGAAAAGCCCTTGCTTTGAGCAGTGGCCTCCTCCCCTGCTCTCTCCACTCTCCAGGCTTTCAGGTGTTTGGATCCGGGGGTACTTGGAGTGTTCTTTTGTTTCTGAATTGGTTCTCAGAAAGACAGAGTGGAAAAGACGACAACTTTTCTAGCACTGGGTTCCAGCCTGGTTTCATTACTTACTCGCTGCATGACCTTGGGCAGCTGAGCTTGTGTCAGCCTCAGTTTCCCCATCCGTAGGTCTCTACATCAGAGGATAGTGTCTGCATCGATGAGCAAATGCACGTATTTGTAAGGTGCTGGATCCAAGCTTGGTCTCCTTGTTATTTTCCAAGCATCTCTCTGCTGCTCATGGAAGGACACCCCCAAAACTAACTGCTGGACAGATTTTCCAAGCCTTATCAGTTCATCCAAATGGTTAACTCTAAGTTTCTTTCCTGTCCGAAAAATAAAACTGTAAACAGTGATACAGAGCCATGGGTTGTTATTCAGGATTTGCAAACTTTATTTCCCCAAACCGGCTTTGCTACATAGGCTCTGCTCCTAAGCTATTGCCCACAGCAAACAAGAAGGGATCTGGAGGCCGGGCATGGTGGCTCACACTTGTAATGCCAGCGCCTTGGTAGGCTGAGGCACAAGTTTGAGACAAGCCTGGCCAACATGGTGAAACCCCATCTCTACTAAAAATACAAAAAAAAAAAAAAAATTAGCTGGGCGTGGTGGTGGATGTCTGTAGTCCCAGGTATTCGGGAGGCTGAGGCAGGAGAATTGCTTGAACCCGGGAGGCGGAGGTTGCAGTGAGCTGAAATCGTGCCACTGCACTCCAGCCTGGGTGACAGAGCAAGACTCTGTCTCAAAAAAAAAAAAAAAAGGGACCTGGAATGCTTCGTGGGGGTGTCGCAAGGTCTCGGAGCCTATGGAATCTGGTTCTGGAGCTGGGCAGGGCTTCCACTGGGCTCTGCAGTCCTGGGCCGGGAGCTGGCTCATTTGTTTATGGGACATTTGCTTCCTGGGAGTCTACAGTGTGGTGGTCCCTGCCCTGGGTGCTGGACACAGCAGCAAACAAGGCAGACACAGCCCGCCCTTGTAGCATGGACTTCTGCTCACAGCGCTGGGCACGTGCCTGGGTGTAAAACCACAACTGTGATCAGTGGAATGGGCGGGGGTGTCCTGTGAGTGTCCGAGATAGGCATTGATTGGGTCGTGGAGGCTAGTGGGTCACGCTGAGGTCTGATGGCTGAGTAGAATTTGCCTGGCCGGGTGGGAGGGAAAGGACAAGAGGAAGCAGCAAGAGCCTGTGCACAGGCCCTGTTGGGGTAAGGGACATGGTAAGTTCCAGAACTGCAGGAAGGCCTTGGAGGGCTGGAGCTCGGAGGAGGGCATGTGGGGAGGATAGGAAGTTAGGGAGCGGGCGGTAGGGTTGCTAGACTCAGTAAATGTAAATACAGGATGCCCAGTTAAACTTGAATTTCAGGAAAAAGTCAAATACTTTTTTAGTATAAGTGTGTCTCAAGTGCTGTATGGGACATACTTATACATACTCACACTAGAAAAGTATTCATTGTTGAGCACAGCATGCTGGCTCACACCTTGAATCCCAGCACTTTGGGAGGATGAGGTTGGAGAATCTCTTGAGCCCAGGAGTTCAAGACCAGCCTAGCAATATAGCAAGAGCCCCCATCTCTAAAAAAAAAAATTAAAAATTAGCTGGGCAGAGTGGCACATGCCTGTAGTCTTAGCTACTCAGGAGGCTGAGGTGAGGATCACATGAGCCCAGGAGTTCGGGCTGCAGTAACCCGTGATCACACCGCTGCACTCCAAGCCTTGGTGACAAAGTGAGACCCTGTCTCAAAAATACTACTACTACTGGGCTGGGCGTGGTGGCTCACACCTGTAATCCCAGCACTTTGGGAGACCAAAGCTGGTGGATCACCTGAGGTCAGGAGTTCGAGACCAGCCTGGCCAACATGGTGAAACCCTGTCTCTACTAAAAATACAAAAATTAGCCATGCGTGGTGGTGTGCACCTGTAGTCCCAGCTACTCGGGAAGCTGAGGCACAAGAATTGCTTGAGCCCGGGAGGCAGAGGCTGCAATGAGCCGAGATTGCACCACCGCACTCCAGCCTGGGCCATAAGAGTGAGACCCTTCCTCAAAAAAACAAAACAAAACAAAAACTACTACTACTGATAATAATAACTCGTTGTTTATCTGAAATTCTAATTTAATGGCATCTTGTTTTCTATTTGGTAACCCTATGAGCAGGGTCTTGCAGAACAGGGCAATGAACTTGTTCTCAAACCAGGAACAACGGTGGGCTGTAGAGCTACGCTGGGAGCAGCAGTATCCAGGCAGCATTTGGAGGTTAGCTGCATGCTGGGGAGAACGGATGGGAGCGCGCGAGGGGCAGAGAAGGACTGGTGAAGGCTGCTGCAGTGCCCAGGGGAGCCCCTGAGCATCGGAGGCTTGGGGAGGCCCCAGGTGCTGCGGGGTGGAGAAATGCACTGGAGTGGAATCTTGCCTGTGTCTGCTACTAGAAGGGAAGCTGCCCTTTGTCACAGGGCGATCACTCACTGGGTGCCGGAGGATGTGGTACTGACGAAGCGGCCAGGCTGGGATCCTTGCTTGATGTCACTTGATAGCTCCTTGATGTCACTAAGAGCCATCATCCTGCTCACAGCCCCTCCCCACCCCAAAATGAGAGCTGCTCAGCCCAGACAGACGTCTTACCCTCTGCTTGTTTTTGTGATTCAAAAATGAGTCATCCACCCCAGGCAAGAGCAGGCTGAGGACCTTTTCCTTGGCTGGGAGTTTGGGGGTTGGGTGGCTCTTCCGGAGGCTACAGGGTTCAGACAGCGTCTTGTCTGCAAGATTAATTCCTTCCAGTGCAAGAAACTTAAAGGGGCCAGATGCGGTGGCTCACACCTGTAATCCCAGCGCTTTGGGAGTCCAAGCTGGGAGGATCACATGAGCCTAGGAGTTCAAGATCAGCTTGGGCAACATAGCAAGACGCCATCTCTACAAAAATAAGCAAAATTAGCTTAGCTGAGCATGGTTGCGTGCACTTGTAGTCCCAGCTATTCAGGAGGCTGAGGCAGGAGGATCACTTGAGCTCAGGAGTTTTAGGCTGCAGTGAGCTGTGCTTGTGCCACTGACCATCAGCCTGGACAACAGTTCTGTAAGATGAGAACAAGAATAGTGCCTGGTTCCTGGGGCTGTTCCAGGATTAAATGAGACAGAGCTTATGAAAAATCTTGGGATATAGTAGATGCTCAGTTAATGTTATTTGCTTTCTTCCCTCCCTGTCATGTCAACAGAGAAGCTGGCAAGGTGAAAGTCAAGAGCAGGAGGTCAGAAAACATGTTCCTGTCAAAGCCCAGATGGAAAATACTCTAGGCTTTGCGGGCCAGACAGAAGCCGCCACAGGCAACATGCAAATAACGAAGGATGGCCGTGTTCCCATAAAACTTCATTTATTGACTCCGCTGTTTGAGTTTCAAATAATCTTCATGTAATTTTCAAATGTCACATGACATTAGATTTTCCCCCCAACCATTTAGCTATGTAAACACTAGTTTTAGCTCATGGAGTGCACAGAAACGGGCTGTGGGCTGCACGTGGCCCTTGGGCTGCAGTTTGCAACCCCTGCCGAGAGTGAGGTTACCATCTGGCTGATCTGTGAGTTTTCTGACTCTATGAAGGAGGCGGTGAGGTTGTCAGAGTCTTGAACTAGATAGAACCAAACTCAAAGTTTTATCTTTTCCTAAGTTTCCAGAACCAAAAATATTCCTTGTGAGCCAACCTGAACTGCAAAGATACTGATATATTTTCTAGAATTCTTTACTGGAAGCTCCCCACTGCTCCTCAAACTGTACCTGAATCAAATCAGTGAGTCCTGCTGGAGTCCCTGGAGCTCCTGGAGCTGGGGCTTAAAAGGGTGAGAAGGGCCTGGGGCAGACCTGGTTTTTAGTATTGAAAGTCCCACAACCCTGGGACCCCCTCAATCCAAGGCAAACTGGGCCGATTGGTCACGGGATAAGTGGATTAATTTCTCCGGAATTTCAGGCCCCTGGATGCTTTCCTTCCCCATCATCTCAGGGATGTAGCCCTCTGGGGCCCCTGGAGGCTTTCCTTCCCCATCATCTTGGGGGTGGGGGGCACCCTCTGTGTGCTCAGATCCCCAGTGCCCTGTCCACCATGGTTAGGGGGACTAGGGCGCCCTGTCGCTTCTCAGCCTTTCGGCTAAGATCAAGTGTGGAAAGGGGGCCCTGTGGGAGGCTCATTTTCCAGCAGCCACAATCCCCAGGGCGGTGTGGGACCTGCATCTGGTACCGCAGGAAGCACAGCTCATTGCGGTGGGGGTCAGGTGTGATGGGATGGCCTGAAGGTCAGTTGTGGTGTGTGGGATGGGGGACCTAGAAGATTCCTTGTCCCTTAGCCCTGACCTGTTGGCTGGGAGACGGAGAGAGGGCAGGAGGCTTGAGCTTGGCTTGCGAGAGGCCACCAGGGTGACGGACTCATCCCAGTTTCATCCCAGTTGGGATCGACTGTCCCACTATCAACAGTGAATGTCCTGCATCCTGGGAGCTCCCTCAATCCCCAGCAAACTGGGATAGTTGGTCACCTTAGAGGTCACCTTAGCCTCTGGCAGGAGACAGCAGAGCCTGTTCCCAGTGCCCTGGCTGCTCCAGATGTCTTGGGGACCATTGGCCTTGCAGGTGCCGATCGTGAAGGCCCAGAAGGCAGGCCTAGTGGGGTCTAGCCTCCCTTCTTCATAGCTGCATGACCCAGGACAGTCCCTCTACCCACTGAGCCTCAGTGTTTTAATCAGTAAAGAGGGTATTGTCAAGCAAGAACCTCTGAGCCTGTGGTGTGAAAGTTTTAGAGTACAGAATGGGTGCTTTGTGGAACAAGCTCTGATGAGGATGAAGTAGAAGATGGTGCAACAAGCTGGGATGCACCGTGACTCAGTTCTTGCTTGCTTGAGAGGAAAAGAAAAGACATGCCAAAGGAAAAGCAAGAGATCTCAGTCCTGGGGCTGGTGATGGGTCCTGAGACGGGTGTCTGGGTGGCCAGGCTGGGAGGTGAGGACTCTGGTCTGAGGAGGGGGCTCAGGAGCTGCTGCACCCCAAGCCCTGCTGGTCCCAGTGATTTCATGCATGACCCAGGCACACCCAGGGCCTGGGTTGGGACAGAGGGGTGATGCTTTAAGACTTGCTGTCAGCAGGTGGGTAGGCTGTGCCAGGGCGGGAAGAAGACATCATGCCAGCTTCCTCCCCCATAGCTGATGTGGAAAGAATGAGGCCCCTGGGCCCCCCTCACCAAAGGCGAGACCTTCCTCAGCGAAGCCTGCCCCTGAGCCAGACAAGTGGTAGCTTCCAGACCAGCCCTGAACAGGAGAAATGACAATCGCTAACCCCAGATTTTACTCTCTTCTGTGTATTTATTCCAGTTAGTTCATGCTCCTAACTGGCGCCTTCCAGCAGTATTCAACATTTGATGCGACTCTTTTTGTTGTTAGGTGTTCCTGCAAAAGACATATTGTTGTTTTGTCTGTGCATGTATTTTACTTTATGGGACCGACAGATGTGACATAGATCTCATTGTTTCTTCTCTTTTCTCACTCAACATCACATCTTAAAGCACATCCATGTTGCTGTGTGTACATTGGGTCCATTGCATCTCAGCAGTCTAGGGGGTTCATCTCCCAGAGATGGCTGGCCGGGGGGTCTCCAGGACCCACACCACATGCAGATATGTGATGCACATTCTCAGACACATCTACCTCTGGAAGTGAGTATGGTTTATTGGGCATAGAGGCCCAGAAGTCAGAGCTGCTAGAATGCCAGAAAATCTACTAGATCCTACAACTCCCTGGGCAGAGCCCAAGAACTCCTACATCCTTACATGCCCTCCCAATCCCTGGCAATAACTGCCTTTTAAATTCTTGTCAGTTATTGTTTCATTTGCATATCTCTGACTACTAATGAATTTAACAACTTTCATATGTTTATCAGCTCTTTAGGTTTCCTTGTCTGTAAATTTGCCTGTTCGTATCTTTCATCCATTTTCCCATTGGGGTTCCTCTCTTTTTTTTGTTTATGTGCCAGGTTCTTGATAAAATCCACATATTACTCCCCTGTTGATTTTAGATATTATAAATATCTTTTCTCAAGTTATCATTGTTCTGTTAATTTTGTCGAAGGTATCTTTTGTCAGCTGATGAAGCAGAAATTCTCAGTTTTGATGTAATTAAATGAATCAGGTTTTGGCTTTATGGTTTGTGCTCTTGAAATTTTGTTTCATAAACCATTCGCAATGTCTAGGTCACAAAGCTATTATCCCCATTTTCTTGCACGCTAACATTTGGTTTTTCCTTTTAAGTAAGGTCTTTGATTTCTATGGAGTCCACTTTATGTGTTGTATTAGGCAGGTCAATGCCTATTTTTCTTTAGCTCTCAAGTCCATTATTCCAACATCTATAAAATGACCCCATAGATTTCCGGCCCCTGCATCACCACATCTTGAGTCCCTGTCGGTACATGGGACTTTCTCTGCCGGGCTGCTTTGGTCTATGTGTCTGTCCTTGTATTAGTACTGCATGGTTTTTATGACTGTGTCTTTGTAGTGGGTGTTATGAGGCAAGAGGCACTTGGGGTACCCTAGTCCTGGCCCTGGGGAAGACTCCTTTTTACTCTCCTTTTGCAAAGTGGGTTTAGCTCTTCTTCATGGATTATTATTCCTCCATCTAAATGAATGTTAGTTTCATCAAAATCAAACTTGATCAGTTTGATTAAAGTTGTACTGAATTTATAGGTTCAACATATGAATCAGAGCAAGATACATCTGTTTATTCAAGTCATCTTTTATTCAAATTAAATTTTTTTTCTACATAGAGCTCTTTTGTGCTCTTGGTGAAATAAACTCTCAGGAATGTTCTAGTTTTGATTGCTCTTGCGAAAGTTATCTTCCTTTTAAAAATGTTTCTAAGATTATTTTTAATTAAATAATAATTGTGTCTATTTGTGGGGTACAAAGCAATGTTTTGATCTATGTATACACCGTAGAAAGATTCAGTCAAGCTAATCAATATATTCATCATCTCACCAACTTATCTTTTTTGTAGCGAGAACATTTAAAAATCTATCCTTTCATCAATTTTGAAATATACAGCACATAGGTATTAACTCTGATCACCATCCAGTGCAATAGATCGCTAAAACTTACTCCCTGAGTCTAACTGAAACTTTGGGCTCTTTAATCAACACTTTCCATTCCTCCCTGTGAATCCCAATCGTTCTGTTTCTTTGAGATCCACTTTTTTTAGATTTCACATATAAGTGAGATCATTACAGTATTTGTCTTTCTGTGCCTGGCTTATTTCACTTAGCATATTCCTCCAGTTCCATCCATGTTGTTGCAAATGACAAAATTTCCTTTTTTTTTTTTTTTTTAGACCAGGTCTTGCTCTGTTGCCCAGCAGGCTGGAGTGCAGTGGCACAATCTTGGCTCACTGCTACCTCCACCTCCCAGGTTCAAGTGATCCTCTTGCCTTAGCCCCGCTAGTAGCTGGGATTACAGGCATGCACCACCATGGCTGGCTAATTTTTGTATTTTTCCTAGAGACAGGGCTTCACCATGTTGGGCAGGCTGGTCTCGAACTCCTGACCTCAGGTGATCCACCTGCCTCGGCCTCCCAAAGTGCTGGGATTACAGGCGTGAGTCACCGCGCCTGGCCAATTTCCTTCTTTTTAAAGGCTGATGAGTATTTCATTGCATATATATATATATATATATATATATATATATATACCACATTTTCTTTATCCATTCATGCATTGATGGACACTTAGCTTGCTTCCACTTCTTAGCTATTGCAAATAATGCTGAAATGAACATGAGAGTGTAGATTTCTCTTCAGTGTATATACTATTTCAATTCTTCTGGATATATACACAGAGGTGGGATTGCTGGATCATGTAGTAATTCTATTTTTAGCTTTTTGAGGAACCTCCATGCTTCTTTACAAAATGGCTGTACAAATTTACATTTCCACCAACATTGTACAAGTGTTCTCTTTGCATCCTCACTAGCACTTGTTCCCATTTGTCTTTTTGACACTAGCCATTCTAACAGGTGTGAGATGGTATCTCATTGTGGTTTTAATTTGCATTTCCCTGATGATATGACATGTTGAGCATTTTTTCCTGTATCAGTTGGCCATTCTATCTCTGACCAACACGGTGAAACCCCGTCTCCACTAAAAATACAAAAATGAGTTGAGTGTGGTGGTACATGCCTGTAATCCCAGGTACTCAGGGGGCTGAGGCAGGAGAATCACTTGAACCCAGGAGGCGCAGGTTGCGGTGAGCCGAGGTCATGCCATTGCACTCCATCCTGGGCAATAGAGTGAGACTCCATTTCAAAAAACAAAACAAAACAAAAATCAAGTTATTTGTTTTCTTGCTATTGAATTGTTTGAGTTCCTTAGATATTTTGAATATCTTATCAAAATAAGATATTTAAACCCTTATCAGATGTATGGCTTGGCCATTTTTCTTTTAATCTGCACATTATCTCTTCACTCTGTTGTGTCCTTTGCTTTGCAGAAATTTTTTAGTTTGTTGTAATCCCATTTGTCTATTTCTGGTTTTGTTGCCTGTGCTTTTGAAGTCCTGTTCAAGAAATTATTGCCCAGAACAATGCTGTGAAGCTTTCCTCTATGCTTTCTTCTAGTAGCTTTATGGTTTCAGTCTTATATTTAGATATTTTAGCAATTTTGAGTTGATTTTTGTCTATGTTGCGAGATAAGGGCCCAATTTCATAGAAAGATATCTTTCCTAAAGTTTTATTTTCTAGTTCAATACTAGAAAGTGTAGAGCAGTGCTTTTGAGTTTTATCAGTCGATCTTGCTTCTAGCATTTCTGCTGCTTTGTTATCAGTTGGATATTGGGGTGTTGTTCTGTGCCTGACACTGTGCTGGCCCCTTTCAGATTGCCTCCGCACCCTGAGCCCAATAGATAGGAGTATGTCTGGGGGAGCTGTCTACACCAGCCAGAACACCTCCAGATAAAGGAGAACGGAATTTGTTATTGAGTGCACTCAAGCTGGAGTGTCTTTGTGCAAAAAAAAACCATAGATCTGATTGTCGTTTAGAGAAATGAAGAGGTGGGGGTGTCTGCTCAGCTAGAAAGGGCTGGAGGCAACTTGGGTAAACTCTCACTTGAGTTTAACTTGCTTAATAAATGGCCCCTACCCTCAAATCCCAAAGAGATCATCCTACATGTGTTCCCATGCTAACATGTAGATTTCCTTAAACATTTAGGTACTCAGTTCACCTGGAGTCCACCTGTATGCAGTTTAAGCAGGTACACCATTGTATTCTTTATATAGGGAGATGGTTTTCCTAACATCATGTACAAAACTTGGGGTCCCTGTTTGTTTTCCCCACCCTACCTCAGGTGAGGGTTTGAGGCTGAGATTTTTCACCTGTGCAGGTAGCATTTCCCCAGACTGTCAGCTCCAGGGCAGGAATCACATCTTGTTTATTTACCTTTGGAGACTGGAAAGTCCATGGGGCAGGGCTTTTGTCTGTTCTGTCTACCACATCCCACTGCATTCCTCAGCACCTCCCGGGCAGCCCTGGCAGGTGATTGGTGCTTTATGAATGCTTGGTAAATAGATGAGTGAATGAATAAATGAGGGAACGAAGGGATGAGTGGAGAGTCCCTGTGCCTGACACACAGTAAGTACCTTGTAAATGCTTAACATTTGCCCATTTAAGCTCCAGTCTCCCCATGTGTGATCTGTCTCTCTCCTCCCTCCGTGGGACCAGCTGAGGTTATGGGGGCAAAGGGGCCTTGGAACATGCAAAGTGCAAACTCGTGACCGTGTTCTTGAGTTCTGGGTCCATTCTCGAAGCCACGTATGGCCTCTCCCCTGGGGGTGCCTGCAGAGCTCACCTGCAGATTTGTTACTCGTAAGTGTCGTACACCAAGAGGGACAACAGCAGCCCCATCTTTCCAGTGCTTTTGCAGCTGATGTAAGCACAAGAAACTCAGGTGAAGAAAATGGCAAAGCACTCGAGATCAGCCACAAAACCCAAGTCAGGGCTTTATTTGATCTGTAATGGGAAGGAAAAAAAATCCCCAAACTTTTGTGGTGATAGGAAGACCGAATAGTAAGAAATAAAACCAGCACTTTGGCATAACTCAGTTGAAAAGGACGCTTGAACCCATACTCTCATGAAGAGACCTTCACATTCCAAAGGCAAACGGCTGATTCCTGCCCACGCCAAGACCACTTCCTCTAGAAATTTTGGTTGCCTGTAGGATGGAAAAATCATCTCCTGGTTTCTGGCCTGACAGCAGTGAGAACATACAACCCTATGACTGCCCCCAGTTGCTGAGAAGTGCCGGATAATGCCCCTCTCCTCTTCTTTCCAGCAAGACGGCCCAACTGAGGCCTTCACAGCCCAGTCTGGGACTCAGGTCCAGGCAGGAGAAAGGTTCACAGGGAAGCAGCTGTTCATTTGGCAAAAAAGCCTCCTGGAGGAAACACTGACGTTAAATTGCAACAGGGAAACAATGTAGGGGATAGGTGTGTTCTGGCAAGAGAAGGGCTGCAAGGAAGGAGTGTGCTGCCTCTGAGGGTGCAGGAGCACAGCCAGCTGCACAGGGGCCCAGAAGACGACTGCTCTTGCGACTGTCCTGGGCTGTGAGAATGCCTGTCCCCAACAACAGAAATCAAATCAGGACACTTGCAGCTAGTCCCCACCCATCTGTTCATCCCTGTATCCACCTATTCGCCCATCTACCCATCTAACCACCCACCCATCCACCTATCATCCATCTATCCATCCAGCCATCCATCCACCCATCCATCCATCCACCCACCCATCCATCTATCCAGAAATCTATTCATCCACCCACCCGCCCGCTTATCTATCTATCCATCCATCCATCCATCCATCCATCCATCCAACTATTTATCCATCCATCCACCTATTCTTCTTTCCATCCATCCATCCACCCATCCACCTATTCATCCATCCATCTACCTATTGATCCATTCATCCACCTATCCATCCATCCATCCATCCGTCCATCCATCCATCCATCCACCTATTCATCCATCCATCCACCTATCCATCCATCCATCCATCCATCCATCCATTTATCCACCCATCCATTTATCCATCCATCAATTTGCCCAGACACCTGCCTGTCCATTCGTCTATCTATCCACATGCCCATCCATTCTTTCATCCATCTTTTAACCCATCTCTCACCTATCCAACTGTTGATCCATACATTCATCAGTTTGTCTGTTTGTCCATCCATTCATGCATCCATCCACCTAACTACTGATTTATCCATTCATCCACTCATCTGTTTGGTTTGAGCTTCCCTAGAAAATAATGATGATGGTGGTGGTGAAGATGGTGATGGTGATGGTGATAATGATAGTGATGATATGGATGATATATTATATGTGATATGTGATAGTGCTGATATGGATGGAGGGAAGGTTCTAGGGTGAGGCTGTCCAGGTTGATTCTGGCTCTCTTGTACCAGTGAGGTGACTTTGGGCAGCCACTTCTTTTTTCTGGGCCTTGGTTTCCCTAACTGTGAATTGCAGCTAATCTTTGTGACTGACTCCCAGGTTTGTTTGTGAGGAAATGATGAGCCAGCACATGTGAAGTATGGTGTATACCTTCAATAAATGTGTTTGGATAAATAAATGAGTGCCTCCAGCCCCTGAGTGAAGTTAAAGGATAAATCAATAATTGTGGTCACTTTTGGAGTAGGGAATGAGAGAGGAGCTTAGGAATTCATTCATTCATTTACGCATTTACTTACACATTCATTCAACAAGTGCTGAGGCTGACTGTTGCCGGGCCCTGTCTTAGATATTGGGGGACACAGATGAGAAAGGGCTGTACCCTCATGGAGCTTCCCGCCTGGTTAGGGCAGGCAGGTGAGGTGGCGAGCAGCTGGTGCTCATCCAGATAATAACTGCATTGGCAAATATAAGAGAGGAGCAATGCCTGGAGCAGACCGGGGTGTGGGAGAAAGCATGGGGGGCTTCACAAAGGAGGTGGCATCTGAGTGTATGTGAGGTTTACCTGAGAGGTGACCAGGCTGTGTGTTGGAAGCGGGGCTCCAAACAGAGGAAAGCTTGCAGTCAAGGGGGCGCTGGCGATGAGAGACATCTGAGTGACCTCAGACATATGGCATCACCCTGGCCCAGGAGGTTCATCAGCCCCCTTCTTCGGTGTTCTCAGAAGTAAATATAAAATATTTAGAGCAGAAAAGTTTCTCATGCATGGTAGCTAAAGTCATTTTAAAAAATAAGCAGAAAGAAGTTCATTGAAGAACCTTCTGGGTGTGGAGAGAAAACTAACAACACCTCTGAGGTGACATAAAACCCACAGGCTTATTTACCAGCTTGAACCGACTTGAACTTTCCCAGGTTCCAACAGAGAGGCTTGGAAGGCACTCCCTGGAGCCTCCTTCCCCACCCTCCGCTGGCCCACTGGGCGCATCCTGCCCAGTGCTCCTCACACCTTCCTTCCTGAGCTCCACCATGGCCCAGCCTCCATGCCTTTTCCTTAGCTGAAATGCACACTCCCTTCCCCGCTCCCCAAAGCTGCCTTGCCCAGGAAGTCCTCTGGATTAATCAAGACAATTTGTCTGCACACAGCAGAAACCCAGTTGCTCAACTGCCACCGCCTGCAGCTAGCAGGTCCCTGGGGTAGCGTGAAAGACTGAAGGGCACCTGTGGTGACCAGACCCTCAGGGACTGGAACCGGGGCGGTATGGCAAGCTTGCTGTCACTCTCACTGTCTTTTCTGAGGGCCACGTTCTCTCCTGCTGCCGACTGACTTGTCCACAGTGCAGGGAACCCAGCAGCCACTGCTCCGTCAGCCCCAGTGACTCTGACGTGTGGATGCGGATGGGTCCCACTCAGTCCCCACGTCCAGTCGTGGACCAATTGCTGCTGCCAGGGAGCTGGGGCCTCTGGCTGAGCTGACTTGGGTCCTCACTTCAAGGGCTGTCTTGGGTTGGGTTTCCTCCGGAGCGGGTTCTAGGAGGAGGATTTGAGTGGAAGTAAGATATGGGAAGGTGAACCCCCGTTAAGCACGGCTGGGATCAGAGGAGGTAAGGCAGGAAGGGCAGGCAGGATGGGGCGTGCCCTCAGCCAGTCCCTCGGTGGCCAGCTGGGTGGGCTCCCTCCTTCCAGGGAGCACTGGAGACTGTGGGGAACACAGCACACACACCACAGAGTGATCCAGCAAGGGGCAAGGGAGCCAGGGTGCTCACCCCCACCCCACCTCACTGCATAAGGGCAGACGAAGGGTGTCAGCCAGAGGGCAGAGAGGGCCCTGATGGTCAGGGGGACAGCGTCTCTCAAGGAGGGGCTGCTGACAGCTGGACAGAAAGCCAGAGGGTGCAGAAAGGGCCATGGCCAGGGGCTGAGGGTGAGTCTCCGAGAGCCTGGGCTGTCCTGGGATCTTTCCAGGAGGAGGGCAGGTGGCCCCAGGTGACAGGCTCCTGGCCAATGAAAAGTACCCCCCTCAGTCCCCTGAGTTCCTCTGCAGGGCTGAGCTCCAGTTGCCCATGGGCATAGCCCCGGGGGATAAGGTGCCTTGACTCGCCTCCTTTCCTTCCCCGTCACCTCCTTACCCCCCTACCCCCCTACTGCTGCACCCTGGTGTTGATTCTCAAATACACTACTGTACTTGCACTTGAGTTTTGTCTCAGGATCTGTTGCTGGGGTACCCCAACCAAGACAGTGCTCCCTAAATCCTGTCTGGGCTCGGGATAGTACTATTCTGAGGGGACCCCGAGATCTTGCTTTGAAGAGTTTGGGAATAATCCCTTTGTAGGAAAGAAAGGAACTAACATTTGCCCACCACGGATAAGACAGCCAGCAGGCCTGTCACCTTTTCTTCTTATGCAATGACGCTGGGAAGTCAGTGCTATTATCAGCCCCTTTTTACAGATGAGAAAACAGTGGCTCAGAGAGAGTGGGACCTTGCTCAGCTCACACAGCTACCAAGTGACTAGGGCAGGCAGGACTTCAGCCTGGGCTCAGTGACTCTCCAGCAGTTGGGATAATGATGTTTTCCTCATCTCCAGGACTCATCTCTAAGACTCATCACTGGGGAAAACCAATTCCCTTTGATGACACGCTGGGCTGAGCTTTGCAGCTCTTGCTTTTGGGGGCAGAGTTTGGGGCAGGAGGAAGCGAGGATGTTTGCCGCAGAAACAGAAAGCTGGGGACTTGGTCCAGTCACTGGCTCAAAGCAAGTGAGTCCAGGGGGAAACTGAGGTCTGGAGAAGGTGCCACATTCTTTCCTTGCTCCCTCTTCCCCTTTCTTAAATATGTAGCCCATTCATTCATTCATTGATGGGGCACCTGCCAGCCCCCAGGCACTGTGCTGGGGCGTGGTGTGAGTCTGACATCCCACCCTGATCTCATGGTCTTACGTCATAGTGGGTGAAACAAACAGGCTAAACTAATTACAGGTTGAGGTAAGTGCTTTGCAGGAAACAAACAAGCAAATGTGTGTTTTTTGCGGGGAGGGGGCCATCTTTAGAGAGCAGAGCATGGGAAGGAGATGAGGATCAAGCAGTTCTGAAGACAACTGTGGAAACACTGCTCATTCAGTGGCATCAGCAAGTGCAAAGGTCCTGAGGTGGTAAGGTTCTCAGCACCTACAAGGAGCCAAGAGAAGGTCTGGCTGGCAGTAGTGCACAGTCAGGTTTAGGGCACGTAGAACGGGTCATCTCGGTACCCACAATGGCCCCACAGAGCCTCTGTCTCCATCTCCCCACTGCAGGGAGCCATTTTTCCTTGGGAACCTGGTTCAAAAATTTCCCAAAATATTGTTCACATTCAACAAAAGGAAGCCATCTGGCTGCCAAGCAAGAAGATGGGGACAGCCTGCCAGTTATCAACTGGACATAATTAAGTCATGGCTTTGTATCAGGCCCCTAGGGACAAGGCACGCTTTCTCCTCCCCATTGAAGGTTTGCTACCAGCAAAGAAGAGAGTGAAGTGGGTTTGCACCCTGGAGAGAGGAGGTAAAGCCAAATACTCCTCATCAGAGAAAAGCAAAAGAATCAGGAGCAAGAGCCCATCTGCAGGCCTTGAGCAGATTTCCTCATATGCCGGAGGATGTTGTCAGCCACCAAGGATGGGAGGTGCTCTCGGGGTGGGACTTGACGCTGAGAGGCCTTGCACTGACCACTCCTGGCCTCCTAGAACAGTTGGCTCCCAAGATCTGGGAGGCCCTTGGCAGTTGCCACAGCCACAAGCTTCTTGAATGACATGGTGGTCATGAGCTAAGGGCTTTGTGCATGTGGTCTCATCTCATACCCCAAAGACGTCACAGGGTAAATGTTAGGCCATTTTACAGATGAGGAAACTGAGGTTCAGAAAAGTCACAGGGTAAATGCTAAAGCCAAGGTGCAAGCCCTGATTTTGCCAGCAGCAGACTCAGGCTCTGGCCTTTTCTGTGATTTTCTCCTGTGTTTTCAAAATAAAGACAGGAGGCTGTGTAGTGGCTCCTGCCTGTAATCCCAGCACTTTAGGAGCCTGAGGCAGGAGGATTGCTTGAGGACAGGAGTTCCAGACCAGCCTGGGTAACGTAGCGAGACCCCGTCTCTACAAAAATAAAAAAAAAAATTAGCCAGGTATGGTGGCACGTGCCTGTAGTTCCAGCTAATGGGAAGCCTGAGGAACGAGGATCACTTGAGCCCTGGAGATCAAGGCTGCAGTGAGCTATGATCATGCCACTGTGCTCCAGCCTGGGTGACAGAGTCAGACCTCATTTCAGAGGAAAAAAATAATGACAGGAGCCCTGGGCTCTGCGTAGGGCTTGATGCTGAACCCAGCTGAGCCCAGTGAGTGCCAGCCCTGTTATGGTTTATTTACCCATCCCTGCCAACTTCCTCTGTGAGTCGCTGGGAGCAATTATGCTGAAAAATAAGACTGGGGCTCCCAAGCACAATCTGTGTGTGTGTGGGGCGGCGGTGGTGGGGGGCAGGGGAGCAGGGGGACTTCAGGAATGGCTTGATCAAACCTCCGGAGACTGCAGCCCCACCCTCCTTGGACTCCCTTTCTGGTTCTATCATTGGTATCCTGAAGGGACACTCCTTGGAGTCTGCTTTTTGATATTCAGTGTCACATCACATGCAGTGACGGTGTGATGGAATACAGGCAAGGCTTGGAGTCCTGCTGCCTCAGAACCACACCTGGTTTCAAATCCCATCTGCTACTTCCTGGCTTTATGACCTTGGGGCAGTGACGTTACCTCTCCTAGCCTTGGTTTGCTCATCTATAAAGTGGGGCAAACATCAGTCCCAGGGATGTTGTGAGAATGCTATGCATGATCTTGCAGACTTGTCTGCTCAGGGTCTGGAAGGTGGTGAGACCCAATGAAAGGAAGCTGTCATGACTGTGCCGAACCCCGACCCCACCGCAAGCACCGGCTGGGGTTACCGTGGCTGATCCTGACACAGACAGGCGTGGGGGACTTTCCTACTGAGGCCAAGCCCTGCACCAGGATGGCTTACTGGGTTTGTGAGCACAAAATGTAACTGTGGGGACCTATTTAAAAAATTATGGGGACTTTCAAAACAGTGACAGCCAAGCATTAAGCCAAAGGCAGGGCCCTTCTGAGCTCGAGGCCCTTCCGGGCTGTCCCCCACGACGCTGGCTCTACCACACCCAGCTAGGAACCGGAACTGTTATAACCATGCATCTTCTTTGGTGACGTGCATGTTCCAAATGTTTTGCCCAGTTTTTGCAAACTGGTTGTCTGTCTTTTTCTCACTGATTTGTTGGAATTCTTTCATGTATTCTGAATGAGTCCTTTGACAGCGGATTTTGTTGTTGTTTTTTAAATGCAGACTCAAAAAGGATGAGCAAAAGAAAGGGAAAGTGGGAAATTATGACAACAAGATTTTAGGACTTTTCAAGCGGAAGACGTGGCTGCTCAATGAGGTGTAGAAAAGAAGGTGCTCCCATGCCTCTTCTCTCTGGGGTGGGGGATGAGGCATTTGAGGCTTAGGAAGCGGGGTCATGGTCAATTCTCCACACCTCTTCCTGGCCCAGAGCTTCAGCCTGGACTTCACCCACCTCAGACTGCCTTTCCTGGCTGCGGAGTCAGAATCGTGCCTCTTCAGGAGGATGAAGGAACTCAGCCGAGGACTCGCCTGTACCCTTTTGTCCCCAGTGGGCAGCCTCAGTAGCAGAATTCCAGGGGTGTGTTTGGAGGGGACCAGTGGGGTGGAAGGAGCTCTGACCTGGGAGTCTGTGCCCAACTTCCCTGCAGGCTGGGTGGGCTCTGTGAGCCAAGGCATGCAGCTCCTCCGGGCATGTTTCCTGGGAGTTCAGGGCAAGGTCGCTCCAGCCTTCCTCCTCCCCCAGGGGAGAGTGATGGGCAGATTCAGGAGGAGCCCAGGGCTACACCCACCCTCTCAAGAGATGACCCTGGAAGGCTGTTCTGCAGGCTCCTACCCCGGCCCCCCAGGTGAGGAAGGTGGTGGGGCCTGCAGGGTTTGAAAGGGCCCAAGTCTTTAAATGGGCCCACTTCCCAGAGAGCCCTGGCCTCCCCCTCACCCGTGGGAGGTACAGGAGGAATGAAAAAGCTAAAATCATGGGCCTGGAGGAATGAATGGAGAACCAGACAAAATGAACCCATTGGCCCTGGAGGGCAGGACAGCTGCGGCTTTGGGGCTTGAGTCTGCAAACATCTGCCCCTCCCCAGACACCCAGGCTGGGGTGAAATGGGCCTGATTGGGAGGGGTGCTTCACCCACCCTGTGAAATCATCAAGAGTGAGAATAGTCACCAGCCACATGCTTCCCAGCAACCATTGCCAGGATGCTCCTCAAGCCTGCCGGGGTCTGAGGGGAGGGGACTCCAAGACCCAGCAGCAGGGGTGGGTGAAGGAGGGGGATGGAGGGTGGGGAAGGTGGGGTGGATGACGGGGATGTGGGTGGAGAGGAGGGGATGGAGGGTGGGATGGGAGGGGTGGAGAGGAATAGCGGGGTGGGTGGAGAGGAGGGGATGGAGGATGGATGGGAGGGGTGGAGAGGGATGGGGTGGGTGGACGCAGGAGTGGAGGCGAGAGTGGAGGTGGGGAGGTGGGGTAGGGTGGGACAAGATGTGTGTGGATGGAGAACATGTGGGGTACGGCAGGCTGAGGGGCAGTGACACAGCACGCACCACCCTTTCCTTCAGCTAGGCCTGCCCCTAGTCCCCCCAGCCCCCCGAGCAGACCCCACCCTCCTCAGCAACGCACACCAAGGCCTGTGGACCCCTCCAGCCACCTCCCAGTGCCCAGCTCTCCTGCCTCTGCCCTGCTGCCCTCCAGCCACGCTGGCCTCTTTCTGTTCCTTGAAGGCCCCAGGCTCTATCCCAGCCCTGGCCTTTGCCCCGGTGGCTCCCTCTGCCTGGAAGGCCTTCAGTCCCCTGTCCCATGGACACTACCTAGTGCATGGCAGAGCCAGGCTGTGGCCCAGGTCTTCGGTCTGAGGAGGCCGTGGGCTTCAGTATTTCACCATGTCGTTACCACCGTGCACTCACCAACTTGGACAGCTTAGTGGCTGCCCGGGGCCACCACAGCTCCAAGAGGGAGGGGCTCAGGGGAGTTCTGCCTCTCCGGATCACAGGCTGTGGGCAGGAAGTGACTTACCAGGGTCCCATAGTTAGTTCGGGAATCTATGACTCTTATCCCTGCCCTGGAGGTGGGGTCTGCCCTCTGTGACTTCACTCGGCTCCCTCTCCTGTTCTCACCAACTCTGACCCTGGAAGGAAGGACAGAAGGGAGGGAGGGAGAGATGACTGTCCCATCCATGGGCAATCAATGATGTCCACAGGCACAGAATTGAGTGGACCCAGGGAAGGAGGAAGAGAAGGAGAAAGTAGGGGAGGAAGTTGGTTGGGGAGGGCAGGAGGGGCCCGAGAGGCCCATTTTCTGACCTTGGGGCCACTGGTTGAGTCACACCCGGGCCTTTGAAGATTCGAGGAAGGCACCTGTGGGAGGAGTGACCTTAAGCAGATAACCTGTGGGGTCTCTGTTTCCTCATCTGTAAATTGGGGTCACAACTGCTCACGCCTCGCCCCCAGGGCCAGGACACTTGGGATGAGCACTCGTGACCTTTAATGAGCCAGGGACTGAGACTCTCACTTGGGGAGCAGAAGCAAAGCCCCCCGGGGACGGAGGGCTCACGAGGGTGGGATCTGGACATTCCCACCCTGGGCTAGTGTTCTGTTGTGTGGCCATCCTGACAGGTGTGATCATTTCGTCTTTGAGCTTGTGTTTTGTAAGTAAGACCAGGGACAGTGACACATGTGTGTTAGCAGTACAAGCGTGACCCCGTTCCCTTGCGCCCCGTCTGCATGGAGGGTTCATGATGCCCATGTACACAGAATTCTGTGGATTCACAAGGTGAGTGAGACCCAAGCTTGTGTGAGATGAGCGGTTTGCATCTATGACTGCCGGAGAGGCCACGCTTTGCTTCGGACACAGAGAAAAAGCAGGGGCACCATGCGCCATGAGCAACAGAGGGACCCCATCATTCCCTTTCTCACATCACTTCCCCATGTCAGCTGACCACCCACGCTGAAACAATGGCGCATCTTAGTCCCCCACCTTTATTAGACCATGTTGGCAAAGAGGGTGCAGGAAGATGTGTAATTTATGCTGTGAACTGGAGAGATAACTGTAAGAAATTCAACCTATAATTGTGAGGGTATTATCTCCATGACTGGAGCAGCAGGTGTCAGCCACACATGGGGAGGGACACAGCACAGCCAAAGGTAGGTGGTGTTGGTAGAATGTGCGCATATCGAGAAGCTAAGTAAAAGTGAGCGATGGCAAATATTTCTACTGTTAGTTACGGGCAAGAACACCCATGTGCACGCACAGGCCATGAAACACAAATTGTGTAATTTTGAGGATTCTGCACACAGGTTAAATGCCCTTACATTTGTATTTAATACTGACCTTGCGTCATATAAAGATGGATGACCAAATTCATGCTAATTATTTAAATATTTTAATTTACTTAGGATGATTTTGAATAGCAAATAGAAAACGCCCCGGTAAGTGAAGAGAGAGACTGCAGAGAAAAGGAAAAAGCTTTATAGCTGAGTAGGTTGAATGGCACTTTTTTCCTGCCTTCGAACAAGGGACCTGACGTTTTTATTTTGCACTGACCCCCACAAATGATGCAGCTGTCCTGCTTTCAGCAACGAGCCGGGCCCTGGTTCTCTAGTCTGTTTGTGCCCAGGATTCTGACCTGTTTGCTGCTGGGAACTGGGCATGGGGCGTAGACAGCACAGGATGTAACATGGCACCAGCGCTTGCTGAATGCCCCAGTGCCCTGCAGTGGGCTTTGCATCCATTACTTCACTTAATCCTCCCACGGGCCCTCAGAGCTGGGTCCTGCTATTATCCCCAACTTACAAAGGAAGAAACTGAGGCTTAAGAGGTGTGAAATGACTTCTGACCAGCAGACATCGAGCTCCAGCTCCTTCTATCTGTAAACTCCATGCCTTCCCCAGCCCCCATCAGGCCATCTTGCAGCTGCGCAAAGTCATCTCCAGTGGGTTCTTTGATTTTGCAAGATCTGCTTCCTTTCAACCTTTGAATATATAAGTCCCTGCCATCCTCTTATTAACTGTGTCCTTCCTTTCTCAAAGAAGTTTCCACATAAAAGTTCAGAGGGAGACAGGATGGGGAGGGGAAACTGAAAAAAGGCAGTGGATTCTTTATGTTTTATTAATTGTCAGATGTTTCTTGTTTCTTTGTTTCAACCTGGTTCGAATCCTGTTAGCCTTGGCTACGCAGATCAGAGCATAAAGGGCCACCAGCCCAGGTCTGCGGCGTCAGTTTAAGTGTTAATTATGTTTTCATATCTGCTATAAACTCCTGTTTGGGAGAGCCTGGGTGTTCTTAAAATAAATGGCAATATAAAATTGAAAACAGCTAGCATTCCTGAATCAATTTTCACATCTTATAACTTTGAAGCATAATTCATTTCTTCCTCTCGAGCGCCTGTGGCGACGGGGACAGCCTCACGCCTGCCGTGTAATTTCATAAGGAGCAAATCAGTTAGTAATCTGCAGCATCTTCGTGCCTCCCCACCCTTGGAGCCCTTAAATAAATGCAAGAAATGCCAAATCCCCCCACTTTATTAGACCTTGTTGGCGAAGAGGGTGCAGGGAAGACGTGTAATTTATGCTGTGAACTGGAGAGACAACTGTAAGAAATTCAACCTATAATTGTGAGGGTATTATCCCCATGACTGGAGCAGCAGGTGTCGGCCACATGGGGAGGGACACAGCACTGAGCTTGCACGTGTCAGAAGTGTGACACCAAGGCGATCCGTGGTTGCCTTAGTTGCCATGTTCCTTAGAATAGGCTTTTCTTTAAATATACATATATTTAAATTGAGGTATACCATACATAGAGCACACAAGTCTTGCAAAACGTGCCACTTAGTGCGTTTTTGCACATACGCCTGCTTGTCTAACCCCCACTGTGATCAAGCTATAGAGTTCCCCTTTCCCCACTCCCAGGCTGACCTTCCCGCTAGGGGAATCCCTATTCTCCCTTCTATCACCGTAAATTAGCTCTTCTTGTTCTTGTACGTTGTATACATGGAACCATACAGTATGTGACCTCGGGCACTGTCTTCTCTTACTCCTCATGATGTCTCTGCAGTTCATCCCTGTTATGTGCATAGTGGAGCCCGCTCTTTTTCACTGCTGTGTAGTATTCCATTGCATGACTCTGCCATTGTCAATTCATCTGTTGTATTGTGGATGGGTATTTCAGTTCTTTGTAGTGTGTGGGCTGTTAGGAATTGTGTTGCTATCAGCATTAGAAGAGATTTAGCTTCCTTATATTAAAAACTGGATGCCCTCCTCCCCGCCACCCTGTGCACACAATCACACACACACAGACACACACACACACACACACGTGCATGAGCACTCATGTGCACTGGAGTTTGTACCCACGCATTGTCACTGTTCTTCTCCTTCACTGTTTTGACTGACTCAGGAGTCACAGGAGCAAATGCCTTGTCCTCAGCGCCTGGCTGGGAGGCTCTGGTGACTTTCAGGAAACGAAGTCATCATTTCTAAGCCACCAGCTTCTGATTCCGCAGTTCCTCTGAAGTCTACGAGTTCCCAGGGGACGTCGTTTCCCTTCCTGGTTCCTGGCAGTGTGTTGCCTTTATTCTGAGTTAACTACTAGACCTAATTAAACAGCACCATCTCCTCAGAGTGGCTGATTTTCTTCCTGTCTGAATACAAATTAAACTCCCATGCCATTAACATTCAGGTCAGTTGATCGGAATCAACCTCTTTTAAAACTCAAAGGCCAAAGTGATTTCAAAGTCAGTCACACACCTCCCATCTGCGGGGAAGGGCCTGACGTGGTTATCTTCGAGCTGACCCAGCTTGGGAGCTGCCTGAGGACAGAAAGTTTCTTCACAACTGAGTCAGGATGACACAGTGCACGGGCTGCCCGGCGGGGTTTGCTTGGGAGGCCCAGGGTGATCAGAGACTGTGGGCCTCATTTGTTTGCTGTTTCACTCCCTGCATCATGGAGATTTAAAGTCCTTTCTTTCATTTACCCAGTCCCTTCACTGAGCAAATACGGGTTCAGTGCCAGGTACTGTGCTGGCCCTGGAGCTGCTGAGCATACGGCGTGATGTTGCATTGGGCCGCACGGATTGCACACGTGTGGGTGAGATGCGAGACAGCCAGCGTCAAGAATGTCTCAGGCTGTAACCCTGATGGTGCGTGGGGAAATGCCTGTCATGCAGTCACGCCCTTCCTCTACAGTGCACACCTGCTCCTGCAATTCTTCAAGCGGTGAGCAGCTGAGTGCTCTGCTGGTGGGTCCTCATTGAGAGCCTGAGCTGACGGTCCAGTCTCTCACCCAGGTCATTCCAGGTAGACACAGCCCCAGCATCGAGAAGGGAGCTCTCCAGGGTGTCCCTACAGTGATGATACTGCCAGATGGGGAGGGCATGGTGCCCGCCACCCCTCAGCAAGGCGGGAAGGCTCCAGGGCCCTGACCATTTCCCACGGCGTTTCTGTGGATGTGAAAACTTTCCTCGCCCTCAGAAGTGGGTGTGTTAAGTGCAACCGTTGACCGGGGGCAACTTCTGAACCCTTAGGAAACAGGGATCGTTTCCTTCCCTGGCCGTCTGGTTCCAAGTCAGGGACGTAGTGGATATTACAATTTGGGGACGACCACAGGCTGGGCCCTGCTGACGGCCTTGCATAGTTGGCTTGTTTAGAGTGGAGCAGATGTCAGGGAGTCTGACTGAGAGTGGATTAATGAGGGCACAAAGGCTGAAGGTTCACAGTGCTCGGGGGGTCGGGGGTGGGAGGGGTGAGGGGATAGGGTGGGGCTGTGTGTGTGCAGGCTGCAAAGCCGGCCCAAGACTGACTCACCTGTCATGGGAGCCCTGGAGGGGTCTGCGGGGCTGTCATCATTTGGAATCAGAAACAAGACATCTTGGCTGAGTTGTGCCAGTCAGGGTTCAAGTTCCCTGTACTCAGTTGGCCTCCTTGGCCTCGGTTTCCCCGCCTCTAAATGGAAGGATGTAGCAGCTATGGTCGTCTGCTTCCCAGCAGCCATGCTGCCGTTCTCTCTCCTACAGTGGCCTGGCTTCGTTCAGGGATCCACCGTCGTCCAGGTGGTCCAAGCCCTGGCTCCAGCCTAGTCAATCAAGGCAGTCCCATTTCTCCAGGGGTTCATGTGTGCCCAGCTGTGACCAGTGAGAACTGAAGAGAGGCGGTTCTGGGACATTTTCTTTGTTCTGAAAAGAAGATGCACCTGGAGCCGTGTCCCCATCCTGTTGTGTGTAGTCCTGTCTGCATGTCATTCCTGGGGCCCTGGCAGCCATCTTGGAACCATGAGGGGACCCTTCACAGCCAAGCCAATGTGTCAAGGTGGTGGAGCAGCAGGGGGTTTGGGAAGAACCTGATTCCTTCATAACCATTGACCAACCCTAAAGCTCCCTCGCCCCTGGGTTTCTTGGCAGGCCAGAAATTCAGGTCCTCTTCACGTATGCCACTTTGAGCTGGGCTCCCTGCTGCTGGCAGCTGAAATCCTATGAGATAGAGGAGGAGAGAGTGAGGAGGGTGGGGATGGTCACTCAGGCAGGACGCTCTGCCCTGATGCCCTCTCATTCCTCATGGCCTTAGAGAGCTCAGTTCCAAACACAGCAATGATAGCGAAGGATTTATCACCAGTGCGCAGAATAGGGGGGTAGTTAGTGGAGGAAAAGTTAGTGAGAGGAGACATCTCACGTAGGGGATTTCTTGCTGAACTGAATTAACGGGATCCCTGCTGAAGGCAGGCCATGGTGATGAGATGTAAAGTGTGGGGGATGAGGAGCTGGATCAGGTGCCAAGGGAGAGGGGAATGACTTCTCAGCATTCTCCGTTAAAGCTGGCCCAAGCAGGCGAGGGCAGGGCCCAAACTTGAGGCCTGGCTGAGAAGAGGCCTCAGAGGATCCTGCCTGAAGTGTGGTCAAGGACAGAGTCATCATCGGTCCTCAGCAGTCAGCACCTTTCGAGGGTGGCTTTGGCTGAAGGAAAGTGCCTCACTAATCTCACGCCTCCTTTCAGGATGGCTCATGCCCAGCGACTGATCAGCGCAGGGATGTGAAGGCCTGGACCTTTGCCCCAACTCAGAACACGTCTAAGGGGCCACTCCAGCTCCAGAGCCGCCTGTGGAGTTGGCTGAGGCCCGTGTTGAGGCCATGCTGCATCTCGATTCCTCCCTTTCCCCATCCTGCCTCTGTCCCCTCCCAAAGGCGTCCAGCTCGAGGGCACACCCTAGTAAAGTCGTGCCTGGGGAAAGTCAGGCCAGATGAGCCTACAGACCCACCATGCTGCTAGAACAGTGTGGTTAGGAACTCCCCAGTGTTTGTTTTGCCAAATTGCTCTGGAAAATAGAGGCGCTTTGGGAGGGGAGAGTGGGCGTGAAGGAGAGCAGGGTGTGAGAGGGGAGGAGAGAGACTGCGGTGACCCGATGCAGCTGTCCGCAGTGGTGTGTGAACAGGTGTCATCCTGTTCTTCGGCTCCTCGGGAACCTCCAGTAAAATCTGTTTTACTCACAGTGTTTACTCACCGTGGTTTCTGAGGTTGGAATTTTTGTGGGGGAAATGGAGGGACAAGATCGGAGATTTGCAGCACAGGGAGCATGGGGTAAACCTAGAAGTCACCCATGGAGGCCAGTTCCATCAGGCCTCATTACTGGACAACCGCTGTGTGTGCCCTCCAAGGTGGATGAGTCTTATCACCCCGTCTTACAGAGGCAGAAACTGGGGCCAGAGTGCCTGGATAACATGGCAGTTAGGTGCTTGGGTTTTTGAGTGAGATGGGCCTGGGTTCGCATCTTTGCCCCGTGACTCACCAGCCATGTGACCTTGGACAAGTTCTTTAAGCCTCCACATTCATTTCCCTCCTCCATTAAAGTGTGGCAGTGTGGATCGGTGATGGGCAGCAGGGCTAGGGGCCAACGGCCAGGAGCCAAGTCCTGTCATCACTGTTCACAGGCTTTGTGACTCTGGGCGGTTTCCTTAAGCTTTCTTTGCCCAGCTCTGTCATCTATACATTAAGAATAATGATAGTTGTTCAGATGAGAAAAGTTATTTATTGGAAAACATTAGAATAGTGCTTAGCACATGTGAAGTGTCACATTCATGTTAACACTTAGTATTTTCATCAGTATTCTAATATTTGTTTGCGGTGGGGGTTAGCTAAGTAGCTATACTTCTCTCTCTAACTCCATCTAAAAGGTGTACAGGAAAAGGGCCACCAAGTTTCAGGGTCCAGGGGAAATTGCACTTTACTTTGACCTAGAAAAACGGTTTTCCTAGTTTTTCAAGTACCCAACCATTGTGATTGGTTTCTGGAACACCACTGTCATGGTTTTGGACTTGATCTTACTTTCTGTTTAGAGGAGAGCGTTTCCTATGTCTATTGCAGGCCTGTGCCACCCAGGCTGGGTCTCTTCTCTGCTGTGTCTGCTATGAAATGGTCTGGTGTTGTCCCTGGGTATGTGGGCCTTCGGCTACTTACTGGGGGAGGAAGGTCCTGTTCCAATCCAGCCAATAAATCAACAGACCTGAAACAGAGTTGAGGGGTCAAGAAATAAATCAGCGTGTGTAGGAGTGCATGTGTGTGGGTGAGTGTGTGAGCGTGTGAGGGAGTGAGAGTGTGTATGAGTGTGTGACTGTGTGAGCATGTGAGTGTATGAGCATTTGTATTTATGTGTGTGTGAGAGAGAGCACTTGTGTGTGCGAGAGCATTTGTGAGTGTGCATGTGTGCAAGGACACCTGTGTGTGCATGTGTGCGAATGTGGGAGAGTATCTGTGAGCTTGTGCCAGTGTGTGGGGGGCAGGCATGCTAAAGCAGGGAAATGGGGAAGAAAGAAACACAAGTGCAGTTATTTATTTTTTTCTTTGAGACAGAGTTTTGCTCTTGTCCCCCAGGCTGGAGTGCAATGGCGCGATCTCGGCTCACTGCAACTCCACCTCCCAGGTTCAAGTGATTCTCCTGCCTCAGCCTCCCGAGTAGCTGGGATTACAGGCATGCGCCACCATGCCTGGCCAATTTTTGTATTTTTAGTAGACATGGGGGTTTCACCATGTTGGCCAGGCTGGTCTCGAACTCCTGACCTCAGGTGATCCACCCACCTTGGCATCCCGAAGTGCTGGGATTACAGGTTTGAGCCGCTGCATCTGGCCAAGTGCAGATATTTTTATCACTTTATTTCAGAACGGAAACCTGTTTTTAGATATGAAAATAATGTATGCCCACTGTAAAATAAAAACAGATAATTTAAAAAGTCGTAATGAAGAAAATAAAAATTACTAGGAATCTCATTAATTGGAAACAGCCTCTAGCATAATTTTAGGTTATGTCTTTCCTGAATTATTTTATGATAGAAAAAGTTTTACATAGGTAATATATTCACCTGGCTCAAAAGCCAGAATACACAAGGTACCCAGTAAAGCCCGTTTGCATCCCTGTGCCCCTTGGCCCTGCCCCTCCCACCCCACAGATGACATCCTTCACTAGTTCTTAGTGACAAGGATCTCCCTCTCTCTCTCTCTCAATAGATGTATTATATTTATCCTGTGTTTTATACTCAAAAGATATATCATATATATTTTTCTACATCCTGCTGTTTGCAACAATACATATTAGAGATTTTTCCACATCAACACTTAAGAGTTCCCTGTTTAAAAAAATAGCTGGGCTGGGCACAGGTCCCTGCTCTCTGGGAAGCCAAGGCAGGAATATCATTTGAGGCAGGAATTTGAGCAACATAGTGAAACCTCATCTCTACAAATAAAAATGAAAATAAAAAATTAGCACAGTGTGGTGGCGCTCACCTGTGGTCCCAGCTACTTGGGAGGCTGAGGCAGGAGGATGGCTTGAGTACAGGAGTTTGATGCTGCAGTAAGCTATGATGACACCACTGCATTCCAGCCTGGGCAAAGAGTGAGACCCTGTCTTTTTTATATATATATTTTATATATATAAATATATTACATATTTAAAACATATATATGTTATATATATTTTATATATTTTTATAGATTATATATAATATACATTTTATATTTTTTATATATTATATATATACACACACATATATATTATATATAGATGTATGGTATTCCATCTTATGGCTGTACTGTGACTCATTTAACCTTCCCTTTTTTATGCATGCAAAAATATGCCAACACACACAGTTTTAAACAATACCAAAGTCTTACACATACAATTTTATTCACTGCTTCTTCGTGCATTAACAATTTACAGTGAACATTTCTTGTCACTCAATATTTGTCGACATCCTCATTTTTAATGATTTCACATTATTCCATTGTTTGAATGAGTCTTCATTTATTTTACCATTTCCCTACTATGGGCATTTAGATAGTTTCTGCTTTTTGCTCTTACAAGTGGGGCCAGGAACAAATGTCCTTATTCATTTTTATGCACTTGTCTCATTTTTTGCTTAAGATGGATTCCTGGAGACCGAATTCATCACATCACAGGGCATGCGTGACTCTGGTGCTTTTGTGACATGTTGCCAATTGCCCTCCGGAAAAGCTGGGCCAGGCGACCACCCACCAAGAGCAGATGTAGTGGCCCCTCTTTGCTGGGCACCAAGCTTGTTTGCAAATCTTCCCCATGTTCGCTGATTAAATGGGTGAACAACAGTTCAATTAATTTAGGGAGCATGACCCTACATTTGTCTTCTCAAGTAAAAACCAAGATCCTAGGAGGCACTGAGAAAGAAATAGGTGGGTTCCAGGGGGGCCAGGCCCTGCTGTGGGACTCCTGCAGCCTGTTTCCCAGAGTATTGAATTTGGGTCAATGCTCTGATCTGGGAGAGATGAGGGCAAACGTTGAATATCCTGGAAGATGATTCTCTGTGCTTTCTGAATTTATTCTGATTGGGATCCTTTGGTTAGAGATGGGGGTATTCAGTTCACTGTCTTCTAATAATGACAACATTGAGCACTTATGGGGTACTTCCTGGGGACCTAGCACTAGAACCAAGATTCCCACATGGATTGTCTCATGGAATACTTCCAAGAACTTTAGGAAGATATTTGTTTTTTATCATCATCCCCATTTGATGAATGAGGAAGTGGAGGATCAGAGCCTTAAGGTGACTTTCTCAAGGTGACCCTATGGTAAGGGATGGGGCTGGGTTTTTACTCCAACTTTTTAATATGAAAATTATCAAGTATACAGAAGAGTTGGAGGGACAGCGCTGTGAATGCCTGTGTGCTCACCACCTACATTTGACAGCCGTATTTGATGTGTGTGTGTGCGTGCGCACTCTTTGAATGTATGTTACAGGCATCATGACAGTTCATCCCTAAATACTTCAGCTGTGCATCCTAAGAAAAAGATCCTTTATGTCCTCATCACCATTTTCTCACCTAAGAAAACTAACAAGAACTCCATAATATTATCTATTATTTGGTCTGCAATCAAATTTCCACATTTTTTCCATTGCTCCAAAATCCTTTTAGCTGTTTTGCTCTTGAACCAGGATCTAACAACTTTCTCACATTGCATTTAGTTTTTACATCTCTTGAGTCTTTTACAATCTAGAATGTTCTCTCCTTACTTTTCCTCCCCAGAACATTGACTTTTTGAAGTGAACAAACTGGCTGTGTTGCAGAGGGCCCTCAGTGACGCCGAGTGTGGTTGCTTGGAAAAGATGATGGCCACCAACCATTCTGTGGTGAAAGCTTCTGTTTTCTCTTGGAAATTATTCTGTAGGAGGGTATTTTGGCCCCTTGCAAAGAACTTATCCCCCCAATACCCTCTCACCTAATGGCTTTTGGATCCATTGATGATTCTTTTCTGGATCGGTTATTTCAATGGGAGTTGCAAATGGTGAATTTGCTAAGGTGCTCTTCCTCTTGCATTGATGAGCAGGCATTCTGCTCCAGAGAAGAGCGTTCTCTCAACCAGGGCATCAGCCTGTCCCTTCTAGGATGGCTGTGTCAATGGGACCAGGGTGTGCACAGAAGTTCCTCCATGCAGGTCCACAGCAGACATAATCACCCTCTTTTGCACCCTCCTCTCTCTCACAGCACACTACAAACTTTCATCTCCAGGCTCTGAACGAGCTTCCAAAATCATGCCCTTGCACTCCTCCTTGGACCAGGAGGCAGCCACTTAAAGGTTTTTGGAAATTTTGCCCACCACCTCCCAAACAAGCAAACTGCTGGAAGTGTTTGCTCTGGGACAGGTCTTAAGAGGTGTGTGCCTTGGCTTGGGAGCAGCTCGGGTCTGGGCAGCCTCGGGTCTTTGCTGGGCAGGTTGAGTGAGATACAGCATCACCCTAGGAACAGGCATAGCCTGGATTTTGGGGACTGAGGGAGTGAGGTTTCAATCCCTACCCTACTAGCTATGTTGCTTTGGGGAGTGACAACCCCTCTGAGTCTCAGCTTCTCTGCCCTCATCGTGGGGCTCATGATGGTAAGGCTTACCGCAGAGGCCGCATGTGCTGTTCCCATGAAATAATGTAGAGGAGAGGGCCTGCCACTGTGTGCCAGTCATTTTCCTATTAATTATCTGCTTTTTTTTTTTCTTCACAACAACCATGCCAGGATGATTCTGTGGCTGCTTGTAGTAATAGGACTCTTTTGGTCATAAGCAACAAAAACCCATCTCAAACTAGCTTAGGCAAGAATGGGTATTTCCTCAGGTACAGTGGCTCATGTAACCAGTTAAGCCTCATGATCAAGGGCCTTGAGCGCTGGGACTCAGTCCCTCTCACTGTTCTTGTTTCTGGACACTGTTTTTCTCTGTGTTGGCCTCAGCCTCAGTCCACCTCTCCCGTCTTGGTGCCTAGATGGCCTCTAGACGCTTCAGGATTTTCTCTCACTTGCATTATTGGTTTAGGTGAAGAGAATGTCTCTGTCCTTCCGGCTCCAACAGAAATCCCAGAGAAGTCTGACTGGCCTGTTTTGAGTGATAGGCACATCCTGAACCAACCTCTGTGGCTGGAGGGATCCAGTTTTTGATTGGCCGTAATCAGAGTCAGACACCACCCTTAGAGTTGGAAGTGGGGTCAGCTCTATTCCTCAAAAGAAAACTGGGGTGCTGTTCCCAGAGGAGATGGGACAGATGCTAGGTAGACAAAAATAACATGTCCCTTGCACTTTGGGTCTGTGGATCGACGGGGGGATGCTTGCTGGGTGAGGGAGCCCCCACATGCCTGGCCAGCGAGAAGCAGAGGAGCAGAATCGTCAGTGGGGCCTGGGAGGAGGACCACCGACTCACACTGAACTCCCAGCCTAAGCCGCGATTTATATTTAGCACGAGGAAAACTGTCAGGCTCTTAAATATGTATGGGATTGGAAGAGCCAGGAGGGAGAGAAAGTGCAGATTCTGCATGTGCCAGCGAGGAATTAATTAGAAATAAACCATATAGGAGAAGCTGTCTAAATTCTGTTCTGCTTTTGATCTGGCTGCCAACCGATGACTTCGGGAATTCTCCACCAAGCCGTGACCACCTGGGCCTCGCGGGCAGCCCCTCCAGAACACCATACACCCGCTCCGTGTCCCTGATAGGTGGAGAAGACTGGGGCCTGCCTTCCTCTGCCTGACCCTGTTGTCACAGCTCAGCCTGGGGGTGACTCACTCCCATGGGGGTTGCAAATCTAGATGCCATCATTGTGCCTGTCCCTTGGGAGGTGGGACTGTTTACAAAGCAGGGGGCGGGCAGGACCTGGGTGTTGGTGGAGACCATCTGCAGCCCTTTTTTTTTTTTGAGATGAGTTTCACTCTTGTCGCCCAGGCTGGAGTGCAGTGTCACGATCTTGTCTCACTGCAACCTCTGCCTCCCAGGTTCAAGAAATTCTCCTGCCTCAGCCTCCTTAGTAGCTGGGATTACAGGCATGTGCCACCACACCTGGCTAATTTTTTGTATTTATAGTAGAGATGGGGTTTCGCCATGTTGGGCAGGCTGATCTCGAACTCCTGACCTCAGGTGATCTACCCACCTCAGCCTCTCAAAGTGCTGGGATTACAGGTGTGAGCCGCCATGCCTGGCCCATCTGCACCCCTTTCTGGAGCCACCCAGGTGGCCTAGAGTGCAGACCCTCTCCCAGGGACCTCTGCACCCTCAGCTCTCACTCCACTTGCTGGCATTGACCATGATCAATGTCCATTATCACCAGCCAGGTGTCAGACGGGGCACGGGCTGGGCCTCTGCTGAGTCCGGTGACACCTGGCCCTGGGCTGGGCGCACAGCAGGTGCTTTTCAGGTACCAGTTGGAGTCACAGCTCTGAACTGGAAGTGACCTGGAGCCAGAATGATTTTTTGTTTTTTTTTTTGAGACAGGATCTCACTCTGTCACCCAGGCTGGGCTCAGTTGATCCTCCCACCTTAGCTTCCACAGCTGAGTAGCTAGGACTCCAGTTACACACCACCACACCCAGCTAATTTTTGTATTTTTTGAAAAGATGGTGTTTTGTCATGTTGCCCAAGCTGGTCTTGAACTCCTGGGCTCAAGCGATCTGCCCACCTTGGCCTCCCAAAGTGCTGGGATTACAGGCATGAGCCACCGCGCCCCACCCAGAATGATCTTTTAAAAACAACTCGTCATGTCACACCCCTGCCTAAGATGCTTTGGGGACTTCTCCTGGGCCTCAGGATAAAGCCCCTGGTTCCCACTATGCTATGCAGGCCCTGCCACCTCTGCCCCCACCAAACCCCCCACCACCTCTTCCCTCCTGCCCCTTGTGGACCAGTGTCATTCCCACTGGAGTGTTTCTGACCCTCAGAAGGGCTGAGCTTACTCCCCGCCCAGACTGTACCCTGCAGTTTCCTCTTTTGGAACTCTCCAGCCCCAGATCCCCATGGGTTGGGTTCTATTTGTGAACTGGACCTCATGTCATTTGTCAGCCTTCAAAGTATCCCTGTGTTTTATGTTTTTAAAGCATTTATCATCATGTGACAGCATCCTCTGTAATCAGGTGATTACCTAACTGTAGTTTGTTTCTTCTACAAGATTTAAGTAATGAGAGGAGAGAGACAGAGAAAGAGAGAGAGAGAGAGATCAGCACTGGCTGGTTGTCTTGGTCCCCAGAGCAGTACCTGGCACAGAACAGTGCTTAATGTATGTAGTTTGAATAAAATAAGTTTTTTTGATTGCATTTTTAGAATAAATTAATGAACATATAAAGAGCATTCAGAAGTCTTCATATTGTCTTTTAAATATTTCTATTTTTTATTGCGGTAACTGTAAATTCAAATGCCATTGTAAAAAATAATGCAGAGAGATCCTTCGTACATTTACCCGTTTCCCCCAGTGGTAACATTCTGTACAGCCATGGTACAGTAACACAGCCAAGCTGCTGACAGTGACAAAATCCATCACCATCCCTCTGACATCCCCAGTGGTCCTTGCTCTCATCTGTGTATGTGGATTAATGTTCTTTTATTGCCTGTGTAGGTTTGTGTCTCCACTGCCACAGTTAAGATGCTGGACAGTTCCAACACCACAAGGAGCTCTGAGCTGTCCTATAACCACAGCCACCTCCCTCCCATATACTATTTTGAAAAGCCATACAGTTTTTGTTGCAATTAATTCCATGCAGAACTCCGTTAGGAAGTGCCAGGTGGATGCCGGTGCTGGCTGGTTCTGCAGCGGCCGCACACCTCGCTCTGCGCACCCATCAGACACCACCCTGGGGGCTCCGGCCCAGACCTGGGATCAGGAACAGCCAGGATCTCAAAATCCACTATGGAGGTGGCTAGGAAGCGCCAAGGGGCTCAGTGTCAAGCCCTAGAGGCCCTGGTCCAGTGCTTGCCTTCCTGGGTGTCAGCTAGGGGTCCTGGGACCTGAGCTAGAGGCAGGACATGAGCTGGCGGGGCCCAGCCCAGCACTGAGAGCCTAGGGGATAAGCTGTGGGGGTGTCTCAGGCTTTGTGCCTGAGCTAAGGGGTCCTGAGCCCAGCCCTGATGGCCCAGGGTGTGAGCAAAGGACCCTGCCCAGCACTGGTAGTCACATTAGGTCCCCCCACGGTCGGATCATGCTTGTCTCACTCCCTTTTCGAGCCCAAGTCTCCTGCCCCCTGGGCAGTTCTGTGAGTAGCCAGGTTTCCTGTCAATAAACTCCTCGTTGGCTGAGATCAGAGTCAGTATCTGTCCTACAGCTCAGAGTCCCCAACCCCGGCAGGCAGCGCCTCATCTCCACCTCTGCAGAGTGACCTCTCTGCAAGCGTCCAGCCAGTGCCAGTGTGGTGCTCCATTCAGAGCTCAGAAGGCCCTCCCAGGGCGCAGTGGGGCCCAGGGGTGCTTTTAGGCACGAGCTCACCACCAGGCCTCTTTCTGCTGAGCCACTGGGGCCTTCTCTGCCACAGAGACTCACTCGAAGACTTTTGCTCATGATCTTGAATTCCATTTAAGGACATCGAGGCACAGGAAAGCAGCCCACATGCTGCAGGGCCAGGATTAAACCCCACACAGTCCACTCCTGCAGCTCAGTTCCCCCCGACCCCCACCGACTTCTGGGGTCCTCTGGGACAGAAGCTGGGCAGGTTTCTTCTCAGAACAGTCTCCGCCAGCAGCTTCATTTATGCCCTCAGCTGGGACCAGCCCATCTTTTCCCAGTTCAGGCCCCCTAATCCCTATGACCCAACTCCCTCCACGTTCGCCACCAGTCACCATTTAATTTACACCCAATCATAGGGGCCCATCTTTGCTCTGGTTTCGAGAAAACTACTCAAGATTCTGACTTCATCCCATTTTACTTTTTTCCCTTGTGAAGACTGGAATTCAGGGATATTTATCTTGCTGGGCCTGCGAAAGCTTAAATAAAGTAAGCTTTATCTGTTGGAAGCTGTCAGCTGATAAAAAAGAAAAGAATTAAGCATATTCCTATTTGATGAACTATGCAGAGAGGGTCAGCTTTCTGTCGTTTGGCTTCATTGTTCTCTGCAGAAACAGCCACATGCCCACTTTGAGAACTGCCTCGGGACTCCAGTCTCTGACCCCTAAAGCCTGTCTGGACATTCAGACGTCTTGCTAACAGATGGACCGCTGGTGCGGCAGCAGCATGTGGGCGGGGGGAACGTTTGCCACTTCAGGGACGGCCATGGAGGGTGTTTCTCAGGACAAGAGCACATCCATGTCCCTCCTTTCCTGCAAGCCTTCAGGGATTCCCATGCGGGGAGCCTCATTCCCTCCTGGGAAGCACCTTTCCTCCTTCCAGGGGAGCCCCCTGTGGCTAGATCATCTGCGCTTCCATTCCAAGGGCAGAGTCTGACAGGGTGGACCTTGGAGACTGATGTCTAGAGGGGACTGAAACCCTGCTGGGAAGTGCAGGTTCCCCAAGATGTGCCCCACCCAAAGTCCCTCTCCACAGGGGCAGAAAGTCAACTTTTAAAACCTGTGTGGGTTACACCACTCCTGCCCACTTCCACAGCCACCACCCAGGGCCAGGCCACCGCCTCTCCCGCCTCTCTTCCCTGGTCTTCCCGCTCTGTCCTCACCCAACTGTGCTCCAAGTAACAGGTTACAGCAGATCACTCCTCTGTTCCAAATCCTGCCATGTTCCCATTTCACACGCCCCTAAACCTGCCCCCTCCCCACTTTTCCTCCTCCTACCCCACCCCCTGTCATTGTATCCAGCACTGCAGGGTTCCTGGCAGTGCCTCGAACATGCCAGGCACACTGTGGCCTCAGGGACTTTGCACTGGCTATTCCCTCTGCCTGGAATGCTCTTCCCCCATATACTGGCACAGCTCACACCATCCCTCCTTCGTCTTCCATCAAATGTCACCTTCTCAATGAATTCTTCCCTGGCCATGCTATCTTGCAGTGCTACTTGTTCCCATCCACACCCCATCCTCAGTATCTTGTCCATCTTGCTTTTTCTTTCCATAGTGCTCATGGCCTTTACAAATAGTAGTTTCTTTATTTATTATGCTTTTGTTCATTGTCTGTCTCCTTTTGTACAAGGGCAAAACTCTGGCTACTTTTTTCTCTGTTACATCCACAAAGCCTGGACTAGTCGGAGTTTGATAAAATATTTGTTAATGAATGAACAGATACAGTGGCTCGTTGTGGAATGCAGGGGATTCTGGATAGAGTTGGGTTCGTACACAGGGATGGCTGGATGCATGTTCATAGAATAAGCAAGTTTATTTTGTGAGGATTTTACTTACGGATAACCTTCATGTTGGCAAATGACCAAGGTCTTTTCCAATAAGAACTGACAAACTCAACACCGATTCCTAAAGCTTTGCAGAAAATCTCAAACATTCCTTTTTGCTGTTAGAAACAGAACACCTGACTCATACCGGCTTAAGCAAAAAGGAAATTTATTAGATCATGTGATCCCAAACCATCAGGGAGTAGTTCTGGCTTCAGGCAGGGGTGGATCCAACATTGGCTTTCTCACTCTGTTACTTGGTCCTGTTCTTCTCCACGTTGTCTTCATTCCGAGGATCCACTGGTGGCAATGTGGCTGCCAACAGCCCCAAACCTCTATCTTCCAAGTCAGAAGGAACAACTCTCTACCTGTTGGCTCCAGTACAAGTCCTAGGATTCACTTGGCTTGAACCAGGAGGACATGGTCAGGCAGGGTCACCTGTCCCACCTAGGAATGAGGGAAGGGCAGTCCCCAAGGGATATCCAGGGTCCCTTTGCCAGGGCAAGGTGTGGTGGATGCTGGGTGGCAACAGCAACATACGTCAACCTCTGGAAAATTGTTTGGAAAAGTCCCTCCAGGGAGCTGGCCAAAACCTGCTGGTGGAACGTGTCCCAGTGGCTTTGTGGAGCAGCATCAGTATCAGGTCATCATTTCATGTCCAGATGCCACTGCAAACACTGCTCCATGCTACAGGTTGCCTGGGAGCCCAGAGCCATCTTTCTAAAACTTGTTCCTCTCTGGCCTCAAATACCTAAAGCTTGGGCTCTGCCTTGGCTCCCAAGAGCCAACTCCAGTCAGCCTCCCAGCTGCATCCCCCAATATGATGATGCGTGGCCCAGCCCTGGGCGCCTGCCCTGAGCCCACCAGCCCCACCGTCACTGCCTTCACTGCCCCTTTGCCACAGGAGTCCTGGAATGACCTGTCAGTCCTCCTCTCCATTTCTCCAACTTGATTGATTCTTCCGGATCCTCTGCCCAGCCTCCAGGGGAGTCAGCCCCAGCAGCCAAGCCACCGCAAGGCCTCCTGGTGCTATCAGTCTGTCGCTACCCCTCCTTCACTGGCAAGGACTCACAGAGTATCCCTGGTGTGTGTGGACATCTTTCTCTCCTTCCCTCCCCTCTGCTGTGGTCCCTCCCCTCGTCTGTGTGCCTGTCATCTAGTGACATGATGATAATGGCAAGGACAATAGCAGCAGCTATAGCAGATACTGGCAGGGGCCCATCCTGTCCCCACTGCACCCAACCTGCAGGGTGCCAATGGCTTCCTTCATCTCCCACCTCAGGGTTTCTCCTGGCACAGGAGGAATATTCTGGACCCACATGTAGAAGCGGAGAGCACAACTGTTGGGGTGTTAAAGCCTCCCCACTCCTCTCCCCGGGAGGAGCCCTCAGCCAATGGCAGCCCGGAGTTGGGTGAAGATCCCTTGGCCCTTGCTGGGTCCATGCTGAGGCATGTCCCATGCACTTTCTAAGCAGGTCCCTGACCATAGGCTGACCCCTCATGAGCACAGCTTGTGTTGATTTGCCCTCCCTAGAGCCTCACTTTCCCACTCCCACACTGCCTGGATCACCTCCTGAAAACCGCCTGCACCAAAATCCTTGTCTCAGGCTCTGCATGTGGGGAACCCCAAACTAAGAAAACAACAAACCAAATGCTTGCCCGGTGCTAAGTGCCATGTTGGTGTTCTCTTTAAGCATTTATGCATTATATGAACCCATGCAGAAGTTATTATCTCATTTATAATTGAGCAGGACAGAGGCTTGGGGAGGGTAAGTGATTCAGCAGCCAGGGTCACACTGCTGACAGGAGCTGGCTCAGGACTCAGTGCAGTCCGCCTATCCCTGATGTCTGGGCTCCTGACCACTCTGCGATGCTGAGTGATGAATGCATGCACAGAAGACTGGCATGTGGGCCAACTCCAAGACGAAAGGAGAAATGGACCCAGATGGGGGAATGAGTGTGGCCACGGTCGCAGGCACATCAGAACACAGCTAGGAGAAGAGGATTCTCTGCTCAGCAGCCAGCCCACTCCTTCTGGAACAGTCATTCCAGACCTGTGCCATTGAGAGTAACTGAGAGCTCCTTTCATCCACACTGTTGTGCATTGTGTAAGCATGTGTGTATGTGTGTGAACATGTGTGAGTGTGCATGTGTGGGTGGGTGCCTGCCCTACTAGGGAGACACGGTGTATACACAACGCCCCATACCACCATGGGGTTTATGCTGTGAGGAGACAGACAAGGGTGCAGGCAGCAACATGGGGTAAGTGACGCCTGCCTGAAGGGTCAGGAAAGGTCCAGAAGTAGCTGAGCCAACTCCCACAAGGCAAGCTGTCAGAGTGAGGTGTTGCAGGGACCAGCCAGGCAGGCCTGGGCTGGCTGGGGCTGAGAGGAGGTGAGGGTTTGCTTTTCTCAGCTGTGCTCTGGTTGCTTTGCGGCTCTAGCTGCATCCTTTCCCTCTCTCAGCCTCAATGTCCCCACTAGTAAAGTTCCAGGAGGACCAGCGGTGCCTTCTGACATTTGAGTGGCCCTGGCAGTGGGGTCAGTTTCTGGAATAGGAACAGCCATTGGCCATCTTCCCACTGGCCCTAGCGCAGCTACACTGAGTGTCTGGAGTGGGCCTTGTAAACATGGGGTCAACCCTAGGATGGGCCTCAGGCTGGAACCAGGGATGCGGACAGGTGGACCGGCGTCTGTCCTGGTCCCCCCAGACCCACTGCTATGGGCTCACACCTGGCAACAACCTTTCCAGGACCGCCTTCATGCTTTGTTATGTCGCTCACCAGCCTTTTCAGACTCCTCCTCTAACAAGGCAATGACAAAATATCTGTTCTCAGGAATGGAGGCCCATTATGGGAGACATTAGCTTGTTTGAATTTGGAAATGAGGTTGCAGGGGTGACATGCGAATGCAGTCTCTGTCTGCAGTGGGGCCTGGCTGGGCTCCTGTCTCATGCTGGGACATGGAATGCAAAGTTGACATTTGCTCTGTGGATGTTTCAGTCCCCTTGGCTGATGTCTGGAGAGCACAGGGCTGTGAGTTTCCTGGAGCACCCAGCTTGCCTGAGGCCAGGAAAAGAGACTTTTCTGGGGTCTGAGGAAGTGACAAAAAGGACTGTTCCGTGTCCTAAGCACCTCATTTCTAATCCTTGGAATTACTCCAATCGGGGAGAAAATGTCCTCTTGCAAAATGCTGCTGGCTGCCCCCACCCCCAACCTGAGTGACTGCCACCAGGGTGGGGTTGACTGCTGGGTGAATTCAGTATAAGTCAGGGACCAATGCTTGCAGGCTGAGAAACCTGATGGTGCCAGCTTGCTTAGCTTGGCCCATGTCACGCCTTAACCAAGCTCATACATCCAACCAGAAGGCCGCTGGATTTGTTTAATCTATCCTGGGGATGAGTGACCAGTCCATTTCTATTCATAGGCAGAAGGTGGCTTTTGGAGTGCAGAATCACAGGGCGAGTTTGTCAGCTGATGTGAATGCTCCAAGCACTGGCTCAAGAAAATACTAACAGCACTCCCATGCAATATATACCAGCCATTAAGTCTGAAAGGTTTACATGTTTTATCTTGTTTAATCATTTCAACCACAGGACCTTTGCATGTGACAAGGTCAAGCCCTCCTACCACAGTCCCTTATGTTTGTAGCACTTATCACAACCGTACTTTTGCCCTGGACTGTGAGGGTGAAGTCTCATTAACGCTGTTCGCTGCTGTATCTCCCAGGCCTGGCACAGGGCCCTGCGCATAGTAGATGCTTGATAAAGATGTATTGAATGAGTGGATAAAGACCCTGATGAGGGAGGCTCTATTATGATCTGATCTTTTTACAGATGAGGGAACCAAGACTCAGAGAGCTGGAGTCACAGGCTCCAGTGGCGCAACTGCTAAGTGGCAGAACCCAGATCTGTCCCCGGTGGGAGGAGCCTCTGCACATCTCTGCATGGGTGTCTGTGCTTTGATTTCAGGATGGAGCACCAGAGGGCAATCTCACGGCCCGCATTTGTCTCACTACGTCCCTTACCCACTGACAGTTGTAGCTGCCAGCAGCCCCGTCTCACCGATGACGAGATGGGAGCACTGGGAGGTTGCACAATCCACCCTGGGGCACAAGGTGAAGAGGGAACTGCACTCAGCCTTCTCTGGCTCCAAAGATGACAGGTTCCCTACTTGGCGCTGTCTCCCTGCCCGCCCCTCCCGTCCCCACTGTGCCTTTCATGGAGCATCTACCATGTGTGGGAAGTGCATGCCAGCCCTCACTGAACTGTCACCACCATGGCATGAGCTTTGCATCGTATCCCAGAAGGGCCTGCCCTGGCTTAGCTCTTGTAGAACAGCTCTTGTCACACGCAGGACAGTCTCCGGGCCCCTCAGCTGTCAGGCTGTATGGAATCCAGAGCCTTCTCTCAGGTTCCGAGGAATTTCTTCCCATCCTCTGTCCCATCTTCTAATGAAAAGCTTCTTTAAGTTGCACAGAGGCACTTTGTCCTGAGACAGGCTTATTGAGACATCATATTCTTTTCTTTGTCAAGCCTGATGGGCTTATTTCACACACAAAATGAAATCTCAAAGTTGTCATTGTAGAAAGTCTGAAGAGTGGGTGGGGAACGGAATGACTTTCTCAAAGATGTCAGGAAGGTGCTTAGCCTGAGGTAGAAGGTGGTGTCTTGTAGTGGGGAGGTGTGGGCCAACCAGCCACAGCCAGACAGCTGTCACAAACTGCGCCACCTTAAGCAAGTGGCTTAACATTTCTGTGCCTCAGTTTCCTTACCTGCGAAATGGAATAATAACAGTATCTGCCTCGTAGGATTGTTATGACATAGACTAAATAAGTGAAGGCACATACAGTGCGTAAATGCAAAAGCAGCTGTGCGTGTCAGGCACTGTCCTGCGCTCCCTACCATCACTGCCGGCAGCAGCAGCAGCTGAGCCGTAATGGGCACGAGCAGCATGGCCATCGCATGATGCATCGGTTGGGAGCATTCGGCTGCTGGTAATAAACACCAGGAGTAGCTGTGGATTAATCTCGGCATGGATTCTCCTGGACCGCAGGTAGGCTGTCCATAGCTGTGGTGGCAGCTCCGTGCTGTCGGCAAGGTCCTAGGTGTTTCTGCTTGTTGGCTCATCCATCTGAGCATGGGGCTTCCATCCTCCAGACTGCATCGTGCTCTAATATGACTGCTGGAATTCCATCCGACACCTCTGCATTCCACGCAGGAGGAGGGAGGGCTGGGGCTGCACCAGCTGCCTCTGACTCACCGGTCCTGTGTACGCCGGGAGTGTCCCACCTCAAGCCCTGGCAGAACGCTGACCCTTGGCCCCTGCAGGGTGAGCTGGTAGGAGGGACAGGAGAAGCCGTCAATGATGACAGGGAGTTGGTGGATTAAGTGCCTCAGCTTCCTTGCCTCTGGGGTGGGATAACTCTGAGAGGCTCGTTCTACACATTTCTCCTAAGATGGCCACAGGATTGGCCTCCAGTTGCTCCGGTTGCCATAGCCTACTCATTGCTATGCTCTTCGCTGGTTTCTCCCTTTGCTCACCTCCCTCTACCTTGGAAAAATTCCATTTGCACTTGAATTCTTGACTTACAGTCAGCTTCTGGAAGAACCCAGTGAAAGACAGGGGGCAAGGCAAAAAGAGGCACCCGCAGCTGTCTGTCCACCGCTTAAGGAGCCCCTCCCCCCAGCAGTTCCAAACAGCGTGTTCCTCTCACTGTGCCCTAGCTGCAGGGCGGCTGGGAAACGCAGTCAGCTGGGGATTCTCTCACTCAGGAACAAGGAGCCCGCTAAGGGAAGGCAGCCAGCATTCTCTGCCACTGCTAAAGAAGGAATAATTACGAAAAGTTTCTATGTTCATGTCAGGCCAGATCTGACAAGGAAGTGCTAACTCCCTCGGCCCCTTGAAGCTTCCTGAGAAACCTGTTCCTTCATTTCAGTCAACAGACATTTAGTGAGCCCCTACTGAGTACTTGGCCCTGGGGTGCCATCAAGAATGAGCCATGGCTCTTGATCTCATGGTGCTTATGAGGAACAGGAAGGAGGGGAGGCAGCCGAGGCTGGAGGCAGAGGAAGGGGCTAATGATGGGAGATGAAGCAGGGCTCCACAGTCCCCAGACCTCCCAGGCCATGTGGACCACAGAGGAGTTTGAGCCTCATTGTAGGAGCAAAGAGAGAGTGTGCTGGAGATTTATTTTATTTTATTTTATTTTATTTTATTTTATTTTATTTTATTTTATTTTATTTTATTTTATTTATTGTTTTTGAGGTGGAGTTTCATTCTTGTTGCCCAGGCTGGAGTGCAGTGGCCTGATCTCGGCTCACTTCAACCTCTGCCTCCCAGGTTCAAGCGATTCTCCTGCCTCAGCCTCCTGAGTAGCTGGGATTATAGGCGTCTGTCACCATGCCCAGCTATTTCTTTGTATTTCTAGTAGAGACGGAGTTTCATCACGTTGGCCAGGCTGGTCTCGAACTCCTGATCTCAGGTGATCCACCTGCCTCGGCCTCCCAAAGTGCTGGGATTACAGGCATGAGCCACTGTGCCTGGCCTATTTTTTTAACTTTTATTTTAGGTTCAGTGGTACCTATTTTAGGTACATGTTTGTTATAAGGTAAACTCATGTCACGGGGGTTTGCTGTGCAGATTATTTTGTCACCCAGGTACTAAGCCCAGTACCCAATAGTTATTTTTTCTGCTCCTCTCCCTCCTCCTACCCTCCACCCTCAAGTGGGTCCCAGTATGTGTTGTTCCCCTCTATGTGTCCATGTGTTCCATCATTTAGCTCCCACCTATGAGTGAGAACAAGCGGTATTTGGTTTTCTGTTCCTGCACTGGTTTGCTGAGGATAATGGCCTCCAGCTCCTCCCATGTTCCCACAAAAGACATGATCTCATTCTTTTTTATGGCTTTATAGTATTCCATGGTGTATTTGTACCACATTTTCTTTATCCAGTCTGTCACTGATAGGCATTTAGGTTGATTCCATGTCTGCTATTGTGAACAGTGCTACGATGAACATTTGCGTGTATGTGTCTTTATGGCAGAATGACTTGTATTCCTCTGGGTGTAATGGGATCGCTGGGCCTAATGGTAGTTCTATTTTTAGCTCTTTGAGGAATCGTTACACTGCTTTCCACAAGGGTTGAACTGATTTACACTCCCATCAGCAGTGTATAAGTGTTCCCTTTTCTCCACAACCTCACCAGCATCTGTTATTTTTTGATTTTTTAATATTATGTGCTGGAGATTTGAAGCAGGGGCTACATTGCTGCTGCATGGAGGGTAAATTCATGTCATGGGGTTTGTTGTACAGATTATTTTGTCACCCAGGTACCCAATAGTACCCAATAGTTATTCTGTTATTCTTCCACCCAAGCTTTGCCATAAATTTGATGTCTGTTCTTCAATTTTAGCAGGGGAGTCTGTGGGGCAGAGGGCCATGAGTGGCCAGGGGAAGTCAGGGAGGAGAGCTGCAGGGGGCCCACTTTCGAGAAAAGCTGGGGAAGCAGGCCCCAGGGAACTGGGGCTCCTGCATGTGGTTTCCCTGCTGTCTGCCCTGGGCCAGCCTCTGCGCCCCTCTGAGGGTTGTGGGAGGATGTGTCTAATCCCATTGGTTCCATTTCTCTGGAGAAGCCAGATTCACACAGGCCCAGAAACTCCAGTCACTTCCCCTCATTTTACATGAGTAAACTGAGGCAGCGGCTCAGTCCCACTCCTGAACATAACCCAGTGCCTGGCTTATGGAAAGTTTGTCGGGGTACTCAACACAGACTCACTGGGTGAATGAATAAGTGAAAATTTCAGTATCTGTGGGGGAAGCAGCTCAGTGCACAAGCTCTGGCCACCAAGTGATGGATGAACAGTCAGCTTGAACATTTCCTGAAGATGCTGTGTCTGTAATTCTCAACCAGGGCTGAATTTTTTTTTCTCTAGTGTGCATTTGGCAATGTCTAGAGAACTTCTGGTTCTCACAACTTGGGGGTGGTGCTACTGACATCTGGCAGGTGGGGACCAGAGATGCTGCTAGTCATGCTCCAGTGCACAAGGCACCCCTCAACATAGAATTCTCCAGCCCCAGATGGTGGTGGGTTGAGGAGCCCTGTGCTACATGTAACTCCTGTACAGCACTAACCATCTGAACAAGATCATCTCATTACACAGCCGTTTACAGGAGGCCTCTGTTGTGTCCTCTCTACTCCCATCAAACACTCCCCCTTCCGTAAGCCCCAGTGGGGCACCAACCCGCACCCACCTCAATCATGAGCTGTCAGTGAGGTCAAGCCTCTTTCCCCGCTCACATGACCAGGCCCAGCCAATGAAAGCACCATCCTCTGGCCACAGAGAGTGGTTCTGAAGGCAAGCAACCCAACCAGGACAGCGCCACCCAACTGGAAAGGCAGAGTTCTCCTCCTGGTTCTGAAAACTGCCAGAGGTCACGCAGGTGACAGTCATCACAGGAAAACAGGACCAAGGGTGGGGCAGGCCCAGTCCCCAGGGCATGCTTTGTGCTCCAGGCTGTGTTTACCCGGCTTCCTCGCTGTAGCCACAAAGCGCCTTGGTGCACATGAAGAGAAGCAGTAGTGGTTGAACACGCACAGTGTCCCAGGCACCCGCCTGCTCCCGCACCTCCTCAGCACATGCCCTCCTCCCGTGCCCTCCTGGGAAAGACAACTGTTTCCACTTAAATCAGTTCCAGGGGTTCACTCATAACCTATGGATAACCTGACACCACCTGCTTAGGTAAGCAGGGAATTTAACGCCTCAAGTACCTCAAAAGCCCATAAAGACTCCAGACCAGGCTTGGTCCCACAGCCAGTCAATGTCCCCAAATTCCCATCTCTTCGCTCTGTCTTCTGCATTGTTGGTTTCACTCTGAGGCTCCAAGATGGCTCCCAGGAAAGAGAATGGGTCTCTGTCCCAGAATTCTCAGCCCGAGTCCCGACCTTCGCTTTGATTGGACTGCACTGGGTCACATGGCCACCTGGGATCCAATTGCTTCTGCCAAAGAGATGGACTTTAGTGATTGGCTTACCTGAGGCCACATGCTCCTAACAAGAGCGGGAGGTAAAGTTGACTTCTTGAGAAGTCAACCTGCATCCCCCACTGGGAAAGGCGAGAGATGGAATGATGCAGGAAACTGTAGGGAAAAGGCAGCAGCCAAAAAGGAGGCAGCTGGGAGGGTGAAGTGACTTGCTTTGAGCGCTGTTTCTTATCATTGCATATCTGACTGCCCAGACACATTAAAGATTTCTTCTTAACAGCCAGAATCCCTTGCTGCACCCAAAGTGGTGACAAGAGAATCAGCTGGGGGTCTCGTGAGTGTCATAGGAAGGACTGGGGGCATTGTGGTCAAGATGATAACAGTATGTGCTGCCACTCCCTGTGTTAGACTCATGAAGGACTTTCATATTGTTGAGCTCAGTAACTTCTCAAACAGCCCCCTATGTTTGAGTAGGTTGGGGAGTGAGGGAAAGGGGTGATTGTTATTATCCCAGGTTTGGAGACGAGGAAATTGAGGCTCCAGGGGTCTATGCCTCGTGTTCAGGGCTCTATACTAGGAAGGGGTAGAACTGGGACTTGAACCCAGGCTGATGTGACTCAAAACTCCCTCGAAGGAATTGGCCCATGTGATTGTGGAGGCTGGCAAGTCCAAAACCTGCAGGGTGAGCTAGCAGGCTGGAGACCCAGCACAGCTGATGCTCCAGTTCAAATCCAAAAATGGTTTGCCAAAGAACCAGGAAAAGCTGATGTTCTTTATGAAGTTCGAAGGTAGTCTGCGGGAGAATTCTCTCTTGCTTGTCGGAAGCCCATCTTTTTGTTTTATTCAGGCTTTCAACTGATTGGATGAGGCCCAGACACACTATGGAGGGCAATCTGTTTTACTCAAAGTCCACTCATTTAAATGTTAATCTTATCCAAAACACCCTCACAGAAACACCCAGAATAATGTTAGACCAAATATCTGGGCACTGCGGCCCAGCCAAATTGACACAAAATTGACTTTCACAGTCCACTTCTTGCTCCAAAAGCCAAGACTCTTGGATGCTGACTATTACTACTTTTCTTTGCTAGTTTTATCATTCTTTGAAATGATTAATTTTAACTATACACAATTCATATGTATAAATTGTACCATTAATTGCAAAAGTAGTGCATGACCATGTTCAATTTGTAAAGAGTAAAATATTACAGGCAAGTGCCCTTTGTTCATTGTACCAAATCCCCAAACTTTTCCTTGGGGGGGTGACATAGGGCATCTGTCAAGGAAGGCTAGGTTATTCTGTAATCACAACAACAACATACAACCCAGATCTCCAGGCTTCAGAGCTACATGTACATCTGGGTTGGGAAGGGGCTCTGCTCATTGGCACAAGGTTGGCAGGGAGCTGCCAACTTGGAGATGGTTGATTGTTATGCCACAGCAAAAAGAACTCTGAGGAATTGCACATCAGCAATTAAATGCCCAGCAGTGGCCCTGTGATACTTTTGCTCATAACTCGTTGGCCAGAAATAGTGACATGTTCCCACTGAACTTCAAGGTGCTCCAGAAGTGCAGTTGGTCAGAAATATTCAGAAACCAGATGGTGACCTCCACACACTGGGATCAGTTTGTGTGTTCCTTTTGAGGCCTCTTTGTATGCGTTTGCATACATAGGTAGAAAATATGTAATGTATTATGTTATAAAGACCATTCTGCAACTCTTTTTCTTTCCCTAAGAAGTATCTTAGAGAATTTTCCATGTCAGGATGTGTACCTTGGCTTCATCCTTTTAAAGGATGCAAATGATGTCATGATTTGGACACTTGATAGTTTATTTTGCCAGTCCTCTATGGAGGTGTTGTCAGTTTTTGCTGCTATGAGGAATCCTAAAATAGATGTTCTAACCTGTGCTCTTTAGTGCACATTCCTCAGAAATGCTGGGTGCTGGCTTGCATATTAAAAATTTGATACTAAAAAATTATCCTCTAAAATGACTATACTAATATATACTCCCACTGGCGGTAAATGGCAACTCCCCACTTGTTCCCTAACTAGTAATATGAGTGGACTTCAAAAAGTTCATGGAAGAATGAAATTAAAAGATAAAAATGAAAAACATAAACTTTATAAGCTCCAGCAAGGTCAAAACACTCTTGTAAGCAGTGGTACCAGCTATTTAGTCCATCCCTTAAGAACTGAGGGTCCTGGGAATTTAGCCATGTCAATAGTCTTTTTTTACATTATTAACTGAAGAAAAAAAGGGCCCTTTAAAGATTTTTTAAGAGTAGCAAACACTTTTTTTACAAAGTCAGAAGGAGCCAGATCAGGACTTTAAGGTCAATGCCTAATGATTTCTCATCAGAACGCTCTCAAAATTGCCATTGTTTGACAAGAGGAGTGAACAGGAGTATTGTCATGGTGGAGAATGATTCTCTGCTGAAGGTTTCCTGGGCATTCTTCTGCTGAAGTTTTGGCTAACTTTCTCAAAGCACTCTAATAATAAGCTGATGTTATTATTCTTTGGCCTTATAGAAAGTCAACAGCAAAATATCTTGAGCATCCCCAAAAAACTGTTGCCATGACCTCCTGATGGTCCACTTTTGCTTTGACTGGACCATTACCACCTCTTGGTAGCCATTGCTCTGATTGTGCTTTGTCTTCAGAATTGTACAAGTAAAACCGCGTTTCATCTCCTGTTAATAATTCTTTGGAAAAAACGGTTTCAGGAACTTGATCCCCCTACTTGTTTAAAATTTCCATTGAAAGCTCTGCTCTTGTCTGCAGCTGATCTGGTTGTAAGGGTTTCGGCACTCAGTGAGTGAAAAGTTTGTTCACCTTTAATTTTTCAGTTAGAATTGTGTAAATTGAACCAGTTGAGATGTCTGTGGTGTTGGCTAGCATTTCTGCTGTTAATCGTTGGTCCTCATCAATTACGGCATGAACAAGCTGAATTTTTTTCTCACAAATTGATGTGGACGGTCTGCTTCTGTGAGCTTCATGTTCAACAGCATCTTGCCCTTTCTGAAAATGGGTTATTCATTTGTAAACTGCTACTTTCTTTGGGGCACTGTCCCCACAAACCTTTCATAAACCATCAATGATTTCACTATTCTTCCACCCAATTTTGCCATAAATTTGATGTTTGTTCTTCAATTTTAGCAGAATTCACATTGCTCTGATATGGGCTCTTTTCAAACTGCTTTCTTATCCTACTTAGTGCCTCAAAGTAGATTCTGTTCAGACATAACAAGTTAGTACAAGTTAATTTTGGTGCAAAAATTTTGAGATCTATGCATAGTTTTTGATAATATACATTTTCCATGTAATTTTTGAAGACCTCCTTTCTTATAATATGTTTACATTTATTTTTAATCTGATGGGAGATCCCTTCTTAATTTAAAAAAATTTTAATAACTGTTACCTCTAAAAAATTAAACAATGGAGATGTATAGAGAAAAAAGCCCAAGCCTCTTATCTGCTTTTTTCAGTTTCTGATTTCATGCTCCTCTCTGGAGGAACCACTGTTAAAAGTTTGAAGTGTTTCTTACAGATTTCTCGCTGCATTTACATAACATAAATTAATAATTATATATTGATTTTTAAATGCATAAGTGTGATTGCTGTATTATATATTGTCCGGAGCTTGCTTTGCTACCCCCTGTGCTCCCCTCAATTTTTAACATCTCTTATCATGTTGGTTTTTATAAAATTAAGTTACTGGCTGCTTGGGTTCTCTTTTACTGTTCTGTCTTCTGACACAAGCTTTTTATCTACAGATGAGACATGGAGAAAGGGAGGGGAAGTTGATGACAGGGCTGCCTGTTTTTCCTCTTCCCCTTCCTGGAGATGAGTTTCATGGGTGGAGTGACCAGCATCCAGACATCTCTCTGGGCGGAGGCAGGATGAGGAAAAGGCAGGCTGGCTGCAAAGTCTCCGATGAGGGAGAAGGGAGGTTGGGGGCTGGCATGACTGAGGGCTGGGGATGTAACGCAGACAGGAATCATTCCAAACTCCGGTGGGGAGAACATCTCCTGTGGCAAAATCCTGCAAAATGCTATTAAGGATAAATTTTTTATTGCTCTGTCCCGTAGGCAACTTGGGAAAATAGCATAGTCTCAGCATAAATGAGTTCCCGTTTTATTTTATTTTTAAATGACGCTTTCAGCACTGGTTCTGACTCTGGAGGAATGAAGCAGTCACGGCTGCGGCCACAGTGACAGAGAGAGGGTGGGAGCAGATGCAATCAAGTGAGGCAGGAGACCGACCCTTAAGTAGGACAGGGGGACCCCAGGGGCTGGCCCAGCTCTCTCCACACCATTCCCCTCCCACACTTCTCTCCCCAGCCGAGGGTTATGGGAGGGAAAGGGAGCAGTTATCTGTGTGTCTCTGGCCAAAGAAAATTTAAATGAACCAAATGACAAGACATAATGCAGAAACCATGCGTGGTGCCATTTTCTCTTAAAATGTCTAGACTTATTGACTTATTTACAATTATTTCTGTGGTGCTTCTTATGTGTCTCTTACTGCTTTAAGAGCTTTTGGAGTGCTAATTTATTTATTTGTTACAGCAATGTTATTGCAGAAGGTTCGATCACCTTGCCTGCCACAAAGATGGTGGGGTGGTGGAATGGGGCATGCACCCAGCCACAGGACATCTGGTAGAAGGGCATGTGTGCCAGTCCACATGTCCTTCCAGGCTGTGCATGGCCCCACTTTTGCTCAGCTGCCTTCCCCAGCAGTGGATCACCCCGTCCCTGAGGTCGTCAAGCGCCGGCTGCCTCTGCTGTCTTCTCAGCCCCACACCTCAGCCTCCACTCAGATGAGGGTAGGGCTTCCGCACAGCCCACATCACACGCTCGTGTGTGATCACGGCTGCTCTGGTGCACGAATTTACGTGGAGGGGAACTTTAGATGCTCTGGTGGCCATCCTGGGGCCATCCCAAGGGGCAGCACAGCACACCCTAAGAGTGTGGGGAGAGAAGTCAACACCCTACAGGCAGAATATCAAGCAAAGCAAGATAGGAGACAAGAAGGAACCAGTAGACAGGTCACTCCATCTCCTTGCTGGGCAGGCCAGTCCAGGATGTGGTGGCTCTGCACAGCATCTCACAGGACATCCTGCCTCACTGAGCAGCCAGCTGGGTTTCCTTGACCAGCTGTGGCCAGCTGGGACATGTGCCCCTTGTCTGCTCTCCCTCCTTCTTTGCTTCACGTCCCTCACCCCTCAGGCTGGCTTCCCTTGGGCTGCACTCCTGGATGAAGTAGTGTATAGCTTTGCCTCCAGCTCTACTTTTCAGGGAATTGCTGCTGAACCAGGTAGAAGGAGGCTTCATCAGAGCAGCTACGATTTCTACAGCCCTGCCCTCCCCCAGTCCCATGCAGGGCAATTTGCTTGGATTCACTCTCTGCATCCCATGGGAGGCCTGGGAGGCTGGTGCTATGTGAAGACAAAATGCAGCGTGCCTGAGGCCACCAGGTGAGCAGCCTGCCCAGGGTCACCAGGAACCAGGAACTAGGAGGAAACAGGATGTGATTCTGGGCAGTTTGGATCCAGAATATCTGCTCTCAAGTGTCATGATGGGGTCAGAGGCTGATGGTCACCTGCCCATGGCTATTCTCCACGTGTGACTCCAGGAGCTTCACATAAAGTATCCCAGTTAGTTCTCTGGAAAACCCTGAGGAGGGAGATCCCATGATTCCTGTTTTACAGATGAAGAACATTTGACTCTGAGAGGTTTGAGTATTTATTCATTCAGCACACATCTGCCGGATGCCTCTCCTGTGCGAGGTGCTGGTCCAGATGCTGGGGCTGCAAGCGTGGGCAAGAGGCTCATGGCCTGTTGACCATGTGCATGTGCATGTGTGTGTACATGGACATGCGTGTTCATGTGCATGTGTGTGTAAGAACATACAAACACATACAGAGTAATGACAGATTACAATCCATCCCACCAAGGCTTCCTTTGTTTAGGGCGGCCAGGAAAGTCCTCCCGAGGAGGTGCCAGCTCGGTGATGTCAGAAAGCTCTTGGGGACCAGCCTGCAAGGGTAGGGGTCGGGAAGAGCATCTTAGGCAGAGGCAGAGGGAACAGTGCCTTCAGAGACCTTGGTGTAGGAAACGTCTCAAAAGGCTGGAGGAAAGGGGGGCTTGGAATTTACTCCAAGGGTGATGGGAAGGGGAAGGGGAAAGGGAATAGCCATTCGCTGTTAAGAAGATCCCTAGTGTGGGAGGGAGTGGGTCTGTAGGGATGGATTGCAGAGGGCAGGGGTGGAAGGGGGAGCCTGGGAAGGAGCTGCTGCAGCATGGGGGGGCCTCCTTCTGTGTGATCTGCACAGCCCATTGTCTCCCCCAGACCCTGGTTGAGGAGCCTGGGGCTGGGAGGCTGCTCTGTGCCAACCAAAGCACCCAGAAGCCCAGGGGTCCAGACACCTTGGTGTTTGCAGGACAACGGAGAGAATGGGGTTGGAGAAGGAGAAGCCTGGGGGTAGGCTCTATAAAGGCTTGGTACTCACTGCGAGCATTCCTCAGTGCTCTTGGGGTACAATCAAGAACATCCAGATTCCTTAGCAGGCTACACGCGGCCCCCACCTTGAGATCTGTCAACACCCTCCACCTCATCCTGACTCTCTTCCTTCTGCAGTTCCACAGTTGTCATCTGGAAGAACTCACGGGTCCTCCAGAGGCCGTCTTTCATCCCGGGGTCTTAGCACCTGCTGTCCCCTCTGCCTGGTCCCACCCTTCTGCCACCACCTTCCAACACGACAGGCCTCCCCCTACCCAAAGTTCTCTCCCTAGTCTTATCACAAGCGTTTGCTCTGGCAAGCCTCCAGACCCCCGGATCAGGTTAGGTGCCCCTCCTTAAGCCTCCCCAGCCCTCTTTATTTGCATGTTTATTTGCATATTTGCCCCATTCACCTGGGAGCTCGCGGGGGCAGGGACTGTGTCTCTTTTGTTCATGGCTGTAGTATCCCCAGCACCTTGTGCAGAGCTTGGCACATTGTAGGTGCTCAATTAAAATTGGGTGAGCAAATGAATGCTGAATGAATACGAGGGACTATCCATGGGGAGGAAGGAGTAGGTTTATTCCTTGTGGCCTCCAACAGGCAGAACCAGTTTCAGTGGCTGAAAAGTACAGCGAGGCTAATTTTTATTCCCTGTAGGAAAAAGCCTCTCCAATAACTGACATTTTGGGATGGTGCAGAACTTTCATCCCACTGTGGAAATTTTTAAGTGGGTGCTGGGTGGGTCACTTGCCCATCTTCCCACTACACAATGAACATCTGGGAGGCAGGGATGGCATCTTTTTCTTCTTGTGCCCAGAGCCTGTGCAGTTCATGCACACTGCAGAGTTGCTTAGTCTGTGTGCCCTGAAAGCAGGAATGTGGTTGTCTCCACCCCCGAAATCTTCTAAACCCACACTTTCCTGTCCGGCAGCCGCTTATCACAAATGGCTACAGTTGGGTCCTAATGGAGCTGAAATGGGTCTGAAATACAGCTGGGTCTGAATGGAGCTGTACGGCCAGTGTAAAATACACAATGGATGTTGAAGACAATATAAAAAAGAAATGAAAATGTTGATAATTTGCTTACATGTTGAAATGATAATCTTTTGAATATATTGGGTTAAATTACATATATTATTAAAATTAATTTCACCTGTTTCTTAGTTCTTATTTTGTTTTTTTAAGGCGATTATTAGGTAATTTAAAATATGGCTAGCATTGTATTTCTATCATAGAGGGCTGGTCTAGGATAGTGCTTCCCACCTTTCTTGGGTTTACTGTATGCTCTTAAATCCTGTCAGTCCTGCACTGCGTAACAACGTTTCAGCTGATGACAGCTGCATGTGACGGTGGTTCCGTAAGATCATAGCAGAGTGGATATAGAAACCTGGTACATGGCACTTGCTACTGGCATTGCAGATCAAGTAAGGGAAATGATTGATATTCGTAATAGTGCTTGGGCATTTGGTTTTCCATGTGGAAAAAAAAAAACAGTTACATGTTGTTTAATGGCAGGGATCTGTTCTGAGAAATGTGTCCTTGGGTGATTCCAACCTTGTGGCAATATCATAGAGTTACTGACGCAGCCCTAGATGGTACAGCCTACTATACACCTAGGCTATTTTGTGTAGCCTATGGCTCCTAGGCTATGAACCTGTACAGTACGTGACTGTACTGAATAAGTCATTATAACACAAGGGTGAGTACTTGTCTATCTAGGCATACCTCAATATAGACAAGGTACAGTAAAAAAAAGAAGAGATATAAAAGATAAAATATGGTCCACCTGTATAGTGCACTTCCCATGAACAGAGCTTGCAGGACTGGAGACTGGAAGTTGCTCTGGGTGAGTCAGTGAGTGAGGCTGAGGTGAGTGAATGTGAAGGCCCAGGACATGAAGGTGCACTGCTCTAGACTTGATGAATGAACGTCGTACACTTAGGCTACACTAAATTTACTTTTTTTTTGTTTTTTTTTTTTGAGACAGAGTTTCACTCTTTTTGCCCAGGCTAAAGTGCAGTGGTGCAATCTTGGCTCACTGCAACCTCCACCTCCTGGGTTCAAGTGATTCTCCTGCCTCAGCCTCCCAAGTATCTAGGATTACAGGCAGGTGCCACCATGCCCAGCTAATTTTTGTATTCCTAGTAGAGACAGGGTTTTGCTGTGTTGGCTAGGCTGGTCTTGAACTGCTGAGCTCAGGTGATACACCTGCCTTGGCCTCCCAAAGTGCTGGGATTGCAAGTGTGAGCCACCAGTGCCCGGCCTAAATTTACTTTTAACATTCTTGTTTCTTCAATAATAAATTAACCTTAGCTTACTGTAACTTTTTTACGTTATAAACTTTTGAATTTTTATAAACTTTTTGACTCCGTTTTAATAACACTTAGCTTGAAACACACATTATAGAGCTGTAACAAATATTTTCTTTCTTTATACCCTTATTCCATAAGCTTTTTTCTATTTTAAAATTTACTTATTTACTGTTAACTTTTTTGTTAAAAATGAAGACACAGAAACACTAGGTTAGGCCTTACACAGGGTCAGGATTGTCAATACCACTGTCTTCCACCTCCATGTCTGTCTCACTAGAAGGTCTTCTGGGGCAATAACGCCCATTGAGCTGTCATCTCCTATGAAAACAATGCCTTCTTCTGGATACCTGCTGAAGGACCTGCCTGAGCCTCTTCTTGGGAGGTGACACTCTTTCCAGAAATAAGTCCATGATGGTTTTCTTAGTTTATGTCTTTTTTTCATCATAAATCTGCTCATAAGCAGGTAATGTGTCATGAATATTCGTCCCTATTACTGAAAACCTTTTGACGCTGGGATCTATGTTTTCAGATTTTGTAAGGAAATTTTGAAGACTGTGAAAGCTGCTGCTAAACCCTTCACTGTGAATTTTCTTGAGGATCCTCTTCTTTTTCTTTCTCTCTCTCTCTTTTTTTTTTTTTTTTTTGAAACAGTGTTTTATTCTGTTGCCCAGGCTGGAGTACAGTGGTGCAATCATGGCTCACTGCAACCTTGACCTCCCAGGCTCAAGTGATCCTCCCGCCTTAGCCTCCTGAGTAGTCAGGGATACAGTTTCCACCACGCCCAGGTGATCTTTTAATTTTTTTTGTTTTGTAGAGACAAGGTCTCACTATGCTGTCCAGTTTGGTCTCAACTCCTGTGCTCAAGCAGTCCTCCTACCTCGGCCTCCCAAAGTGTTGGTATTGCAGGCGTAAGCCACTGCACCTGCCTCTTCTTTTCCTTCTTTCTTTTGCCTCTTCTTCAGCTGTGCATTCTTGTTCTAGTTTCAACAACTCCTCATTAGCCAATTTCTCAGGGATCATCTCTAGGACAGGAATTTTTCAACTTCATTGTAATCTTATGGGACCACCACCATATATGCAGTCCATTGTTAACCAAAACATTACTAAGCAGCACAGGACCATATATAAAGAAAAATATACACAGCATCTAGGTTTGGGTAAGTACGCTCTATGATGTTCGCATAACAGAATCACCTAATGATGCATTTCTCAGAACGTATCCCTAGCGTTAAGTGGCACATGACTGTGTACTGGAGTTTTTAGCCTTTTATCGGAAAGGATCAAAAGACCATAAGCACCTTTAACTATGACAAACTTAGGATTGTCCTCAGTGTACTTCCTGGGCTGGTACAGTCGAGTCACACAGCGTGTCTGAGGGCCTCCTCAGTCCCTGGGCTCCCCCTGGTTGGTGGCATGTGGGTGGCTACTAAGTGGGACTCTTTACTTCAAAGGCCTTGCTGTCTTCTGTATATTGAATATGCCATCTGTCTTTGCAAAGAAAGTTTCTTCTTGATTCGTATACCCAGCCTAAGGCACCTGACATGTGCTGAGGCATTCAGCTGACTCAGCCCAAAGTTCTTTCACGCAGAGATCAGTGTAAGACTTGTGTATCCTCATTCGATGTATATATATATATTTTTTTTTCTGGGAATTCATATTAAAAGTGCACATCCATTACATTAACCCAGCAATCCCATTTGTACAAATCCATCTTAAAAGGATGAAAGCGTGGCACTTAATCCAAGTTCCTCCGTTGAGGACTAGGATTCTCTTACAGCTTGCTGGTTCTGCCTCCCAGATGTTGAAGGCCAGCCTCCGTCTGATGGTTAGACCTGGGCCAAGTACAGTTGTTAAATATCTGGACTCACATCTGCACACACAGATGGCGATTGCAGCGTTGTCTGTGGTCAAAACAACAAAACGAGAAACAACGTAAGTGTGATTGATAAGGAACATGTTGGTCCACCTGTATTGAGGAATATTTGTTGCTACGAAAAATCATAAGTTAGAGCCACACGAATAGATCTGGAGAGATGCCACTGTGGGTTTTTGGTGGAAAGCAGCAAGTTTTGAGTAGTGCTTACCGTATGATTACACTTTGTGAGGTCTGCAGGTCTGTTCGTAGGAGCAGAAAACAGGCATGAATAGGGGTGTGCGAGACTGGTAGTGGGATGGGCTATATCCACTGTTTGTGCATTTTTTGGTTATTTGACTTATTTATTTTTGGCTATTTGACATATTTTGGTTATTTGACAAGCGTGTGATGCATTTATATTTTTAAAATAGGAGAATATGAGAAAACATGGATGTTCTTCATCAGTTGGTTTGGTGGCCCCTTGTGAAAGAGGAGCGTGCCCCAGCATGCAGTGGAAAAGACAGAGGGCCCTGTCCTAGACCCCTGCTTCAGAAAATCAAGCTCCACTCAGGCGGCCACTGTTTCTTCCTACCCTGGAAATAAACATCTTTTTCATGCCAAAGAACGTGCGTGGCCTCTCCAGGCAGGAGACTGATTCTCTTCTTGCACCGAAGCTAGCTCCTCTCAGTCTTGTCTGGGATCCTGCCAAGACATGGAACCAGAAAAAGAAAAGACAAGAACAGCCAGGTCGAGGTTCGGTGCTGGTTAGATTCATGGCCCAGGTGGAGGTGCAGCGCTGGTTAGATTTACGTCAGTTTCAGTTCATGGCGAGGGCTCCTCTCTGGTCCGCTTTTCATTTGGGTCAGTTGAGTTCCTCCTAATTTCTGTTTCATTGTTCAGCTCCCAAAGAATTCCAGAAATGAGAATGCCTTCCCTGGCCAGCAGCCTCCTGGCTCTGTGTGTCTGAACCAATAAGGCATGTTTCCTCTTGCTCCTCACTTCTGATGTTTTATCAGGCTCCATAATGTGTTTCTCATGCTGTCTGCCCTGGAGTTTACGCCCTGAACCATGTTCAGGTGAGGAAATTCCTCGAGAAGATAAATCACCGCAGACATAGCAAAGACTACATCTTGGTAGAACTCTTGGGTTGAATGGGGCCGTATGTGTTCCCAAGTGCAGACCTCCAAGGTCAGTCAAGCCCAAACAAGAAAGCTCAAATCGCAGAGGCCTCTGGAGTAGATGCTTTGTTGCTGAAGAAGCCTGCTGAGCATCTGGGGACTCAATGGTTGTATGCCCGGGACACATCTTCATTAGGAAGCCTGGGATTCACTGCTCCATGCACGAGCTAGGTTGGCCAGCTTGGTTGCAACAGAAAACTCAGCTTGAACTGGCTTTAATAACGAAGGGAGTTGGAGCCTGCTGTAACTGGAAAGTGAAAAGCGTATGTGGTTTCAGATAAGGCTGGATTTAGCAGCTCCAGCCATCTGGCCAGAAAGCTCCCCCTCACCTCTCCATTCTGCTTCCATTGTGTTGATTTCATCCTCCGATCGCCTCCTCTCTTGGCCCCAAGATGTCAGCAAATGCCCCTTGTCAACTGTCTGCTTCCAGATCTCAAATTGGTAGAAAAGAGAAACGTCACTCCCCAGAGAGCTCAAATCAAGGTCCCAGAACTGAGTCCCGCTGACAAGGGCCGTGGGTCCACTCTGGAAGCCGTGCCTGTGTCTAGGACGGGTGGGCTGCATAGCTGGGTTGGTCAGGGCATCCCCAAAGAGTGCTTGGGCCTCACTCAACTAGGGTGGCCAGGTTTAGCAAATAAAAGTGCAGGGTCCCCGGTTAAACTTCAGATTTTTGATAAATAATGAAGAACTTTTTAGCATGAGAGTTTTTAGTATTTCCCAACTATAAATGAAAAATATGGCCAGGAGTGGTGGCTCACGCCTGTAATCCCAGCACTTTGGGAGGTCGAGGCGGGCAGATCACCTGAGGTCAGGAGTTTGAGACCAGCCTGGCCAACATGGTGAAACCCCATTTCTACTAAAAATACAAAAAATTAGCCAGGTGTGGTGGCGGGTGCCTGTACTCCCAGCTACTTGGGAGGCTGAGGCAGGAGAATTGCTTGAACCCGGGAGGCAGAGGTTGCAGTGAGCGGAGATTGCACCACTGCACTCCAGCCTGGGTGACATACTGAGACTCCATCTCAAAAAAAAAAAAAAAAGAAAGAAAAATATAAAAATATTTACATTTATGTATATTGAGAATGAACTGCCAGGCACCCAGGCAGGTCCTCTGCTCCGTCAGTTCAGCTATATGTAAAGATAGCTCTCAGTCTAAATATATTTAAATTAATTGTTGTTTATTTAAATTCAAATTTAACTGGATGTTCTATATTTTGTCTGGGAAATATATGCACATGGGAAATTTGAGGCCCTGACAGGCTGGGGGATGGGGAAGGGGATGGAGAGTGGGCAGCCAGGGATGTCCGCTGTGGACAATGAAGAAGTGTCTGCCTGAGCTCAGATTTGGTTGGGCTTATAACAGCAGGAAGACAGACAACAGGATGTTTTTCCAAGCAGGGCCTCTACCAGGCTGTAACTTTATTCATTTATTGATTGATTGCTTTTATTGGGCTTATCATACAAAATTCAGGGACAAAAGAATGTATCATTTAGAAAGCAAAAACATCCTGCCTCCTTAGTTCCCACAAATTAATTGCCATTAAAAGTTTGTAACATGCTTTCCAGGAAGTTCTTCATACAGACCATCGAGTCCTAGGTATTCTAGAAATGGTTAGTTTTACAATGAAGTATCACACTGTCCATTCTTTTTTGCAATTTCCTATTTGCCTGACAACATACCTCCCACCAACTTAAAAGTTGGTTTTGGGGTGTACCAAAAAAACTTCTGTTGTTTTTCATGGGTTGTGAAGACCGAGTTAATCAAGAATGAAAGGTTGTAGTTACAATCTGTTGAGAAAATAGGAATGACTGGTGTCTTCCTCTCTCCCTCCTTCTTTTCCTACTTTCTCCCTAGAAGTGGTTTTACTCAAGGAATACAGACCTGCCCCTCTGAAGCAAGCAAGAGCATGGCATTGGAATATAAAGGTGGTTCATGAAATTCACCCCACCCAGCTCTGCCTGGAGTCTTTTTGACTTGGGGCTGAGTCTTGGCCTTGGCCTTATAAGCATTCGGAGCTTGAGCAAGTTTTTAACCTTGTCGGCTTTGGCCTCCTTGTCTGGACAGTGGGGATGTTAATGTCAACTCCCAGAGCTGGGGTGCAATGACATGGGATTGGTGTGAAAATGACGGTGAGAACGGGTGACATGTCAGTTCCCTCTCAGTTGCCCACGGTTCAACAGAGTCGCCAAGTGCCCGCCACCCACCAGGGACAGTGCTGGGGGCTGAGGCCCCTCTATAGCCCCTGTTTGGGCTGGGTAGTGGGCAGGGTTATGTTACTCAGATTCATGGCTACGTCCTGAGAAACCCCCAACCCAAAGGAAACTGACAGTGCTCCTGTAGGGCAGCACAGGGGCCGCTGGACAGCCCCAGGCATGGGAACTGCCTGAAAGATGAAGGCGCAGCATCCAGGCAGGACCTCTGCTCCGTCAGTTCAGCAGGAGAGAACTGAGATCCAGAGAAGAGAAGGGGTGGGTGCAGCTCTGGGCTTCCGGAGGAGGCAGTCCTTGCAGGTTCCTGGTGAAAGTGGTCCTGAGGGGCAGGGCAGGGCAGGGCAGGGCAGGGCAGGTCCGCAGCTGCTATTTTCACAAATTCCTCTCCAGTGTGGCCCCGGCTCCCAAGCCTTCAGACTGTAGATTCACAATTTACATGAGGTTTTCCTTACTTGAAAAAATTTTTTAAAATTACATTTTAAGCTAGACAAGTAATATATATTCCTTGTAAAAAGTCAAGAGGTACATATAAGCCAAAAGTAGAATAAATTGCTTATATATTGCTTATATAAGTTGCTTATAATTCCAGTACCTAAATACTGTTACTATTTTGGGGCATATTCTTTTAAATCTTTAAGAATTTCATGTAAGAAATAGTTACTGAGAGGCTGCCAGTGTCAGGCTCTGGGCTGGATGCTGGGGCCAGTGTCAGATGAGGCTGTTGAGCCTCCTGCACTCAGGGTCTCACAGCCATGGATCCAGTACCCCCATCCCGTCCCTCCTCCACCCAGGCCAACGTTCTGCACACAGTAAGTGTGATGCTTAATGTTATGTGTCAACTTGACTGGGCCACAGGATACCCAGGTATTTGGTTAAGCGTTCTGGATGTTTCTGTGAGAGCGTTTCTGGGTAAGTCTAACATTTGAATAGACCGTGTAGAGCCGGCTACCTTCCCTAATGTGGGTAGGCTTCGTCCAATGACCTGAAAGTTGAATGGAGCAAAAATGTTGACCCTTTCCCAAATAAGAGCAAATTCCTCCCACTGTCACCAGCTTTTGCCTGCCTGGAGACTCAAACTGAAACGGTGGCTCTTCCTGGGTTGTGAGCCTGCCAGCCTTTGACAGGAACCACCCTCTCGGCTCTCCTGGGTCTCTGGCTTACCAACAGCAGCTCTCAGGATGAAGCCTCCACAATCATGTGAACCAGCCCTTTCGGATGAATCTCTTTTGTGTACACATCCTGTCAGTTCTGTTTCTCTGAAGAACCCTGTCTGTGTCTGATACAGATGCAGGTCTCTGCTCCCTCCCCTCTTCCTTTAACAAGCACTTATTGTGCACCTGCTGTATCAGGCTGATGGCTCAATGAGTGCTTGTTAAGGGAAGAGAGTAGGGGGCAGAGGCCCTCCCATCCAAAGGCACTGCAGTGCACCCCTGCTACCTGTCACTCCGCTGGCTGTAGTTGCGGACTGGCCCTGCTGCAATGAGAAGAACCACCCAGCTGACCCGCAGACTCGGGATCCCAGCCACAGCCAACTGCACATGGCTGGGGCCTGGTACAGGTGGGGCCAGGGGAGGGCCTGGCTCACACCTGCTGCCCCATAGACCCTGCTAGTGAGGAGCAGCGCTGGGATTGCATTCGGCTTCTGACTAACTGAGCTCAAGGGCCTCTGTCTTAGTCAGGGTTCTGCAGAGAAACAGAATGGGATTTGTGTATTTACTTGTCTGGCTCACATGACGATGGAGGTGAAGTCTCACAACCGGCCATCTGCACGCTGGAGACCCAGGGAAGTTGGTGGCGCAGTTGGAAGGCCTGAGAGCTGAAGAGCTGATGGTGTCGATTCCAGCCGCGGTCCGAGGGCCAGAGGACCAGGAGCATTGAGGGCAGAAAACAACATCTTGCCCCAGTGGTCAGGCAGAGAGGGCGGATTCCTCCTTCCTCTCTGCCTTCTGTTCCATTCAGACCCTCGCTGGGCAGGATGAGGCCCACCCACCCTGGGGAGTGCCATCTGTGTGACCCTGCCCACCAACTTAAATGCGACTCTCACCTGGAAACCCTGACAGACACCCTATTTCCACGTAGGGTTCCTTATGAGGCACTGGGGGTTCAGATGTAAACATGTTTGAGGGACACAGTTCAACCCATAACAGGAAGGGACAGATGCCTTAAATGGCTGCAGGAAAGATGGCATGAGAGTTGTGGAGGGCACAAAACCCTGTGCCTGCACACAGTAGGTGCTCACTCCAGACAAGCGAGTGTGGTTCAAAATCACACTGGGCTGGAAGAGGGAGGGATGCCCTATTCTGAGTGTGGGTTTTGGTACCAGGCAACTGTGGGTTTGAACCCAAGCTGTGTGACCCTGGGCAGCTTCCCCAACCTTTCTCAGCTGGTTTTCTCGCCTGTGAATCTAACCTAACCTGTAAGACGGCAGTGAGGGCGAGATCTGTATCGGGTGAAAGCTCGTCGAAGGCACTGAATTCTTAAACCATCCTAGGCCTCAGTTTCCACAACTGTCAAAGAAGGATGGGGATTTTGAAGTCTGGACAGATGCTGCAAGAGCCCAGAAGGAGATCAATGATGAGGAGCTCTGAACCCAGAAGCCATGGCAGTCTGGGCTGCACTGACTAAGCTGTGTACTCCCTAGGGAGGGCGGATGGCCGGCTCCCACCACCCCAGCCCAGCTGAGGAGCAGCTGGCCTTGCAGTGGGCTCCTTGGATCCATGTCACTTTTGTGGGTCACCTGGACAGCCCGGCACAGGGGCCTTTGGTGTGGGAGTTCCTCAGAGCATGAATTTTCACCTCCTGTATACACTGGGGTTTTCTCAGCCGGTGAGACGGTGGGAGCCCCAGGGTTCCCCTCGGCCCCAAAGATTCTCAACCTGATTCAGGGGAGAAGGCTGGCACCCCTGGGGGTGCAAGATGGCCCCAGTCCTGCCCAGGGGCTAATTCCCTGTGGGAGACCTGAAAAGGCTCTGGGACAACAGTGCCACTTAATTTTAGCTTGACGATTGGCCTCTGGACGAGATGTCAGCACAGGGAACTATTTATAGCAATTCCTGCCCCTCTATGGTTGCTCTGCCTGTGTGGGTTGGATTGAATTTTGCTTAATGGCCAGATGGATTCAGACAAGCAGATTTTTAGTCCAAACTATGTCAAATGGCCATTTAGACGACTTTCCCTCTTCAATCATTCATTGCATTGTTCAATGAATCTTTCTAGGGCAATGACAATGTGCCAGGCAGTGTCTGGGCACCGTGGAGACAGGAGCAAAAGAAGTAGGCCAGCCCCATTCCCACACAGCTCACCCTCGATGGGATTGAGCAATTGACCACTGGCAAAGCACCTACTGTGTGCCAGGCAGTATTTTAGGCAGTCTTCCCTGGGAGACAGCTGGGAACAGGACAGACCAGTCCCTGTCCTTGCATAACTCTCAGTCTATTCAGCCATTGGAATTAATAAACTCTGACACAGCACCTACTATGTGCAGTGGTGATGGTAGAGGGAGCGCGGGGCTCAGCCGTGCTCAAGCTGCTCCTGGCCTCACTCACTGTGGGAGGCAAGGGAAAGGCCACCAGGTGGTGAAGCAGGAAGGAGGCTGGGGTGAGCCCAGGGACGCTGGCTCTACCGCTGGGTGTTCTGTGATGAAGGTCAAGCCCTTGGCTTCGCTGGCCTCAGTTTCCACACCTGTAATACATTTTGGGGTGCTGTGTGTCTGCAGCTCCCAAAAGATGGTGAATGGGGGTGCCTTCAAGTGATGAAAGAACAAATCATTTCTGTGTTGTTATCTTTTTTTTTCTTTCTATCTCTTTTTTTTTTTTTTTTTTTTTTGTGAGCTAGAGTCTCGCTCTGTCACCAGGTCGCTCAGGCTGGAGTGCAGTGGCTGGTCTTGGCTCACTGCAACCTCCGCCTCCCAGGTTCAAGTGATTCTTCTACCTCAGCCTCCCGAGTAGCTGGGATTACAGGTGCATGCCACCACACCCGGCTAATTTTTTGTACTTTTAGTAGAGACAGGGTTTCACCATGTAGGCCAGGCTGGTCTCAAACTCCTGACCTCAAGTGGTCCACTCACTTTGGCCTCCCAAAGTGCTGAGATTACAGGCATGAGCCACTGAGCCAGGCCTGTTATCATTTGTTTTAATATGAAACAGGAAAAAAATACACCCCTGGCATTTCAAGTCCAGTCAACAGAGTCTCCTTGAAAGGGGTATATTTAAGTTAAAGAGAGAGGGGAGTGGTGATTGAACTGAGAATATGAGGTAAATAACAGTGCCAAGGACTATGGCACAATCTCCAAGCAGGCGGTCAGTGGGGTTGGATGTGGGGCTGTAGAGGATTTGGAAGATTCAGCTGGATGTGCGGGGTCTCTGGCTGCAGGTCCCCAGTGCCCCCCTGTGACTCCTATTGGTGAGGAGGGCTGGGACATCCTGTTCAGAGTAGGTCTTGGGATGAATCCACTCCCCAGCGTGCATGTCCCTTGGAGCAGCTCTGTGCCCAGCAGGGGCTATTGTGACTGGCAGGGCCTTTGCAGGCAATTTGGGAGGTCCTTTGCAGGTGGCTGGGGACTGGGTGTCCCCGAGCTTCCTAAGGAGGCCTGTCCTTCTGTTCCTAAGGAGGCCTGTTTCTGGGCGGTGCCCTCCTGCTTGCCTCTCTACCTATCCATGTGGTCTTCAGGGGTCCCTGCAGGTACCAGCCCTGAGCTTCTCCCTTCAGGTTGGGGGTCCCTGAGGAGGGCGCTGGGCCCCAGCTGTTGAGGGAGAAGCTAGGGTGTCTCCCCTCTCCCACCAGCCTACAGAGAGGAGGGAGCCTGTCAGGAAGGAGCCCTCGCTGGGAGAAGGGGCCCTCGCTGGGAAAAGGGGTCCTCACGGGGAGAAGGAGCCCTCGTGGGGGGAAGAAGCCCTCGGTGGGAGAATGGACCCTCACTGGGAGAAGGAGCCCTCGCTGGGAGAAGGAGTCCTCGCTGGGAGAAGGGGCCCTCGCTGGGAGAAGGAGCCCTTGCTGGGAAAAGGGGCCCTCATGGGGAGAAGGAGCCCTCGTGGGGAGAAGGAGCCCTCACGGGTAGAAGGAGCCCTCGGTGGGAGAATGGACCCTCACTGGGAGAAGGGGCCCTCGCTGGGAGAAGGAGCCCTCGTGGGGAGAAGGAGCCCTCACGGGTAGAAGGAGCCCTCGGTGGGAGAAGGAGCCCTCGGTGGGAGAATGGACCCTCACTGGGAGAAGGGGCCCTCGCTGGGAGAAGGAGCCCTCGCTGGGAGAAGGGGCCCTCACGGGGAGAAGGAGCCCTTGTGGGGAGAAGGAGCCCTCACTGGGAGAAGGAGCCCTCGCTGGGAGAAGGGACCCTCACTGGGAGAAGGAACCCTTGCTGGGAAAAGGGGCCCTCACGGGGAGAAGGAGCCCTCGTGGGGAGAAGGAGCCCTCGCTGGGAGAAGGGACCCTCACTGGGAGAAGGAGCCCTCACTGGGAGAAGGAGCCCTCACGGGGAGAAGGGGCCCTCATGGGGAGAAGGAGCCCTTGCTGGGAGAAGGGACCCTCACTGGGAGAAGGAGCCCTCGCTGGGAGAAGGGAACCTCACTGGGAGAAGGAGCCCTTGCTGGGAAAAGGGGCCCTCATGGGGAGAAGGAGCCCTCGTGGGGAGAAGGAGCCCTCGGTGGGAGAAGCAGCCCTTGGTGGGAGAAGGGACCCACCAAATCGCACACATGCCATTGTTGCTCCTTCCGTGTGCCCTTCTGCAGCTTGTGAGGTCTTCAGGACAGAGTTCCACCACTTCAGCCCCACCCAGTGGAGTCTGTCCGCCCCTCTGAGCCCCCTCCGAGCTTTTCTCCTACCCCCAGTTCCATTGCCTTCCTGAGCCTGAAGTCGGGAAAGTCGCTTGGGGTTGTTGGGGGCTCAGTTTCCCCATCTGTAAAATGGGCTCGCAGCCACTTCTCCATCTCAAAGTGCTGTCGTGAGGATTGGCACCTGCCTCTGTGAGTGCCCAGCAAATTGTTGTGCTTTTTCTGAAATGGCATTAGTTTCCTAAGGCTGCCGGAACCAAAGCCCACAGCTGTGTGCTCCACAGCAAACATTGATTCTTCACACTTCTGGAGGCTGGAAGTCTGAATTCGAGGAGCTTGCAGGGCCGTACTCCCTCTGGAGGCTCTGCTGGCTGCAGGCCGCCCACCACATGTCCCGGCCTGCAATCACCTCGTCCCAGCCTCAGCCTCTGTCCTCACATGGCTTCTTCCCTCTGTTTCTCCTCTTCTTCTAAGGACACCAGTCAGATTGGATTAGGGCCTGTCCTGATTCATTATGACCTCATCTTCACTTGATTACATCTGGAATGACTCTATCTCCAAGTAACATCACCTTCTGAGGTCCAGGTGGATTAATTTTGGGGCAGACACAATTCACCCCAGGACAGTGGCAATTTTGTTTACTTGCTTCAGCGAGCCTTGTGAGGTGGGTATTATCACACCCATTTATCAGATGTGAAAACTGAGGCTGAGGGACTGAGGGCCCCAAGAGCTGCTAAGTGACAAATTCAGGACTTGTACCCAGAGCATTTTAGAACCCAGTGAGGTCAGGGAGTGCACAGGTCCTCAAATTCACACTGCCTCTCCAGCTGTACAGTCCACAAAATTGGTGGTAAACAGAAACACTGAAGAAGAAGAAGAAAAAAACAGAAAACTCAAATGGGCTCTGTGTGTTTATAACCAAAGACTTTCTCCAGAGAGTGTGGTATAAAATTTTAATATTTTAGGCAGGCAGGCAATACTTCTTGTCTAGACATTGAGAAATGTTCAGACACAGAATTATTTCCAAGCTCCAGCCAACACAGTGGCGTCCCCCGCATTCCCCCAGATGAGGGGTGTCATTTACTTTGCATTTGTGAGCAGACACCACAGGGGCCTGATTGCTGCTGGGAGGCCCGGACCTCCGCGGGTCGCAGCGTTGCCGTGGACCCCAGAGATGCCAGCGGCCGCGCTGTCTTTTCCCAGACAATTGAGCTGCTTACAAATCAATAACAACAAGGTTGACGGGGATGGGGGCTTGATCACACTGAGGTGCACACAGCTGTCAGAACGCGGTGACTGTGCACATGAGATCGTAAACTCCCTAATTAGCTTTCGAGGAGAAGGCGTGAGGGCTGAGGGTCCAGCTGGCGCTTCCTGCTTTGCTTTCTGTCTCTCTTGTCTGCCGTCTGGGAAGGTGAGCAAGCAGGCCCTCCGTTGCTCACTGTAATTGGTGATGAAGACGGGGACTGGTGCTCTAGTGCCGGATGTCTTCTGTGCTGTGTGCCCTTCAGCCGGTTCCTGTCCCTCTCTGTGCCTCAGATTCCTCATTGATACAATGAGCTCAGGCTCCCGGGGGCTTGCAGAGTTGGCAAAACTGGTCTCTTGACCCCTAACAGTTCCCATGGGACCCAGGCTGGAGACCAGCAGAGGCAAGGCTGGGAGACAGCAGAGGGCGAGGGCAGTCTTCCAGGCTCAGAAAGGCTGCTCTTGGCTCTTCCCATCCAAGGAGAGTCCCGCGTGGCCAGCACCAAGGATCTCTCCCACTTGGAGGTGAGGAAACTGAGGCTTAGAGCCAGGGCTAGGACTCTAGTCTTCCTGCCCTCGGGGGCCTCTCCTGGCTGCATCTTTGTTCTCCAGCATTTCCGGAGCACCGGCTGGGTCCCAGGCTGGGTGCTGCAGGTCCTGGTCTAGCATGGTAAAACCAACGGGACTTCCAAGCCCGAGCAGGGCAGGTGGGACCCTGCACCTTCCCTGACTAAACCTCCCTACTCATCTCGTTGTCATTAAGATTGAAGACCATTTATTGAGCAGCTACTGTATGCCAGGCACCTTTGAACACTCAAGCTGCTACGGTGGATGGTGGAGAGAAGGGTGGGTTAGTGGAGGGGAAGGTGTCAGGAACCCCGATGTCCTTGGAACAGAGCAGCCCCCACCCTCCCAGGGTGGCTGTGGACTCTTTCCTTCTCTCTTGAGCCCTCGCATGCAGTGGTGTCTGGTAGAAACATGTACTCTCCACCCGTCAAAGCAGCAGTAGCATAAATAGCATCAGGAATGTTGGAGATCTCAGGCTTTGAGGCCCAGAGTTGAGTTGCTACTTTACATGATTTAATTACCGAAAAAAACTGTGTTACTTCCCTTCCAACATAACCTTGCAGCGTCTCAGAAATGCTTGCCGAGCAAGCCTGCAGAAAAATTTGGAGGCTGGCGGGTGCTCCCCCTGCTTGTTAAGCACTCACTGTGTGCTGGGCTCTGTGCTTAGGACTGTCTGTGCACCGTCTGCTTACAGCCTTACAACAATCCTTTCAACGAGCCATACCTTTGTCCCATTCTACAGAGAAAAGGAATGAGAACTGGCAAAGCTGGTGTGGTCAACAGCAGGATGGCCTCTCAAAGATGCCCATGTCCTAAGCCTCAGAATCTGTGCTACGTTATGTTACAGGCCCAAGGGGGACTAAGGCTGCAGATGGAACTCAGGTCGCTTATCGGTCAACCCTGAGATGGGAGATTATCTGGGATTAGCAGATTGGCCCAGTGGAAACACAAGGGCCCTCAAACCTTTGTGGTTTTGGAAACACAAAGTAGAAGAGGAGGCAGGAGAATCGGCACAGAGCGATATGATGTGAGAGACGCCCGGCCAGGCTCTGAATGTGGAGGAAGGGCCACAGGGCAAGGAGCGTGGGGGCCTCTACCAGTGGGGAACATAAGATGTGAATTCTCCTCTGGAGTGTCCAGAAGGAACACAGTCTGCTCGACATCTTGATTTTAGAGACCCATTGCGGATTTCTAGACTGGCCTCTAGGTCTGCAAGATCATAAGCACGTTTTGTTTTCAGCCAGTAAGCGTGTGGTCATGTGGTTCCGCAGCTGTGGGAAGCCCACACAGCGGACTTCTCGTCTACGTCCGTGATGGGGGCTGCATCCATGCCCAACCTCAGCCACTGATTCAGGGATGGCCACGTGGACAAGGCTGGGAAATACAAAGCAATCCTTGGGCTCCGCTGGAACCAACAGGGGCGGAACGCTGTCTTTCCATCAGGGCTGCTGAGGGGATGCAGCAGGTGTTACCCTGGAGCTGCTGGGGGGTCTATTTGCGACCACGAGGTGCATGTTCATCTGAATGACAGAACTGGGTGAGAGGGAAGCGGGATGGTGACGTTGTGTGAGATTCTGGATAGACCATGCCTGAAGCCAACTGGCCTTTATGTTCCAAAAACCTGTAACTGTCCCTCTGCACTCAGGCTGCTCTGAGCTGTGCTTCTCATCACCTGCACCTGATACATTCCTGGCTGTCCCAGGATCCAAGCCTGGCTTTTGAAAGCCTGTAGGATTCGAACGTGGCCTTGCTGGTCCTTATGTACACTCTCCCTTTCAGAGTTTCAGAGCGAGAGGACAGAAAGTCAGACATCAGGGAAGCTTAGACTCATAATTGTGGAAAGGGACACTTGGAGAAGACTTTCAGTCTCTTTTTTTGAGACAGGGTCTCATACTCACTCAGGTTGAGTGCAGTCGTACAGCTCAAACGACCTCCCCAGCTCAAACGACCTTCCCTCCTCAGCCTCCCGAGGAGCTGGGACCACAGATGTGTGCCACTACATCTGGCTAATTTTTGTATTTTTTGTATAGACAGGATTTCGCTACATTGCCCAGGCTGGTCTCGAGCTCCTGGGCTCAAGCAATCTTCCTGCCTCAGCCTCCCCAAGTGCTGGGGTTACAGGTGTGAGCCACCGCACCTGGCTTTGTTTTACACTTTTTACACTGAGGTGCAGAGAGGGGAGGTAACTTGCCCAAGGTCACCCAGCTGGTAAGAGACAGTTGGAATTAAAACCTGCTTCTCAGCCTGCTCCGCCCCTCTTGGCCCTCAGCAGTCCCACAAGAAAGGGCTTCGGGTCTATAATTTCTGGTGGGTTTTTTGCTGACAGAACTCAGGAGAGACCTGAGCTTGCCCGGCCTTGTTTTTGCCACACTCATAATGCGGCCCACATTTTCTTGCGGTGGAGCTTTCAGAAGCTGGCGTTCTGACTGGGCCGCTCTCCAGCCCAGGACTCGTCTGGAAGCCGTTTGTGGGGTCTGCCATCTGGTGAGCTGCGGCTGTGCGGTTAATATTTCCCAGACTAGGCTGCTTCCTGGTCCCCCAGACTCTCCGGCCCCCTCAAAGTGCGGCAGAGAGAGGAATGTGCTACAGGCGGGTCCCCCGTCCACGCATGTCTCTCTCTTGGTTACCTGCCACGCTTCCAGGAGACAGATGGCTCCACTTAACATGTGGCTTGGAGCCAGGAGGTCCTGGACCCCAGGCCGGCGATACCAAACACCAGAGTGTCAGATGCAGGACTGGCTCCCATCCACCCAGTCCCAGCTGGGAACACGTGCTTTGTTTCTCCCTTCCTCCCAGTTCTCTCGTCTTTGTGTTTTTCAGCCTTGCCACCATTTTCAAAGACCCTTTTTATACACACCCTCACCCAGGGTTTATTCCAGAGGACTGTTCTTCTCTTACTGCCAGCTTGTCTGAGCGACCCCCTATCACTCATGATGAACTGGATGTTTACTTAGCACCTACCAAGTGCCAGGGAGTTGCAGACGGTATTCGCTCTGTAGCAACCTGAGATAGGTACGATTCTGACCCCATTTCAGTGCCAGGGAAGGCACCCAGAGCTGTGGAGTGACGATCTGAGGCCCACACAGCTGGGAAGAGATAAAAGCAGGGGCCATGATGACATGGATCTTATTATGCCCATTTTACTGTTGAGGGAACTGAAGCCCAGCACAGCCATGTGACTTGCTCAGAGACACACAGCAGATGAGCCGCCAAGATGAGGCCAGCCTCTTTCTGACTTCCTTCTGGTTTCCTTTCTCCCACAGGGACCCCACTGAGCCATGAGCTCTAGAATCTGTACGGTGGGCAGACGACCTTGACCACGGGACATGTTCCTTCTGGATCCTGCCCCAGGTCAAGGTGGTTGGAAACCCTCCCTGGCCTGAAAGCCGTTAAAGCTAGTGAATGAGCAGGAGGGTGGTGGGAGATGAGGTCAAAGAGACACCTTCTTAAATAGAGGAAGGAACCTGTTGATGGCATGTTCTACAACCCAGACATCCGACTGCCATTGGTTAAGGCAAGTGAACCACGTGCCACATACAGTGTCCATGCCACACTTGTGACGACGGGAGGGTGTGTGCAATCTCATTATCCCCAGTTAGCAGGAAAGGCCAGAGGCTCCAGGAGGTGACCAGGCAGAGGAAGCCACTGCTGCTGAGGCTGTCCCCACTGGGGCTTGTGAGCTGAGGGAGGTGGGCTCGGCTAAACATGAAAACTAGGAGAGGAAACCTGCCCGCAGCTTGGCTTTTGCTGGATGACAATGTGGCTCCACTTTCCCTATTTCCAGCCAGGCATTTCAGAGACTCTTGGCAGTATCAGTCCATACCGCCTCCGGAGGCACCAGCTACAGTGTCTGCTTGTGCATAGCTGGCGGGAGTTGCCTCTACTGAACTTTCCTCCCATGGGCTCTGTGGAGCTGCTCCTGAGAGCTGGACCTGAGAGCGGACGGGCCCAGATACCCCCGTGCGGGAGCTCATAGCTGCTGGTAAGCCAGGGCGGCATGTGAAAGTGTCTGTTCACTCATTCACACAAAAGTCCTCCTTGACACCCACAATCCTGGGCACCAGGATGCGGCCCCAGGCAGGGCTGGTGAAGTCTTTTCTCCTGAAGCTCATGTTCTACCAGAAGAGTCACAAATAAAAACATAACGCAGAGAAGTGACAAAGGATGGCAGGGGTCCAGGAAGACCGCTCCCAGGAGGTGGTCTTTGTGGAGAGAGAGACCCTCGGGGAAGGACTTGATGACAGAGGGCGTGGAGGGCCTCATGCATCGATTCCCTGCTGTCTGCTGGCTCTGGCCACAGGCACTCACTGAGGCCCATTTCATAGGTGGGAAACTGAGGCACAGGGAAGCTAGGCAACTTGCCGGGAGTCCTCATGCTAAGAAGCAGCATGGGCAGGCTTCAAAGCCAAGCCCCCGGCTCCAGGGCTCGAACACATAACCCCCGGGCTACACACAGTCTTTCCCTTGATACTCACCATATCCTGTGGCTCCAAGTGAAGATCCCGTGCATATCTAATGCCAAAGGACAGCAGCCCTGGGCACTAGCAGCCTGGCTCACAGAAAGCAGACTCCCCCACCCCGCGCCACATTCCCCCACCATTTCTGGGTGTCCTCAGGGGAGCCTTGAGTCGGCTCATGGGGAGGTCAGGCAGCTACAGCTTCCCAAGCTCTCTGGGCCAAAGGGCTGGATTTGTGTTGCTAATCAGACACCCATATGGGGTCCCCTGCAGCTCACGTCACACACGACCCACTATGTGAGTCTGACATCACCCAGACTGGGCTGAGCTCCGACTACATGCTTGGGGGTCGTGGCGCTGCCATCGTCATGCTTTTAAAAGCACCCCCAATGTCTGTGCTTGTCTCATCATGGATGGGCCACAGAAAGGCCTCATGCCACAAGAAGCACTCAGCTGTGTGGCCAAGTGGCCAAGTAGCATCCATCCGTTTGTCTCCTAGAGCTGGGCCACACAGGTCCCCTCCGCCTGCCCGAGGGGCCCCAGCATGTCTAACTGACATCATCATACAAACAAGAGCATGCAGATGGAGGGTGTGTCCCCAAATGCCTCCAAAGCCCCAGTCATTGGTTCAAACTCTGAGGTCTGAGCGCTGAGCTTCCGTGCTCAAACCGCTGCTGACCTTCACGAGCTCGGTGCTGCAGCTCTGCTGCCATGGGTCCAGCCTGCAAGTCTCCAGCAACTCTAGCAGCTTCTGGCCTGGAAGCAGCTGCCCACCCCAGTGTGCCTGTGCCCCCACGCTCCTGTGCTTTCTCTCCAGGCTGGGCCTCCCACCAACATGGCCCTCTCCCAGGAGGGATCCAAGGCTAGCATAGCTCTGCATGACAGGCGTGGTGGATCAGGGCACCTGCCCAGCTCAGCCAGTCTCCAGTGCCCCTTCCTCTGTGCCAGGCGGCAGCAGCACCCCTGGACAGAAGAGACAGCCAGGAAGGTGGTCTCATGGAAACCCAGTGGAGCAGAGAAATGAGGAAATAAAGCACATTCTATCCAACTTTAGGCAGGAAAAGCAGGGATTCGCCCCCTGCCTCATTTGCTTTCTCTTCCTAGAACAACCATTAAACTTTTCCCATGCTCAGCCACCAATATGGATTCAATCTCTTTTCAGGTTTGCTTTTGCTGTGAGAATGACTCCAGTCATGTTTTGTGTTCTCAGGCACTCACTGTTCATCTCCTAGAACAAATTGGGATGCCCTTGGGTTTGGGGCTTCCTGAGCCTCCTTCCTTTGTACCATCTTCGTCCCTGTTTCAGAAACAGAAGACATTATTTTTATTTATTTATTTATTTATTTATTTATTTATTTATTTAAGATGGAGTCTCGCTCTGTCACCCAGGCTGGAGTGCCGTGGCGCGATCTCGGCTCACTGCAACCTCTGCCTCCCAGGTTCATGCCATTCTCCTGCCTCAGCCTCCCGGGTAGCTGGGACTACAGGCACCTGCCACCACGCCCGGCTAATTTTTTGTATGTTTAGTAGAGACGGGGTTTCACCATGTTAGCCAGGATGGTCGCAATCTCCTGAACTCGTGATCCACCTGCCTCGGCCTCCCAAAGTGCTGGGATTACAGGCATGAGCCACCGCGCCTGGCCAACAGAAGACATTCTTAAGCATGCGCTCCTGGGAGGTTTGGGACCAAGGTTAGTTTGATTTGTTCTCTGCACAAATGTGGTGGCTGCTTCATTTTAACATGCTAAATGTTATGAAGTCACTTTGAATTACGGTAGGGAAAAGCTGTAGAGGCCCATCTCCTTTCTCAAGCCTGACAAAGCACTTTATAATCACATTCTTTCTGGAACGTCTATCAGAAACACGTTATATTAAGATGCAAAGCTATTTGTTAAAGTCGTCAAACTGCAACTGAAAAACACGATTTTTTATTTTTGCCATGTATGTTTTTTTCTCTCATCATCACCAAGAAAATTGAAGTCTAAACTCCAGCAGACAATTAGGCCTCATGGAGTGGTGTCATGTCTGCGGGCTTCTGTGATGCTTGCAGTGGCCTTTAATTAGATTCAGGGTCTCTATATGTGGGGCTCCAGCTTAATGCAATTTGGAAACTAATCATGTTTAATTAGGTTGTATTATTAGGGAACAGCTGAGCAAATGGAAGACTGTGCTGCATACTAGGGAAACTTACAAAAGCAATATCACAAAACACACAGTTATTACCAGCGAGATGAGCAAAAGTCATCTGCATTACATTTGAGTGATTTGATTTGCTTCCCCCTGGAGAGGTTCTGAGGCTTGTCCCGTCTTTAAGGTGTTGTGTTTAGCTGTGTCTAGGCTTGGGCAGACCTCACGGCCACCTCTCTCAGAATGGAGGTGACTTGACTTCAGGCAGTCATCTGGAGAAGTCTCCTGCACCTGGGCACCACACTTCAGGGCAGATATGTCCTTGCTGCTTTTTCTTAGGGCACATGGTTCAAGGACAGCCCTGGCAGCTGAAACCCAGGGTTTCAACCCCTCTCCAAGCTCACCTGGTGCTGAAAACCTCCATCTCACAGCATAAACATCTGTAAGAAAGCAACCAAAAGATGCCTGCATGGAGACTGCGTGAGTCCAAGTTCCAATTGAATTCATTTTCTGACAGCTGAGAAAGGTGTGAGACCTGGGGAGGAAAAGTCCGCTATCTCCAGCTATCTGAGTTCCAGTGAGGCTGTTCCTGGGTCAGAAAATATCTTCATAGAAGTACAGAGTATCTCAGTGACCCATCTGTTTATATGAGAATGAGGACTCTGGTTTAGTCATTAGATCAATTTCTGGACTGAGAGTCCAAAGAGAGGGTCACTGGATTTACTTCCTCTGTGTCTTTGTTTCCCATCTGTAAAATGGATCTATGAAAATTCAATGAATCAATTAATTCATTCCTTGAATATTTTATCTCCAGTCACTGGAGATTTAAAATAATGAGTTAAGACATGTTCCTGCCCTCAAGGAGCAGGGAATCTTTAGAAAGCAGGGCCTGAGGCAAGGATTAAGCTACTGATGATTTATGGGGGGGGTGCAAGCCCAGGGCAGTGGAGGTGAAAGAAAAGGGAGGCGAGGTGGGGAGGGAAGGTGTAGCCTGGGGTCATGTAAGTGGCAGTGGCTGTAGACTTTTCCTCCCCAGACCTCACAGCTTTCTCGGCTGTCAGAAAATAAATTCAACTGGAACTTGGACTCATGCGGTCTCCATGCAGGCATCTTTTGGTTGCTTTGTTGCAGATGCTTATGCTGTGAGACACGGAGGTTTTCAGCACCAAGTGAGCTTGCAGAGGGGTTGAAACCCACTGGGGGCCCCAGCCATGTGTTCACCTGGCACATGGGCTTCCATGGAAAGCTGAAAGGGGGTGGGGGGCACACCTCAAAGGAATCCACAGGAGAGAGAATCAGAAGGAATTCTACGCCACTGGGAGTGTCTTCCCACGCTCTCCAGCTTGCCTCGTCCAGGCCCTCTGAGGCTGCTCAGGAAGCCAGAGGCCATGCCGTGCTCTGGTAGCTCCACTTGTGAAGGTGAGGACTTGGGTGGCGCAGCAGGTGCTGTCCAAGAAAGGGAAGGAAGGAACACCTGGGGAGCCTGTGAAGGTGAAGAAGTTTGTGCCTTGATACGAGCAGACACGCCAGTGAAGAGGCAGGGGCACAAGTCAAGAGGGACCACAAGCATTGCTAAGAGAGCATGGAGGCATCTCACGTGGTTTGTGGGGCACGGACGGACCATCTTCCAGGATGAAGGAGCGTGCATCTCACACCCAGCAGATGAACCAAATTTGGCCAGAGGAGGAAAGGGATGGGGAGAGTGCTCCAGGCTGCAGCCACAGCTAGGCCAAGACTGGGAGGCAGAAGAGAGCCAGGGAGTGTGGGAAGGCTGAGCTCAGCATGGCTGGAGAGAACAGGAGGGGTCTGGGGTGAGCTGGAGCAGGGGGGTGCAAGAGCCCAGACATGCAGGGCCTTGCCAGCATGGAGAGGAGATTGGACTGAGTTCTCAGGGCAGTGAGGGGCTCCCCTCCAAGCACCCAGGCCGGCTCACGGCTCTCAAGGTGGCAATCTGCTTCTTTCTTTTTCTTTTTCTCACTTTCTTCCCTCTCTCCTTCCTTCTGGGCTGGAGCTCAGGGAAATTTTAGAGCCAGCCACTAGCGAGCCACTCTCTCCAGTCACTAGGGGTGAGAAAGTCCCGTCTTCCCTGCTACAGTCGTAACGCATCACCCTCACACCTTGCTGACCATAGGGGACATCGGCTCTGTGCCGGGAGCTGGCAGTCTTGCCTGCTGCTGACACAGTATCAGAGCAAGAAAGGAAAACAGGGTGGTGCCCAAGGATGGCTGGCTCTACTGTCCTTGCTGGGGCCCCTCTGGTCATCTCGCTGGCTAAGGAAAACCCCTGAGGTGAGGCTGAGTCACCCTGTGGGAGGAGGACCTGGGGAGTGGGTTGTGTCTTTTCCTGCCATACTCTCCCAGGTTGGTGTCAGTTAAGCACAGCTCCACTTGACAGTGACTGGTTCAAGCTGGCCATGTGAATTGTCCCCTGGGGCCATGGCCTGGTTGACCATAGGCTGGACCCATGACTCTGATCTAGCCAGTCAGAGTGGCCCACTCCTCAGGCCCCAGTGATTGGCTCAGGCATGAGCATGTGACCCAAACTGGACCAATCAGAAGTCAAAGATAAGGCTCTAAGATGTTGTGTAAGTGAATGAATCAATAAGGAGGCCCTCGCTGGTCCAAACTAGCTCAGTCTCCAGGTGTGACAGGCAGAAGAATGGCCTCCCAAAGTCCTAATCTCTGCAGACTGTGATGTCACCTCACATAGCAAAAAGGACTTTGCAGACATGAATAAGTGATGGATCCTGAGATGGGAAAATTATCTTGGATTATCTGGGTAGGTCCAATGTAATCACAAGAGTTCTTAGAAGAGAAAAGGAGGAGGGTTCAAGAGAGAGAAGGAGCGGGGAGAGAGAGAGGGAGGGACGATGGTGGAAGCAGAGGTTGGAGTGATGCAGTTGCTGGCTTTGAAGATGGAGGAAGGAACCACAAGGCAAGGAATGCCACGGCCTCTAGAAGCTGGAAATGGCAAGGGCATGGATGGTCCCCTAGAGCTGCCAGAAGGAAGGCAGCCTGATTTTCTCCTTGATTTTGGTCCAGTAAGACCCATTTCTGACTTCTGACCTCCAGAACTGTAAAATAATACATGTGCATTGTTGTAAGCCATGGATTTAAGCCGCGGTAACTTGTTGGAGCAGAGAAAGGAACCAAGTGCACAGGGTACATCAGCTCTTGCTGTCAGGAGCTCCTTCATTTCAGAATAACATCATCTTCTCATCCGAGACCTGGGGATTAGTATTGCTTGCAGGGATATGGGGCTTGATGCCTTCTGGGCTGCTCCCTGGTTTTTGGGTTCCCCTGCAGTCAGGTGTCTATACTGCCTGATTCTCCAGTGCCAGGTTACTCTCCCACAGCCACAGAGGTCCTTGTGCCATACTCTTTCTCATTCTCTAAATACCCAATGGCTACTGTTGCATTAGGCTTGGGTTTCCTGTCCACAGTGTTTGAAGCTTCTCCAGGCTGGGAATCAGCCATTATTCTGACTGTACTGTCTGTGGGATCTCTCTTTTCTGACAGATGGCAGTGACATGGTCATGGCCCTCCTCCCTGCTTCCTTCTCCCTGTGCCCCACACATAAAGTGCATCTTGGTGAAATTTACATGGGCACACACGTGTGTAGCCTCCTCCTAGATCAAACACTGACCATCCCCAGCTCCCCAGCACGTTTCTGCATTCTCCCTTGGAGCTGACAGGTGCCCCCTATATATTGACTTCCATCCCCATTGCTCAGTTTGGCCTGATCTTGATCCTCATGTAAATAGAATTCTTCCATATGTGTTCTTTTGTTCTGGCTTCTCTCACCTGGAGATTCATCCATGCAGTTGTGTGTATCAGTAGTTCACTCACCTCATTGCTGAGTGATGTCCTTTTGTTTGGCTGTATCACAGCTTGTTTATCCATTCTCCTGTTGATGCACATTTGGGTCGTTTCCAATTTTTGGCTGTTACAAATAAAGCTGCTCTGAATATTTGTGTACAGCTCTTTGCCTGGACAGATGCCCTCACTGCTATCATGGAAATCCTAGGAGTGGAATTGCTGGGACATAGGGTATGTATATGCGTGGTCTGAGTCCTTTCTCTGATTAATCTCTTACTGCTTGGATTTCAATGTCTTAGTTTTGTGTTGCAATAAGGAATTACCTGAGGCTGGGTAATTTATAAAGAAAAAGAGGTTTATGTGGCTCATGATTCTGGGGGTTGGAAAGTTCATGACTGAGCATCTGCATCTGGTGAGGGCCTCAAGCTGCTTCCACTCATGATGGAGGGTGAAGGGGAGCTGGCATGTGCAGAGAACACATGGGGAGAGAGGAAGCCAGAGAGACAGCAGGGAGGTGCTAGGCTCATTTTAGCCACCAGCTGTCTCTGGAACTAATAGAGTGTGAATTCACTAACCCCACTTAAGGGAAGGCATTCATCTATTCATGAAGGATCCACCTCCATGTCCCAAACTCCTCCTATTAGGCACCACCTCCAACATTGGGAATCACATTTCAACTTGTGGTTTGGAGGGGACAAACTTCCAAACCATAGCATTCATTGTCAAAAAGTTTACTTCAATTTTCTTTTCTTTTTTTTCTTTTGAGATGGAGTCTCACTCTGTCCCCCAGGCTGGAGTGCAGTGGCATAATCTCTGCTCACTGCAACCTCTGCCTCTTTGGTTCAAGCAATTCTCCTGCCTTAGCCTCCCTAGTAGCTGAGATTACAGAAACCCGCCACCACATCTGGCTGATTTTTGTATTTTTAGTAGAGATGGGGCTTCACCATGTTGGCCAGGCTGGTCTCAAACTTCTGGCCTCAAACGATCTGCCTGCCTCAGCCTCCCAAAGTGCTGGGATTACAGGCATGAGCCACCGCACCCAGCCTACAATTTTCTTCAGAAGATCTCTGCTCAGGGAGGCTTCTTCATGGGCTGAACTCCCTGAGTTTTCTCACGTGTGGGAGCATCTCCCCGCTGTCTTGACAGGACACAGTGTCTACAGTGGCACTCACAGTCCCTCCAGCTTTATGGAAGTTGTTTTGTTGTTTTCTGGCTTTAGATATTGCTGTAGAAAATCTGGGTCCAGCCTGATATTCCCTGCTTTTCAAAGATTTGTGTTCCTGCCTGAATGTTTGAGAAGTCTTTCTCTATCTTTGAAATTCAATAATTCAATTAGGATATGTCTCAATGCAGAACATTTTTAACAAAATTTTCATGGAACACAACGTGTATTTGTTTTTCTAAACTGTAAGGTTTCAGAGGTTTGTCTTTATTTCAGGAAAATTTTCCTGCTTCATATTTTTGAATATATTGTCTTTGTTGGGCTTTTCCCTTCAGGGATGCTCAAAAGCCCTGCTACTGCTTCCCCTGCAGTGGCATCCATGCCTGAAAGCTCTGCTCAGTTTTCTCTCTTTTTTTTTTTTTTTTTTTTTGCTTTTTTCATGTTTACTCATTTTATCCCAAGCCCATTCTCCATGTCAATATTTTGACTTCTACTTGTATCTGATCTGCTTTCTGTCATTTAAAATTTATTTCTTAGGTATATAATGATGTCATTTTTGTTATTAATCTGTTTCTTTAGGTCAGTTTATATCCTAAATAGGATTTTCTGTTTTTATCATTTTGTCTTTGAGCTCTCATTTTATTGAATGTATAATTTTTATTAAGTTTTCTATAAGGCTAAGCAATTAGGAGATATTGTCTTCTGTTTCTGGAGATAGTTTTCTTCTTGGTTGTGCTCTTTTTGAAGTATTTCTTCTTTCTCTCCTTCCTTTATTCCCTCTCTGCCTTCCTTCCTCATTTCCTTTCTCCCTCCCTCCTTTCCTTCCTCCCTCCCTTCCTTTCTTCTTCTCTTTCTCTTTTTTCTTCTACTATGTGTGTTTGCTTTGTTCCCATCTGTTATGGGTTGAACTAGGCTCCCCCTCCAAAATCATACGTTGAAGTGCTAACCCTCAGTACTTCAGAATGTGACAGTATTTGGAGGCATAGCCTTAAAGAGGTGATTAAGTTAAAATAAGACTGAGTGGGTCCCAATCCTATCTGACTAGTATCCTTATAAGAAGAGGAAATTTGGACTCACAAAGAGGCACTAGGGATGTGTATACAGAGAGAAGACCATGTGAAGACACAGCAAGAAGGTGGCTGCCTGCAAGTCCTTAGAAGACACCAAAACTTGCCAACACCGCCATCTTGGACTTCCAACCTCCAGAACTGTGTAAGCCACCCCATTGGTGGCATTTTGCTATGTCAGCCCTAGAAAACCATTGCATTTTTTTCATTGATCTTGGCCTTAAGCAGCTCATCCAAAATCTTCTCTTGTTTCCCCTGTGCTGTGTCTGAGACCACGGAATTTCCTGCTTGGCACTGGGCATTGAGATCTGAGTGTTTCATATTCTACCACTTACTTGGAAGCCCAGGAATGGTTGCAACATCAGGAGAGTTTAGGGAAGAACATGTGTGGCCACGTGGTTGCCTGGGCTTTGCTGTCTTCCTATGCCAGGCTGTCCTCCCTTCTGGTTGGGTGTATGTGGGTGCATATACAAGAGTGACCCTCGGATCAAGGCTATTTTCTGGATTAACCTGCGGTCCTGAAGCATTTACTGCAGTTAGAGCAGGGGTCCCTGATCCCCCAGCCACGGTTCGTGGCCTGTTAGGAATTTGGCTGCACAGCAGGAGCTGAGTGGCAGGTGAGTGAGCACGACCGTCTGAGCTCCCCCTCCTGTCAGATCAGCAACGGCATTAGATTTTCATAGGAGCACAAACCCGATTGTGAATTGCGCGTGAGAGGGTCTAGGTTGCACGCTCCTTATGGGAATCTAATGCCTGATGATCTGAGGTGGATCAGCTTCATCCCCAAACCTTCCCTCACCCCCGCCCAGTCCCGTGGAAAAATTGTCTTCCATAAAACCAGTCCCTGGTGCCAAAAAGGTTGAGGACCAATGAGTTAGAGGATCAGCCCTCCTGTTTGCCCAGCCCTGGTTCCTCCCAGGCCTTGGTCAGAAAAGGTAATAAGAAAACCCATTCAAGTGGCTTTCCTCAGGTCTTCTCCAGACTTTGTCAGCTCCCAGCGCCAGTTCCTGGGAGTTGGGCTGTCTGGGTTAGGAAGCCAGAAGGGTCAGGAGGTCAGCAGGATTAGGAAGCCAGCGTGCCGTGCCCTGAGTTTTCCGATTCTTCTCTTGGCTGTCAGTTATTTAAGTTTGATCCTGTACATGCTTGGGTGATGCTGTTGGCTGTTTTCTTTCTTTGATGATTGCTGCTACTTTTTGCCCATGATGTCAAGCACGGGGGGAAAGGAATTCTGTGAGAAAATTTCAAACTGCCATTCTCATCCTGGAGGCCTAATTTATTTCATTTCAATTATTCTTTTTTTTTTTTTCTTTTGAGATGGAGTCTCATTCTTTCGCCTAGGCTAAAATGCAGTGGTGCAATCTCCGCTCACTGCAACCTCCGCCTCCTTGGTTCAAGCAATTCTCCTGCCTCAGCCTCCCGAGTAGCTGAGATTACAGGTGCCCACAACAATGCCTGGCTGATTTTTGTATTTTTAGTAGAGATGGGGTTTCGCCAAGTTGGCCTAGGCTGGTCTCGAACTCTTGACCTCAGGTGATCCACCTGCCTCGGCCTCCCAAAGTGCTGGGATTACAGGCATGAGCCACTGCACCCGGCCTCATTTCAATTATTCTTGATGGTTGCAGTGGCTCTTCCTGGGGTGTAACAAGTGCCTGTAAATCCAGGCAGCTCAGTCATTCTGGTACCACATGTATGATCTCAGTAACCAGCTCCCTACCCTCTCCTGTTGAGTAATGGCACCAGTCAGGGGCTCCCGTTATCCCAGTCTGTAGAGGAGTTACCTGAGGATCAGAGAGGAAAAGCACCCAGATGTCCCCTGTGGTGAGCCTTGTAGCCAGGACGCCTCCCCAGGCCTCAGAATCTGCAACTCCAAACTCCCACAGGGGCCTGGGAGAGGAAGGAAAAAAGGGGAGAAAGAATTGAGGGAAGACAGGAAGGAAGGAGGGAGGGAGGGAGAGAGGGAGGCCTTGGTCCATTTCGAACTGTTATACCAAACTTATCACAGACTGAGTGGCTTAAACAACAAACTTATTTCTCATGGTTCTGGAGGCTGAGAGCCCAAGACCAAGATGCTGGTAGAGTTGGGGCATGGCGAGGACCCACTTCCTGCTCCAATGTTCCCTGAATCTGAAACTGGCAGAGCTCAGGGTTTGAAGTCTGCAGACTTGGGTTCAATACCCAGCAATGGTCGGGGAGGAGGACTGTAAGGTGAATTACACGACCCTGAGTCTCAGTTTTCTCATCTGAACAATGGGCTCCTCAGCATCCACATCACAGAATTGGGGTATGGGGCTGGAATGTGAAGTGGCTCTGTGAGCTGGGAAATGTTCTGCAGATGTAGACTATTTTAGGACCAATGTTTCCCATAACATGTTAGGAAAGAAGACATTCTGGCCCAGGCCTGAGAGACAACACTTTCTCCTGAGGGACAAGACAGTCAGAGAGGTCATTTAGAGAGCAGGGAGGCAGGTCCAGAGGGCTCAAGAGGAAACCCCAGGGGGACCCTGACTTCTGCTTCTGGGAAGAGACTCCCAGGAATTCTCTCTTCTTCTTTCCTCTGCCTCCCTCATGGCTGGCCTCAGCACTGGGATGACAGCAGCAAGCCTCTGGGTGGGGGCTGGGGTGGCCCCTGGTCATTGTCTCTGGGATTCCTGTCCCCTGGATGGGATAGCTGTAGCAATGGTGACTTCCCAATTCTCCACAAATATATGAGTGCATACATGTATACACTTTTTGTTTTAGTTATATATACATATATATATACATATATATAATATATATATAATAATTTTTTCTCTGTTCTTTTAAAATGTACTGTTTTTTGTCTCTTTTTGTAACAGTAGCTTAATCTGTTTAAGAGATGTAGAGCCTCTGTGGTATTGTGTATCATAATCCAACCAAGTCCCTTTGCGGGGGCATGTGTTATTTAAAACAATCTTGCGATGAACATCCTTGCACGCTTTTCTTCCTACACCCTGGAATGGTGCCACATTGGTTAGGAAGGCATTCCCCTGTAGACTGAATAATACCTGACCTAAAATGACCCAGGCAATGAGGAGTTATTTTTCCCACATGGAGAGAAGTTCAAAAGTAAGCAGCTGAGTTGATTCAGCAATTCAACAGAGTCAAGGATGATTTCTCTGCTTCTCTTGCTCTTTACAATACGGACACAAGATAGCCACTATAGCTCATCCATCACATCTGCATTGAAGACTGGAAGAAGAAAGGAGGGTAGAATTCTGAGTCAGCCACATCTGTCCTACAAGCCCAAGCCAACAAACTGGGTTACATGGCTGACTCTAGCTGCAAGGAAGGCGGGAGATGGCAAAAAAGAAAAGAGATGGAAATGAACTTGGGGTAGCCTTCAAATAAAGAACCCATAGCTTAACCTTATTGATACAGACCTATGCCCTTGTGTAGCTTACAGTCTTATGGGGAAGAGAGATGTTAATCAATGCAGCACACTAATGGGTGTATAATGACAAACTGAGGTCGAGGTTCTGCAGCAAACTTTACATTCTACATCCTTAGAATCTTTACTTTAATGCCACCATTCTTGGTGCTCCTACACCCCAGGGCCTGTGCCAGCCCTTCCCATACATGATCTTCCTAAATCTGCAGAGTCTCTGTAAACAGATATAAGTATCCCCACTCTTCAGGTTGGGAAATTGTGGACTAAGTCACATTCCATTGGTCCCCAGTTGGGAAGTATCCCAGGTGGGATTCACACCCAGGTCTGGTTGGCACCAAGATTGTAGTTTTGTTGACAGGTCTTCCTAGGAGTCAGCTGACTTGATTAATGTTTTCAAAGAATCAAGTTTTCACTTTGTTGCTTTCTTTATTGTGTATCTATTTTCTATTTTGTTTTCTCCCCTTATCTTTATTAGTTCCATTCTTCTACTTGCATTGAGTTTAATTTGCTCTCTTTTCATAGCTTCTTAAGACAGAAGTTTAGAGTATTGATTTTATACCTTTGCTCTTTCTGAATGTATGAATTTAAATCTCTAAGTCTCCCTCTAAGTTTTTTGCTTTAGCTTGTCCCACAGATTTTGATGTGTTTTATTTTCATTACATTTATTTCAAAACATTTAAAAATATTCTTTGTGATTTCTTCCATGATCCAGTTATTTAGAAATGTATGGCTTAATATTCAAAATATTTGGGAATAGTTATATTTTTGTAATTAATTTCTAGTTAAATTCCACTGTAGTCAGAGAACGTTGTCTGTACGATTCCAGTCCTTTGAAATATATTGAGACTCACTCTATGGTTCAGCATATGATATATTGTAGTGGATGTTTCATGTCACTTGAAAAGAATATATTCTGTGGTTATGGGGTGGGATGTTCCAAAAACGTCAATTGGCCAAGTCGATTAATAATGTTGTTCAAATCTTCTATAGCCGTACTAATTTTTCTATCCATCACTGCTTTCTAAAAATCAATTATTCACAGGGCTGTGTTTTAAGTGCTCAGCTGTGATTGTGGATTGGTCTATTTCTCATTTTAATTCTGTCAGATTTTGCTTCAATATCTTGAACCTCTGTTATTAGATGTATTCACCTTTAGCATTGTTATATCTTCTCGATGCATTCACCTTTTTGTCACTATGAGGAGTCTCTCTTTATTTCAGGTAATACTCTAGTTTCTTTTATGATTGGTGTTTGCATCATGTATCTTTCCCCATCATCTTTCATTCAGTTCATCTGTGTCCTTAAAGAGTGACTATCAAAGTGACGCTTGTAAACAGCAAGTAGTCAGGTACTGTTTATTTTTATCTAGTCTGATAATTGGTGCCTTTTATATGAAGTGTTTGGCTCATTTACATTTAATATCATTATTGATATGGGTGGGTTTTAGTGTAGCATGTTGTGATTTGTTTTGTATTTGTCTCTAATATTTTTGTTCCTTTGCTCCTCTTTCCCTGCCTTTTTTTGGATTGAGTATTTCTTAGTATTTTTTTAATCTCCTCTATTGTAACACTTTTCTGTGGTTCTCTAAATTTCAGTGTGCATTCATAGCTTGTCCCAGTCCACATTAAATAAATATTATGCAATTTCATCTACAAAATTGGAACCTAAAAACAACACATACTAGTTTTCTATTGTTACATAACAAATGACCACAAATGTAATGGCTTTAAACAACAACTATTTATTACCCACCATTTTGTTTCTATGGGTCAGAAGTCCCAGCAGGGCCTCACTGGGTCCTGTGTCAAGGTCCTCAGGGTCTCACAAGACTGCAAGTGAGGAGTCAGCTGGTGGTGTCGTTTTATCCAAGTCTTAGGGTCTTCTTTCCAAGCTCGCATGATTGTTGACAGAATTCATTTCTTCGGGACTAGATAACTAAGACTCTCCCCATCCCCACCTCCCAGGCCACTCCTTTGCATAGGCAGTCAAAAACATCACTGTTCACTTGTTCAAAGATAGCAAGAATGTCTCTCTTAAAAACTTGCCCGATGAGGTTGAGCTCACCCAGGAATATTTCTCTTTTGATTAAACTCAAAGTCAAAGTGATTAGAAACTTCAATCACATCTATAAAAATCTCTTTCTGGTTGACGTATAGTGTGATCTAATCCTGGGAGTAACATCCCATCCTATTCCCAGGTCTCACCCACACTCAGGGGGAGGGGATTGCACCGGACGTGGATAATTTCAGTATAATTTCATTAACCACTTAGTTTTTTGTGCTATTTTTATCATACATTTTCCTTGTACATATGTTATAAATGTAGCAATACCTTGTTATCTTATTTGTTTTCAATAGTCAATAGTTTTTTAGAGAAAATTTAAAAAGACAGTCCCATATTTATCTATATATTTTATCCTTTCTGATTTTTAATTTGATTTTTTTCTGCCAGATCCAGGATTCCATCTTGCATCACTTCTATTAATCCTGAAGAACTTCCTTAGTATTTTTCATAGCCCACGTGTGCTGCTGATTAATTCTCTTAGCTTTTATTTATCAGAAAATGTCATTATTTCACCTTCAGTTTTGAAGGGTATTTTCACGGGGCAAAGCACTTTAAGTTGGCAATTTCTCTTTTCTTCAACTTTCTATAAATATTTTATTCCCTTAAATATCTTGGCTTCCATCATTCCTGATGAGTAGCCAGCCATTATACTTACTTCATTCTCCCGAAAGCAATGTATATATTTTTTTGTTCTGGCTGCCTTTAAGATTTTGTATTTTTGCTTTTAAAAATTTTGATCATCATACAACTAGTTTTGCTTTTACTCACACTTATTCTGCTGGGGGTTTGCCCAGCTTCTTGACCTGTCTGTCCTGCTGTTGCAGCTAGAAGAATTCCTTGTTTGTGGTAGAGACTCAATAAATGTTTTTTGAATAAAATAAACAGATACTGTGAGAAGCAACTTATAGTCATAATTAACAGTGTGAACTCTGGAATCAGAGAGACCTGGATTTGAATTCTGTTTCTAGCAGTGTTATTTGGGACAAGTTGCTTAGCCTCTGTGAGCCTTGATTTCCTCATCTGTGAAATGGGGATATAATAGCAACACCCACCTAATGCGGTTGCTAAGGACATTCACTGTGTACTGAGGACAGGGCCTTTTCACTCGGGGGCATCCCAAGCCTTCCTTCTCACCCACTGGAGAGGATTTTCCCTTTGCTCCTCAGGGTTGGCATCCCTCCACACCTTCTGAGGAAATGTCCTTTATATTCACATTTGTAACTTTTATGGAAAGCCAAGGTAGTGAGCCACACAAAAGGAAACTAAAGCGCTGAGAGAAGCTATCTAAATTTATGGGATAAATGAGATGGAAGAGGAAAGAGACAGAAAACTGAGCGGAATAGAGATTTCCGGGGGTTCATGAGCAGCAGGCTCTGAAGCCGCAGAGGAGAGAAAGGGGATTCTAGGGTGTTGTGATGTTGCTGTGGGTTATGAAATACAATCATGTGTCACTTAACGGTGGGGATACATTCTAAGAAGTGTATTGTTAGGCAATGCAGTCATTGTGGGAACATCATGGAGTGTATTTATACAAACCTAGATGGCACAGCCTTCTACATACCTAGGCTATGTGATATAACCTATTGCTCATAGACTACAAACCTGTACAGCATGTGACTGTGTGGAATACTATAGGCAATGGTAACATAATTTTGAGTATTTGTGGTTCTAAACATAGAAAAGATATGGTAAAAATACAGTATAATCTTAGGGAACCACTGTCATATATGCAATCTGCCATCGACTAAAATGTTATGTGGCACATGACTGTAGATACTTGCAAAGTTCTTGAAGAGATTCAAATAAAGATGGAGATTTCAATTCAATTACTTATTACTGGGTATGCAGTTCTTTGAATTCAACTCCATGTAGAAGCTGGCCTGTTTGGAGCTCCAGAATTTATTTGGGTTATAAAAGAGAAGATGCAAAAATCTTAGAAAGTTCCTGACCCATAGTATGTGCTGTGATAATAATTATTATTATTATCACTGCTCATCAGAGAACTCCATATGGAGGTAGAGCCTGTGCCAGGCCCCATGTCCTCTGCACACATTTATTGAGCACCTACTGCATACCAGTTTTCACTCAAGGACCTAGGGACACAGCAGTAAGCAAAGGGGCTAAAGGTCTTTCTTTAGAAGCTTGTCCTCTGTGAAGGGATCCAATGTGTGGCAAAACTCCATGCCACCTTCAGATAGCTTTCCCTGGATACTGACATTTAAAAAAAAGCAACCCAAGAAGGCTTTGCTCAGCTTTGAGGGTGTGAGTCAAGTTTTGGGATTTCAGAGGAAGAAGTGGTTTTCTGGGTGGAACTCTGTGAAAACCTCTAAAGCAGTCACAGCTAGTTTGAGGCCTTGGTGCAGAAAAGGTGAGCCTGGCAGAGTGGGGAGTGACCCCTTCCGGAGGAGGGCACCCACCTCACCAGCATGCACATTTTTATTGCATGCCATGTAGGTTTAGCTTGTGGTTTGCAAACATAGCTGACTTAGTCAAAGAAGTTTAGGTTGTAAGTAACAGGAAATCACCTACGCCATTGAAGTGAGACAAGGTGAGTTTAAAAATAAGGTAACAAAAACCATAGGGTTGGAAGTTGAGCTGTTCCTTACAAATGTCTGTGACCAGTAAATATGTAAACCAGCCTGGGACAAGACAGTACCTCCATCTTTCTTTGTTCTGAGGGCTCACTGACCTTATCTCATCTTCTCTCCGTAAGTTGGCCTTAAATCTTCATCCTTTCATCTATGTATCTATCTATTTATCTATCTATCCATCCATCCATCATTCCATCCATCTATCCATCTATCATCTATCGAATCTATCTATCTATCATCTACCTATCTGTGTATCTATCTATCCATATTATTCCATCCATCTATTCATCCATCCATCTATCCATCTATCATCTATATTTCCTATCTATCTGTCTATCTATCTATCTATCTATCACCTATCTGTCTGTCTATCCATCTGTCTATCCACCCACCCATCTATTCATTCTCTCCAGACTTATTTCCACTTACTTGAAAAGCACAGAGTCAGATTTGGCTACCCTGCAGCTCACAGATTTCTATCTCTTCTGTTTATACAACACAGGGATTGATTATCCCCTCTCAGTCCTAATTGCAAATGCTCACAGAAGAGACACCAGTTGTCCCAGTTTGAACCCAGTGTCCATCCTTGGTTCAGCCATCTGTACCAAAGGCAGTCAGCTCTTATCATATAAGGAGATGCCGAGGCTCACCAGTGTGGGTGAGGGGTGGACACACACCTGAGAACAGTCCTTTAACAGAATGCAGCTCTTCAGAAAACTTTTAAGTAATAAGTATATTGAGATATAATTCTCATTTTACAAAATTTTCTCTGTTAATGTGTATCATTCAGAGTTGTGCCACTATCACCACTATCTAGTTTTGGAACATTCTCGTCACCCCCAAAAGTCCTGTTCACATTAGCAGTCACTCCCCATTCCTCTCCCTTCCCCAATTTCTAGTCAACCATTGATCTCCTTTCCGTCTGTCTGGATTTGCCTATTCTGAACATTTCATATAAATGAGATTACATAATAGGTGGTCTCTTGTGTCTGACTTCTTTCATTTAGCATAATGATCTCAAGGTTCATTCATATTGTACTATGTATCAGTACTTCATTCCTTTTTGTTGCTGAATAATATTCTCTTGCATGGATATACTACATTTTGTCTATCCATCCATCAGGTGGCAGACATTTATGCTGTTTCCACTGTTTGGTTATTATGAGTAATGCTGTTAGGAATATTCATAAACTGGTTTTTGTGTGAACATAGGTTTCCATTTCTCTTGGGTAGATACCTGGGAGTGGAATTATTGAGTCACATGGTAACTCTGTGCTTCACCTTTTGAGGACTGCCGGGCTGTTTTCCAAAGTGGATATACACCTTTACATTCCCGTTAACAACACATAAGGGCTGCAAGTTCTGTCACCCTCACCAACATTTGTTATTATTTGACTCTTTGATTCTAGCTATCCTGGTGGGTGTTAAGTAGTATTTCATTGTGGACTTGACTTGTATATGCCTAATATTATAAATAATGATATTGGGCATCTTTTCATGTGCTTATTAGGCATTTAGATATATGTTTTGGAGAAATGTCCACTCAAATCTTTTGTCCATTTTCGAAATCAGATATTTGCCTTTTAGTTGTTGAGTTGTAAGTTCTTTGCATATTTTGGGTACAAATCTCTTAACAGACATTTGATTTGCAAATATTTTCTCTCCTTCTGTGGTGTTTCTTTCACCTTTTTGATGGTGTCCTTTGAAGCACAAACATTTTAAATTATGATTAAACCCAATTTACTGATTCTTTGTCTTATCATTTGTGCTTTTAGCATTGTATCTAGGAAAGTACTGCCTATTTCAAGGACACTAAGATTTATTTTATTCTAAGAGTTTTGTAGTTTTAGTGCTTATGTTTAGGTTTATGGTCCATTTTGAGTTATTTTTTGTAGATAAGGGTCCAGCTTCTTTTTTTCCATGTGGGTGTCCAGTCATCCCAGCACAATTTGTTAAAAAGACTATTTTTGCCCCACCAAAAATAAATTGATTACAATTGTAAGGGCTTACTTCTGGAATCTCAAATATATGTACATCTATATGTCTATCTTTATTCACAATTTCTTGATTACTTTAGCTTTGTACTAAATTTTGCAATTGGGAAGTATGAGTCCTCCAATATTTTCCTTTTTCAAAATTATTTCATCCATTCTAGGTTCCTTGCATTTCCACGTGAATGTTAGGATCACCTTATCAATTTCTGCAAAACGGGAAGCTGGGATTTTGATAGTAATTGCATTGAATCTGTAGATCAATTTGAGGAGTATTGCCATCTTAATAATATTAATGCTTCAACTCATGAACATGGGTTGTCTTTCCATTCATTTATATCTTCTTTCATTTCTTTCAATAGTTTTTTTTTGTAATTTTCAGTGTACAAGTCTGACCCTTCTTTTGTTATGTTTATTCTTTTCAATGCCACTTTTAGTACGTTGGCTTTCTTAATTTTATTTTTGTATTTTCATTGCTAGTGTATAGAAATACAATTGCTTTTTGTATATTTATTATGTATCCTGCAACTTTGCTGAACTAATTATTAGCTTGAATAGGTTTTTTGGTGTGTGTGTATTCCTTGTGATTTTCTATGCATGCGATCATACAATCTGTGAATAGAGATAGTTTTACTTCTTTCTTCCCAATGTGATGCTTTTATTTCTTTTTCTTTCCTAATTTCTCCAACAGAGAGATTGTATGTATATATGTTATAAATCTATAAACTTTTGTAGGTATGTATGTTATAAATCTATGGGCTTTTAAAAATAGGTTTATAATGTACATACAGAGAAGTGCATCAATCATAAGTGTATAGCTCCATGAATTTTTACAAACTGAACATATTTGCATAACCAGCAAACCAGAGCCCCTCCTTCCTCTCTTTCCAGTCACTCCTGCACCCTCCACCCAAGGGTAACTACTACCCTGACTTCAAACACCTAAGATTAGTTTCACCTGAGAAACTCAACTCTCAAGGGTCATTTCCAATCCAGAGAAGGAGAAGTCCAGGAAATCTAAGGGAAGCAATTGAGAAAATGTTCCTGTTCAACCTGACTGCAGGCCCCTAGTGTTGCGTGGGGCATTTATTCAGTCTGCCCCCTTCTAATGCAATGGCCAGCCAATATGGGGTGCCTGGGCACCTCAGATTAGACTCCATAGACCCTCAACCCCTAAAGGGACAAATCAAAATGAGCCTCACCAGACCCAGTAGAAGTGGCCATGAGGGATACATGGCCTCTGCTTTCCAAACCCCTCTCAGCAGCACCTCAGCAGTGCCTGGTACATAGTAGGTCTGCAATGGATGTCTGCTGAGTGGAAAGATATAGCAAAGCCATGAAGTCTAAAGGAGCCAGGGACAATGGGAAATGAGGACATTCTGAGCCTGAAGGGGTTCCCATGGTTCTTGTGCTGGCCCAATGATGTATTGTCCAGACCTGCTTTGGGGAAGGATTTGCTGTCCACTGCTGTCAGCTTCTGCAGGGTCTGCCCTGGCTGCAGAGGGTTTCCTGGACCATGGTGTGCTCCTTTCCTGGAGCAGCCATGTAGGGTGACTAAATGAGGTGGAGAATAAAGGCTTGCCCATTTCATATGTTGTGCACAGTCTGATATGCTATATTCTGATGGGCTATACTCACCCCAGAGCTACCCACCAGCTTAGCCAAGACTTTGCTGGGCTGCAGCACAGCTGGACTTCTCCCTCTACGCAGCCCGGCTTCTCTTGCATCTTTTCTCAGGAACTGGTCCCTCATACACACCTTGCACCCCAAACATTCTCACAGTATCTGCTTCTGGAGAGCCACCCTGGCTGACCTGAGCATCCCCTTCCAGCACCTCCGTCTGCACCGTGGAGGAGTCACCTTAACGTCTCCTCCCAACATACCCTGTGCTTCTGTATGGCAGGGCTTATGGTCGCTTGTTTTATTTCTGCTGCCTGCCCTGTGCCTATGGGCACAGGACTGATGCTCAGCAAACATCTGCATCATGATTGAATGAAACCACAGCCTGTTAGGAAAATAGGAAAGCAGGTCTCAAACTTTTTGCTCCCAAGGCTCCATTACACTCCTAAAAATTATGGCAGACCTCAAAAAGCTTTCATCACGTAAGGTTATATTTGACACAGAAATTGAGAAATTTTAAAAAATGTTAATTTATTTAAAATAATTATAATAAACCTGTTACATGTTAACATAATACTTTTATGAAAAATAAATTTTCTAAAACAATTTTTTTTTAATTTTTGCAAATCTCTTTAATGTCTGGCTTAATAGAAGATAGCAGATTCTCTGCTCTATAGTCAGCCTGTTGTGACAGGTCATTCTGGTTGAAGTATGTGAAGAAAATACAGCTTCATGCAAATATGTACTATTGTCCCTTGTATCTGTGGGGGATTGGTTTCCGCACCACTGCGTCTACCAAAATGTGCACATACTCAAGTCACAGCCTGGGGGAACCTGTGGATATGAAAAGTTGGCCCTCCATATATGCAGGTTTCACATCCTTGGATACTGTGTTTTCCATCTGCATTTGGTTGCAGGTGTGGGACTCGCTGATAAGGACGGCTGACTGTATTTATTGAAAAACATGCACTTATAAGCGGACCTGTGCAGTTCAAATCCATGTTGTTCAAGAGTTGACTATAGTTGGAAGAAGTATTTTCATCATCTTTGCAGATAATTATGGGCAGTGTTCTTTGATAATACACCAAAACTCAACAAGTGGTAGTTTCTTAACAATTACTTGCAAGGTGGAATCTGAAACATGTCAATGAATTTGTCTGTACTTTGTTACATTAAAGTCTATGGTGTATTTTGCTTTCCATATAGATCTTTAACCTGTGCATGATTTTGATCTTGTAGACTCCCCAGAAGGATCTTGGGCACATGTAGGTTTCCCCAGATCATACTCTTGAGAGCCACTGGTGCAGGGAGTAAAGGTAGGGACCCCTTACATGCCATATGACCAGACCCAAGTGACTTACTCTAAGGTCTTTGTTCCTCATCCGTGAAGCAGGATATCAATAGCATCTGTGTTATGGGGCTGTGGCTGGTACCACATATGATGAGTACCATTCAGCATGTAGTAGGTGCTTAGCAAATATTAACAATCATTATGTTTTCCCTCTGCAAAGAGAAAAAAGATGGGAAGCAGATGTCCCCTTCATGAACAGGAAGAAGTAAGAGAGTTAGCCTAAATGGTATCTAAGTCCTCCCACTGGCTATTATGCTCAGTCCTGACCACTTTATCTTTCATGGCCTTTGACTCTGCTATGTACTTGAACTTGATGTTCCTTAAGTGTGTTGTCATCTTAGGGCAATGCCCTGGGTTCCATGGTGGTGGGGTATGATGGGTTTGGCTCACCAGCAGTGGCCCCACAAATCAGAGAACACATTAATTAGTGACACAGTCCCAGGGCTCTCAGGACTTAGATACAGTTTTTATTAAATATGAATGGTCTTGTCCACCCTAAGGAATGATCCTCAACCACGGGGAAAATGGCCAGCCCATCGCATCAACTCCCTTTGTCCCACTAATTTTCCCCAGTGATTATCTTCTTTTCTGACCCTTGGGGCCATGGACTATGTGAGTTGCCTGAAGGCCTGGTGTCCAGACCAGAGTTCCTTGAGCTGCTCATCTGCTTTCTCTCTGAGCTGCTTATCCTCCACCACCTTCAGTCCCTCTCCAGCTAGGCTCTGGCCCTGTGGGCTATGTCCCCTTGGCAGAGCCTCAGTTTTCCCATTTGTGAAATGGGATCATTGTAGTTCGTCCCTCCCAGAGTTGATTAGGAAAAACTACACAGGCGGAGGCGGACAAATCACGAGGTCAGGAGTTTGAGACCAGCCTGGCCAACATGGTGAAACCCTGTCTCTACTAAAAATACAAAAATTAGCTGGGCGTAGTGGTGAGCACCTGTAATCCCAGCTACTCAGAGGCTGAGGCAGGAGAATCTCTTGAACTTAGGAGGCAGAGGTTGTAGTGAGCCGAGATAGCACCATTGCACTCCAGCCCAGGTGACAGAGTGAGACTGTCTCAAACAACAAAAACAAAAACCCATGAAGCACTTATTTCATTACAAGCACCCATTAAATATAAGAATTATTATTGTTATTAAAATTATTTAAAAATAAATATAATAATAGTAACATTTTTGAAATATCCACTAATAAATTTCCCCTTTTTGGTCATCTAGTTGCCTTTCTTGCAACTTTTCTAGATCTACACTGCCCCAGAGAAAGCATGGGAAAAAGTCTCCAGGGCTGAATTTGCTTTCCCATTTTTCAGCAGAAGAAACTGAGGGTCGGAGAACATGGGTGAGCCACTCAAGATGATGCAGCCACATTAGTAATAAATAGATGTGACATTCATTGCCAGATCTGCTTGAACCTGGAACCTTACATTCACTTGTAATACAAAGAGTTAAAACAAGCAGATAGTAGGCAATCAATATAGGTAAATGTCCTGTGCTCACTTCTCAGACTGTCAGACACCCCAGACAACAAGAGCAGGTAGAATCCCCAAGTCTCAGCTGCCTAGCTGGGAGCCTCCCACTTGAGCATAGCCTGAACTTTGGGGTCCGCTGTTCAGAGCAAGCGTCTTGGCCAACTTTAAAGTAAGTGGTTAGTGGCTGTCCATCAGTTTTAAGTTCTTCAATCTGGGTGGGGTTGGCAGTAACCCTGTACTTCCCACCATGGGATCTATAGTGATGTCTCCTTGGTCATTTTTGATACCACTAATTTGTGTCTTCTCTCATTTTTTCTCGGCTAGCTTGGATAAAGGGTTGACATTTTTATTTATCTTTACAAATAATCAGCGATGTTCCTAATAATTTCCTATTTTTAATTTCATGGCTAATTTTTATTGTTTCTTTTCTTCTGCTTGCTTTAGGTTTATATGTGCTTCTTCCTCAAATTTTTTAAGCTGGAAGTTTTGATAATTCATTTTAGATCTTTCTTCTTTTTTCATATAAGCATTTTATGCTGTGAATCTACCATTTTGCTTTTACAGAATCCCACATATTTTGATAAGATGCATTTTATTTTTGTTTAATTTAAAATATTTTAAAACTTCTCTTGTGATATTTTTTTTGACCCATGTGATATTTGGAAACATACTGTTTAATCTCAAAATATTTGAGGATTTTTAAGCTGTATTTCTGTAACTGATTTCTAGTTTAATTCTATTGTAGTTCAAGAGTATACTTTGTATGATTTCTATTCTTTTAAATTTGTTAAGGTGTATTTTATGGCACAGAATGTGGTCTGTCTCAGTGAATGTTCCACGTGAGTTTAAGAGGAATGTGTAGTCTACTGTTGATGGATAAAGTAGTTTATGGATATCTGTAATATCCAGTTGATTGATGGTCCTGTTTAATTCAACTGTGTCCTTACTGCTTTTCTGCCTGCTAGATCTGTCCATTTCTGATAAGGGGATGTTGAAGTCTCCAACTGTTATAGTAGATTTATCTGTTTCTCCTTGCATTTCTATCAGTTTCTACCTCATGCATTTTGATTCTCTGTTGTTAGGTCTATATACATTAAGAATTATTATGTGTTTGCAATATACATTTACAACTAATCTAAGTCCTCTATCAACCAACACTGTACTATATGATGAGTAGTAAAAGCACCTGAGCATTCTCAATCCAATTCTCCATCTGTCCTTTGTAACATTGCTTTCATTCATTTATCCATAAACTATAATAACCTAATGCATTTTTACTATTATTATTTTGAACAATTTTCTATTAGATCAATTATAAGAAAAATAAAAGATTTTATTTTGCCCTCATTTATACATTATCAAATGTTCTTCCTTTCTTTTTGCAGATTTGAGATTTCCTTTTGTTTGAAGAACTTTTAAATCTATTTCTTGTAAGGCAGATCTACTGGTGGCAAATTCCCTCAGTTTTTGTTTGTTTGAGAAAGTCCTATTTTTTCCTTCACCTCTGAAGAATAATTTTATTGAATATAGAATTCTAGATTGGTTCCCCCCACCCTTTCTTTTGACATTTAAATATTTCATTCAAGTCCCTTCTTGCTTGAATGATTTCTGTAGATCCTTGTTCCTCTGTAGGTAAGATTTGTTGTCCCCCTGATATCTCACTTCTGGATTTTTTCAAAATGGTCTTTCTTTCTTCGTTTCCCTCTCCTTTACTTTTCTTTTCCCTCCCCTCCCCTCCTCTCCTCTCCTCTCCTCTCATCTCCTCTCCTCTCCTCTGCTCTCCTCTCCTCTCTTCTCCTCTCCTCTCCTCTGCTCTCCTCTCCTCTCTTCTCCTCTCCTCTCCTCTCTTCTCCTTTCCTCTCTTCTCCTTTCCTTTCCTTTTTCCTTCTTTTCTTTTCCTTTCCTTTGAATATGTCACAAAAAAAGCTTAGGTATGAATTTTTTTTGGCAAAAATATGCTTAGGTATGAATTTTTTGGCAAAAAAATATGCTTAGGTGTGGTTTTTTTGGGCACGTATCCTGCTTTGTTCTCTGGGTTTCCTGTTGTCTGTTATCAATTCGGGGAAAATCTCAGGTTTTATTACTTCAAATATTTCTTTTGCTTCTCTCCTTCTTTTGCTGCTTCTCCTTCTGGAATTCTCTTTTGCTTCTTCTCCTTCTGGAATTCTCTTTTGCTTCTTCTCCTTCTGGAATTCTCTTTTGCTTCTTCTCCTTCTGGAATTCTCTTTTGCTTCTTCTCCTTCTGGAATTCCCATTACACATAGTTATACCTTTTTTAATTGGCCCATGGTTCTTAAATATTCTGTTGTGTGTTGCTGTTTTCATTCTTCTTGCTTTTCAGTTTAGAAAGTTTCTACTGACATATATTCAAGCCTACTGATTTTTTCCTCAACTATATCCAGTCTACTGATGGTCATCAAAGACTGTCTTACTTCCTGTTACAGTGTTTTTAATCTCTAACATTGCTCCTTGACTCTTTCTTAGAGTTTCCATCTCTCCATTTACATTATCTACCTGTCCTTGCAGGTTGCCCACTTTTTCCATTACAGGCCTTAGCATATTAATCATAGTTATTATAAACTCCCAATCTGAGAGTCTTAGTTATCTAGCCCCAAGGAAATGAATTCTGTCAACAATCTCTGCCATATTTGAGTGTGGTTCTGAGTTTTTTTTTGTTTTGTTTCATTTATTTTACCTTTAGTATGCCTTGTAATGTTTTACTGGGAGTTGGACAATACGTATTGGATAATAGGAGCTGAGGCTTTGGTGTGAAGATTTCACAAATCTGGCTCAGAGTTGGGATATATTTAATGTTTGTTGTAAATGTAGGTGTCAGAGGCTTCACCTCCCTCTAGTGTCCCTTTTTCTCCCCTCTTGTCTTTGAGTTTCCCTTGAAACTCCTTTGGAATGAAGTCTGTGTCTTGCAGCTCTCTTGGTTGTGACCGATTGTTATAGTGGAGTGATGTAATGGTAAGGATGTAATGGTGAGGATGTAATGATAAGGATGTAATGGTAACCCGGGGGAGGAAGTGTTCTATAATCTTCTAATTACATCTCTGGGTTTTTTAAAAAGAGGAGGCTGGAATTCCTAGGCTGTGACCTCCAGAGAGTTTCTTAGCCTTTTTTTTCCCTCTCCCCTTAAGTGAGACAAGAAGGCTAGAGGGGGATCCAGCTGTCTAATTGCCCATCTTCTAGGGCAGATAAGGCTGCAGTAAAAGATTTTCCCTTGAGTACAAATCTTTGTTGAGGAAAACAGAATGTTCTGGATATATTTCAAAATGCTCGCTTTTCCTTCCCCCCTGCTGAAAGCATGAGGGGATTTTTCTGAGAACTTGGTGGGGCTCCTGGAGAGAAAACTCATGAACATGTGGGGGCCCCTTGTGAGACTGGCCACCGAGGAGTTTTTCATCTCCAGCTAAGTCCACACAGCCTCCAGCTGTGCAGTGACTAATCAGTTACCGTTGGCGTTCCTACCTGCCATGGGCCCCAGCAGCTTCTGATCCCTGTGTGCTGTGATTTTAGCCACCTGTCTGTCTCCCAGATTTTGGAGTAATGGTCTACACCATGATCACAATTCTCTAATGGATCTAAGAATTGTTGATTTTCAGTTTGTTCGGCTTTTTTCTTGTTGTGAGGATGAGAACGACCACTTCTAAGGTCTTTATATTTTGGAGCAGTAACTGGAAGCCTCCCTGAATACATTTGTAAGTCAAGTTGTAATGTATTTTATTGGCAGTTACTTGCAGGCTCTTGAAAAACTCAGATCAAAGGCAGAAATGATCTCCTAGGTAAGCTAGCCACGTAATTGCCTCCATTACTCCAAGAGCCTTCTGCATGTGGAGGCATGTGGCCCTCTGTCAGCGTTAGAGCCGGGACAGCGCATCCTCTCAGCTCGGATTGGCAGGTAATGCGCGGCCATCTCAAGCAGCACCTGTGGGGAAGGCTTATCCCAGGTGGTAGTTTGTGCAGTCATGAGTAGGGCCAAAACTAGGGTGAAGCAGGACCCTGATAATGATGCCCCCCTAAAATTTGCATCTTTGTGCCTTCTCACCTCGCCCTGGTTCCAGCCCTGGTTATAAGCACAGGCTCAGAATCCGGTCTGCCTGAGCTCATCTCCATCTGCTACCTGCTCGCTGTGCAACTTTGGGTGAGAAAATAACCTCTCTGGGCCTCAGTTTCTTCACTTGTAGAGATAAGGATAGTGCTTACTAGCAGGATTGTTATGCAGATTAAATGAATTAACATGGGCAACAACACTTAGAGTGGAGTCTGGCCAATCACAAGCCTCCAAAGTGTTAACCTCTTTTGCTATCTTCTCTTGCCCTGTGTAGCAGAAGCTGTTGGCCCACTCAGATCCCCTAAGTCCCTAAGTTGGCATGCACCTTGGCCTGCCCACCTCTGCCCACCTTGGCCATCCTCCCTTCTCTATTTGGCTGCCAGATGGCTTTTTCCTGAGCCCCAGGAGCATACTTAGTTCAGGAACCTGCTTAGCAGGGGCAACCTGGAAGTACCGGGGACTTAGTGTTCATGGCAGTTCCCAGCCACAAGCAGCAGGAATCGGGGTGAAGACCCCACTTTCCAGGCCTCAGTGGCACAATTCTGGGGTCATTCTGCACAGGGAACATACTCATAACTGCATCTTTCTTGTCCTGCCCCCTTCCCCTCTCACCTTCCTCACCCCCCTCACTCCTGCTCCCCAGAATCACATCCCTAATTAACTTCATCCCCCAGTGCTCTTTCTCAAGGGCTGTTTGGTGGGGAAACCAAACAAGTCATCTTCTCAGTGGTGGTTTTTATCTATGGAAAAGCCCTCTCTGTTTGGTTTCCCAGAGCTTTCATCCTGTGTGCACGCATGCGGTGTTCCATCCGGGCAGCCAGTGTGTCCTTCGTTCAAAAACACGTCCTGTGCGCCTACCGTGTGGTGAGGCACCAGCTGGCAACCATCGGGTCAAGCTCTTATCCAGGGCTTGGGGCTGCCTGTGGTGGGACATGTCATGCCCCCTTTGGGGCCAACACGGATCGGAGGAGGTGGCCGGTCAGTGAGGAAGGGTATGAGCTCTGGACTCTACCTGAGGGGCTAGACCTTGGCTCCTCCTCATGATAGCCATGAGACCTCGAGCTAGTGGCTAACCGCTGAGCCTCAGTTTGCTCATCTGGGGCCCGTGGGAAGAGGTGACACTCAGGAAGGGCTGAGCCCTTCGTGCCTGAGCTCATTTGCTCTGTTGGATTCTGGTGAGGAGAAAAGAAAAGCAGAACTAAAGGGGTTGAAAGCAATGGGAGCCCATTCCTGGGGGCCCCGAGGGGGCTCTGTGGAGCTGGCAGTGTCTTGCTTCTTGATTTCGGGGCTGGGTCATGTACCCAACCTCACCCTGTGGAATCCACCCAGCTGTGTGCTGAAGCTCACTCCTGTGTCAGCGGAGATTTCCGGTTCAATATGAAATGTAACAGGGTCCGTTCTTCTCTCCACCTCCTGGTTCATGGATGAACTGGATGAATTGTACATCATCTATATAAATAGAAAATTATCTCCACCCCTACCAAAAAACCCCAAACAAAACTGCTTTCCCTTTAGGAGAGAGAAAAGCCGCAGAACCGCAGGGAAGGAGATTTGCCCACAGAACCCCCAAAAGACATTTCCTTATTCTCATGATGGCGAATCATGATGATGACGTCTGTTGAAGATTCATCAAAGCTGATGCTTTTGCCCCCAATAAAATAAACTTTTTCTTAAGGATGTGACAGAGAGACATAGCCAGGAAATTTTATTACACAAAAAAAATTAAAAGGGATTGAGGAATCTGACTTCTCTTTCATGGCAAGCCTCTGTGATTTTGACAATTCACTGACGAAAGAAAAAAATATGAAACGAAACGTGTCTTCTTAGCAGTGGAGAAGTCTGTCTGGTGAGGAGGTTTTGGGGGAAGAAAGTGGAAAATTCCCCTTGCCTTCTCCTTCCTCTAGTTGCATGGCAGCCTACGTGGGCCTCCTCCGCGCCTCCTCTCTCACTGGCTCTGTCTCACCTGGGTCTATTCCCGTCCCTCATTCTCTCCCTCCAAACCCATCATTTCTAATTCTCCAGCTATATTTGCTCACCTGAGGCCTCCCTGCCACTCCCCTCTCCCTCCCCTCTGCCTTCTAAAAGAGTCTCCAATTCCCCCACCAAAGGATTCTCTCTGGTCACAGCTGTCAGCTGTGAGCTTGGAGACCTCACCCTGCACACTTGATGTGGGCTCGCTCCTGAACACATTCCTGAGACCTGTCCCAGCCCTGGGGGTCAGCGTCTCCACCCAGAGAATCTTCCTTCAACTCCCTGGGCTGTCCCCTCCTGCCAACACATCCCTCCCACCCCAGGGGATCTGGGTTTTCCAGGGAACGTGTGCAAGTGTGTACACCACTGGCAAGTGGCAGGGATGGGATTTGAAATCAGTTCCATCTGACCTTGAAGTCCTGTCCCTTGGTGTGCTCCTCTCCCTCCATTCCTGCCTTACTCCTCCCACCCGCTGCACTTTAGCTCCCCAGGACCACCTCTCAAATGAGCCACCCAGGCCTTTCCGCTGCTGCTCCTGGGGACTGAGCTAAGACGCCGCTTTCGCCTCACCTTGGTCCCTGCTGGTCCCTCTGATCTCCATGATAAGCTAGCATCCATGTGCCCAGAGGCTGGCGCAAGTGGTTGCCTGCTATGTGCTGTCCACACACTGGCTTAACCCCTGCACCCCTCAGAGACGGCCTTGCATCTCCATTTTATAGATGAGGAACGTGGTCTCAGAGAATCTACAGGTCTCCCAGGTGCCTTGTGGTGGTAGAGCAGGATCTGCCCGATTCCAAAGCCTATGCTGCTTCATTTTGACTCTGAGCCCTCAAACCTGAGAAATCAGCAGATGCCATTCTTCAGGTGGACTCACGCTGGGAGCCCCAATATGTGGAACAGCAGCAAGAGCTGCCCGGGCCAAGCAGGGGAGGCTTGGGAGATTTTCCCCACTGGCAGCCCCACACCCCAAGGGCCATCTAGGGAGCCCCCGGCTTCCTTCCCAAAGGAGTCAGTATCTTGGGAAAATGGCACATTCAGGAACATCCACTGAAATTCCAGGCTTCCCAGATATTTTGCTGGGGGTACTTCAGCCACTTAGGTTCCAAAGCTGAAATTAAGTTCACTCCCACCAGCCTGTGCTTGGGGGCACAGCCCTGGGCATGGAGGGCTCAAGACTCACAGGTCTTGGGCTCAGGAGCCCACTTGCAGAGGAAGACATGAGGCTTAGGGCAGTGGTGGGACTTTCAGGTCACCCAGGCAAGTCCCTCGACACCAACCCCCAACTTCCAGGTCACCAGAGCAAGGGGGCTGAAACAGAGACCTCGGGGCCAGGGGCTCAGTCACCTCTGAGCTGGGAACACTGGCCAAAAGCTGCTCTTCCCTAGAGGCATGGCAGAGAATAAAAGGCCTGGAAAGCCTTGTCTGGTGCTGGCCTGTTGGAAAACCCCGTTCTTCCATTTTAATACCCCACAAAGCCTTGGGTACCACTGGACGTTGGACCTGCCTTTCGCAGAGTCCCCAAATGCTCTGAAGCCTGCACCCCACTTTCCCTGCAACCAACTGGCAAACAGCCTCCCTCAGATCCCAGCTCCGGGTTCCCCTCGCTGACAACAGGGGTTTCCTCTGCCCTACGGAGCAGCCTCTTCCTGGACCCAGGTCCCAGTCCCTGTTGCCCCAGACACAGTGGTTTACAGACACCACAGGTTTACAGACACACACTGAGCTGCTGTCCACCCATCAATAGATGTATCTAATTTATCTGCTTTCAGGTACAGGGAAACAAGGTGCTGTGTCTGACAGTGATGGGCAGGGGGCCGGCGAGCCCCACAGAAGAGCTGACAGTGTCATCCTGTCTATGGACGGGAGGCTGGCGATGGTCATTTTTCAAGGCTTTGATGCGGTGTCTGTGAGTTGCTGGGTGCTGTCCGCTAGAAGCAGCCCTGTGGCCTGAGCTGTCCCTTCTTCCAGTGTCTCCGCTGGGCCCCGCCCGACTCATCAAATTCCTTTTCCCACTCCACCTCCCCATGGGGTCTGGCAGTTTCACATGAGTGAGGTTCACCGCCACAGGCCTCCTGTACCCGGACGCAGAGCCATGTTTCCTTCACTTTGTTTTGAGCTTACGAATTTTACAAAATGACTGTGTAGGTTGCGTCCATGTTTGTGCCCCAGATGAAAGCTGAGCAACAGTGTCCCTTTTTCCCACAAATATTCCAGTGTCAGTTCCAGACCCCAGGAACATGTGGGTCCAGACACGTGTGGTCACAGGCCTCAAGGGACTGATTTGACCTTGGGGGGCCTCAGTTTATCTATGCTGTGAAACAGGGCTGCCGGGAAGCGTGACAGATTTTTGCTGTCTGGCCTCTCTGGGTGAGTCTGGCTGTTCCTTCTCAAGGGATTTGCAGGAAGGGGGAGGTGGGGCGGAGAAATTTCATGTCTGCCTGAGTTACTTCCATTCAAGAATGGTTCCTGCGGAGACACCAAGAGAGCTGGGTCTGATGGCAGAGCTGTGTACTGGCCCTACTGTATTAGTTTGTTCTCATGCTGCTAATAAAGATATACCCAGGGCCAGGTGCGGTGGCTCACACCTGTAATCCCAGCACTTTGAGAGGCCGAGGTGGGTGGATCATGAGTTCAGGCGTTTGAGACCAGCCTGGCCAACACAGTGAAACCCCGTATCTACTAAAAATACAAAAAATTAGCCAGGCATGGTGGCAGGCACCTGTAATCCCAGCTACTTGGGAGGCTGAGGCAGGAGAATTGCTTGAACCTGGAAGGTGGAGGTTGCAGTGAGCCAAGATCTTGTCACTGCATTCCAGCCTGGGTGACAGTGCAAGACTCTGTCTCAAAAAAAAAAAAAAGACATACCCAGGACTGGGTAATTTATAAAAAGGTTTACTTGACCCACAGTTCCACATGACTAGGGAGGCCTCTCAATCATGGCAGAAAGTAAAGGGGAAGCAAGACACATCTTACATGGCAGCAGGCAAGAGAGACCATGTGCAGGGGAACTGCCCTTTATAAAACCATCAGATCTTATGAGACTTATTCACTCTCACAAGCACAGCATGGGAAAAACCTGCTCCCATGATTCAACTACTCCCACTGGGTCCCTCCCATGACACATGGGAATTATGGGAGCTACAATTCAAGATAAGATTTGGGTGGAGACACAGCCAAACCTAATCACCTACTAAGGGCTGGCCATGTGACTGGTGTAAGGTTCTGTAATCCAGCGTAACCAACTTTTCCCTCTTGGCTCAGGACGATTCCAGTGTTAGCACTGGAAATCCCACATCACAGGAAACCCTGTAGTCCCAGGTAAGCCAAGATGGTGGGCCACTGGGCCTTGGCTTCATCATCAATAGAGTGATGATGGTAATAGGTTGTCATGGAGACTTAATGAGGTCATGCAAGCAGGGTGCATATAGCCAGACACAGCTCAAGGCAGGGTAGCTCTCGCAGTTAGCCAACAATGGAAAGGAAGGGAGTGGTGCCCTGGCAGCTGGAGTGGCAGTGGGAAGACAGCCTCAGCTTTGCCTTGGGCCTCCCTGCATTCCTCCTCCGCAGGGCAATATTCATTATTCCGCAGGGCAATACTCCACACCAGGCAGGCCACACTCTGTGACTCATGGGCATGGCTGGGTCTGGGTGAGGCTCACTCCTCACCACCTTCATTCCTCTCACTGTGGGCATGGGGGCTTCTGTGCCAGCCATGGCTCCAAGATGAAAACCTGGCTCCTCACAGCACTCTGGCTGCCTTGCCCTGCCCTGGTGTCTGTGGTCCTGGCTGGGCTTGGTTGAATGCAGAGAGCTGTCGCTTCTGAGACCTTCCCTTTCCATCTGAGCCCAACACAGTCAGAGGGATGGGGGCTGGCAGGTCTCAGTAAAAAGGAGTAAAATGAGCTTTCTTTCATTTCCCAGAAGTAGTCCTAAATGGGTTTTTTATTTAACTCTCATCAAGTCATCTCAAGACAAGTCAACTCGGATTAAGTCTATTTAAGTCTGTGCAGATCAGTTCAGATCAAGTCAACCCAGGGCAGTTGAAGTCCACTGCACTCCACTCCTTTCCATCCCAATCAGCTATTTATTGAGGGGGTTGGGGGGGTGCTGTAGAAGGCACTGGTAGGGTTCCCAAGGCAAGTCATGTGGGTCCGTCTTGGAACTTCAGAATCTAGAGGACAGGTGTGATACAAAATGCTTAAGCCGTAGTGGGGCAGCTTAGTGAAAAAGAGGCCAGAAGTCCCTCTGCACTTGTAGAATTAAGCTGGAATCTTTGCCCTGAAATCTACTGGCCATGTAGCCTGAGAAAAAGGGCCTCACTTTAGGTGATTAGGACCCTGGTTAGCGGGGCCTAACCAGGCTTGGCTTCGCTTCTTCCCTTTCTCCAGAAAATGGGGAAGAGGATGGCAGTCACCTTCGAATGTCGATGTGAGCAGGAGACAAGGTCACATGTGTAAAGGGTTTAGAGACACACCTGGCCCAGAGGGAGCACACGGCACATGGGAGAAATATATTATTGTTTTATTGCTATTGTCAGGATTATTCCTCTGGCTCCTAAGGGCAACGCCAGTGCAAGGTGAGATGACTTAAGAGATGAGGGTAAAACTTCTGTCTCCTTGAGTCTTGAACTGTCCCCCTCCCCAATCACAGCTCAACATCGGATCTTGTCAAGTGGACTCAAGTGCTGGCCTCAAGCTCTTTGAGGGAGGCAACAGCTATCCAAAGCCCACTCAAGTCCTTCCCCTCCGACTTGTTCAGAAACAACTCCAGGAGAATAAATAGAGTCCTTGAGCCCAATACAATGAAGAGGTTTCAAATAGAGCACCTTGAAGATGATGTGGGCTGCCCTGGCCTCCTCCGATCCCGTGGTGGCCCAGGCGCCCCTCTGTCCGGCCCTCGCTCCATCATGAGCCCTGAGAACCCCAGCTCACTGGGGTGCTGACTCTTATTTAGTGCCTGAGCCTTTCTCTTCTCCCCAACCCCAAGAAGGCTCCCTAGAAACATTGCTTCCCAGGACACTTCACAGGCTGGAGGCAAGAGCCGTGTTCAGAGCACAGACACATTGGGGTTCGAGGCCTTGTGGGTCACTTGCCATCTGTGGTTGGAATAACCTAACCCCTTGAGCCTCAGCATCATCGTCTCTAATGCTAAAGTACCAACATTGGAGGGTTCACGTATTCGTTTCCTGGGGGCTGCCATAACAAATGACTACAAACGTGGTGGCTTAGAGAAACAGAAAGGTATTCTCTGAAGTCCAAAATCAAGAAATCCAGAAATCTTGCTGGATATGGTGGCTCCTTTGGGAGGCCGAGGAGGGTGAATCCCTTGAGGACAGGCGTTCCGATACCAGCCTAGGCAAATGGCAAAAACCTGTGTCTATAAAAAAAATACAAAAAAATTTAGCTGGGCATGGTGGTGTGCACCTGTAGTCCCAGCTACTATGGAAGCTGAGGCGGGAGGATCACTCGAACCCGAGAAGTTGAGGCTGTAGTGAGCTGTGATTGCACCACTGCACTCCAGCCTGGGTGACAGAGTGAGTCCCTGTCAAAAAAAAAAAAAAAAAAAAAACCCAGAAATCCAAAATCAGGGTGTTGAAGGGCTGCGCTACCTCTGGAAGCTCCAGGGAAAGATCCTTCCTTCCCTCTTCCAAGCAAGGAAGAGGCATCTTTGGCTTGAGGCAGAGATTCATCTTCTGGCCCCAAGATCCGGAAGATGGATATCTGCCTCCACCTTCACATGGTTTCCCCTCTCTGTGTCTCTCCTCTGTGTGTCTCTTATAAAGACACTTGTCATTGGATTTATGGCCCAACCCAAATAAATCAGGATGATCTCATTCTAGATGAATCTAGAATGAACGAATTGGTGATTTACATTCACAAACACCCCTTTTCTAAATGAGGTCACTTGCACGGTTTCTGGGGAACTGTGACCTGCAATACGAGGGCTGGACTCAGGAGTCCAGGTCCTGGTTTCAAGTTGTGGCTTCATGGCTCTGCGCTGCGATCTAAGGGAAGTCCTTAGACTTCTCTCTGCCTTAATTTTTCAAGCTATAAAGAGGGGATTCTAATAGGATATATTTAAGGGGTTATTTGGATGATTAAATGAGTGAATACTTGTCCAGGGCTTAGGATAGTCCTGGCCATATGAGACATGGCCACTAAATGATAGTAGCCAACATTGTTATTTTAAAACTGAAGTTGATATTTTATGCTACTGTGCCTCGGTCCTTTACCTAATTCCTTTCCTCTTGCCTGCGATTGGCTCCTCTCTGGTTGGCCCTGCTCTGGGGCCTTTTCCACACCTTCCCAGGAACACCTGCTTACCTGCAAGCTCCTGCGCCCATTTGTCCCTCAAGCCTGTCACTGGGGGAGCCTTCCATCCATTAAAAATATTGCTAGCCCCCATCCCCTTTGGGGCAGAACATTAAAGTGCAATTTCTGTAAAGCCACTTTATAAAATGAGAGCAGTTGAACGTTCTCGGGTGTAGGAGTAATTATAATTCCCAAGTTTCTCTGAACATTTTTCTAACTGGATCTTTTTGTGTCGTTGTCTCAGAATAGACACACTTGTGGGCTTTCCTAGGCTCAAAATAGTTGTGAGATAGGGGTTGAAATCGACATCCGAGTTTGAATTACAACAACTTGGTTATAACTTTGGATTGGATGAATTTCACCAGCCAAATGTGGTTCTTTCTGCAAATATGGCTTCCTTTTATGGAATAACAAAATTCCTGAACCAGGGCTGTGCCTCTGAGAAGTGGTCCTTTAGCAGAAGGGTGGGTGGCCCTGGGCTAGAATTGGAGTGTCTACAGTTGGCTGCGTCGATCCACTGTCTACTCTGGACGAGGCCTCTGATGAAGACTGAGCTCCTGCAGCTGGGCTTAAGAGTCTCCAGGTCTGTCTCTGTGTGGGCTCATCCTCCATCCTGTCTTCAGCATATCTCAGTAGGTGAGAGCTTCGACCCCAGAGCCAGGTCAATGGGGTTCTCTTGTCTCCTCCACTTATGGCTATCATGATGGGGGACAAGTTACTTTATTTCTCTGTGCCTCAGTTTCCTCTTCTGTTGAGTGAGGATAGCCATGTACACATCTCCTGGGGTTGCTGTAAAGATTAAATGAACTGATACACGTAAGGTCCTCAGAACTGTATCTGGCACAGGGTAAGTCCTGGCTATTTTGATTGCTGGACACATGGTAGGTACACACTACATGTTTGGAAGTCACTGGTCCTCCACTTCACAACTCAAGGGGTCTTAAAAGACAAGCAGGGGGCTCTAACGGGAGGTTCTCTGAGAGACCTAGGTAGCTGCCACCAGTAATTCAGGGATGGCCAGTGGGGAGGAGATGGCCTTAGTGACATGCAATTGCAGGTCCATGAGGGAAAGGGAATTTTCCATCCTGGACTCTGCATTCCCTTTCTTCAGTGTGACAAAAATGCACTTAAAAGGCATTAAAACATTGTCTTCCACCCCCTACCCCGTTCCAGGGTGCTGTTTCAATAGACAGAATCACTCTGCAATGCAAGAGCCCTGGCAGCAGCTTACCTAGAGGCACGGCTTACCTTCAGGAAACCTTTGTCTCTGGTAGTGTCCTGGGGTAAACCCTACCCCTACCCGTATAACAGAAAAATAATACACTTCTTTTTGTTTTTTAAAACAATATTTTATCGATTTAACTGAAACTGTCTGGTCAGTGGATCCCCTCCTGTACTGGGTGAGGCGTAGAAAGGGAGGGAGAGGGGCCTGTCTGCGTTTTATTAACCCTTTCAATGTGTGACTAGAAGATCACGTGCTCTCGGAGCATGGATTGAGGGGGCAGGCCCTGAGTCTGGATCTGCAGTGCCTGATCTGGGTGCAGGTTGCCTGGTGGGATCTCCTGGTTCATGCCAAGGGTCTCTGCACTTTTCTGAATGTCTGTTATACTGCAGTCAAAGGAAAAGACGGCAATACTTCATGCTCCAAGAGCTTTTCCACTACCGAGCTTTCTCCTCTCATAGAAAGTGCAAGGGAAAGAGGGAAGTAAAGAGGCCAGTCTCAGTTGCTCGGGCAAAGGCTCCAATGAGGTAACCGAAGCTGCAGGTTGCCTGGCACGCTGCTGCCCTGAGCCTCTTGTTGGCTGATGATTACTTTATCTGAAGAAGATAAGATGTCGTGCATTTGATTACAGCATAACTTCATGCACTCTGACAGAGCTTGCAGCACTGGGCGAATCGTCATCGGAATGGTTTTGTTATTTCTGTACCGTGTGCCTCTGAGTTAAGGATAAAGCAGGAATAAATATGGAATTGGGGGAGGGGGAAAGTGCTAGCAGTTCTTCCTCACTGCTAGGAAAATCACTCTTTCAAAGTCACCACGTTCTCTCCTTCATTACCCTTTCACCACTGTGCGTCCTGCTCATAAGAGTGTCCAACGAAAGGACCAGGTTTTGTCTGGTTTCTCTGAGCACTTTGGTGAAATTTAATCGTACTTAAATGGCAAACAGTAGGAAGAAGAGCCGGCAAAGGTAGGAGCCACTTTGAGACCCAGCCTATAGTTGTTCAAAGCTGACATGGCTATATTTAACCAAAAGGACATGATATTAAACTTTCTTTTAATGGGGGAGCTTTTGGAAGGCACCAGACAGGGCACAGGTGTTCCAGCCTCAGGACGCTGCAGCAACATCTGCCTCACAGGGCTTGTGGTCTATCAGGACCAGAAGATCATCCACGAAGAAGACAGTGTAAGATAATTGTAACTTACATACATTAAATGTGCACATTTTAAGTCTGCAGTTTAACGACTTTTAACAAATGAGTACACCTGTGTAAGCACTATTTCAAGATATAGAATATGCTCCAAACACCAGGAAGTTCTGAGCATCATTTTAACAAGAGAAGCCATTTGACAAATAAAAAACAAAAAATGAAAAAAAACTCTCTTATTTATTTGTGAATTTAACATAGTTTTTCAGCTTGAGGACTTCTGGCTTATCACGGCTTAAAACAAGACTGTTCTCTGCACAAAATAAAAGCTTATCAGCAGTGAGAATCATTCTTTTCTCAGGGAAAGAAAGGAACATTCTTTATGGCGTGGCTAAGTGGGAAGGCAGTTGGGGCACCATCCTTCTGACTCCATGTTCTGGAGAATCTCATGGTGTCTCCTACCTGGAGAAGGACCTTCTGGCCCTGGTAGACTACCAGCCCTGAAAGGTAAAGGTTGCTGCAGCATCCTGAAGCCAGAACACCCACACTCTGTTCCAGCACCTTCTCAGAGTCCCCAGCCTCTGTTCTGAGGCCTCCTTCTGATTTTAGACTGGCTGACGACACCCGGATTACTCTGACCTGCAAGGGGAGGTGGCTGACCCCAAAGCAGGTTGAGCTGATTGGCATGTGATGGCACTGGATCCCAGCGAGTGCCCCTCATGCTCACTCCCAAACCCCAAATATGCTTCCAAATGCCACCCCCACCCAGACTCTCACCACAGAGATGGGGTTGTGATGACCACAAGGAAGAGGAGGAAGAGGACCCCAGGGGCTTGGGGCAACACTTGCTGGGGAGGGTCTGGCTGGGCACCGTGGCAACGCTGTGTCAGGAGAGCCGAACTCAGAGAAGCAGGTGTGATGCCTCATGTCATTGTGTTCCCAGAGCTCAGGGCCACATTCAGCCTGAGGTTCAGGCTGGGCTCTCCGATGCCTTTGAGACTTCGCATCTGTGGTTCAGTCTGCCTGGAAAACTCCTACACATCCCTGAATGGCCCAGCCTGAATGTCACCTCTGTGGAAACATCTCCTGAGTCTTTCAGTCAATGCCCTGGACTTCCCTCCCCTGTGTTTCTCCCAGGTTCCTTTGTTTTTGTGCTTATTTTTTTAATGGGGTTTGTTTCTTTAATTTTACTTTTTTGGACCTCAGAGGCAGAGATTTGAATAAATTGATCTTCTGGGCTCAAAACTCGTAATCTTCCCTGGTCCCTGGAAACCCCCTGCCTTGCTTCACTTGTTCTCTTTCTTACTCCCTCTCTGCATCCATCCCTACCCTCATTCCCATGCCTGTTTCCCCGACCCTGCACAGCCCACACCCCGGACTTGATGCGTGTGTGCAAATCCTAAGTGTCTTCCCAAGGAGAAAAATACCCAAGAACACAGAATCACATAGAACTCATGTCTTTTGCCTTCCTTCCCTCCCTGCCCCGACCCTCGTAAAGCTTTATTTTTATTGCCAAAATTTCTGCTGTCATCTTTGGGACCCCAGAGAGTGGGAGGCTTTGAGGCCAGAGGATCGAGCTGTGGCTCCAGATGTTTCTCTTCTCCCACATCTGGGTCTTTCTTTTTGGATGTAACGATTGTAAGATTTTATTATTATAAAGTCCCAACAAGACCTGCCAACATCCACTGCCAGCACTGTGTCAACTCCATCTCACAGAGTCAGCTAAGAAGGCTCCCGCTTAATTACCCTCACCACGAGCCAAGGAGGGGGACCCCAGGGCGTTTTCATAATCAAGACACAGATTTCAAATCAAAGTGATGATCCCAGCCAGGATCAGCCAAGGTCTCTCACAAACACTTGGTCAAAATGAGTTTCCAAGAAGTTCTGTCTTAAATTATTCCTATGGATCGTTCAAGTTATAAGTGAATATTTAGGCTGCAGTTCACAAAAACCTCTCTCTTTGGGGGGAAAAGAAAACTGGCTTTCATTTGGCAGTTTTTGACTTTGTCAGCATTTCTAATGGCAAGAATGACAAAGTCTGCTTGGGAAATGCCGGCACCGACAGCTGTGTTTTATTATTGAATATTTCTGGTGGTGGGGTTGGCCGCCACTCTGTTTATGTTGCTTGTAAGATTTCACGCAAGACTCTGCAAGGTCGTGGGCTTAAACCGAAGTGTCTGATCTGCTGGATAATTCATTCCATCCCCTTCATTCCTAGGCCCTTTCTTTTTATTTTTTTTTCCAAGTGCAAATTGAGTACTGCCAGAAAATGGAGTCCAGAGGCAGCCCTGGGTTCCCGGTGCAGTTCCCAATTGCTTCTTTTGTCTGTGGGGGTGCAAGGCGGCCATCCCTGCTTGGGTGACCCTGTAGTGTCCACTTCTCCCCTGAGTTGCATGTCTCCAAGGTCCTGGTCTGTCTTGACACAGGCCTTTCAGTAAGTGCCTTCCCCTCCCTCAAGCCATTAAGTCCTGCTGCCTTCTTTTTCTGGGAGCTCCCTACCCAGACAGAGAGGGAGTGCACTTTGTTTGCCAAAATCTTACTTCAAACCAGTCAGCCTGTGTTGGGACACTAAATCTAGCTTTGGAGGTTTGAATGGAGGGGAGGGTCTTTCTTAGTATTCTGATATTTTCCCCTTTTTTCTTCATGAACATGAAAAAGAAAACTTGCAAGAACAGACATCCAGGGAACTGGGCCACCCCCTGGCCATTTGTTTATTCATTTGCTTTGTCCACAAACTTTTGCCAACAGCTTCTGGGTGAGGGTAGAAATGGGATTCAGGTATCAGCTGCCATCTCCCTGTGTCCTAAGAGAAGACTGTTTCAAACCCCATTTGCATGCACAGTGGAAATCCACAACTCTCTACTTGGTGTCTGCAGATTTGGGAGGAGAGTCACTCTGTCACAGTCACCTCTAGTCTGTCCTCAGGGTGCATTGGAGGTCCGGGTCTGGAGTCACTGGCCGTCTGTGGTCTCTATTCTTTACGGTGCAGAGTAACACGAAAGATTCAGTCCTTTACGACTCTCCGTGGAGCCTTCCCTAGGGCCCCCTCTCACCTTTCATCTTCCTTAACCCAAGAAATCACCTTCTGCCTCCTGGCAATCCGTGTTCCACACTGAACCCCCTGGGTAGGAGGATGGGGATCTGCTCTCTCAAGGTTTCTAAGCTTTTTCCTGCAGATGTTTTCTCATCTATGAAATGGGATGATAAACGTGCTGGGTTTAGTGAGATAACCTCATGCCAAGGCGCTGTCCTGTGACTTTCATTTGATGCACGGGAGAAGCGGGGCTGCGGTTGATTAAGTGACCTCCTTGAGGCCCAGGGCTGGTGGGTGAAGGAATGGAGACAGACGGGACGCAACTCAAATGCAGCCCCACCTCCTCTCCCCGCATGGCAGGATGCAGCGCGGACCACCCACAGCAAACCCCATACCTACTCTGAGCCAGGCACTGTCCTGTCCTAAGCACTCTGGACACTCGAACTCGGTCCTTACAAAGCAAGGTGCTGTCATCCACACCCTCATCTTACAGGTGGCGACACTGAGGCCCCGACAGTTTTGTAACATGCCCAAGGTCACACAGTCAGCAAATGGCATGACCAGAATTAGGTTTTGAGCCTTACCCCGCTGCACCAGGCTGCCCCTTAGAGCTGAGCCCTAGTGGGCCAGGCCATGCAGACCCTGCTTCCACCTGTGCTCCTCCTCCCTCCGCTATCCCTCCCCACAGAGGACCACATGGTCAGTTTCCATAAGAAATTACCTTGATCATAAAAGACATTCAACTGAGAGCAACCATGTGAATTGCCTGAGGGCCTCTTGGATTCCAGATGCTTTTTGCTAATTCCAGATGGTTGTTTTGTTGGTGGTAAACTAGCATCTCTGGGCTCTTGGCTTCAGTTTTAGAGAGCTTGTTCCTTCCCCAGCCCCTGTCCTGAGTCTCCTCTCCCTGAATCCAGGTGGCAGAGGCACAGACAGCCAGACATTTTGTAGCAGTCAGCATGAGACTGTGGATGGGACACAGCAGGTGTGGGGACTGCCAGAATTGCCATCGGACAAGAGCAGCAAGGGCTGGCCCTGAGCCTGACCAAAGAGGCAACAGTCCCAAGAAGTCTGTAACCTCTGAAATTTGCACACTTAAGGACACTACTCTGTTAGACCCCTTTTCTGGATGGGGCTGGCTTTTTGTTTTGTTTTGTTAAGTGGGTTAGTGCAGGGTTTCTCTTAGATTTGAACACTCCCGCAAAACCTGGGGGGTCGTGTTAAAATGCAGATTTTGATTCAGCAGGTCTGGGTGGGGGCCTAGGATCCTGCATGTCTGACCAGTTCCCAGGGACCGCACTGGGAGGAGTAAGTGGGGAGGGATGGCTGACGGCCACGTGTGGTTTATGGGTGCAGACCCAGCCTTGGGAGGGTGGCGCTTCGGGGTTTGGGAACTGGGCTGGGACTGGATCCTCCAGAGGGCAGTCGGGGGGAGATTCAGCTTTGGAGACAGAGATATGTGGTGACTCTACCCACATCTGACTCATCCTCCAGGCTCGGGTACTGGAGGGAAGGGCAGAGGCAAGGGCTGAGGACCTGAGGTCTGGCTGCCACCGACAGCTCCCTCCTGGGGGCTCACAGGGCTCTGGGAACACCGCCCTCCTCTAATTTCACTGCACAACCAAGACTCACCTTGCACTTTTCCTTAGCCCAGCTCTGCCCCGAGATTAGCTGATGTGGGCCCTCCCAGGGGCAACCCGAGCACTCAGGAGGCCTCAGGTTCAGCAGCTGGGCCTTAACGGTGCAGTCCCCTTGTGACTGGCACGCTCCACGTGCAACCATCAGCCCAGGAGAGACACAGGCTCATGCTGAAAGACATTCTTATTTGGAAATAATTTTAAACTTTACAAAAAAGTTGACAGAATAAGAATCATACAAAGACATCATAAGCGCTTTCCCAGACTTACCAGTTGTTACCATCGTATTGCATTGCCTTATCATTTGTATTTTTTTCCTCTCCTTTTATATCTCTTTCTCAGCCTTCATCTCCCCACCAACCACCCTCCCATGTATGTATAAATTTTTCTTAGCCTTTTAAGGGGCTCTTGACCCCTCAATACTACAGTGAGAATTTCCTAAGAAAAGAGACATTTTCCTACATAACACAGTACCATTAGCCACTTCAGGAAGGAAATTTAACATCGGTGCAGTTCTTAGATCCAACCTGTTACCCATATTTCCATTGGCTAATGGCCCAGTAAATGTCCTTTATAGCATTTTTTCCTCCAGTACTGGATTCGGTCTAAGACCAAGTGTTGTATTTACTTGTCAGGTCTTTTTGACTCCCTTTCGCCTGAAACCTTTCCACAGTCTGTCTTCCTTCGTCCGTATGCCATTAACATTTTTGAAAATTACGCTATCCCCATCTATCCCTACTTTTAAACAACAGAATGCTCCTCTTTCTGAGTTGATCTAGTGTTTTCTACATAGTTAGAGTCAGGTTAGGCATCCTGGGCGGCCCATCAATATGTGATGTTGTGTTATTTTCAGGATATCCTACCTGCCCTGCACTGGCAATGTTCATCTTGATCACCTGGCCAAGATATTGTCGGATTTCTTCACTGTGTAATTATTATTTGATACGGGTTGGATCTGTGTCCCCACCCAAGTCTCATGTTCAGCTGTAGTCCCCAGTGTTGGAGGTAAGGCCTGGTGGGAGGTGGTCACATCACGGGGGTGGGTTGCTCATTAATGATTCAGCACCATCCCCTTGGTGCTGTCCTTGTGATGAGTGAGTTCTCGAGAGAGCTGGTTGTTTAAAAGTGCACGGCCCCTCCCACCTTGCTCTGTCTCTTGCTTCTGCTCCCACCATGTAAGACACCTGCTCCCCCTTTGCCTTCCACTATGATTAGAAACTTCTTGAGACTTCCCCAGAAGCAGAAGCCATTATACTTCCTGTACAGCCTGCAGAACTGTGAACCAGTTCAACCTCTTTTCTTTATAAATTACCCAGTCTCAGGTTTTTCTTGACAGCAATGCGAGAATGGACTAATACACGATTCTTCCCTTCACACTAACAGCCAATCTCTGGAGACACCTCTAAGGCCACACAGTGTCAGCTCCTCCGCAAATCCCCAAATCCTTCCTCCATGACTCTGGCCCTGACCAATCTTCATGACCCTGGTGATGTTTCCCAACTCCAGCCCACTCACATCCTACTGCAAGCAAAGGCTCTTCCTCGTCCTCCAGTCATTCATTCATTCATTCATTTATTATTTATATGGACTAATGGAGTCCTATTTTCTCCAATGGTTTATAACTTATTACTGTTCTTATTTTGGTGCCCAAGTTGTCCCAGATTTGGCCAGTGAGAGCCTGTTCAAGCTGGCTCCTGTGTTCTTACGACACGTCTTCACCATTTTTTCTTAACGCATCCTCACTTTGGGAAATAACAAGCTATGTGAGGCTCATCTAGTGCTTCCTCACCCTAGTCCTGGAACAAGCCATTTCTCTGAGGAGCCTAGTTTCTTTTCATGGCGGATGGTATTAGAATCCGGGCCTGCCGTGATTTTTGCAACTGGGCTGTCTTTGCTTCTAGGCTTTGTCACTGGACTGAGTTAAGAAATATTTAGTGATGTATATGCATCTGGACACAAATGAAGTTGCATATATACATATGTGCAGACCCATACTTGTCTAAGTGACCATGGGCATGCATAGACTAACATATTGGATACATATATCTCAGAAGCTATGCGTTCACCTAATTCCTCTGTGCAAATATAGAGCTGCCCTCTCTCATTCCCCAGCTGTGCAGTGTGCAGTCTCCAGCTGTTAGCTCACCCAAGGCCCACCTCAGAAGTTGTCCTCCTCTTGGAAGCTCTGAGCCAATGCCTGAGCAAGGCAGTGGTACAAGGGCTGCCCATCCCTACCCAGTGCAGGACCACTCTATGGGCAGTCCTTGCCCCAGAACTCTCCACCAGGATGAGAGGCGTTGTGAGTCTGCACATGGTCTGGCAGCCGCACTGTCCCACCCCGCATCCTCCACTTTCCATCACAAAAGTGCTCGCCAAGAAGCCATGTATGTTTCTAACCTCACCCAGTACCTGCGACCCTGGTCCCAGCCTGCACTCCAGGGGTCTTTCTTGCTTTCTTTGATCTGTATTAGATGTCCCTTCTTTCACAGTGAGAATCCTTGCACCTGAAAACAACATCACCCTTATTCAAATGCCCAGTTCTATGATACAGCCCAAATCACTGCAGAAGTGCTTTGCTCACAGCACCACGAAAACATCTGTGAAACAGAGTTCAGTATTTGTTTCCAACTCTTTCCCAAACCCTCCGTCCCAGACCTACGCAAGACCATATTTGTAAGTTTGTACGATTAGTTCTTGTTTTATTTTTTTTCTTTAATTTCTTTATTTTATTTTTGCAAAAACATATAAGTATTTATTTTCAATCACAATGATCATATGCGGCATCATGATGCAAATAAATACAATATACAGTATCACAGCCAGGCAACACATTTGTATTTACTGCTACCGTGCACCTGATATACTACAAGGAGCTGGCCTCATCTTTAATCCTTCCATAAACTCTGCAAGGTGAAGACACTGAGACTTACAGAGAGCACATGTCTTCTCTGAGCTCACAAGTCAAGAAGTGGCAGACAGGTAATTTATTTTATTTTTTATTATTATTTTACTAGTTTGGGGGGAACAGGTGTTTGGTTGCATGAATAAGTTCTTTAGTGGTCATTTCCAAGACCTTGGTGCAGCCATCACCTGAGCAGTGTATGCTGTACCCAAAGTATAGACTTTTATCCCTCACCCTCCTCCCACCCTTCCCCCCGAGTCCCCAGAGTCCATGATATCATTCTTATGTCTTTGCATCCTCAGAGCTTAGCTCCCACTTGTAAGTGAGAATATAGGATGTTTGGTTTTCCATTCCTGAGTTACTTCACTTAGCATAATGGTCTCCAACTCCATCCGAATTGCTGCTGTGAATGCCATTATTCCATTCCTTTCTATCTGAGTAGTATTCCATAGTGTGTGTGTGCATATATATATATATATATATATATATATATATATATACACATTGTCTGTATATATATATATACACACATTGTCTGTATATATATATACACATTGTCTGTATATATATATACTATGTGTGTGTGTACTATATATATACACTATACTATGTATATACACACTATACTACATATATATATACACACACACACTACACACACACACACACACACACACGCTACATTTTCCCTATCCACTCGTTGGCTGATGCACGTTTGGGCTGGTACATATTTTTGCAATTGTGAATTGTGCTGCTATAAACCTGTGTGCGCAAGTGTCTTTTTCATATAATGACTTCTTTTCCTCTGGGTAAATGCCCAGTAGTGGGATTGCTAGATCAAAGGTAGTTCTACTTTTAGTTCTTTAAGGAATTTCCATACTGTTTTCCGTAGCGGTTATACTAGTTTACATTCTCACCAGCAGTGTAGAAGTGTTCCCTTTTCACCACAACCACAACATCTGTTATTTTTCGATTTTTAAATTATGGCCATTCTTGCAGGAGTAAGGTGGTACCTCATTGTGGTTTTAATTTGCATTTCCCTGATCATTAGTGACGTTGAGCATTTTTTCATATGTTCATTGGCCATTTGTATATCTTCTTTTGAGAATTCTACATTCGTGTCCTTAGCCCACTTTTTGATGGGATCATTTGTTTTTTTTCTTGCTTATTTGTTTGAGTTCCTTGTAGATTCGGGATATTAGTAGTTAGTCAGATGTGTAGTTTGTTAATATTTTCTCCCACTCTGTAGGTTGTTTGTTTCCTCAGCTGATTATTTCTTTTGCTTTGCTGAAGCTTTTTCTTTTAATTAGGTCCCATTATATTTATCTTTGTTTTTGTTGCAGTTCCTTTTGGATTCTTGGTCATGAACTCCTTGCCTAAGCCAATGTCTAGAAGAGTTTTTCTGATGTTATCTTCTAGAATTTTTATGGTTTCAGGTCTTAGATTTAAGTCTTTGATCCATCTTGAGTTGACTTTTGTATAAGGTGAGAGATGAGGATCCAGTTTCATTCTTCTACATGTGCCTTGCCAATTATCCCAGCACCATTTGTTGAATAGGATGCCCTTTACCCACTTTATGTTTTTATTTGCTTTGTAGATCAGTTGGCTGTAAATATTCTGCTGTATTTCTGGGTTCTTTATTCTGTTCCATTGGTCTATGTGCCTATTTTTATACTAGTACCATGCTGTTTTAGTAACTATAGCCTTGTAGTATAGTTTGAAGTCAGGTAATGTAATGCCTCCAGATTTGTTCTTTTTGCTTAGTCTTGCTTTTGCAATGTGGGGACTTTTTTGGTTCCATATGAATTTTAGGATTTTTTTCTAGTTCTGTGAAGAATGATGATGGTATTTTGATGGCAATTGCATTGAATTTGTAGATTGCCTTTGCCAGTATGGTCATTCTCACAATATTGATTCTACCCATCCATGAGCATGGGATCTGTTTCCATTTGTTTATGTTGTCTATGATCTCTTTTCTGCAGTGTTTTGTAGTTTTCCTTGTAGAGATCGTTCACCTCCTGGGTTAGGTTATTCCTAAGTTTTTGTTGTTGTTGTTTTGTTTTTTTGCAGCTGTTGTAAAAAAGGTTGAGTTCTTGATTTGATTCTCAGCTTGGTCAGTGTTAGTTTATAGCAGTGCTACTGATTTGTGTACATTGATTTTGTATCCTGAAACTTTACTGAATTCATTTATCAGATCTAGGAGCTTTTTGGATAAGTCTTTAGGGTTTTCTAGGTATACAGTCATATCATCAGCAAACAGCAACAGTTTGATCTCCTCTTTACTGATTTGGATGCCCTTTATTTCTTTATCTTGCCTGATTGCTCTAGCTAAAACTTTTTCTTTTTTTTTTCAGTGTGATTATGGTGTTCACTTGAAAAACATTGAGTTCATTTGTTAGTTTCCTGTCACTCTTGGGTCTTTTTCCCCTCTCTGACCTTATTGATTAAGTTTTATGTTTCTGAATATTTAAAACATTAACATGCTCCCAAATGTCAAGACGAGACCAAAGGGTGCCCTGGAGAGGTCCTCTTCCTTGTGTATCCTTCCACCCTGTCCTCTTATCCCATACCTCCAAAGAATCATGTCTACACTTTCCTACTTTACCCCCTCTGTGTTTTTCTTTCTATGCATGGTTTCGTAATTCCCCTTCTTTCTTACACAAAAGGTAGCATATTCTACATTACGTGTTATCTTGCACTTTGCTTTTTACAGTTAGCAACATCTCTGGAAAATCACTCTATATTCATTCATAGAGATCTTCCTCATTCTTTCTTATAGCTGCATAGTACTTACTACTACATACCACAGTGTTGATGTACCTCAGATTCTTCCAAGTCTCTCCTGCATGTGGGTGTTCGGGTCATTTACTGGATTCTGCCATTACAAACAATGGTGCAATGAATAAGCCTGTGCTTATGCATTTGCATATAATTGGAGGTGGATCTTTAGGGTAAATTCCTAGAAGTGAGATTGCAGGTTTGAAGTGCGAATGCACACTGCACATTGTTTTGTAAGAGGTTGCCCAATTTTCCACCACAGAGATTCCACCATGCTTCATGCCCACTAACAGCACAAGACAGTGAGGGTTTTCCATGGCCTCCCTGGTGGGAACGGTTATCCAGCATATGAATGTTGTCACTGTGATGGCTGAAAAGTGGTACGACAGTGTAATTTAAATCCACATTTCCCTTATTTGGCGTGCTTCATGTTTAAGGGCCATTTTATAACTCTTATTGTGAATTGTCTGTTTATGTCTTTGGACATTTTCCTTAGTTTTAAAATGTCCTGTGTATTTGAAAGAATATGGGCCTTTTTTTTCTTTTCTTTCTTTCTTTTTTTTTTTTTTTTTTGAGACGGAGTCTTGCTCTGTCACCCAGGCTGGAGTGCAGTGGTGCGATCTCGGCTTACTGCAACCTCTGCCTCCCGGGTTCAAGCTGATTCTCCTGCTTCAGCTTCCCCAGTAGCTGGAATTATAGGCGCTTGCCACCACACCTGGCTGATTTTTGCATTTTTTAGTAGAGACGGGGTTTCTCCATGTTGGCCAGGCTGGTCTCGAACTCCTGACTTCAGGTCATCCACCCACCTCAGTCTCCCAAAGTGTGGGATTACAGGCGTGAGCCACCGAGCCTAGCTTTTTTTTTTTTTTTTTTTTTTTTGAGATGGAGTCTTGCCCTGTTGCCCAGGCTGGAGTGCAGGGGCGCCATCTCGGCTCACTGCAACCTCCACCTCCTAGGTTCTAGCAATTCTTCTGCCTCAGCCTCCCGAGTAGCTGGGACTACAGGCACGCATCACCACACCCAACTAATTTTTGTATTTTTAGTAGAGATGGGGTTTCACCACGTTGGCCAGGCTAGTCTCGAACTCCTGACCTCGTGATCCACTGGCCTCTGCCTCCCAAAGTGCTGGGATTGCAGGCATGAGCCACTGCATCCAGCCAGAATATTGGCCTTTTGTCTGTGATATACGTTGCAAATATTTTCTCCCAATTTTCTATTTGTCCTTTGATTTTGCTGATGTATTTTTGCCATGCAAAAAAATCTTGTTTGAGTTTTTTTGTATCAAATTATCAATCTTGGTTTTCAATCACAGTTAGAAAGTCTTCTTTACCCAGAGTAGAGGAATTCACCCATCACCTCTAATACTCCATAGTTTAATGATGACTTGTGGTTCCCTGATCTATGTGTGGTTTATTCTTGTGCTTGGGATGAGGAATGCATTAATTTTATCTTTTTTGCAAATGGCTTTCTTGATGTCCCAACACATTTATTACCCAGATCGCTTTAGCATTGGGTTCAGTTTTAATTCCCTCATGAGTGGCCTTGGGGGTAGAGGAGGGGGCACTGGTATACAGGGCAGGTGAGCCCTAAAATTGGGGCTTAGGCTGGGAAGGTTTTTGACTCTGCTCAGGAAAGAATTCAAGGATGAACTGGCGGTGTTAGACAGCAGCTTTTACTGAAATGGCAGTGTGCAGCAGCAGAGGTTCTGCTCGCTGCTGAGCAGGGCTCCCCCATAGGCAGTGTGCCCAGTGTAGCAGCTCGGGGCAGTGCTGCAGTCACATTTATACACACTTTTAATTACGTGCAAATTAAGGAGCCGGTTATGCAGAACTTTCTAGAAAGAGGGTGGTAGCTTCTGGGTTGCTGCCATGGAAAGGGGCGGTAACTTCCAAGTGTTGCCATGGTGATGGTAAATGGCCACGTGGGTGGACGTGTCTTATGGAGAGGGGCTTTCACCTCGTCCCTGTTTCAGCCAGTCTTCAATCTGGTCCAGAGTCTAGTCTCCACCTCTCATCTCAGGAGAGCAGGGCTGTAATGCTAGTTCCAAGTGAGAAATGGCCTGGCCTTCACCAGCCAAAGGGCCTCATCCTTCTACCTCCCAGGTCTGCTGTCGGCTCCTCTGAGACCTGAGGATGCTGGAGGTGCACCCTGAGGGTGGTGTGCTGAAACTGGCTTCTAGCGAGATGGCCCATCATCAGCATTCCCTGAGGCCCGGGGTCCCACTGACCTAGAAGTGGGGGCTCTGATCTTTTCACTGCAAAGAGACAGTGAAGGAGATTGGGGGGCAATGGAGGAATGTCATGAGTCAGTCTTGGGTCACCTATAGTCCCAGGCCTTGTACAGGACCCCACGAAGTTCTGCTTTCACCCTGATTCACACCTGTCATCTCCCACCTAGGGGACGAAAGTAGTTTCCATCTGGTCCCCTATACCACTCTGGCCTTCCCATGGTAGCCAGAGGTATCCTTTTAAATCAAGCCACATGACATCTCCTGCTGGCTCAAAACCCCCAGTGTCTCCTTCTATGGTGGCCTGGAAGGGACAGAAGCCTCTTCATTCATCACTGAGGCCCCTAACTCAAGGCAAGACAACGAGTTGGGCAGAAGCCAAGTTGCAGAGGCATCTGGAGCTCCTTTTATTGTGTACAAATGTACGGCTCCTGTCCAGCATTGTCAGTGGCCTCCTGGGACCCTGCTTTGCTCACTCCCTGTTGCCAGTTGGGTCAAGTGCGAAGTCCTTAGCTCAGTCCCACTTCTGCGCTGCTCAAATTGCTTCACTATTCCCTGCTCATTTCCCCCCAGGCCCTGCCCCTCTTCGTCCAACCCTACAATCCTGCCAGACTTCAAGGCTCTTGCTGGCTATTCAGCCCACACCCACCCTACTGGGCCCTGATCCCCATGGAGGTTGGAGCTCACCAGTGAAACCAAAATCACTCCAGATATTCACAACAAAGGGAGTTTAGCACAGGGAACCAGGGCACGGAAGTGGAGGAGCTCGAACCTGACAGGGATGGCAAGAAGCCCCAGTGGGTGGCAGCTCAGGGAGCCCCTGCTGTGGCTTGTGGGAGGCGGGAAGGGAGGAGGAGGGCGTGGGAGGGGGAAGTCAGGTGTTCCCATGGGTGGCATCTCAGCAGAAGCTGCATCTCCTCTGTGACCTGGTGCAGTGGCCGCCTGTCACTGGGTGAGACTTGTCCACCGTAACAGCAATACTTCCTCAATCCTCATGCCTTAGTTTGAATTCCCTGTGCTCAGCGCAACTTTCTTTGGGTCCTGTGTTAGTTTCTGCAGAGAAACAGAACAGAAGACATATATTTACATGCATATAAATTTATTTATTATACCGGATTGGCTCACACAATTATAGAGGCTGAGTCGTCCCAGGATCTGCAACTGGCAAGCTGGAGACTCAGGAACGCTCAGGGTGTAAGTTCCAGTCTGAGGACAGAGGAAGAATCCATGTCCCAGCTCAAACAGGCAAGCAGGTCAAATCCCCTCGAGTCAGATTTTTTGCTCCATTCAGTTCCTCAACTGATTGAAAGAGGCTGAGCCATACAAGAGAGGTAACAGCTTGACTCAGTCCACAGATTCAAATGTTAATCTCATCCAGAAACACTCTCACAGACACACCTGGAAGAATGTTTTGTTTTATTTTGTTTTTTGAGACAAGGTCTTACTGTCGCCCAGGCTGCAGTGCAGTGGCATGAACTTCAAGACTCAAGAAATCTGCCCAGTTCAGCCTCCCAAAGCACTAGGATTACAGGCATGAGCCGCTGCACCTGGACTGGAATACTGTTTGACCAAATATCTGGATACCTGGTGGCTGAGTCAAGTAGACACATAAAATTAACATTGCAGCCCTCAGGGGGCATGGAGTTCCCCAGGGTACATTCTCCCTTGTGGCGTTGATCAGCTCCATAATTAAATAATCACACTGGCAGCCAGGGAGGTGGCAGAGCATCCCTCCTGGACCTCGTTTGAGCTCTGTGAGGATGGGACCCTTGCTGGGCTCATTCACCAAGGCTTCCTCTGTGCCTGGCGGAGCATCCAGGGTGTCACAGGTGCCTTTAAATGTGAGGAGCAGCAGGCAATGCAGGCCGCATGGTCACTCGCCCTTGCAAAGTCAGGGGAGAGAAGCAAGCTTCGAGCAAGTCTCAGAGGTGAGGAGGGGAGGGGCTGAGGGCAGGCAGTGCTGGGGAGCTGATTCTTTCCCTCTGGTTACGGAAGAGACTCCAAATCTCATGGCAACGCGGAAGGCGCAAGGACAAGGCCAGGACCCTCCATCCCTGCACACCCTCCGTCCACTGGTGTCTTTGGGACATCTTGACCCACAACGCCTCCCAGCACCCACCAGGACTCTTTCTGCCTTCTGAATGATAAAACCCAATAAACCATAAAGAAAATAATTATGGATGAAAAGCAAGAAGCCTGTTTCCCAGCGGGGTCCTGCCATGCCGGGATCCTGCCCAGAGCCACACTTTATGACCAAGTCATAAACACATGGAAAGGGAGATTTTAATGAAAAAGAGTCCACTCCAGCACCTCTGGGGAGAAGCTGGGGGGCTGCATTTCAGTCACCGGCCCCTGCCTGACACCCCCAGCCCTGCGTACTTGCTCCCCTGGCTTCTCTGGCCGTGGAATGTGTAATAAATAAAAAGCAAATCACACCCTGGTTCCTTGTCTTGCCTCTGTGTCTGTCTCTCCAGCACACACTCCTACAAAAGCTGATGGGCAATGACTCTGGCCCCTGGCGTCCCCAAGGTAGGACACTGGTTACCTCTGAGACCCTGAGGGCAGTGGCCCTGTGCCCAGCACAGCCACCTCCTCTCTGGAGTTCCCCCATCCACCTCCCTGACATCCATCTGCCCTGGGAAACAGGGTCCCCAAAGGTTCCAACAACTGTCCCCACTTGCCCTCTGTCCTCTGCTGGATTATAGAGTGGCCGAGAGGTGAGTGCAGCTCCCACTGAGAGGCTCTGAGCTCATTATCCAGGAGCAGAGGCGGTTTCTCTCCCTGCTGGTTTCCAGCTGCCATCTGTCACGGGCAGGCAATCCAGAACGTGTTGGCCGAGGCTGCTGCAGCCCATGGTGTTCAGCAGAGAAACCATGGGTCTTTCAATCGGATATTCCAAATACAAGCTCTGTGAATGGCTGTTACCTGTGCTTACACGTCCACGTGTCTGTTCCAGTGCGTACATGCATGCGTGTGCATGAGCAGAGGTGGGCGTGCCAAGTGTGTGTGTATGCACAGCTGCGCATGAGTAAGGGTATTCACATGCATGACTGAGGGTGTGCCATGGGTGAGCACATGGCACAAATGTGAGCTAGAGGATGGCTGTACAGTGATGGGCTGCGTCCACCTATATGGGTGACCAAGCGCCTTCCGAGGAGAGGCTGGGACGAGAAATGTTCCATGAGCCTCAGTGTGGTGGGGCTTTTACTAGATTTTATTTCCTTTCCATTCTGAGGCTGAAGGGGGTTTTTAAATCCAGGTTGCAGCTTGGGCTTGGAGAAATATAGAGATGAGATAATTAACAAAACAGTCACCCATCCACAAGAAGCAGGGCCACTCTTGGCACCTTTTAGGATGGAGAGATAATGGATTGGAACTCTTTCCAGACCCTGATTCGTGTGATCGGGGCCTAGGGGAGATGTGAGGGAAAAGGGTCAGCTAAGAGAAAGCTCGCAGAGAGAGGTGGGGGTTCCACTCGCAGCCCGCCCTCAACCAGAAAGGGACAGAGCCTCGGAAAATCCCTGGAGGGGACCTCCGCACAGAGTGTGGGAGCTCGTGGGGCAGTCTTATTTGCAGCCCTCAAGAGCTGTGCTGCTGACGGCGAGGCAGCTTTGGTCTGTGTGGTCCAGGGTTGGATATGACTGGAACCCACATGGGGACAGAATCATCCTTACAGAAACTCAGTCACCTGGAATTGGGTCTGAAACAAGGTATGGGAAAGAGGCAAACAAGGAAGGAAGGAAGAAGAAGTGAGGGAGGGAAGGAGGAAGGGAGGAAGGGAAGGAAGGAAGGGAAGGAAGGGAGGAGGGAAGGAAGGAAGAGGGAACAAGAAAGGAGGAAGGAAGGAAGAAAGAAGGAGGGAGGGAAGGAGAAAGGAAGGAAGAAGGGAAGGAGGAAGGAAGAAGGAGGGAGGGAAGGAAGAAAGAAGGAGGGAGGGAAGGAGGAAGGAAGGAGGGAGGGAAGGGGGAAGGAACAAAGGGAGGAAGGGAAGGAAGGGAGGAAGGAAGGAAGAAGGAGGGAGGGAAGGAGGAAAGAAGAAGGAGGGGGAAGGAGGAAGGAAGGAAGAAGGAGGAAGGAAGGAGGAAGGACATATGGGAGAAAGAAAATGAGGGAGGAAAGAAGTGGTGCAGGGAGAGGAAACTGTAGGTAGATGATAGGCCTTCCCCGTGAGGTAGTGAAAAGCCCATTGTTGGAAAGATTCAAGCAAAGGGTTTTTAGGGAAGGCTTTCAAGTGTCAGACAGGAGGTTGGGCTAAGACCATCAGGAAGCCCGATTCCAGCCTGTCTCAATATTCTTCTTAAAGGCATCATTTTATCACTAATGGATACAATTGATTCAGTCCATGCCGGGTCCGTGCTCAGCACTCTTGTGCATTATTTTATTTAATCCTCTCAGCAACCTTATAAGGGAGGTATTATTATTATTATTGCCTTCATTTCATAGTGAGGCCCAGCCTGGTTAAATCACTTTCCTGGGTCGCCCATGGCCAGGCTCACCGGGTCCCCAAGTCCATGTGTACTGTGATCCCCACACCCAGAGGCACAGCTACCACCATTCACAACCAGGGGCAGGCCCACCCCTTGCCTATAATCTTCTTGGATAAGGGACATCACACTGTACAGACCCCGGGGAGCCCGGCGGTGAAGCTCCTGGTATCCTGGGTGTCTGAAGACAAAGGTGGTTGAACAGAGCAACCCTGAACTGTTTCTGGGACATCCACAAGCTAAAGCAGCCTGATGGTGAGAGCCACCTTTTCTCCTGGGCAGGCAGGAAAGGCCCACAAGACACATGAAAAGTGAGGGATGCTTGAATCCACAAGCCCATGGGTCTTCATTACCATCGTAGGCCGCTGGACAGAGGGGGCGTGGTTTCCTGAGGGGTGGGCTTCCAGCCCCAGCTGCCAGCTGTGAACTTGGAAGCCTCACTGTGGACACCCGATGTGGACTCACACCTGAACACATTCCTGACACCTGCCCCAGCCCTGGGGGTCAGCATCTCCACCCAGAGAATCTTCCTTCTGGACCCTCAATCTCCCTTCAGGACCCTAAATCTTTTGGGGGGCCCTAAATCTTTCTTCAGAACCCTAAATCTTCCCTCAGGGCCCTAAATCTTCCTTCAAGACCCTAAATCTTCTTGGAGGCCCTAAATCTTCCTTTGGGGACCTAAATCTTCCTCCGAGGCCCTAAATCTTCCTTCATGTACCTAAATCTTCCTTCAGGGCCCCAGGCATTGCCCTCCTGCCAATACATCCTTCCCACCTCAGAAGATCTGGGTTTTCGGGGGACACCCTGGGGTAAAAAGTTGAACTGTCGGGCAAGTCTGGCCAGTCCTGGTGCTGGCTTCCCTTCATTCAGCCCTTGTGGAGCCCTAGAGGAGGCCCTGTTACTGAGTCAGCAATGAAGTCCCAGTTGGCACTGTTTGGTGCAAGGGCCTGTGGCGCTGTGATGGGCGGATGGTGACGTCCTGCTGGCTGTGCCCCATATGCCGGACTCCAGCTCACACTGGCATGGGCAGTACAGGCAGGATGCTGCCCAGCTCCCTTAGCACCTTTGGAATTTCCAAGTAGAAAGCTCTGGATTTGTTCAGCCGGAGCCCCTGCAAAGCCTTCCTTTTGTTTGTGCCAACCAGCTGAATCCGTGAGGTTGGCTCTCCTCTATCTGCTCGCATTCAAGGTCAGCAAAGGCCATGTTTTGTGGTTAAAGGACCCCAGCAAGGCCTCGGGAGCACTAGCCCTCGCTGCTCTGCAAAGCTGGAGGCCGATGAGGAATGTTCTCTCCTTTGAATCACGTTTTCTTGGTTGGAAGATGAAAGAACCGTTGATATCTGAGTTAGGATTTTGCCAGGGCAGGCACAGGCCAGGTTGCAGAGTTCATGGAATGAGCAGCAGGTGCCAAGGCTGACCCCTTACCCAGCTCTCCCCTGACTTGCCTCCGTTGTCCGAGGGCTAGAGACCTGCGGGCTAGAGATGGGCCTCATGGCAAGCAGCCAGGCAGGAACAGACACCCTCACCAACAGGCAGGAAGCAGTGGCAAATGCCCCACCTGTTCCTCTGTGGGTCACCTGGAGATGGCCCAGCGCAGGTCTCCAAAGGCCCCCGGTGGATGGGGCCCCACAGGCCCACAGCCAACCAGCCCAGGAAGCACCCTTCCTTCAGCTCTCTCCTTTCTCTATGCATCTTTCTCCTCTCCCTGGGTTACCTTCCTAAAACTATCTGCACCCAAGCCTTGACTCGCGCTCTGCTTTCAGGGGAACTCAAACTAAGACCTCTGCCTCCCTACAGTGGGTTTCTCAGCTGCAGAACTGTTGACACTGGGGCTGGGTAACTCTGTTGGCGGCTGCCCTGTACAATACAGGACCCTGACCTCCCCCCACCCAGATGCCAGTAGCAGTCCCCACTATTTGGGACGACTGAAATGTCTCCGGACATTGGCAAATGCCTCCTGGGGGCAAAATCACTGTGGTAGAGAAACACTACCTTAGAAGAACCAGACACTCAAAGGCCAGGCGGTCACATGAAGAAGCCAGGAGGCCCAGGGAGTGTTGGGGACTGTGGGAGACGAGGAGGACACCTCGAGTTTCTCACCCCCCAGGGCAGCCACCACTCTGCCTGCTGCCACCTTGCCAGGATGCGGTCCCGGGGCTGTCTGATCCCACCCCACCCAAATTCTATTTTCGAAAGAAGCCGGAGACTGCGGGTTAATGTGATTGTTTGTTTCTGATTTTGAAAACTGAGCTGGCACACACACACACAAACACACACGCACACACATCTGAGGACCAGCTTTGGCCCTCAGCCCAGGGGACCTTGCCCCACTACAAGTGCCCAACTCCGGACTCTGACCCCAGGCTTCTGGCATCAGGCCTTCCTCTCTCAGGGAGCCAGGCCCGTCGGGGCATGGGACAGGCAAATCTCTTTCTTCTTCTTGGGGCATTTCCAGGGATCTCCCAAGAGCTCCGAGGCCTGGTGACCCTAGAGCATGGAGAGCTGGAGAAATGTTGGAAAACCCTGTCCCGGGAAGCTCGGGCTGCATCCAGGAATGTGGCCGTGAGCTGGGCCTCCCCACTGGCCCCAGGAGGGCTGTCAGTGTCCTGTAGACCTTGGGGGAGTCTTCACACCAAGTCCTTAGCTCCTTACACAGAATCTGTCTCATGGCTTATTGGGTCAACCCAGTCCCTAGTAAGCTAAAATCCAACCAGAGCCTAAGGGCCAAATTGCATTAAAAATGTGAGCAAAGCCCTTTCTCCAGGCTCCATCTCCCTTACCTGCTCCCACCCTCTACCACTCTGCCCCGACAGGCCGCTGCCCCAGAGACTGCAGTTAGAAAACCTGAATTCAAACAATGACTTGCACCAGCTCGCTTTGACTTTGGCAAGCCTCTGAAACCTCTGTTGTTTCTTCATTGAGGAGGTCAAGGGCAGCATTGCTTGAGCACCTATTGTGTACCTAGTACTGTGCTTAGTGTTTGACAATGTTCTTTCATTTTACCTGCCAGAGCACGGGCTCCCCAAAGGCCAGGAACGAGTCTGGTTTCTGGAACAGCACTGTCTCCTCAGCACCTAGACCTGGGCACATAGCAGACAACCAAGGAATGCCCATCAACGAGAGGAGGCCTCACCTCATGGCGGCCATGTGGGGCAGGAATGACTGTAATCCCCCCTAACCAATGGAACAGCTAAGACTCAGAGAGGGTGAGTGTCTTTCCCAAGGTCACACAGCTAGTAGGTAGGTGAGCTAGGACTTCCAGCCCCGGACTGCATGCCTTTTGGCTATGTCACCTTAGCCACTCTTCCCTGCCACTACTGCCTCCCAGGTTTGCTGGAGGATCACATGCTGAGCTGCTCACATGCTGAGCTGTTCACCTGCTGAGCAAGCAAGCATCAAACGCCCATGGAATACAAGGTTCTAGGGACCTAGAACTAGAAAGACATTCCTTTTCTGCTAGTCTGTGGCTCTTCCAGGGTAGAGATGGAGCACCACACCTGGTGAAGAGCGCGGACTTGCAGGCTTACCAGAATTTGCCTGTGTATGAGTTTCTTCTTGCCATTGTAACAACTGACCACGACTTAGCTTAAAGCAACACACATTTCCTCTTTTACGGTTCTGGAAGTCTGAAATGGAGTCTCATCGGGCTAAAATTGTGTTGGCAGGGCTGTGTTCCTTCTGAGGCTCTAAGGGAGAAATCCGTTTCCTCGTCTTTTCCAGCTTCTAGAGTTTGCTTGTACTACTTGCCTCATGGCCCCTCCTCTATCTCCAAATCCAGCAAGCTCATCACTCCAACCTCTGCTGCCATTCCGATGTCTCTCTCTGACATTGACCTCCTGGCCCACCACTTCCCTTATTAGGATCCCTGTGATTACACTGTACTCACCCAGATAATCCAGGAGAGTCTCCCCCTCCAGCTCCTTACCCTAATTACACCTGCAAGGCCCCCTTTGCCTTAAAAGGTGGCATAGTTACAGTTTTGGGGGTCAGAATGCAGACATCTTTGGGGATGGTCTTAGTGCACTTACTTTGCTATAAAAGAATACCTGAAGGCAGGTAATTTATAAAGAAAAGAGCTTTATTAGGCTTATAGTTCCACGGCTGTACAAGAAGCATGGCACCAGCATCCGCTTCTGGGGAGGCCACAAGCTGCTTCTACTCATGGCAGAAAGGGAAGGAGAGCTGATGTGTGCAGAAATCACACAATGACTGAGTGCAGCAATTCTCCACCCAACCAATGGAAAAGCGAGAGAGAGACAGGGAGAGACAGTGAGCAGTAACAATGGGTGGAGGTGGTCCTACACTCTTTTCAACAACTAGTGCTCACGGGGACTAACAGAGCAGAGCTCTCTCCTCGAAGAAGGGCATTGCCCTCATGACCCAAAGACCTTCCACCAGGCCCCACCTCCAACACCACGGATCAGATTTCAATACGAGACTTGGGGACAAACTAGCCATGTCCAAACCACAGCTGGGACCATGACTCCTCCCAGCACATCGAGTTTGTGGGGTTGTATTATCAGAATTGCAATATGGCTTAGTTGGCTCAGGCTGCCATAAAAGAATGCCATAGGCTGGGTGGCTTAAACCACAGAAATGCATTTTTTCATGGTTCTGGAGGCTGGAAGTCCGAGATCAGGGTGCCAGCGTGGCAGGGTTCTGGTGAGGACCCTCTTCCTGGTTTGCATATTGCTGCCCCCTCGCTGTGGCTCATGTGACCTTTCCTGGGTCTGTGCTTAACGTGAGAGCAAGGTCTCCACCACCAAGGCCACCAGCCCTATCAGATGAGGACCTCACCCTTATGAGCTCACTGAACTTTACCTCCAAAAAGTTCAGTCTTAACACACGGTTAGATTGGGGTTAGGGCTTTAATATAGAAATTTTGGGGGGACACATTTCTGTCTCGAGCACAGAACACAGGAGACTGCTGGCTCCCACACCCTCCCTTTCTCTTCCCCTGAGAACCACGTTTCCCAGGCCACCCTTCCTCCCACTCGTTTCCCTCTGTGCTCTGCCAAGGGGAGGCCCCAGAGGAAGGTTGAGGGGAGGGAGGGAGGAGACACCCAGGTGTGTCCCCCTCTTTCAGTCGGCAGTGGGTGAGTCTCCTCTGTGGCTCCAGCTCCCCATAGGCAGCCTCAGCTCACAGCTGGGGGCTCAGACAACACAGTTCCTCCCTTTGTCCTGCTAGCCCAGGGGCAGTGGGGACTTCCTGCTGTTGCTCATCTGTGTTGCTCTCACTGCCCTGGGGCTTGGCTTTCCAGCTCTTCTGCCACCTTTATATGGAGATTTTGGCATGCACGTCCATCATTGGACTCCATTTTTCTGTCTGGGTCTTGACTAAGACTTCCCTTCACCCACAGGGCCTCGAGCCCTTCACAGGGTCCCTCAAGTGTTGGGGCAGGGGCTTCAGGTGTTGGTCCTCCTCCTGCCTGGCATCCTCTGCCCCGCCTTGGCAACGTCAGTAGCTGCAGAACATCTGCGTCTACTCCTCTGCCCATCCTGGGTCTGTGCTGAGGGCCCTGGGGTGCAGCAAGCTGCTAAGCCTGCAGCCAAACCTGGGTCCCTCTCTACTCTCTTTTGTGCTATTCTGTGTTTTCTAAATGGTTTGACAAATAGTGTCATTGTTTTTACGCAAGAAACACCAATAGAATCTTTAATTCAAAAAAAAAATCAGGGCTTTCCTCTAACACAATGTAACTTCTTTCTTTTTTTTTTTTTTTTTTTGAGACAGGGTCATGCTCTGTCACAAAAAAAAATCTCGACTCTTTTTTTGATGGAGCTGGAGCGCAATCTTGTCTCACTGCAGCCTCAACCTCCTGGGTCCAGCGATCCTCCTACCTCAGCCTCCCGAGTAGCTGGGACTACAGCCATGTGTCACCATGCCCGGCTAATTTTCTTTTCCTTTTTTTGTAGAGATGGGGACTCACTTTGTTGCCCTGGCTGATCTCAAACTCCTGGCTTCAAGTGATCCTCCTGCCTCAGCCTCCCAAAGTGCTGGGATTATAGGTGTGATCTACCGTGTCCAGCCCTGATAGAACTTTCTGTGCTCATGACACTGTTCTTTCTGTATATATTGTCCAGGACAGCAGCCACCAGGCGCAGGTGGCTATGGAATACTTGAAACATCTATGATGGAGGAACTGAATTTTAAATTTTATTTCATTTCAATGCATTTAAATTTAAATAGCCACAAGTACTGGTTACCACAGCTTTAGACTTTGGTAAGATTCCTGGAGCCCTTGTAGTGGGACTAACAAAGACTGTCTCTATGTCCTAGGATTTCTCTCCAGCAATTTCACACCCGTATGAAAGTGTCTTGTACACATCCCCCTACCCCCAAATCATCATTCAACAGGTTATCATTGTGTCCAGCCTTGTGTGAGGGGCATAAGGTGAGTCGGAGGGAAGCAGAAATGGAGGGCACAGAATAAATGTCTGGAGGTCTCAGGGTGGCAGACCAAGGGTCCCTGGGCTGGCGTGCTGGGCTGTGATGCATTGGTGACTTCAGGGCAGACCGGCTTTGTGGAGAGTAGGGAACTCACACCCACTCCATCACTCCCTCTTGTCTTCCTCCCCTAGCTCATAATACAGCAGATTTAATTCAAGGTCTTTTACAAATCCTTGAATGACACAGTCAGGAAAATATACAGAAGTCAACATGAAGTTTTAATTTTCCACACAAATAAATCTGCCTGTACAGCCCACACTGGAGCAGGTTTAGAGCCAGGCCCTCAGACAGGTGCAGAGATGCTAGGAGATGCTTTGCTGGAAGAGGAACCTTTGCTTTCCTCTGCTGACATCTCCAAATCCCAGTCCCAGGCAGTGCCAGTGCATAGGGACCTCAGCATGGGCATCCACTTCCTGGAGAGCACAGTGAAGGGAAAACTTCCTAAATGCCCAGGCCTCTCCTCCCTCCCGTATTTATGACAAGCTAACCATCTGACAATTCCTTATAGAGCTGGGTCCCTGAGTCCTAAATTCTGACCAAGGTGTGAGTTTGGCAGAAGGCTGTGGAGAGATTGGCTGGAGTCTCAGTGACAGGCTGGAAGCCAGCAAGGTGCTTAAGGGTCCTCACATTTCATTCTCCAAACCTCCTGCTCCTCCAACAGAGACATTTTGCCCTCTTAAAAGAAAAGAAAGTTGATGTGCAGAGAAGTAAAGAAACTTGCCCAAGGTGTCACCACAAATGAGCAGAGGGGCTGGGGTTCTAGAGGATTCTGGAAGATTCTAGAAGATTCTGGAAGAGGATTCTGGAATATGGGTTGGTTCTATTCACTATACTCAGCACACATCCTCCCAGGAGACAAATACCAGCACCACAGGAGTGGCTAAAAGAGAGGATTAAGGGCACAGAAAGGAGAGAAGGTAGGGTAGAGTGGGGGAAGAGCTCTAAGTGATTCATTGCATGGTTTACCTAACCACAGATTAACCACAAGCAACCATTTCAGCCCCAGCAGTAATGCTGGTCAGTTTCTGAATTGCACGCCTGTACTATGTAGGGCTTTTCTCCCACTGGTTCTTTTAAATTTGCAGCTTCCCAATGATGAAGTTGTTACCATCCCTGTCTACAGGTAAAGAAACAGGCTGAGAGGTCAAATGATTTGCCCAAGGTCATGTGGCTGGGGAGGGGAAGAACGGGGCCTTGATCCCAGGGGTCCAAAGCTGATGGTTTTCACTAGCACACAACTGCCTTTCCTAGGTGGCCAGAGCAGAAGGAAATCAAGCCGGACCAGAGTAGCCCCTTCTTGCTCCACAGAACCACAGCCTTGCCAGGTCCCAAGGCATTTGGCCTGTCCTGACAGTGATGGGATCTCCCAAAATACAGCCCCCTCAGAGACCATCAGAACTCAGTCCAAATGGGGCCTGGAAGGATTCTCCTGATGTTAAAATACCTCGTTCACCCCACAGCCTCCGTCGTTGCTCTGGGACCTCGTTGCTGACCCTGGATGACAGACCACTGCCTAGGATGAAATTCCCCTCTGGATGGATGGCTTCTGGTTTGGTGATGGAATGGATTCCAGGGCCTCTGAGGAAGGCAGGAAGCCTTGGGACTTGGCAATCTCCACAGGAGATGGGGTGTGTGCTAGGTGAGGCCCCCATCACCAGGAGCAAGGCCTGGTCCACCCTGAGACCCAGCGCCCACTTACTGTCCATGCCTTCACCTTGCTAAGTTAGTGTGTGGTCCACTTGCTAAGAGAAACAACAGGTATTAAGGGTTTAAGAAAAAATGAAACCCAAAACAAGCTCTGAAGTTCTGTAGACCTTGGCCAACTCTCAGCACAGCCACTTACTTGCTAGCTAATCTTGAGCACGTCCCTTAACTTCTCTAACCTTTTTCCTCCATTCGTAAAACTGGGAAAATTTGCATCTTTTTCGTGCATTCGTTTTGAGAAATAGATGGATATGTGTGTGCCTGTCAGCTCGACGCTGGGTGCAGAGTGAGTGCGCTAAGCACGGTGGCTTCCTTGACTGTAGAGATGCATCCTAGCTCCTGCCTGGTCTGTCCCAGGTGGACAGAGGTGATGGCATCTGGAGGGGTCCCACCTCCAATGTCTTAATCCAGGGCCTTTCTGTGGCATAGTGCTGAGCCAGCGTACTGAAAGGCCACAGAGAGGTGCAGCAGGTGGCGAGTTGAGCCCCCACCTCCCCAACCCCAGTGATTTTCCCTGAAAAGACACCCCATGCTTTGTTTTGTTGTCTGGCTTATGTAAACTTGCCTCTTGTTTTATAGTTGCTTCCCCAGCTTTAAACTAAAGGCTGTTATTGACAGCCTATAGTTGCTTCCCCAACGGCCAATCCCTCCAGCTCCCCTCCTGCTTCCAGGCAAACAACCCCAGTCATAAGGGCCTGCGATGTTCCCAGTCCCAGGGAATGAGTCCTGATTGGTCTAAGACAGCTAAGACAATTCTTTTCTACTTTATCAAATACAGATGACCCCTGAACAGCACCAGTTTGAACTGGGGGGTCCACTTATATGTGGAGTTTCTCTCTCTGCCACCTCTGGGACAGCAAGACCAATGCCTCCTCCCCCTCCTCCTCCTGAGCCTACTCACTGTGAGTAGGATGAAGACCTTTAGGATGATCCATTTCCACTTAATCAATAGCAGATATATTTTCTCTTCCTTATGAGTCTTTTAACAACATTTTCTTTTCTCTAGCTTATTTTATTGTAAGAATACGGTGTTGAATGCATATAACGTGCAAATACATGTTAATCAACTGTTTATGTTACGGGTATGGCTTCTGGCCAACAGTAAGCTATTAATAGTTAAGTTTTGGGGAAGTCAAAAGTTATATGCAATTTTTTGACTGCACAGGGAGTCAGCACCCCTCACTCCTCATTGTTCAGGGTCAACTGTACTTGGTTTCCAAGCCTCCCTTATAAGTCGGTATGGCCATGGGACCCAGTTTTAGATGTGAGAAGAGAAGAAGGGTTGCATCTGGGAAGGATTTCTTTCTGGATGAAAGATAGTCTTTTGAGGAGCGGCTCCTTGGTCCCTGCCCTGTCCCTCCTGCTGGAGATGCTGCATGCAAGGGCCTGATGTCTGGAATTGAAGCATCCATGTGGTGACCATGAGACAAGAAGCATGACAATAAAATTTCACTGGGTGGAAGAATGAGGAAGTCTGGATTCTTGATGATACTGTTGCCGTCTGAACATGCCCTGTGACCCTGTACTTCTGGGCATCTGGTTACATGAGCAATAAATATTCTTACGGCTAAAACCAGTGTTTGTCAGTTTTCTGTTGCTTGCAATCAAAAGCGTTCTTCACATAGGCCCCCGAAGAGTGCGTTCATGAGAATTAGAGCAAAGAGAGAATCCTGAAGCCTTGCTGAGCTATGGGCTCTGAGGTAGTTGCTGGGGGAGAGAGGCTAGGAGAGGAGGCAAAAAGAATTTTTCAGAAGTGCCCGGGGGTGGGGGTGTTGTGATTTGGATCCCTTTAATCTCCTTTGAAAATGCAAGTAGAAATTGGAAGTACATTTCATTTCCTTTTGATTATTTAGCTGTCTTTCTTTGAGGAGCAGAGGCTGAGCCTTATGCAGCATAGAAATGATCTGGGCTACACTTGCAATCGCAATTTGAGTTCTGAAAATTATCAGAGATTAAAAAGGAGATAGAATCAAAAGAAGCTGACATGATGATAGCTACGTGCCTTGAGTTCTCATTTGGAATAACCTAGAGAGGATCAAACAAGTTCATTGCCAAAGGGACTGGGGAATGGGGCTGATGTCAAAGCATAAGATTCAAAAATGTCGAAAACAGAATTCTCATCTAAGCACACGGTGAGTACATGCCAAGATTGCTTTATTCATTAATGAAGGAACCAGCATAATGACAAAGCTGACTCAAAAGAGGATGGAGAGAACTGAGGAAATGTTCAGTACAAAGCTGGTTTGTCTCCTGCGTCCTTCAGAGCCAAAACAATTTGTAAACTCAGGTTATCTTTTCTATCGGATGTTAATCATTTGCATCTCTTCTTGACACGCCATCATTTCCTACTTACCAATCTCCCACAAGTCAGCCTTTAACTTTTCAGAGCCTGGGCTCTGATCAATAGTAATGGTTAGAAAACAAAGTTACACCAGAAAGTCAGATAACTTTTATTCAGGCTTGTTAGACAACGTTCTAGTATGATTCGGGAAGCTCTTCACATGGTAATCTTTTCCCCTTATTTCCAAGCTTGAATAATTTCCCTGAACACCACAAAGGGAAAATACATAGGTGGTGCTCTGTATCTTATCAAGCTTTGAGGTCTGACATCTTACTCTTCATGCTTATACACATGCATGTGCACTCAAGCACACACACACACACACACACACACGATGCATGCATGCATCTGGTAGAAAATCCTTCTTTGGATGAAAGGTTAACCCTATTAAAAGCCGGGCCCCTCTTTACCTGGGTGCCGTGTTCCTCTTTACCTGGGTGCCGTGTTGCCCAGCTGATCCCACTAGTCACATTTGTTGCTACAATCAAAATTCAACAAAAAGGTATTTGGACATTTGCTTGTGTCTCTCAAAGAACACCAGGAGATGCAGTTCCTAACCAACAACATCACTTATCAAAACTACATCCACCTTCTGCAAGCTCTCCAGGAGCTCAAACTTGCTGCCTGTGGAGTTTTCTTCTTCCTCCTGGCCTCCCTTCTACCAAGTCTTTGTTATTTTTACAGACAAACTTGGCTTCTCTGGGCAACTCCTTCTCTCTTCCCTCCTGCCTTTCTAATCTGATTTCTGCATCACAAAATTCTGGGAAGTGATTGGTGAGGGGTAGTCCTTGCCCAGGGCACCGGGTCAGGAGCTGGGTTTGGAGGGGGCACTATCACCCACTAGCAAATCAGACTTATTTCATGGCATGTCTGGGACACCACGCCCAAGAGAGCTCAGGTGGAAAGAGACCAGCTGCATGCACCCTCTCTCTCTCTCTCTCTCTCTTTTTTGCACACATATTTATTATGCAGTTGATGCAGCTTATGTCTGGGACCTCTCACCTGTACAGCCTCTTCCAAGGCCCTGGAAGGGCTCTAACAATTTTGTGTTCATAATTTTGTATTCTTTTATTCAGTGAAGGCTTTCAAATTGTATAGCCTTTGGGGCCGGGCACAATGGCTCAAGCCTGTAATCTCAGCACTTTGGGAGGCCGAGGAGGGCAGATCACCTGAGGTCAGGAGTTCGAGACCACCCTGGTCAACATGGCAAAACCCCGTCTCTACTAAAAATACAAAAATTAGCCAGGCATGGTGGCAGATGCCTGTAATCCCAGCTACTTGGGTGGCTGGGGCAGAAGAATCACTTGAATCTGGGAGGTGGAGTTTGCAGTGAGCCAAGACCGCGCCATTGCACTCCAGCCTGGGCGACAAGAGGGAAACTCCCTTCTCAAAAAAAAAAAATTTATAATCTTTGAGCCCCCCAGAACCTGCATCCACCCCACTCCTTCCCCAATCATAGAACTAAAAGAGCTCACATGATAGGAGGCATTTATGGTGTCCTCTCCGGCCACAGTGTCACGCGGGCTTGATTGCCACACCTTCCGTGGCTCGCCTTGCTCGAGTGAGTGTGACCTGCCTTCACCTGTGGTCTCTGTCTACCAGGCCATGTCCGCCATGTCCCCATCACTGTTGGGGACCTAGTCATAATCCAGTGGTTTCCAGCCTCTTGGAGAATCTTCCTTTTCCCTCTGATAACTGAGAGGTGAGAAAAGCTGGCCCATAGTCCCGGGGAGGGCAGTGGGGCTGAGGCAGAACCTAAATGACATGACATCTTCATTATTTGGGGCCTGCCCTTTGGCCTCCACTCCCGGTCCCACCGCCCACAAGGAGCTGTGGGATCTGAGCTAATTGGCTCCGTCACTGGCCTGAATCCCCCTCTGTCTCCCAAGCCCCTGGGCCTCTGTCGCTCACTGAATCAGGGAACGGGGCTTATCTTTAAAGAACAGATGGGGAAGTTCTCATTTTTTATTAAAGCCATCCAGTCTGCATAGGAAAGTAATCTGCTGGCAGCTGCGAGAATCGCTATTTTAAATACATTTGCATAGCGCCTCAGCTGCCCAGTGGGGCTGGGTTTGCTTTTCCCGCCCCCGGTCTCCTATCTTGGAACAAGGCCAAGTGCGGTGTCCTGCAAGTAGCCAGGGCAGCCTCCTTTACTGCAGTGGGAATGGTGGGGGAGCTAGACTCTGGGTGCATGGAGGGGACAGAGAGCCAGCCACCCCTGTCTTTGCCCATGTTTCTTGGCCTGCCGTTGTCAGTGTTCCCCTGGCATGAACACCAGGACCCCCAGGGCCAGTACGGGCACTTATAGATGCTCAATGTCAGCTGGATGGAATCTTGGGAGCTTGGGGAAAATCAGTGCTTCCTTTTCAAGCCCCTCTCCTCGTCCACTGCTTATCCAAGGACTGTCTGTGTTCTCATTCATTCATTCACTTATTCATTCATTCCTTATTTCTACAAGCCACCTTTGAACACCACCATTTCAGGTGCTATTCTGGATGGGGATGGTGCAGTGAAGAGATGAACAAGGTTCCCGCCCTGCAGGAGCTCACCTTCTGGTGTGGAGGAAGCAGGAGAGGTGGCAGACAGGAGCACGCGCAGAGAGAAGGCCATCTCAGAGAGGCCTGAGGGCAGCAGGGCTGGACGGCGGGCAAAACCTCAGCTGCTGGGCTCAGGGGGCGAGGATCGAAGTTAGAGTGGTCCTCACTGATGAAGGACACATGCGCCTGAGATGTGAAGGGGCTTCTGCAGATCAAGGGACCCCAAGGTCCTGTTGTCTTCAAATAAGAGGCCTGCCCTGCCCTCTAGGCCAGCGGTTCTCACTCAGCACATCTGGAGACATTTCAGTTGTCACCACTTGGAGGGGAGATGCTACTGGCATTCAGTGGGGAGAAGCCAGGGAAGCTGCTAAAACGCCCTGCAGTGCAGCAGGCAACCCCCCACAACAGAAAATTACTGGGCTCAGATGTCCACAGTGCCAAGGTTTGGAAAACCCACTCCAGTGGAAAGATGAATGTACCAGAATGTTCCAGAAACACAGATGCAATTCATATCACCTGGAGACTGTCTGGCTTTGTGACCAGGGTAAGCCACTTGCCTGCCAAGGACCTGCCCCCTTCCTCCACCTATGAGACAGGCTAACTCCCCCACAGCTTTCTACCCGGGTAGTGTTTCCAGGGCAAACAAGGCACAGAGCTCTTACAGGAAAGAGGCTTCATAAATAAAGGCTCAGTCTTATTTCACTGCCTAAAAAATCCATGGAGGAAAAAAAAATCACCTTAGGCCTGAGGCTGAAAGAGCTGCCTCATTTCTTTCTGGAAATAATCTTCTCTTAAACCCCAGCCAGGCAGCTGGGCTCTAAGCATCCTGCCCTTCAAGGTCAGATTGGTTTGAACGTGACTGTGTCTCTTCTTCAAAGCGTTGGTTCCTGGAGCGCTGGGCCTTTTCCCGAGGCTCTCAGAACAACGAGGGCGATTCAGGGGATACCTGGACAGGTAACCGCCTTGGAAGAGCGCTGGTTTTCTGCTCTCAAAAGGATCTGAAAAGGCTCCTGTCGGGCATCTCTCCCTAATTTATTTGGCAGTTTCCCCCTGGCTTGCTAGGTTATTATCTGAAGGACGTTCTTGAAAGCTCAAGACAATAATGAGTCTCCCAGCCAACCCTCACGTTTGCTAACCCAGTGCTCAAGGGCTATTGGCCTCCTGCGAGGTGCAGCTCATGCCTGGAGAGACTGAAACTTTCATGCAACATAAGGAAATTATTAGAGCTCAAAGACTGTGGAACTCTTTTGTCCCATCTGGAACACCCTATTGATATTCGTACATGTATAAATTATGTATTGGACAAGATCCTGTGCTCAATGGTGGCCCCAAGGATGAATGGAGGAAGAGAAATAAGCCATGCATTCACTTCCCCTTAACCCTTTGTTCCCTTGAGTGGTTGAGTGGACTTCCACCCGGGCAATGCCACCTGCATTCATGGCGCCCCTTTGGGGCAGGAAATGCCCACATTCTTTCCAGGGTTTCTGTTGAGAATTCCAATCCTCACCTTATTCACTGACTCCTGTATTCTCCCCCTATTTAGCCTTTGCATATTGGGAATGATTAAATGGGGAAAGGGCTCAGGGCTCTGTCGCTGGGATCAGAAGGCCTTGGCTTGAGTCTCACTCTGCCACTTGTTGGCTGTGTGTCCTGGGCAGGTTATCCACCTCTCTGGGCCTGAGTTAGATTGTCTGGGAAGTGAGTATACAATGGCACCTCCCTCATTGCAGTGCTGGTGTGACAGCCATGTGAGATGGAAATCTCTCCACACAGTCAGCACCTGGCACCTGGGAAGTGCAAAGTGGATGGAGGAGACCCTGAGTGTGAATATGAACAAAGGTGGTCCTGGCCCACAGCCAGGACTGAAGCCTGCTCTGGGCTACAAGGGGTTGCAAGGCTGGTGTCTCCAGGGCGAGGCTGGCAGAATTTGCCAAAGGGATGTGCCCAGCTAAGGGACAGCCAAACCGGCCTTGCGCCTGCTGAATGCAGACCCCAAATAGCCTTGCTTCTCAAAAAAGGGAAGGAAATTAGATTTTTTTGTGAAACTGACTTAGGAGGTCTTGGCCACAGTCCCTCAGTAGGGACTTAAAGGAGCCTCCAGGGTCAAAGCAGAGAGGAGGCCAGTAAGGTCTGGGGAGGGAGATGCCATGAGTGTGGACAAGGACGCTGACATGTGGCTCCTTGCAGTGGTTTTCACCACCCATTGGAAGACGGAACAGTTGTCAGATGTGTCATCTAGAAGCATGCTCTCTCCTTCTTGGGCAGTTAGGATTGGAGGATTCAGCCAGGGTTTCTCACCTTGGCTGAATGTTGGAATCACTTGGAAGTACTAAAATTCCCGATTCCTGAAACCCAGGGATTCTTACTGAATTGTTCTGTGATTGGTGGGAAGTTGCAGAGCTCCCGGATGATGCCAGAGGGTAGCCCAGGTGAGAGCCACTGACTTAAGGCAGGGCCATGGTGAGATGGCCTAGGGCTCAGCCTGATGCCTGGGAATAACAGAGAGGAGAACAGAGGATAATAACAAAATGACCACACAACAACACATGGTCATCGCTCATTCTGAGCTCAGTGTGCATTATCTCATTTAATTCCATACCAGTTTTATGAGAAAGATTCAGTTAATATCCCCATTTCACAGATGGGGAAACTGAGGTGTGGCTTATGTAACTTGCCCAAGGCCCATGGTAAGCAGCAGACTCAGAATCTAAAACCAGGCTATCTGGCAAGTTCTACAAAGCCCTGGAAACTTGAGGAGAGGGAGAGGTAGAGGATTCTTGGAACTATTGCCTGAAGAATGGAGATGCTGAAGTGTGAACTGTTGGTTCTCCCTTCCTCCGTGAACTCCATTGAAAACCTGGACTCTGATAGCACCTGAAAGGCTGGGTATGTCTTGTCTTTCTTTCCATGCATTCTTTCCCAAACAGGGGATGCTCAGGAGATATTTGTTAAATAGACAAGGGAAGGTGGAGAGAGAAGAAGAGGAAGGAAGGAAGGAAGGAAGGAAGGAAGGAAGGAAGGAAGGAAGGAAGGAAGGAAGGAAGGAAGGAAGGAGACAAGAAGGATTTAGGGTCATCTTATTTTTATTATTTCTAGATAGTGAAATATGACTGCTAAGTACCCATGAGTTTGTTGGGAGTTTTTTTTTGTCGTTATTTTTTAAAAGTTTTTTTATTGATACATAATAATGATACATATTTATTGGGTATATGTGATATTTTGATACATACATGAATCACAGAACACACGGGTAGGCAACTAGTTCTATGAAGCGGGTTTATAACTCACAGATGGGCAGGGAGGGGCCACAGAGCCTGGGATTCATCGTGAGTCAGGACTCACGATGCTCAGAAGCTACCCAGGCTCAGAAAGCTACCCAGGGAAGACGGAGTCTCGACTGTGCATGCCCCATTTGCTCTGCAGGAGAGAGACCCAGAAAGCAGCCTGCCCTTGGTTTTATACCCTGGGGGAAATGTGACCCACTGAGCTACAGCAATGAAGGACATCCCATTTCTAGGGGTAATCTGGAACCGAGCCTGGGCTGCTCTGGCCAGCTCCTCCCTCTCTCAGGATATTGCAGTCCTAGAACATTCTACAGTTATTCTTGAGAACGACAAGTGAGAAGAAGTGGAAAACTGGGTGTCTCCAAGGCCAACCAGAGAACTGTCCTGTTACCACTAGTGACCTAACATTCAGAAGGTGCTAACTTTATGTGGCATTTTACCGTGGGCATGAAAGGAGACCCCGTGCGGCACATACCACACTCACTGTGGGTACTCTCACTAGGACCCCGCACTTTTCCGTGGTACCCTCTGGTCCACAGAAGCTCTGTCAGCAGGCCCATCAAAATATGCAAGAGCAGCAGCACCAGTCTACAGACAAGGGAATACATGGTCCTGGGCTGGGAGGATGGAGATTCGAAATGTATTCCAGAGAGGCATTTCATTTCAGTTGGCTGATGAATTGATAACCATGAATACTTTATGTCTCTCTCTGGGCTGTGTAGAAAGCATGCCATGCCTGGACTAGACGGTGAAGCTGAACTGAGGATCCAAGCGGCCTGGGAGGCAGAGCTCCAACCTCTCCCACCCACTTCCTCCCTCTCCCAAGGCTCGGGCTGGTTCCTGGCACCATCTGCTTCCAAGGGTCACGGCACTTTGAAATCATAAAAGGCCAGAAAAACAAGTGATCCGCTTAGTTGGGGCCTTAGTGTTGGTGGCTGGATTTAGAAATAGCCTTCCCCGGTGTCCTGGACTAGAAAGGAGTGGTCCCCAAGTGAAGGGCAACAGAAAAGGACAGAAACCCAGAAAGAGCCTGAAGACTCTGGAGGAGAAACTGAGGCCCAGGGAGCACTGGAGCTTACCCAAGCTCACTCAGGAAGCCAGGGCAAGGCTGGGCATCGCCCACGTCTCCTGACGGCATTATCCCTTGACCTCATTCATTCACTCATTCGCCCATTCAGCATGGTAACAGTATAGCCAAGGGATTGAAAGGCATAGATTCTGGAGCCAATCTGCCTGGATGTGATTCCGGGTCCGCTGCCTCCTGGCTGTGCGTCCTTGGGCAAGTTAACCTCTCTGTCCCAGTTTCCTTGTCAGTAAAATGTGCATAAAAAATAGCCCTCCACAGACTTGTAAAGAGTCAATGAGACAATGTACATATGGAAATTACTTAGAATAGCCCAGCACATAAATAAATGCTCAATACCTATGCACTATTAACACCAATTAAATAGATGCTATAAACACCAACACTCAGGGCCATGCCAGCAGTGCAGGAGTGAAGAGGCAGATACGGTTCCTGCCCTCAGGAATCTTAGACTCCAGCAAGAGGAGGCAGGAATCCAGGTGCTTGGCCTGGTTGGGAAGGTTGGGGGTCTCCTAAAAGGGATGAAAGCCTGCACAGGCCCTGGAGTCAGCCAGGCAGGAAGGCTGGGCTGGTTGGAGAAAGTGGGTGCTCTGTCAAGACCCTAAGCAGGAATGACAAGCCAGTGAGAGACCCGTGGAAATCCTGGGTGGAGGTGTCTGCAGAGCCCATTCGTGCAGGGCCATGGGTAGATGTGGAGGTCTGCTACCCTCCATCTTAGAGCAGCAGGGGCCAGGGAGTCTGTGGGAGTGGGCACAGCATGATCAGACGCGCCTTGTGCCAGGATCTTTCTGGCTGCTGTGGGAGCACAGGTTGTACGGTGCAGGACCAGAGCTGGGAGACCGGGGAGGCCATGGGTAGTCCAGTGGTAGACAGTGGCCAGACCAGGCAGGGACAGGGTAATGGACTCATGTGGACAGATACTGCAGAGAATTTGGAGGTCGCCTTGCAGGAGGTAAATGAGAGACAGGAGGGGACAGGAGGGACCCTGGGCTCTGGCATGAGCAGTGGAGTGACCAGCACCTTTTTCTGCACTCAGGAGAGCTGGGAACGTCGGTCGCAGCTTGGAATTGGTTAATGGAGACCATGTGCATGGGCAGGGTGGACGGGCAGAGGCCAGGCTTTCCTTCGCAGCTGCAGAGCTGGTCAGAATAGGAGGGGTGGTCCCAGGGTGGGCCCATTACCCAGCCTCTCCAACTAGGAGGGAAGCACAAGGACCCAAGTGAGGCTCTCCTTGCTTTGCCCAGAGCAATGGGTCAGGGATGGGTGCTCCCCACGACCCAGCAGCTCCCACCTGGCAGATGAACCAGACCCTGTGATTGCCCCTTTCGACATTGCTTACAAAGTCAGGTTGCTTTTCATCTCCTCTCATCTTTAAAAGAGCACTTCCAGGTTAAAACACCGGCATCCACACCCCTGCCCTTCCTCTGCCCCTCTAGACTCTCTGAGGGAGGACTACATCTCAGCCTCTCCCTCATGGCCCTCCAGGTAGGGATGGATGCAGCTGTCCCTCTGCCACCTCACTGTGTACAACCATTAGAAAGTGTGCCATCATCCCTCTGCAGAGGTGAACTGAGCACCAGCTATGTCCCAGGCAGGGGTCCCCATGCTGGGGATGCTGCAGTGAACTGACGGCATCTGTGAGCCTTTATCTGGCTATATTCTGATCTCAGCCCTTGTCTCTCCAGCATAGCCTGTAGACAACGGGGACTGAGCCTGGAGATGGGCTGAATTCTGCATTCCTCTCAGCTCCTTGGCAGCTTTCTATTTAACACAGATGTTTCCGAAAAAGCACTGAATTCATTCAAGAAGCTCTGCTCTCAATCCCAGCCACTTGACCTTGAGAAAGACTCACTTCAGCTTTCTTGTGCCTCAGTTTCCTCATCAGCAAAATGAGATAATCACAGCACCACCTCATGGGTCTGCATGGGAGAGCACGAATATCTATGTAGGAGCCTGGAGGCCAGTGGGCATGCACTGGACCATCTGTGTGTGAAGATCTGTGCTTGTTCAATGGAGGCTCCTGTCCTGGATTCCGTGTGAAATGTGCCCATTCAAATCCCACATCATTCCCCCACCCTCCCACGTCTTTGTCACCATGAAGCATTGAGAGATGGCCAACCATGTTTTGCAGCAAACTGTGAGGTCTTTACCCAGAGGAGCTAGTCCCTAGTCTCCTGGTTCATGCCCCAGCTTTCGTTCTTGAAATTACTTTCCCTAAGGCCAAAGCAACAGGGCCAGTGTCTTAGTCCATATTCTGTTGCTTATAACAGGGTACCTGAAACTGGGTAATTAATAAAGGAAAGGAACTTATTTCTTACCCTTATGGAGGCTGAGAAGTTTCAGGTAAAGGGTCCACATCTGTTGAGGGCCTTTTTGCTGGTGGGGGCTCTGCAGATTCCCGAGGTGGCCCAGGGCATCCCATGATGAGGGGGCTGAGTGTCCTAGCTAGGTTTCCTCTACTTCTTCCTATGAAGCCACCAGTTCCACTCCCATAATAACCCATTAACCCATTAATCCATGAGTGGATTACTTCATTCTTGAGGGTGGAGCCTGCCTGACCCAATCACCTCTTAAAGGCACCACCTTTCAATATGGCCACATAAGGGATTAAGTTTCAACATAAGTTTTGGAGGGGACAAATATTCAAACCACAGCAGGCAGATTTGGTGGGAGGGGGTTGGGGAAGGCATGTCTAATTCGTAGCCACTCCCCGGTCATGCTTGGCTGTAGCAGCAAAGGCCATGGGAAGGGCAGGGTCAATGGCTCCAGTTGCAAGCAAGGCACAGCATCAGGCCCTCCTCACTTCTCCTGTCTCACCCACTCCAAGGTAGAGAGACTAAGGGTTAAATAAATTGAGGCTGGCCTCTATCCCCCTTCCATTCCTTCTTTCTGCTCTTCTTTTCAGATGTCCACCTTCCTCTCAGTTGACTGTGAGCTTTAGTGGAGGCCAACACCATCCCAGGTGGGGTCTCAGAACCACTGCCAGCGGTTGGTTTAAGGGTAGACCTATGATGTGATTCTGGTCAATGGAACTTGAAAGCAAGTGTCCTGGGGGTTTCTAGGAAGCATTTCTTTTCTTAAAAGAAGACACGTAGGAAGAGACTGTGGCATCCTCTGTTGGACAGTGTTGCATGGGCAAGAAGCAGCCATCTTGGTGCCATGAGGAGCCAAGGCCTGGGACAAAGACAGCTCCCAAAGAAAGAGGCAAAGAACCTGGGTCTCTGGTGACACAGCTGGGTCTTTCTTTTTTAACCAATCCTGGAGGAGGTCCTCAGGATTTCTTATTAGGTAAGATAATAAACATCTTATAATTTAAACCAACAAACTTAGGATTTTCTGTTACTTTTAGCTAAAAGCTTCTAAAGCCATAAGGAGGCCTGGCCCAGGCCCTAATGACCTATATTCACATCCCAGCCCAGCGAGAATCAGGACTTGATTTTGGCCCAGTCCCTCCATTCTCTAGGACTGCAGAAGCAGAGGTCAGATGTGCTGGCCCCTTTGGTGGCTATCATCCTTCAAGATGGGATGGTATCCCTGGGAGGAGGGACAGTGTGGAGGTCAAGCACACAGGCAGAGGGGCTGCCTGGGCCGAACCTGGACACCCACTTACGTTCAATGTGATCTAGGGAAGTGGCTCACTGTCTTCCCACTCTGCTTCCTCTTGCATAAAATAAGGTTAATGATACCTAGGTCAGAGCACTGGACATTTGGGTTGTTTTCTTTTTTTCTTTATTATTAACATTCCCATAAGAAAAAAAAGAAAACTTGTACAGGTAACTCTTTATGCCCACCCAAGAAAATATTCTTAGAAGTGAAATTGCTGGGACAAAAATTACACAAAATTCTAAAGTCTTTGCTCTGCATCTTGCTTTGTGGAAATGCACCAATTTATCCCCATCACTAGTGTAGGAGAGAGACTGCTTCCCACATTCTGTTCAACGCTGGGCATCATTCTTCTCTTAGCTTTGAAATTTGATATTCAGAAACCAACGGGTCCTGTTGTTTTATTTTATATTTTTAATTACAGGTAAGGTTGAACTTTCTTCTTAGGCATATTGGCATGTGTATATCTTTCATCCATAAATTGCCAGTTCATGTCTTTTGCCCACTTTTTTCTGGAGTTTTTTCTTTTGACACAGAGTTTTGCCCTGTTGCTCAGGCTGGAGTGCAGTGGTGCAGTCAGAGCTCACTGCAGCCCAATCCTCTGGGCTCAAGTGATCCTTCCACCTCAGCTGCCCAGGTAGCTTGGACTACAGGTGCGTGCCACCACACCGGCTAATTTTTGTATTTTTTGTAGAGATGGTGTTTCACCATGTTGCCCAGACTGGTCTTGAACTCCTGGGCTCAAGCGATTCACCCATCTTGGCCTCCCAAAGTGCTGGGATTACAGGTGTGAGCCACTGTGCCCGACATTTATCTGATTACTTTAATTCCTTTCTCCTTTTCCTTTGAGTTCCAGAAACAGTATCAAGTTACTTTTTAAACACAGATGCCAGCATCTGTGTGCTGTCAATTTTATGCTCACTGTCTTTCCTGAGGTTTTCTTTTCACCTCACTTGACAATTGTGTGTCCCTTCTCCAAGCAGTCTTTCTGAACTTCAGCCTATGTTGTTTTCAAGACTTCCTGCTTGTTAGTCTGCTTGGGATGCCATAACAAAATACCGTGAACTGGGTGGCTTAAATAGCAAAAATGTATTTTCTTACAGTTCTGGAGGCTGGAAGTCCAAGTTCAGAGTGCCAGCCTGGCCGAGTTCTGGTCAGGGCTATCTTCCTGGCTTGCAGACGGCTGCCTTCTCACTGTGTGCTTTCCCAGGAGCATGCATGTGGAGAGCTCTCTCTTCCTCCTTTCTTAAGGACACTAATCCCATCACGAGTCCTCCATTCTGATGACCTAATCCAACCCCAATCACCTTCCAAAGACTCTGTCTTCAAACACCATTGCACTGAGCTTCACCATAGGAATTTTGGGGAGGGGGCAAAATTCAGTCCATAGCATTGCTCTCCTTTCATAGGCCTGATGATGTTGAGAATCTTATGTGAATTACAATGAAAGGATTTTTGTAATATTTTCTCCTGTTTCTTGCAGCAAGCCTGTTTCATCAAGCTATATTCTCTCCTGTTCTCAGATCAGTTCCTGTCTTGTGAACTTCTGGGTTTTGTTGTATAACTGGCTATTTTTTTCTCTGTTTGCTCATCCTGACAGATGGGGAGGAAGGGAGTAGGGATGCTGTCTATAGTTGTCCAGTTTTCAGAAAGGAGCTGCATTCACGGTAAACTTTCAGAGCTTTGCAGACCAAATTTGAGGGGAAGGGGTTGGTGTTTTGATGTATTTTTGCCTTTACTTGGTCAGACTGATGGTCTGGTTGTCTCTGGCAATAATGAAAGCAACATCAGCCTGAGGCAGGGCATCGCATTCTTGAGCCAAGTAGAACCCTCTGTGCTGATGGGGCTGACTGGATCCATCACCCTGTCATGAGTCTGCAGCTCAGTGCACCTAGGTATACCCTATGTCTTCCTGGACTTGGAGCTTGATGCCACCACATTCCAGTGGAGTCAGCTGGGGGTGCTTATAGCAGCAAGTAACAGAACATATGATGAAATTGGACTGAGTAACAGGAGATTATTATTCTCCCTTCAGAAGACACCTGAAGCTGGGTGCTTCCAGGATGGGCCCAGGGATCAGCAGCTTGATTAAGGATGCAGAGCCTTCCATTCCTGATGCAGAGCCTTCCATTCCTTCCCTGCTATCCCCTCAGGGACAGTGATGCCGTTGGTCATGACCATGAGATGGCTGCCAGGACCCACACATCCCTCCTCCTGACAAAGTGTGTGAGCAGAACTGCTCACGAAGCCTCCTTCATTTTGTCAGGGAAAATATTTTTTCACAGAAGCTCCCTGTCTTAGGTCAGTTCCTCCAGGAGAATGCAGGGACGAGGGCTCCTTGCAGGATTATTAAGAAGGTGCTCCTATGATGGAGGGGAAGAAGGGAAGCAAGCACAAGATTCCATGCAGAGTCAGCTCAGCCTGATCCTGTGGGACCTCTGCAGCGTGAATCATGCTTCGGAGCCTGTGCCACCTCCTGGGCCCCAAACTCCTGCACTCTTTAGTCATTAACCATGGGCCATCCTAGGGATTATAAACTCCCAGATACTTCTAGCCCAAGGGAAAGCAATTGCAGGCAAAGGTCAAAAGCATTCAGAAAGAGTTGTCAAATGTAGCAAGTGTATAATACAGTATTCTCAGTTAAATTTGAATTTTAAATCAATAACAAGTCATTTTTAGCATAAGTACGTCCCATACAATATTTGTGACATACTTATACTAAAAAAGTATTCACCGTTTCTCTGAAATTCAAATTAAATTGTGCATCCTGTATTTTATCTGGCCACACTAACTCAGAAACCAAATAGAGACATATAAATGTAAGAGGGACCTGGTGGACTCTGCCATACCCCCTCACATCCCTTTGGACAGGACTGGGTCATCGGGCCTCTCTCAGCTGTGAAGAGTGACTGCTTCAGTCTCAGTCTGGGAAGGTGGGTTCTCCCAGCAGGGAAGAGGTGGGAGGGAGGGAACAGCTGGTGGGGATAAAGTCCACAGGTTCAGCCATTGAGCCAGCCCTTCCCTGTTCCTGGGAAGAAACACCGCTGGAGACAGGAATTCCCCAGTGCTGATGTGGGTCAACAGAAACTTCCTCCATTCCCTGTCCACATTTCTGAAGATGTCCTTCTTGAACTCACTTCCTGCCTCCCATCCCGCAATAGCTGAGCTGGGATTCATGGTAGATGCTCCCTCCCAGCCCTGCTGTATGACACCCACTCGGGTCCCTGTTCAGTGTGAACAGCAGTGCCCCTTATCTTCCACCACAGGCGACTGCCCCAAATTCTGCTGTCCTCATACGCTTCATGCTCTCTGGTATGAGCTGGGCTCCATGGGGCTCCTTGCCCAAGTGTGGATAAGCACATGGCCCAGCTGTTAATTTGTATAGATGGGCACCAAAGGCAAAATCAAGTAGGGTAACTATGACCCTTGAAAATCACTGAACCTGCCTACTACCTACAGTGTCTTCTGCTGAGCATCAAATGCAGCATGGGCTTGTTTTTAGAGACCCAGTGGTTGGAAAGTATATGTCTTTAGACTCTAGACTCCTTTTCCAGCTGGGAAGCTCACATTCGTGTCCCCAGGAGCCAAGCTGGGCTGATGGCTGATTGATATCTTTGCTATATTGCTATATTGTTACATTACTGGGGATAGGAAGGTGGGGGTCTAAATGCATGTGTTCGGGTCACTACCTTGAGCTGAAAAGAGGCATCAAAGGATTTCGGAACTGGAATTCCCAATTTTACCTACAATGAAACAGAATTAGAGAGCTTGCCCTGGCTCTGTAATTAGAGGGTGGCCTGGCTAATGAGGACTATTAAGGTTTCCTAAGTTGTATGATGACAGGAGAGGAGTGAGATTTAAGAAAATGCCAAATAAAATTGGACCCAACACTGATCCTACTTCAGCCAGATAAGCCCCTGTCACTGGTCGCCTTCATTTCTTTTTGCTAAACTGGTTTTATATCCTTGATACACAATGTTCTTCCTCATTGCCATTTTGATTCTTTCTTTACCAAATGTCTTAGTCAGTTCAGCTGCTATAACAAACATACCCTAGACTGGGTGGCTTAAGTGACAAATTTTAATTACTCACAGGTCTGGGGGCTGAGAAGTCCACAATGAAGACATCAGCAGATCCAGTGTCTGGTGAGGACTGGAGGGTTCCTAATTGGAGATGCACCTTCTCACTGTCCTTACATGGCAGAGAGAGAGAAAGCAAATTCTCATGTCTCTTTTTATAACCCCATTCATGAAGGCTGCATGCTCATGACCTAAATACCAATCAAAGGCCCCACCTCTAAGTATCCTTATGTTAGGGGTTAGGGCTTCAACATTGGAATGTGTGGGGGGAGCACAGACATGCAGCCTATGGCACCAACCGCCAGGAGACACCAGTGCTGGGTCAGGAGCTGTCTGGATTCTACAGAAAGCAGAGCCTGAAGTGACCCCAGGGAGCAGGGAATCCCCATTGAGACAAGGAAGGAGGAGACAGCAACACAAGGCTGTGTTACCAAGGCACAGATGGCTCAGTTCCCTGGGACCCCGGAGAAGCAAACAGAAGTTGTCCACCTGAACGCAGAGGGTGTGTGCTCCTGTGCCTCTGATTCAAGTATCTTTCTTCTTCCAGTATAATGGGAGTGTGGGGAAAAGGATGCCTCTTTATCGTGACTCTACTTGGACTTTACAATATAAATATTCAGTAGGCAAATGTGGGCTGTTTTTACAGCATCAGTCTGTCAGCTGGCTTCCCCCATTGATTGACTGGCTCATGCTTCTGGACCATACCTGGGTGTGGCGGAGAAGGCTCCCCTGGCTTCTGAGAAGGCTGTGAAGCAGAGGATGCCCATGCACTTGGGGTGGGGCATGTGGAGTCTGAGCTGGCAAGAGCCAGCCACTGCCGCTGACGTCAGAGGTGCTTGGAGAGGGTGAGGCACGTGGACACCACAGCCAGACCTTGGTGCGAGGATTGCTCATCCTCACCAGGGCTCAGCAACATACAGAGGCCCAGAGAGGTCAAATGATCTCCTTATATGTCCCTATCCACCCAGCCTCTGCCCCACGAGCTCAGGCCTATGGAGGTGGCATGCTTCCTACTCTAATTCCCATATGACTTCTGTCTTTCCTCCAAAACCGTGGGCTCCGAATTGGCAGAATTGTCTCTTTTGCTGCTCAATCCCAGTGCTGAGCATTGGCCTGCACCTAGTAGGTCCTCAGCCAATGTTTTTCAATGAATGCAGCAATGATGACATGAAAACAGCTGTTTAAATCCCTGTGCCTCTGATTCAAGTATCTTTCCTCTTCCAGTGTAACAAAAGTGTGGGGGAAAGGATGCCTCTTTATTGTGATTCGACTTGGATTTTACAATGTAAATATTCAGTAGCCAAAGGTGGGATGTTTTTACAGCAACGATTAGCACTCCGGCAGGCTGGGCAAATATAACTTGTCAGATGGGATTGGAGGTCTTCGAGTGTTGACTTAACACCTATAAACGGCGCAGAAACAACCCATTTCTGCCTGGCCCATGCTTCTCTTCTCCTGGCCTCTCCTCTCCTCCACAGCAGATGGTGCCCTCAGGCAAGCCCGGGAGGACACCCTGGCTTTGGGCCTTGGCCACCTGGATGCCTATAGTGCCATTTTCTGAGTTGGAGAAGAGGGGCTCAGGGATTGGCACTGGAGGCTGGAGATTCAGGATCAAGATCTCAGCTGGGGAGTGGCAGGGCGGCCAGCGTGAGAGCCAACTCCCTTGTGGGTACTTCCGGCCAAGACCCTCCACATCCTGAAGGTGCCTCCCAGTTATCTTCCTCTGAGAGCTGTATGGGGAAGCTGGGGTCAGGATCAGGGAGAAGCTTCGGGGAAGGCAGACCGGTTGCATCATGTCTCTTCACCTCCATCTGTGCATGTGGGCATCTGGGGAGTGTGGTAATTAGCAGAATTACTCTCCACACACACAGGAACACTCACGTGCACACCCAGACACATACATACACACATGTGCACACATGCATATCCACACACTTGCACACATGTACACACATGTGCCCACATGCAAATGCACACACACATGCACACACATACATACATGTGCCCACAATGCCTATGCACACACACACATCCACACATACACAGTCGGCTCAGACCTGGCAGTAGCTGACACACTTGCTGTCTAGACAAGGCTAAGAGCTGGTGTGCCACTGTTGGGGAGTGGGCAGCTTTGAGCTTCAGCTGGGGCTGCATGCAAACATGAACACACGCTCACGTGTGCACATACATACACACGCATGCACACTTGCACACTGGGATGGTTTAGTAAAGTTTAATTAACATGCAGAATGTGCTTGATCACACCCGGGGGGAAATCCCAGCGCATGGAAGGGCTGGACAGTGAGCTCCCACGCTTTGGATCCCTGTCATCAAATCACCATGTATCTTGGAATTAAGGAATACGCAGCCCCTGGTGATCTGCCCTGTCTCCTGCAGGTGCTTCCACATGAGTTTTCTGGAGGCTGTGCCATGCTCAGTCACTTAAATGTCCAACCCCCTTTGCAGGTAACTGGCTCCTCCGTGGGGCTGCTCGGGGCTCGGGGTTCAGGGATTCTAGAGAGGCCATCTCAGACAGGCAGGAAGGAGGGGCTGGAGTTTGGCTGCCAGAGTCGGCGGCTGCTGCCTTAAAATATTCCAGTCACATCACTGGCGGCGAAGCCGTAACCCGGGTGCATTGTAAGAGAGGGAGAATTTCATTTTGTTTTTGAAATGCTGTTATTACACACTCAGGAAACCCACAAAGGCACCTTGGCAGGACAGGATCAAATAAATACCTGAACTCGGAGTGCAGCAACATTTACTTAGCAAATGACATTTTAATGCCGCAAGTCGAATTTACATACTAATTAAAATTTCCCTTTAAAACATTGAGACTTTTGGCCTCCCCGCCTACCCAAAGTGACAAAGATTAAAAGATTTTTTATGACGTCCTGTCAGACAGAGCTCCCTGGAAAAGGTGGAGACACATTCTCACCATCCCCAGACTGCCTTCTTGGGCAGAATTTAGTGGCTGGGCCTTGGTGCCGCGGCCATCACCTGCCCTGGGCTGGGCTGGAGTCCCCTAGGAGGTGAGGCCCTCCAACCCCGCTTACTGTGAGTTGGGAACCCCAGCAGGAAAGGAGGTTGAGGGCTGCCTCGTAACTTGGTGAGGAGGCTTCACCATCCCTTCGGTGCCTTCAGGGAACGTTCTTCCCGGTCTTTGGTGGTCCTGGCGTAATTTTAAAAATGTGCCAAGTCTACCCAGGCAGGAAGCAACTCTGAAGGTTCATTTTGGTCCTGGAGCCAAGAGTCCCAGGCCAGCTGGGAACATATCCCTCTCTGCCTGATGAACAGGAGAAAGAGTTGCCTTTTCCAATTGTGTTCTCCCTTTGTTTCCCCTTCCTCCCCAAGGCTTATGTAAGTTGTGAGGGCTGGATGTTTGAGTAGCAGCCATTTCTAGGCACTGACAAGCAAGTGCATGCCCAGATGGCTCCCTGTGGCCATGCTGACCTTCCCTCCCCTTCTGCTCTTATGCCAGAGATGCTTCCTTTTCTCGCCTGTTCCTGGGCTGGCGGGGGGTTGGGGGGATTCTGCCTCAAAGGTCCCCAGACTCTCTGCTCAGCCATTTGATGAATAATTATTAAACACCTGCAGTGGTCAAGCACCGAACTAGGCACAATGGGAGCAAGACTGCCGAGCCCCCTGCTCACTCGGAGTGTACATTTTAGCCAGAGAGATAACTTCTGTTAACAAGGTGATCTTAGAGAGTGGGAGGTGCCCTGCTGACTCTAGAAAGCTGTGCATGAGCCTGAGCCCTGTCCTCTCTCTCTCCGTAGGTATGATCTCAATTACCTTAACAACAACCCCAGGAGGGCAACATTGTCATCATTACCTTCATTTCATAGATGAGAAAACTAAGGCTCAGACACTTTAAGTAACTTGCTTTGGACTTAAAAAATTGGGCCCCAAATGACTCTATCTCAGAGGTTCTGTGCAGTAAATAAAATGAGTGAGTGGCTGGAGCATGGGCCTAATTTATTTCTATTTATTTTTTAGGTAAACATTAATAGAAGTGTAAGTGATGTTCAGATAAGTGCACAAACCATTAGCATACAGCTCTAGGAATCTCCACAAAGTGATTGCACTGTGTCCTCACCCTCCACACAGAAGAATTTCAGTCCCAAGCAGCTCCCCATCCCAGTCTCTGACCTATAGGTCCTGACAGGTGAGTTGTGTCTCTTCTCCAACTGCCTGTGACTGAACTCATACCTGTTGTATGCGCTTTTCTGTGTCTGGCTTCTTTTGCACAACTTTAAGTTCATGTTGTTGGGTGTGGGTGAAGCAATGTAGCACTAGTTTATTCCTTTCTGTACTGAGCACTATTCCGCTGCATGAAATACACTATATGTGTCCTTTTACAGTTGGTGAACATTTAGGCTGTTTCCAGTTTGGGGCTAATACGCACAGCTGCTGTGTATGTCCTCATACAAGTCTTTTGCGGACACATATATGTATATCTGTTGAGTCTCTGCCCAGGAATGGAATTGATGGATCCTCAACCATAAACATGTTCAGCTTTATTAGCTACTGCCAGAGTTTCCCCAAGTCAAACTATTTTACCCTCACACCAGCAGGTAGTTGTTCCACATTTTAGCCTACCCTTGGTATTACCTGAGTTTTTTGTTTGTTTGTTTGTTTTGTCTTGTTTTGTTTGGTTTTAGACCGAGTCTCACTCTTGTCACCCAGGCTGGAGTGTAGTGGCATGATCTTGGCTCACTGCAACCTCCACCTCCCAGATTCAAACAATTCTCTGCCTCAGCCTTTTGAGTAGCTGGGATTACAGGCACCCGCTACCATGCCCGGCCAATTTTTTTGTATTTTTAGTAGAGATGGGGTTTCACCATCTTGGCCAGGCTGGTCTTGAACTCCTGACCTCGTGATCCACCCACCTCAGCCTCCCAAAGTGCTGGGATTACAGCACCTGGCCTACCTGACTTTTAAATTTTAGTCATTCTGTTGGGTGTGCATGGCGTCTTACTGTGGCTTTCCTTTGCATTGCTCTACTGACTACAGAGGAGACTATCCTTTAATGTGTTTGTGGACACCAGAATGTCCTTTTTGTGGACTGCCCTTTCAAGCCTTTTGCCCATCTTTCTTGTGGCTTATCTATCTTTCTCTTAATCATTTGCAGGAGCTCTTTATATATTCTGCATGGACAAATCCTTTGTTGGATATCTATATAATATGGTTTGGCTTTGTGTCCCCACCCAAATCTCATCTTGAATTGTAATCCCATAATCCCCACATGTCACGGGAGGAACCCAGTGGGAGGTAATTGAATCATGGGAGTGGTTCCCCCCATGCTGTTCTTGTGTTAATGAGTTCTCACAAGATCTGATGGTTTTATAAGGAGCTTTTCCCCCTTTTGCTTGGCACTTCTCCTTCCTGCCACCATGTGAAGAAGGACATGTTTGCTTCCCCTTCCACCATGATTGTAAGTTTCCTGAGGCCTCCCCAGCCCTGTGGAACTGTAAGTCAATTAAGCCGCTTTTCTTTATAAATTACTGAGTCTCAGGTATGTCTTTATAACAGCATGAGAATGGACTAATACATATATTGCACACATTTTCTTGCTCTCTGTGGCCTTTTTAACTCTCATAATGGTTTCCTTTGATGGATAAAAGTTCTTAACTGCAAGGTAGTCCAATTTAGCAATCTTTCGCATTTTAGACAATGTTATTTGTGTCCTGCTTAAGAATTATTTGCCTACTCCAGGGTTATAAAGATAATTTCCTTCATCATCATATTGAAGCCTTATTGTTTTACCTTCTACATTTAAATTCATAAGCACTCTTAGAATTGCTTTTTGTGTATGGTGTGAGGTAAGGATCAGGGAAAGCTCCTCTGAGTCACATAAGCCATGGCCCACTCTGAGCTTGCAGCAAATCAGTGTGGTTTACAATGAGTGAGAGGGCAGGGGAGAGGCTTGTTCTAGGGCCTTGAAACCTCTTCCCCTGTTAGCACCATAAAAATAAAAATAAATATATTCTTCTCTTCCCTCATGAAAGACACATCTACCATGATTTACCCTTTTTTGAGAAAATGTCTGGGGCTTTTCTAGGTGAATCTGAAGCAAACCAGGACAAACGACTCCCCAGTGATTCACTCATACATCTTGAGTGAATGATTCTCATTACCCATTCATTCAATGAGGTTTCTTAACCACTTACTGTGTGCTGAGAATTGAAGATACAACAATGGGCTAAAAGAGATAAGGTCTCCACCTTCACAGAGCCAGACCTCTTGTGAGGGAGACAGCTCTTATGACAAAAGCTCTGACTTGGGATCAAAGGGAAAAGTGCATGAGGCTAGAAGAGTTTAGAATAGGAAGCAAACCTACTTAGGGGGCTCTGGGGATGTTTCCCTGAGCAAATGACAACTGATCAGGACCTAAAGGATGACTAGTTGCTAATTAGGTAAAGAGAGAAGAGAAAAGCTTTCCAAGTGGAGGGACCAGCATGTGCAAAGATCCTGAGGTTGGAGAGAGCAGAATGAGCACCAGGGGCTATGAGAAGCCTGGTGTGCCAGAGGCCTTGTGGGTACATGGAGTCCAAGGAAGTTGGCTGAAACCAAGACATGCAGAATAGAATGTTAGGAGGACTGCAGGATTTGAAGATGAGCAGGCAAGACATGACTTAATTTTGGAGAAGGTTTAGAGAAGATGGCCTGGGCTGCTGGGTGGAAAGCAACTTGAAAACCAAAGGGTCTGGGACATTTGCACACGTTCCAAGCTAGTCTCCTGGCACTCATGATCATGCCATCCCTGAGTGTCCTGTTTGGCCGTGGGTTTTCCACTCCACCCTGGGGCCTTCCTGGGCCACCCTGACCATGGGTTCTACTCTTTCACCACCCCAGGCAGGCTCAGCCTCTTTTGTCCCAGTTCTTCCTTGCAGGCCAGTAGTTTATGGTTCACCCAGACCTTCCCCTTCTACAAAGTCCTTCCTCCACTCTTTGTTGTTTTTACCAACCTAGGAGCTGACTCCCCTCCCTGAAAGAAACACCTATTTATTGGGTGTTGGGAGGGAGATGGCGTTCCTGCTCCTCTAGATGACATCTGTTCAAATCCCTGATGTGTTCCTGCTCTACTCATACATGAAGTTGCCCAAATATATTCTCCCAGGCACTCAGTCCAAGGAAGGTTGTCAGTGGCAGTCCCTCTGGAAGCCACTGGCAAGTTACTGGACACCATGACTATGTGCAGCTGCCCCTTAACCAGCAACATGGAGCTATCTCCACAGAAAGAGGCATGAGCCAAGGGTGCAAAGTGCATTTCCACCTATAAACAAGACCCACTCAGCCCAGCTTCAAAGGAAGGGTCACTTCTGTTCAGCCAACAAACACATCATAGCAATAGATGTCCAGAACAGGAGACCTCAGCTTTGGCAGAGGAGGTAAATAACAGACATTCGAATAATTCCACTCCCACCCCAACTGATCTGCGCTCCACCATACTCCCATGGAAAAGGAGGCTGAGAGGACTTAGGAGTCAGCACTCAGGCTGCAGGTGAGATCCAGGCTGGGACCATGTAGTAAGAAGACATGAGGAGTTTTTTGGTCTCAGACCCCTCCCCACCCCCACCCTCAAAGCATTCTGGGATGCTCCGTTCCTTCTGGACATAGTTTTCTTCCCAATTTTCTTGATTCTTAAAATGTTCTTAAAATATAGGTCTTGCATTAAGGATTAGAATTTTCCAGTGGTCACAGAGTAATGAAAACCAACTGAGAGTCTGTTTTGGAAAAATAAAAGACCACAAGGAAAGACTCTGAAACACAAAACCAAAGGAATCTTTCTGCCCCATAAGTCAGAAACCCATGGATATGCTGTTTATCTGTTTATTTTTATTAGAGAAGCATTCTAGGAGAGCAAGCTCTCTCGTGGGAGGATTTGCAAGTGTGATGGGTGGGGGCAGATATGGCATTACTTAATTGGCTTAAAATTTTGTCTTCTCTGCCAAAGCTAAGGAGTCCCTGCTCTGGTTATCTACTATTACCTAAAAACCACCCCAAAAATCAGAACTTCATGCAGCTGTTTATCACTATGCTGCATCACAACTCTGCATGCCAGGCGGATGACACACAGCAGGGACAGCACAAGTCTGGGACCTCAGCTCAGAAGACTTGAACAACTGGGGGATGACTGGGCATCTTTCCTCCTCCTCCTCCTTCCCCCTTCCTCCTCCCTTTTCTCCTCCTCCTCCCCCTCTTCCTCCTCCCTTTTCTCCTCATCCCCCTTCTTCTCCTCCCCCCCCCACCCTTCTCCTCCTCCTTCTCCTCCTCCTCCTTCTCCTCCTCCTCCTCCTTTTCCTCCTCCTCTTCTTCACCCTCCTCTTCCTCACCCTCCTCTTCTTCACCCTCCTCTTCTTCCTCCTCCTCCTTTTCTTCCTCCCCCTTCTCCTCCTTCTCCCTGTCCACCTCCTCCCCATCTTCCTCCTCCTTTCTCTTTCTCTCCCTTTTCCCCATCCTTCTTCTCCTCCTCTTATTCTTCCTGCCCCTTCTCCTCATCCTCCTCCTCCTTCTTGTCTCCCTCCTCCTCCTTCTTGTCTCCCTCCTCCTCCTTCTTCTTCTCCTCCTCCTTCCTCTCCTCCTCCTCCTCCTCTTTGTCTCTCTCTCCTCCTCCTTATCCTCTATCTACATGGCCCAATGTGGCTAGTTTGGGCTTCCTCACAGCATGGCAGCCTCAGAGCAGTCAGAATCCATCCATGAGTGCTCAGGGTATCAAGAGGAAAAAAGTGGAAGGTAGCAGTCCCCTTAAAGACAAAGCCTGGAATGGACAGAGCATCCCTTCCACCATACCGGTTGGTCAGGCACCAGCCATGATACAAGATGAGACAACATGAACTTTACCTCTCAATGGGAGGGACCCCAAATAATTTGTAGCCATCTTTAATTCCCACAACTCTGAACCCCGTATTACTTGGGAACCTGAAGGACAGAAATGAGAAATGACAAGAATCAAACCAAAATAAATAGAACACTCTAGGTGGGTCAGAAAAAAATAAAAAGCAGAAAATGTAATATGCTGCCTCTATGTGTCCCAGGGGAAAGATAAAAGCCATGCATTCATTCATGGATTTGTTTGCTTATTCACTCATTCATTCAATGAAGGGAAGACCTACTATGTGCAAGGCACTCTTCCTGCCACTAGAGACACGGCAATAAACAGGCCATATGAGACCCTGCTATCATGCAACTTGCGAAAAACTATCAGAGGACGAAGACATTAAACACATAATTACAAAATATTTAACTTTCAAAAGGCAACAACATGGAAGCATCAAACCATGAATTGGGGTACATGACTCAAAAAGAAGGATCAGAAGAGGTTCCTCTGAATAAAGGCTGTCTAAACTGGGCAAATAAAATAAGCTGAAGTTTTATGAGCAAGGAGAGGAAAGAGAATGTCCCTGACTGAGGAAATAGTTTGGGATTGTAAGCAGAAAGACAGAGAGATGGCTGGGGTGGCTGGAGCTCAGGGCTGGGCAAGATAGTGGGGCCTGGTTGTGCAGGGGCTCATCAGGGCCTTGTCTCATCATAGGGACAATGGTAAGCTCTTGGAAGGTGTTCAGCAGAGAAAAGACCTGGCTGGACTTGCATTTCCTAAGCTTATCCTGGAGGGGTTGGAGAGGACAGCAGGAGACCACGAGGAGTTGGCTGTAATTGATGAGGTGACAGGAGCTCGCTCCAAGTAGGTGCTATGGAAATGGAGAACATTCAGGAAGTGGAATTGGCTGTCCCTGGTGATGACAAAAACATGGTTTATGGGAGGCTCCCAATTAATATTTATGCAATAAGTGAACAAACGAATGAATTGATTCAGCCTCAGAGATGAGAGAGAAGCGGGTGCTTCAAGGTGGCTCCAGGTGTTGGGGTTTGAGTCCCATAGTGGATTTTGGAGACTGTAGGTGGAGCAGCTTGGCGGGAAGCAGAGAGGGTAGATGAAAGTCAGTCCCAGACCCTATGAGCTTCTGGTTGCCACGGAACAGCCACCCCTCCCTCCCAGGATGTGGCTGTCTCTGGGGCCTGGAAGTCACTGGCTGCTTTGTTTCTGGGCTAAGCATTGGGACAGGGCCAGCCTCCTCTGCTAAGCCAGGCACTTGGCCAGAATGTGGGTCCCACTGGAAGGTGGGCTTTGTCCTGAGAGAACTCATGGTAGTGCAGGAGGCAGGAGGCTGCAGCCTGCCCCAAGGGCTGGACCAGACATGTTGATGTCTCCTGGAGAGAGCTGAGTCTCCAACCCCCATTGTTTGATGGTGCTCATCTCAATGGGGTGCACACCCAGCCCTGGGCCTCCAGTCTTAATTATACCCCAGACTGTTTGCAGTGTGTAATTACCGCCATTAATTGACTGAGGGCGGCCACACTTCTCCCCTCCAGCCGTCTTTCTGACACTGAGATCCGCCACACAGCGCATCTGCCTGCACAGGCAGGAAGGAAAAGTGGCAGGGTCTGCCTTTATTTTATTACCAAGAAATATTATTTCTGTGATTTTCTGGAAGAAGCAGGGTGGAGGTGCAGGCTGAGGTCTGTCCAGCTCATTCTGTGCCTGCTTTGGAATGTGGGCACTGAGAAATTAAGTATTGAATGAAGATTTTCCATATTGTCCTTTCTCTTCCGTGGAGACCCCGCAGTACCTGGGCCATATATTATTATACTGTGCTTCTTCTCCTAGAAGAAGAAACATAATAATAGACAAACAAAATGAAACACACACAAAAATAAAAACAAGAACAAACTCCAATTCATTGCTTGAATTTGTGTTCTAAATACAAGAAATAGTTTCTGCATTCCACACAAATCCCTATCTTCCTTCCTTTCTTGTTTCCTTCCTTCCTTCTTTCCTTCTTTTCTTCCCTCATCCCTTCTGCTTTTATTCCTGTCAATCTAATCTAGCTGATTATATCTATATCTATAGTGCTTGGTGAGCCTTGGTTTTACCCTCCATATCTGTGGAATCTCTCTATAGCTATATAATGGTTTGTGAACCTTGGTTTTCTCATTTGGAAAAGGGAGAAAAAAGTACCACCCTCTCAGGTTTCTGTAAAGATTAAATGAATGTAAAATGTAACCCTGGCTCCTGGTGTGTGAGTCCTCAACTGCAGCATTAGCGAAGTCATGCCAGACATGGGTAGTGTCCTCTGTGTCCTGCTTGGGAACTGGCACATTGTGACTTGGGTTTGAATTCAGTGCATTCAAACCTGGGGGGGTATATGGTGGCCCAGGTACTTCAGGGTCCTGTGGAAAAGAAATGACCCTAGGACAATATGGAAAGTCTTCTTTCAATACTTAATTTCTCATTCCCTGCCACCCACAGCAAGCACCAAATGAGCTGGACAGACCTCAGCCTGCACCTCCACCCCGTAATCAATGTGGTTGTCCTCATCCCTTACACTGTACACACTGAGAGGTGACAAAGCTTTCACCTTAACAGGAAGCAGGTGTTTTTTGTTCGTTTGTTTTGTTTTGTTTGTGTCTTTTGTTTTGTTTGAGATGGAGTCTTGCTCTGTTGCCCAGGCTGGAGTGCAGCGGCGCAATCTCTGCTCACTGCAGCCTCCGCCTCCCAGGTTCCAGCAACTCTCCTGCCTCAGCTTCCCGAGTAGCTGGGACTACAAGTGCTCGCCACCAGGCCCAGCTGAAGCAGGTGTTTTTATGCCTTCTTTACAGATGGCAGAGCACCCCACTGCCAAGTGAAGTTGAGATTGGTTAAGAGACTTCTCTAGGGTCACACAGCTGAGAGGTGAAGGCAGGACTGGAATCCCACCTACTGACTCCTGTCCTGTGCTCCTGCCACAAGAGCGGCCTGCACCACGTGCTCATTCCTGCATGTGCCTGCACGGAAGCTGAGTGTCCTCAAAACCATCCCTCGGGGAAAAGGGCAACCCCTCCAGGGAGCGCCCACAGCCTCTCGAGCTGCCAGGCTCTCTCTCAATTTTCATGTCAGTGGCACCTGTGAGTTTGTCCTCACTCCAATCCAGGGAGCTCGGGCAATCACTGGGCACAACCGCCATGGGAAGCAGGGGCCGTGTAAGATCCTCCGCTCTCTCCAGGCTCCAGGAGAAGGGGGCATCTCCCAAGAGGTACAGGGGCAGGCGGTTAGAGGCAAAGGCATGTGGACGCCAGGTGGGTGAGCAGAGGGGTCAAGGGGCTTGAAGGTGGTCTGAGCGGAGCACCTGCAATGCCTGCACGGGCTGTGTCTCCTCATCCGTGAAACGGGAATGATGATGAAACCATGTCCTGTAGTAGCGCCGGTGGTCCCATGCGAGCCTTCCATTCAGATGTGAGTACAAACAAATTAAAACCACAAACTGATCTTCCTCTGCTCTCACACCACAACAAGCAACACAGAAAACTTCCGTGAGCAAATGTGTGGGGGTTTCTTCCCACCAGCAAGCAAGCAATCAATTCTGCAGTGATGCCAGCTGGGTGTCCCCTAATTCCATTCTGCAGAGATAGTGTCAGATCCCACAGGTGGAGGGTTCTGTCCCTGAAGCTGCCTCCATCATTTCAGCACGAAGTGCAAGCCCCTTCACTTCTGACCTGTAAATCGGGGTTCTCAAAACCTTCCCCTCAAGCTTAATTTATTTCCTAGACAGGCTCACAGAACTCAGGGAAATGCATGTTTACCAGTTGATGACAAAGGATAATTTAAAGAATACAAATGAACAGCTGGACGAAGAGGCACGCAGGGCAAGGGCTGGAAGCATCCTGAGTGCAGGGCCTTCTGGCCCCAAGGAGTTGGGAGGCGCCACTCCTCTGGCTTAAGGATGCTTCTTGTTCACCTTTCTGCAAGTCTCTACATGGTCAGCTATCCAGAAGCTCCCCGAGCCCTGTCCTTTTGGGTTTTTAGAGAAGCTTCATTACATATGCATGATTGATGAAATCATTGGCCACCGGTGAGCCACTTAACCCTCAGCCCCTCTCCCCTGCCTGGGAGTGAGCTGAAAGTCCCACCTCTCTCATCCTGCCTTGGTATCTTTCTTGTGACCAACCCCATCCTGACGCTACCTAGGGGCTGCCAGCCACCAGTCAACTCATTAGCAGATGAAAAGATAACGCTTTGGAGTTCCTAAGGATGTCAGGAGTTATATTCCAGGAAATGGAGTTGAAGTATATATTTCACAATATCATAAAAATATTCTTTCCTTCTTTCATCCTCAGAGAATCATCACTAACAGAGAATGTGCTGGAGTTCCAGGGCCTGATACCTTACTGACCCCTTGGGTGCTGGGCACCTGAGCCCCTTGGTCTCCAAAAGCCTCACTGTGATTTGGAGAGGGCCACAGGCCTGCGCTCTGGCCAGCGTGTGGGCACTTATAGTAGAGATGCCCAGCTAAGGTAGCCACATGCCTTCACCTCTCTCCCTTACAGGCCCTTCTCCTGAGTTAGTCCTAGGTGGTCCTGGGTGGTTTCTTGAGATCTCAGGAGAAAGTTCCTCTAAAAACCCAAGGTGGAGGCTCTGTCACTGTCCTGTTGTGTCCCTTGATCTAAAACCCGTTTGCAGCACTCAGTCCCAATATCCCACTCAGGGAGGCCATTCTTCTCCCGGGAAAACAGCTTTCCAGTTCAGCTCTGGTTAGTGGGAACAGGGGTGTGGAGTCAACAGAAGCAAGCCTGGGGCACGTCAGGATAAATGCCCTGTTTCTAGTAGTGTAATTAGACTAATCGTAGTAATTGTACTAACTGACATTTTTGAAATTGTACTCTACATGCTATGATTAACACCTCCATTTCATAGATAAGGAAACTAAGGCTCAGGGAGGTAAAGTAACTCCCTGAAGTTTACCAGGAAGGTGTCCAGGAATGGTGCTGGCTTTTCCTGTCCTTCTTGGAAGTGGGAGAGGTGGAGGGATTTGCCCTCACCCAGAGCAATGAGGAAATGAAACAGCGTCTACCAGCCCTCCACACTGCAGGAGGAAACTCGGCAGTCACACAGGGCATTGTTAGGAGGGGGCACAGTAGCTATTCATTTGTTTCAATGGGGATTATTTTTTTCTTGGCATCTTTTGTGCATCAGCGTCTTCAGAAGTGAGGATATCCCAGCCCCTAGATGTGACTCAGCAGACCCCTGGGGGAAAGCTGGGGCACTGTAGACCATCCCAGGGGGCCAAGCCAGGCCGGTGCAGCCTGAGGGCACCACAGCCCCAGCTTGTGGCCAGTGTGGATGCTCCCGGGGAAGCACCATCCCTGCTCCAGCCTCGCTTGAACAAGAGCTGATGCCACCCTGCCCGGCATCCCTCCCCACTTCTTTGAATGACAGTCTTCAGGCTTTGTTTGGGGACCTCCCCCTGCCCTTTTCTCAGACGATGAGATCTGGATGGGGCTCCATTGCTGGCCAGCACACATCTGTCAGTCTTCATCTTCCTGGGCACGGGGTGGGTGTGTGGCCACCTTAGGCTGGGGCAGTCAGAGCGAACTTCAGACATGCCTGGACCCTGGAGAGGAGGCTCTCTCTGTACACTTGGCTTTGGAGCTGTAAGGATGGGGAGCTTCTGCCAACATCTCAACCCCCCAGAGGGGAAGAGCCAGCCTCTGAATGGAGCCATCCTAGGAGAGCAGGGACAGGAGGGAGAAGATCAGTCTCTTCCCCCACGCAAGTCTGCAGTAGGGTCTCAAACACAAACCTTTACATCTCCATTCTCTGTGAATCCCATCAATGGCACAATGCCCTCCAGAGAAGGTTCCAGTGTTCAGCATGGTAGGTGAGGCCAACTGCGTCTGGCCCCCGCCCACCTCTCCAGTCCCTTCTCTCACATGACCCCTTCTCCAGGCTTTGCTTAATCCAGTGTGAACTTCTCACCCTGTCCTTAGGGATCAATATTCTCCTTGCCTCTGGGTATTTGCTCCTAAGTTCTCGCTGCCCAGTAACACGTTGTCCCCTCTTTCCGTGGCCGGCTCCATGTGATCGCAGGTCTCAGTTTGGTGGTCACTTTTCCCCGATTCATCAGCTCTCCGTGGGTTGCCCCTTCTGTGTTCTCACAGCACCCATGCTTCCTCTAATAATAGCCCCATCAAATCAAACGGTTGACTTTCTCTGTTTACTTTCTGTCTTAGTTTGTTTTCTGTTGCTTATAACAGAACACTTGAACCGGTAATTTGTAAAGAAAAGGAATTTATTTCTTACAGTTGTGAAGTCTGAGAAGTCAATGGGTCACATCTGATGAGGGCCTTGTTGCTGGTGGGGACACTTTGCAGAGTCCCAAGGTAGGGCAGAGCATCGCAGGGTGAGGAGGCTGTGCACGCTCACTCAGGCCTCTCTTCCTCTTCTTGTAAAGCCACCAGTCCCCCTCGCGTGATAACTCATTAACCCATTAATCTATTAATCCATGAATGGATCAGTCCATTCATGACGGCAGAGCTTTCATGATCGAACTGGAACCGCCTTTGCAAAAATTACGAGGTGAAAAAATTATGACAGTGAAAGAGATCTGATCTAACCGACCCCCATCTTGCCTTTAACTCCAAACCGCCCTTGGTCATTCCTGGGCATAACAGCCCTTCCCCCAGACTAAACCACCTTTGTGAAGCTAATGAAACCACCAGGTTAGGAGGATGAGAGGAGCCTGAATTCTGCTAAGGTGTAGATGGGAAGGATTACCAGCCATTATTCCAGAGGCCACGAGGCTTGCAACTCTCCCAATTACTCCTGCAAATAACATCACCATTGTAGAACCTAAGATTAGCCTTTTGAGATGTCTTTTCAGGCTTTTGCATTTCTGATGACCGATGGCTCCACCCCAACCAGCCAACCCACCCAGCGGTCCTATGGCCCCACCTGGAACCAGACTCAGTGCCTATGAGAAGCGTTTTCCACATCCCTATGATTGCACCCCCAGCTAATCAGCAGTGCCCATTTCATTGCCTGACAAACTGTCTTTGAAAAACCCTCGCCTCTGAATTTTCAGGGAGGTTGATTTGAGTAACAATAAAACTCAGTTGAAGGGGGCAAATATTCAAACCATAGTACTAGCTTTAATGAACTTTGTATTTTGAGATAATTATAGATCCACACGCACTTGTAAGAAAGAATGTAGAGAGATCTCAAGGACCCTTCCCTCATTTCCCCAGTGGTCACATCCTACACAACTACAAGACAATACCACAACCAGAATATTGACATTGATACAAGCCAGGAACCTTGTGTGGATTCCAGCAAACTGACCTGTGTTTACTTGAGTGTGTGTGTTTAGTTCTGTGGGATGTTATCACCTCTGTCGATTAGTGTGATCCCACCACAGTCAGGGTACAGATGGTTCTCTGAAAGGACCCCTTGTGCTGCCCTTTTAAAGCCACAGCCACCGCCTCCTCTTCCCACCTCATCTCAGTCGTTGGCAACCACTGATGTATTCTCCACCTCTATTATGTTGTCATTTAAAAATATTATATGAATGGAATAATTTAGTGCATAACATCTTGAGATTGCTTTTTTTCCACTCTGCACAATTCTCTGAATATCCATCCAAGTTGTTGCATCTCATACTTTCCCTTTTAATGGCTGCATAGTATTCCATGACATGGACATACCTCAGTTTGTTCAACCATTCAGCCATTGAAGGGCATCTATATTGTTTCCAGTTGGAGACTATTACGAATAAAGTTGCTATAAACATTTATGTACAGGCTTTGGGGAGAAGATAAATTTTCATGTCTCTAGGGTAAATGCCCAAGAATGCAACAGTTCACATTTGGAAGAGCATATACCATTAGTTATGACTTGCCTGCAAAAGCAGACTCCCGGAGTGGGGCCCAATACCCTAGGAGGCAGTGAGACCGATCCTGCCTCTCCCTAGGGGCCAAAGTCCCAGCCTGCAAACACGGACTTTCCTCTCTTTCCCACTTAAAAAAAATATGCTTATGGTTTATTTATATAATTCACATGCAACCTTGGCTCTTTCAAGAAATATTCATTCACTCATTCCACAAATATTTATCTGGTGCCCACTCTGTGTAAGGCACAACCCGAGGCACCAAGGAGACAGAGGCAAACAAAATCCAATTCCTCATGCCAGGTATTTACATTATAGTGTCAGGAGATGAGCAGCAAATGAATGAACAAGCTGACGCTGATGCAGACATGGCTTTCTCAAAGTGCTGTAGAGAAGTGTATTCTTTTGAAGGCAAAGGACAGTTCAGCCAGTGAAGTTGTGTGGAGGGAGTGAGATAGCTCGATCAAACCTAAAGAGACTTGTGGACCTTGGAGAGTCTTAGGCTTTTATTTTTGGTGAGAAAAAAACAATGGGAAGATCTTGAGCAAATCAGCGACAAGGTGAGGCTTATACTTTCACAGACCTTTGGCTGCTGTGGGCTACAGCCTGGTGAGCGGGGTGGGCAGAGGGGCAGCTCAGCACAGTGACAGTCACCCCAGGGAAGTTTGATGACCTGAACCAATTTAGCAGAGGTGGAGGGGGTGAGAGGTGGTTGATGGAACTGATCGGATTTGTGGATGGATCAGATGTTGGGGGAGGAAGAAAGAGAAAGTGTGAGAGGTCAAGGAGGACCCCAAGGCAAGAGAAACAGGAAGAATGGGATTTGCATTGGTGGGGCATGGGAGGTTTGGTGGGGCTGGAGCACGGGAGGTTCAGGGGAGCTGGGGCATGGGAGGTTTTGTGGGGCTGGACCACAGGAGGTTCGGGGGAGCTGGGGCATGGGAGGTTTGGTGGGGGCATCAGGAGTGTCAGTCTAGGCTGTGGATTGAGCCAACACTCAGGCATCCACAAGAGTCAAGCAAGAGGGTTTTTCTTGAAAAGCAGAGAGAACTTTCCATCATCTTTGTTGCTAATTCAGATAAGCCGGCAGCATGGGTGGGGTGGGGGTCGAGTCTGTGGGTCCAGAGGCAGAGGGAAAATAACTGGTGCCCGAGGGGAGGTAGGACCCAGGTGGAAACAGGGTCTGGGCTTTTGGAAAGAGAGGGACACAGAAATTCTCTCACATGGCTCTGTTTTCCCAGTGATATGGGAAACAAGGCCCACAGTGGGAAGCAGAGAGGCAGCTTGGAGAAGACGGCAGGAAATAGCAGTCTAAGAGCGTGGGAGAGGAAACCAGCCAGGGTGGGGCTGATCTGCCAGGCGGCACTGAAGGCCTGAGTGACACTGGTGATTAAGTGGTGATTTTTTAAATAATTTAAAAACTTAAGAATAAAGTACTTACTCGGAACACTGACCTTGGAGTCTTAGAGATCTGGGTGCAAATTCTGTCGTTGCTGAGTCTCAGGTAAGTTGCATCGCCTCTCTGAGCCTCAGTTTCTTTATCTGTAAAATGGGGATGGTGAATCTACCCCGTGGGGTTGTGTCAGGGGTCAAATGAGGTAATGCGTGTGCAGCATCCTGCACAGAAGCTGGCAGGGGACACGAGCTCATCGAGGGAATGTATTCTCACCGCCTTCGCAGAGCCCTCTGAGCACCCAGGCAGTTGTCCCTTCCCCCTACATCTCACTATCCCTTTTGTAAAACTGACCCCACTGCTTTGTGTTCCCGCATCTTCCTCTCCAAATGGACAGTGAGTTCCTGCAAGGGGAACCTAGTCTTGTTCATTTTGGGTCCCTTCAGACCCCTGGAGGTTGCAGAGAGAATGCAGGGTGAGAGGAGCAATGCCCACCTGCGGTCCAGAGAGGGAGGCCGGACCCCTGGAGACCAGCAAGTTCGGGCCTGCAGCTCTGGGCTGATATAAGTTATGGGCAGGCCCTGAGTCCACTGTCTACCGAGGTTGAGTCTTTCATAAATAAAATCAAATACACATTGCAGGGGTTCGGGGAAGGAAACAAGGAAATTGTAAAATCAATAGGCACTGACGCCTGAATTTACTATGGCATCTGAGATACTGAAAACGAAGGGTCTGGATCTGAAAACATTAGCATTTCAAAAGTGCTCAACACCATCCTGGTGGGGAAAGAGGAGCTTCACTCCAGATTAGATCATCGAGCAATTGCTGAAATTTCAGCCTTTCGGTGCATAGACAATAACTCCTTCCTGACATCCTTATGGATGGAACGGTCTCTGTCTCGGGGCCATTTCCAAAAGCCATGAATAGAGCGGAGAAACAATTTCCCACTGTGGCTCCTGGCACGAAAAAGCTGACTTAGAGTTGCATTTGCATTCATGTCAGGTGAGGATGTAATTATTGATTGAAAGTGAGATTTTTGTCCTGAAAGGAAGATGCATGAGTGTGGGAGGGAGTCAGGTGTGTTGTTGTGCAGATCCCAAATCCTAGGCAGTTTCTGAGAGAAACCAAAGCTTGGTGTTTATGCCTTTGGCCGTGGAGCCCATTAACTGTTTTGCTCTCTGAGCTAATTCACTGGGAGTGATTGAGACGCCTGAGGTTTCTAAACCTGCCTTTCCAGATTTATCTATACACAGTCATCAAATCACATTCCATGTTCAACTAAAGCCTTGTCATTTGTTGATTTTGTGCATCAGCTATACTGAGCCACAAGAGATACCATGGCGAACAAAGGCAGGGACTCCCCTGTACTCTCCCTCCACTTTCCCTGTCCACATCTTGGCTTCAGTTACTCTCTGTCTGGATGCTCTCATCCCTACCCAAATCTCCACTGTTTTAAAGGCCCATCCAAATGACATGTCTCCACAAAGCTCACTTAGGTCCCCTATGTCAATCAGGAGTCTCTCCATTGCAAGAGACAGAAAATTAACTCACCATGATTTTTAAAAAAATAAAGAACAGGACAATTTATTGGCACACATAATTGAAGAATCCAGAGGGAGACCTTCAGGCATGGTTTGATCTAGGAGCTCGGTGGATGCTATTAGGGTATGCTCTTTCTCTCTCTCTGCTCTGATTCTCTGTGAGTAGGCCCAGCCCACTGTACAGGGGCACATGGGCACAGACATTGTGCGTCCCATATCCTTGGGCTCTAAACACTAGAAAGAACTTCTATCTCTCAGTGTCCAAGTATGGAAGTCTCAGGAAAGGACATGAATTGGGTCTGGCCTGGGGTTTGGAGTTGGAGGTTCTAATTGGTAGCACTTTGCACACACATTCGCCTGACCCCCAACCACCTTCACGAAATGGGGAAGGGTAGTTTCCTGAAGAAAGAGCCAGGATACTGGCAAACAGGAGTGAGGGGGTGGGGACAATACTGGGTACCCCTTCCCCATGCTCAATCCCTCCATTAACCAGAGCCCACCACTCTAGGAGGGGCCTCTCTTATGGGCTGCTCTGGGAGCTTGCCTTGACTCCCTGCTGGTCCAAGAGCTCCCTGAAGGCCGCAGTAGTTGTGTGTCCATCTGCACATCCCCAAAGCCCAGGGCAGGGCTGGTGCCCAGAGAGCTCTCAACAGCATTTGGTGGGCTGGGTTAGGGGAGATTTCTGCCAGTGGCAATGAGAGTGAGAACCATGCCCTCCCTTTCCTAGGATTTTGGGGCTAAAGATACAGGCAAGAGAATGAGAATGAGAGGTGGCGTTCAAGCGCGTCAGCAAAGTAGGCAGTTCTGGGTGCTGTGGTTTGGGGCTCCTAGGAGCTCCCTGACCGCTCCCTAAATATCTTCCCTTTTTCATCACAGATTTGTATCTTGGCGTCTTGTATCTTTGGGAGCCCTCAACAGAAATGCACGGATTCATGAACAGAGTTTCTGTTTCTGTCCTCTGGTGAAGAGTGTGGTAGCTGTTCCCTGCCCTGAGAAACTGTGGAAGGTCCCTCTCAGCATTGCTGTCTGCCTGAACCCACACTCCTCCTCTGCGGAAGGGGCAAGCACCCATACATGGGCTGTGCTCATGTCAAGTGTAGACCCGCTGCCATCACAGGGAATGACAGGGAAAGGCAAAGCAGCCCCTTTCTCAAATCCTGGCACAGTGAAAGCACAAAGGGTGCTATATGGATCTAGGGGAGGGGCCCAGTGAGCAGCCTGCCATCATCAGGTAGGCACCTTGTCCCTGCTAAATGAGTTGTCAAAAGAAGGACATTAACCTCTTTGAGCAGACGTGAACCAACGTCACTCTGATCAATAGGTGCCAGCATCCTGTACGGGCTCATGCCCAAAGCAAATGTGGACCAAGGGAGGGGCGCGCTGGCATATTATCAGCTGCTTACAACCAGACACGGGCATCGGATCCTTGCAGCCGTGGCGGGATACGTGGCCAGCAGGAGAGGGATCCAGGCCAGGCAGGGTGGGGGAGGGCTGGGAAGAGGCAGGACGTGCCAGGAGGACTCAGCCCTGACCCAAGGGTCTCCTAGCTAGCAAAACCCCAGTGAAATACCCTTCCCTTGTAAATCGTCATCAATAGACAGAACTGGACTCACAAGGGCTCGTGGATAGATGGATTTCTTCAACCTTTTAATGCTGCCCATCAAATCCCTGCCCAAAACATCATTTGAGCTGAGCCAGATGGATTCCTTTTTCAGGGTTAGTCAGTCTGGATCCATCTCACCTGCTGTGATTAAGCAATCACAGCAAAGCGGGAATGAATTACAGAGCACGGCTGTCTGTCGTCTGGCCTCCCTCCTGGAGAGGTGTCCTGGCGGGGGCGGCCATGTGGGGTGAGGTCAGAGTCATCGGCTCCACTGCACAGACAGTAAACACAGCCAAACACAGGCAGTCCCCAGGGAAGAAAGATTTTGTGATTCTTTACATTAACTATAAACAAGGCGGTGGTGGTTGCTGTTGTTGTTTTTAACCAAGCATATTTTTAAGGAGTGTTTAATGGGACTGCGCCTGCCATATACCTATAAACTCTGCGTGACAGCACGCTGGCTCCAGCAGAATTTGATATACACAACTCCAAACAAATAATCATATCTGACAGGCAATTTCTCCAATAAACCCAGTGAAATATTTCCCACTGCAGGGGAGGCAGTGTGCCCACGGCCTTCCGCAAAAACTGGCATGATTCGGGGGTGCTGAGGGGAGTGGGAGCTGAGGCTTGTTTACAGAGAAGGCTCCCGGACGGTAGGGACAGGGAGATACATCGTGAATTTTAAAATGCAGACAGGATCAGTCTTCTGTTAAACACCCAGGCACCTTCTGGGGGAGGGATTGGTTTAAGCATTTGCCCCATGAGCCATGGAGGTTAGGGGGCTGTGGGAAACCTCCCATTTTCTTGAAAGGCCATTGACAAAATGGGATTCCTGCATCCTGGGGAAGGGGCTTCCTTGTGTTCTAGACAGGAGTGTTGTTGTCTCTCTGCTTAAGAACCAAGTTCCGGGGGGAGGAATCTCACTGGCCTGGCCCAGGACAGCGTGGGGTCTCTCCTTAACAGCTCCATCAGACAGCGAGACCCCAAACGTGGCTTCATTCAAGCAGACCTTGCCATGGTGTCAGCACCTCGGGCCTTGGACACTGCCTCGTGCTTCCCTCTGCTCCAGTCTGGTTTTCCAGCTTCTTTACTAAGAGAGTTCTAGGAAATCCTCATTTGCGTAAGCAAGTCAAAGGTGCTCTCTGTTGCTTGCAACCCAGGAGCCATGACCAGCATACTGTATTCCACATCTGTGAAACGGGCACAGCTTCCAGTTTTATTGGCATTGGGTGCTAACCAGATCCCTGTGGTAAGTGTTACACCAGAGGGTCCCAAATTTGTTGGTCTCAGGACTCCTCAAAATTAACGAGAACCCCAAAGGGCTTTTGTCTATGTAGGTTGTATCTATCAATATTTCTGTGTTAGAAATAAAAAGGAATAATTTTTTAAACACGGGAATCACAGCACAGATTGATTTCATCAGCCAGCAAAGCAATGATGTCCTCGCATTTCATGGAGCTGCTGGAAAACTCCACCGTACTCTCACAAGAGAATGAGGACTAAAAGGCAAATCGTGGCCTTAGGAATACCCAGGGGTCCCGGGGCCACACATTTGAAGAACTGCTGTGCTAGGTAATCCTTACAATGGCCCTCGGCCCATTTTACAGCTGAGAGGACTGATGCTCGGAACTGAGAAGAGGCTGACTCTAGGGCTAGGGAGTGGATTTGAACCTGGTCTTGAGACTCTAAAGCCTGAACATCACCTCTTCCCTTTGCCCCATCAAGAGTGGTCCAGAGGAAGGACGACTCCCTCTCACAGTTCCCAGATATCACCTCTGCCCTCTGCACACTTGCCCCTTCCTCTTCCTGTTCACCAGCTGCCACGCCTCACTTCCTGTCAGCCTCCAGCTAGGCAGCCTGGGGCTCGCTTTCCAGCCTCCATCCCAGGGAAGCGGCTGCCTCCTGAGGGAGGCCAGGCCTGGACAGGTCCCCGATGTCTGTTTCCAAGCCCGACTCAGTCCGTCCTGCAGGGTGGCAGATGCTTCTCCCATCTTGGTAGTTCCTGCTATGCATGGAAGCCATCGCCTTCCAGGGGCTGGCATAGCTGTGATTAAGAGCGGGCTTTGGCCCCACATGAAGCTAGGTGCAAATTCTTGCCCCACCCCATGCTAGCGGGTGGTTCCGGATGTGTATGTTCCCTCTTGAAGCTTCCTTTTCCCTGCCTGTAAAATGGGACTAATGGTGTAAAGGCCCCTAGGTCTGACCTACCTGTCCGTCTCTGGTCCTCCCTCTCTGCACTCATTACTCTGCGTCTAATTAGTCTTCCCTCCATTTCCTCCGTGTGCCTCGTGACTTTGCACACCCTGTTCCGCTGCCTGGAAGGTCCTCCCCCACCTCTCTCCTTTCCGTCCTCAGAGCCACCTTTCAGATCTCAGCTGAATGAGGCATTCCTTGGTAACCCTGTTCAGACAGAAATTATAGAGGCCACAGTGAGAGCGCAAAATGGTGATCTTAGCGATGCCATCATATGTCACTTAACGACAGGGATGTGTTCTGCAAAATGAGTTGTTAGGTGACCTCATCATTGTGCAAACATCATACAGCCTGCTGCACAAACCCAGATGGTGTAGCCTCCTACACACCGGGCTATGTGTGTAGCCTGTGCGGCCATGGCTGTACTGAATACTGCAGGCAGTCGCAACACATGGTGAGTGTTTGTGTATCTAAACCTATCTCAACACAGACGAGGTACAGTAAAATATGGTATAAAAAATTTAAAACTGCTACACCTGTATAGGATACCTGCATGAATGGAGCTCCCAGGACTGGACGTTGGTGTGGGCGAACCAGTGAGTGAGTGTGGAGAGATGTGGTGACCTGGGACATTACCGCTCCCTGCTTCACACTTTATAAACACTGTACACTTTGGCAACGCAACATGTGTAAAAACATATTTTTCTTTCTTCAATAATAAATCAATTTAGCTTAGTGTCAATTTTTACTTTTTTAATTTTTTAACTTTTTGATGCTTTTCTAGTAACACTTAGCTTAAAACAAACACATTGTACAGATGTACAAAAATATTTTCTTTCTTTCTTTCAACAAGCTTGCAGTTGTGTTTTCTTTCTTTATATCTTTATTCTATAAACTTTTTTCTACTTTAAATATTTTTTTAAGTTTTACTTTTACTCTTTAAACTTTTTTGTTAAAAACTAAGACACAAGCACACACTTGAGCCTAGGCCTAGACAGGGACAGGATCCTCAGAATCACTGTTTTCCACCTCCACATCTTGTCCCACTGGAAGGTCTTCGGGGCAATAACACGCATGGAGCTGCCATCTTCTATGATAGCAATGCCTTCTTCCAGATTCCTCCTGAAAGACCTGCCTAAGGCTGCTTTACAGGTAACTTTATATATACATAAACTTTATATATACATATATTTATATGTGTGTATATATATATATATGGAGTACATGCTTAAATAATAAGAGGTATAATATAGTAATTACATAAACCAGTAACAGAGTAATTTATTATCAAGTATTATGTACCACACATAATTTTACGTGCTAGACTTTTATATGACTACCAGCACGGTAGGTTTGTTTGCACCAGTGTCACAACAAACACACAAGGAATGCGTCCTGCTCCGAAGTTATGATGGCTGTGATGTCACCAGGTTACAGGAATCTGGCAACTCCATTATCATGTTATGTGACCACCATTGTGTATGCGGTCCATCATTAACCAAAACGCTGTTATGAGGTGCAAGACTGTCATTACATAATCACTTGTGTGATTATTTATTTTGTACCTATAGTCCCTTTGAGACCTGCACTCTCCAATACAGGCATCACTAGCCACATGTGGCATTTTACATTTAAATTAATTACCATTAAATACAATTAAAAATTCAGCTCCTCAGTGCTCCATTAACCGCTCGGCCATTACCATTTTAGTGCCAGTGGCGGCCCCTGAGTGTCTTTGCCTGAGAGCCATCAGTGGCTGCTCAAGCCTCTTGTACCCACACATGAGGCAAGCTGAAGGTGCCCAGGAAAAGCAGTGCCCAACCAATGAATGCCAGGAGTTAGCATGTCAGTATCCCAGCTCCCTTGTCCCTCCTGCAGGGTAACTGATGTGTTTCTACCCAGACTCCTTGGACTGGGTCCACTCATCACCCTGACCAGTCAAGAGGTGTCCCAGCCATGTCTCTGGGAAGAAACAGCTGAGATTTCCCTCAAGAGAAAACTGAAGTGCTTGACACAACATGCACAGAGATACAAGCAGAGAGAGGACCATCGAGTGGGGAATGCAGCTAAGACCAGCAATAGCTGGCAAGGGCCAGAAACTGCCTCACTGAAACCTAGCAGGAGCTGGACCCAGGATTGGGTCCCCTTGTCCCTGTCCACCATAGGAGCTGTGGCCCTTGGAGGCCAGGCCGCGTGACAACCTGGGGAGAAGGACACACAACCTCCTGTCTCTCCTCTCATCCTCCATTCTGCAAGTGCTCATTTTGGACAAACCTAATCAGAAGTCAGAGGACAAGGGACACCATGGATGCAGTTTTTAAAGGCCATCTTCCCAGGGCTCAGGATAGGATGGAGACAGACAGAGAATGGGTGAGGGTTGGGCGGGGAGGCTGGAGAATACTTAGTCCAGGTGGGCACAGTGCTCTTTCTTCTAGAACTTTGACTCTTCAATTGAATGATGAAATTATTAGATGCTGGGAGAAACAGTTCCTTTATTCCTGCAAGAAGACCAGCGAGTCTGTCATTACTCCCAGCTACCATGATTCCCTTGTTCTGCCCCAGAGCTGTTTATTCCAAGCCAGGTTCTCCAGCCTCCCTTGCTTATCCTGGGTCCTCCCTGTGCCCTCCCAGCAAATGTGCTCTTTGCTGCCAGTGGCCGGTATCAGTTTCTGTTGCTTACAACCATCAAGCCCTACCTGGGCAAAGCCCATACGAGACCCTGATGCTTTTGGGGGCAGCAGAACAGGACATGAATATAGACATTTTGGTAACATTCATCATCCCAAACAGATTTTAGGGCCTAGGAAACTTGCCTGGGACACCACACTCAGTGGGTAGCACAAGTCAAGACAGAGCCAGTGCAGCAAAGACTTACCCTGGTATTGTTTCTAGGGCTGGGAGCCCTTGTTTTAATGGACCAAGCAGCTCATCTTCCTCTGTTTTCCCGCCTACTCCTACATTGGACTTTGACCTGTCACTTGGACACATGAAGCTTGTTGTTACCTCAGAGCCTTTGCACCAGCTGTCCCCACCTCACAGTCCTTCACTCCTTACCCATATTTACCTACTTAGTGCAGAGCTGGAATTCCAAAACAGGAGACCCCACATCCCAGCCTCATGAATGAGGAATTGGAACATGGAATTGAATAAGGAAAAGTCCACTGATTTTGTATGAGGCAAGAACAGACACTGAGTGCAAGGGCCGGGGCAGGAATGGGGAGCATCTGGTCCATACGGTAGGCAAAAGTCAAGTTAAATTTGGACCCGTGCTGCCTCTTATGTTCAGAAGAAGCCAGGATCCTGTGGCCCCAGAGTAATCACTGGCTGTCGTGCAATCACCGTGGATTCACAGGCCCTCCCCCTGCCAGGCCCTTCACGGTGACACCTGCTAGTGAACTCCACTTTCTGCTGTGGACTTAAAGGGCACATCAGACCTGTCTGCACTATTTTTGAGATTTCCTCTGAATCTGTAATTCCCCAAAACAAAGAAAATCAAATCAAAGGAGAAGCAGCAAGCATGGGGCCTTGTGGCGCCTGGACAACCATCTTGAGGGGTGTGGCCTTCATGGCAGGGGTGGGGTGGAAGCGGGTGACTATTCTCCATTGGTGTTAGGTTTTAGGCCAGGAGATGTGAGCCTTTAGGCTGCTGGGGGTAGCTGGATCGGGGTGAGTGAGTGGACAAGTGAGCCTTAGCTAGGAGGTCAATGATAGTCCAGGCATGAGCCATGGGCTGGGGGCGATGGAAACGGGCAGTGGAGACAGACCCAGAAGGCACCAATGAGGCAATGAGGCAGAACCCACAGAGCTTGGCGACTCTCCATGGAGTCTGGTGGCTCAAGTGAGCCAAGGCTGACCCGAAGGGGGATTTTTTTCTGCTGGACAGGGAGCTCTAGAAAGACAAGGATCCTGTTTCCTGGAACTTCTAGGGCCTAGATCGGTGCAGAGCAGAGACAGAGGGCTGAGGGTCAGCCATCTGGAGAGAGGATCAAGAAGGGGTTACCCTACACTCGCCCTCCCCAAACCCCATCCCACCTCCAGGAAGGCTCCCCATGCTTTGTTTGCTCAGAGGAGTCTGATGCGTTCCCTAAAAGTAGATTAAAACATGCTCTGGAATGCTCCCTGGAGGCCGGGAACAGAAGTCTTGAGCCTGGAGTGAACATTAAATACATATGGGTAAGGCCCCCAGCAGCATTCGGAATGAGGCCGGAGCTCGCGGCCATATGGGGATGTGGTTGTGGAAAAAAAATATTTATAAAATGGCTTTTCCAAATGTTTAATCTACAGCAGATGCATCTAAAATTAATCTGTTTGGCTTGGCTTTCACTGTGGGGAGATGCCATTTCATCGTGCCGGCCGCCTGGAGCAGAGGAAATGGGGGTTGTAAAAGATTCATCTGTTTGTGAGTCAACTCCAAATGAGATCTTCAGAGGGCAGGGAGGCAGTGGAGGCAGGAGAGCAGGTCTGGGAAGAAAGGGAAAGAGGTTCCCCCACACCCCTGATTCCCATGGGTCACCCACACGTTAACTCTCATCTCATGGATGCTATATGTTGAACCTTTCCCACTGGAGTAATAATCTGATGGCTGTGTTTCTTACTAAGATGTTGCACTGTCATTCCGACTACAGTTGAGTAATGGGTCCCACAATGACTCCTACGTGTGGTGTTTCCATTATTTTTGCAGAAGGGAAAACAATCCCCTACTGAGAGTGCTTTATACTAGAGAAGTTTCTGGAATGGGAAACAGAACCACTGACTTCTCCAGCCTCCTTCTCAGTATACACAGCCACCTTCGCCATCTCACAGATCCTAAGCCCTTTCCAACTGCAGGGCCTTTGCATACTCTGCTCCCTCTGCCTGGAAACTCTCCCTTCCTGCTTTAGACTAAATATCAATTCCTCAGTGAGGCCTTTCCTGAACTTCCAAGCCCGGAGCGGGTGTGCCCCGTGGTCTCTCTTCACTGTTCTTAAGACATTCACAACCTCATTTTGATGGTGGGACGCTGCAGCTCACGTCTGAGTCCCATCCAAGACTTGGCCCACTGCTGTGCCCTGCACAGATGGACAGATGGTTGGAAGGATGGATGGATGGATGGATGGATGGATGGATGGATGGGGTTGGATGGATGGATGGATGGATGGATGGATAGTGGATAGATGGATGAATAGTGGATGGATAAATGGATTAATGGATGGATGAATGGATGATGGATGGATGAATGAGATGGATGGATTGATGGATGGATGGATGGATGGATGGATGGATGGATGGATGGATGGAAGAATGGATGATGGATGGATGAGATGGATGGATGGATGGATGGATGGATGGATGGATGGATGGAAGAATGGATGATGGATGGATGAGATGGATGGATGGATGGATGGATGGGGGGTTGGATGGATGGATGGATGGATGGATGGATAGTGGATAGATGGATGAATAGTGAATGGATAAATGGATTAATGGATGGATGGATAGTGGATAGATGGATGAATAGTGGATGGATAAATGGATTAATGGATGGATGAATGGATGATGGATGGATGAATGAGATGGATGGATTGATGGATGGATGGATGGATGGATGGATGGATGGAAGAATGGATGATGGATGGATGAATGAGATGGGTGGATTGATGGATGGATGGATGGATGGATGGATGGATGGATGGATGGCAGATGGATGGATCCATCTATGTCAGGCCTGCATGACACCTGGTGTGGAGGAGCCACCCAGTCAACATTTGCTGACAGGATGGACAGACAGAGAGGAGGTGAGTGACAGGGGCCCTCAGGTGCTTTTTCTTTGGAGACCTGGGCAAGGAAACAAGACACCTGGAAGCAAGTGCATTTTTGTGAAAGTGTGCAGGTCCTCACAGTCCTGGAATGCTCCCCCCGAAACCTGGTCTGAGAAGAGGGAAGGGGACAGGCTCCCCCAGGAAACCCTCAAGCTTCATTTTTAGCTACTCAGGTGTGGGAGGCAGAATAATGTTCTCCAAAATGTCCACGCCTCAACCCCAAGAGCCTGTGAATATGTCGCCGTACGTGGCAAAGAGACTTTGCAGATGTGATTATATAAGATTTACAGATGGGCAGATGACCCTCGATTATCTGGTTATCTAAACACGCACAATCTAGTTACTTGAGTGTCAACATCACTCATCATTAGGGAAATGCAAATCAAAACCACAATGAGATACCCCCTCCCCAAACACACTCATTAGCATGGCTACTATTAAAAAAAACAAAAAACAAAAAAAAAAAAAAACAGAAAATAACAAGTGTTGGTGAGAATGTGAGAATGTGGAGAAATGGGAAATTTTGTGCATTGTTAGTGAGAATATAAAATGAAAAACAGTATGGTGCTTTCTCAAAAAATTAAAAATAAAATTATCATCATGTGATCCAGCAATTCCACTTCTGGGTATATGCCCCAAAGAATGAAGCAGGGACTTGAACAGACACCTGTGCACCTGTGTTTACAGCAGCGTCATTCACAATAGCCAAAAGGCAGAAGCAACCCAAGTGTCCACTGATAGATGAATGAATACACAATGTGGTGCACCCAAACAATGGAATATTATACAGCCTTAAAAAGGAAAGGAATTCTGACACAGGCTATAGCATGGGTGAACCTTGAAGATATGATGTTAAGTGGAATCAGCCAGTCTCAGAGGGACAAACACTGTCTGATTCCACTCATATGAAGCCCGTATAGTAATTCATAGAGACAGAAAATAGCATGGTAGTTTCCAGGGACTGGAAGATAAGGGAATGGGGAGTGAATGTTTACAGGGGACAGGGTTTCAGTTTGGGAAATTGAAAAAGCTCTGGAGAGGAAAGGTGATGATAGTTCCACAGCAATGTGAGTGTATTTAATGCACCAAACTACACACTCAGAAATAGTTAGGGTGGGAACTTTTATGTTATGTGTATTTTACCACAATTAAAATTATTTTTTTAAAGCAGAGAAACTCTGGCAACCACAATGAGAGTGACACCAGCTCCTAAGAAGGGTCGCGACCATGCAACGTGAACAGAATTCCATGCCCCGACGCTGGCCCTGAGCGGAGGTCATGTGCAGGCTGCAGAGAGGCCCCTGGCTGAGACAGCCAGCCAGGAAGGGGGATCTCAGTCCCACAGCTCCAAGGAAGTGAAGTCCACCAACAGTCCAGAACAGAAACCCATCCTCCTCTGGAGCCTCCAGAAGCAACGCAGCTCCGCGCCCCCCTGATTCAGCCCAGCGAGGAGACCCACTGAGCACTTCCCACCCACGGAACTGTAGGAAGGTAAGTTGGTGTTGCTGAGCTAAGTCTGTGCTAATTTGTTAAGGCAACATAAATATTTTATAGCATTCAGGAAATAATACTACTCCAGGAAAGCACAGCGCAGTGCAGGGAGTGGGGTCAGGGCCCGGCTCAGCCATGAACTGTGCAGCTGTAGGGCACACAGGGCCTTGGTTTCCCCATCTGCATAACAAAGGGGTTGGCTTAGAAATGGTTTTCTTTTATTTCTTTTCCTCCCCTTTTATTTGGTGGAGACCTCTTGAGTGACATCTTCTGTCAAAGCCCCAAAGTGCGTACCAGATGAAATATGTTTAAAGGCCTGCTGTGCTTGGAGTGAGTGGGGATCTGGTTCTGCCTCCTGGGTACCCTTCAACCCACCCCTGGGGGTCTGGTACCCCCAGCTCTGCAGAGCCTTGGTGTCCACCAGCATTGTCTGCAGATGGCCAGCCTGAGGTTTCTGGGGGCCTGAGGTGACCCTTGGGTTTGTTTGCTTGACAATATCAAGCTTCTTGAAACACAGATATGACTCCCAACCTCCCTCCCTTCCTGGCCCCCACTGCTCTTGGGAAGGTGAAGCCCCGCTGGGTCCAGCTTCTGCTGATCTCTCAGCCCCTGCCCCCTTCATGCCATCTGTCCCTGAGCTTCAGCCGTGTGACTGCCTCTCAGACCTTGTGCTCTTTGTTCTTCTGCCCACCACAGGGCCTTTGCACGTGCATTTCCCTGAGCCTGAAATACCATGCTCACCCCTGCTTGCCCAGGCCCCTCATGAACCTACTGCTCACCTCACCTTTTCCTTCCCTCCCTGCCTAGGTCAGCCTTCCCCTCACTCTCCACCCACTGCCCCACAAACCCTGTTAAATGTTCTCATACCTCTCTTTTGTGGCTTTGACTAGTTACAATGTTACAACTCCTAAAAAAAAAATTTGGTTAATGTCTTTCTTCTCCACTAACATAATCCAACATTCACATAGCACTTACCTTGTGCAGACCCTATTCTAAGCACTTTATATGTTTGTTCATTTTATCTTAAGAAAAAAACTTCTGAAATTGATACTATTATCATCACCATTTAACAGACGAGAACACTAAGACACAGAGATGTTAAGCAATTTGTCCAAGATCACACACTAGTGAAGGGAAGAGCTGAGGTTTAAGTCCAGTCTGTCTGTCCATCCACCCATTCACACACCCATCTATTTATCCATTCATCCACCCACCGATCCATCCATCAATCCATTATTCATCTATCCATCCATCCAATCATCTATCCATTCAACCACCCACCCACTCACCCCCATTTATCCACCCATGCATCCACCCATGCATCCATCCATCCATCCACCCATCTATTCATCCATCCATCCATTTATCATCAGCTCCATGAGGACAGGAATTGTGATGTTCCTTTCACCACTCTAACTCCAAAGTCTAGCACACTTGTAAATATTTACAGGATTATAGGACAAACCCTGATCTGTGTTCTGCCATAATTCTCCCCAGGAGAATCCTCTTGGAGTCACCAGGGGTGAAGGAGAGGGGGCCTTCGCTGTCTTTACCCTCTCGTGCTGGTCAAAGTGGCCTCCAGCTGAGCATCTTAGCAGCCCTAGAGCCAGCACATCCTCTCCATGTGCTGCGTTGGGGAACCCCTTGCAGCAAGAGTTGACAAGAATGGGGTGAGGGTAGAGAGATGAGCAGAGAAAAGGAACTTAGTGTTGCAGCTCTGTGCACGTAAGGGCTGGTGCAGTTGGCAAAATATAAACAAGACAGAGGACAGGCTTAGGAAACGCATGGCCAAGGGCATCATACAGGGAAACTGGGTGAGGCTCCATGCTTCCAGGCCCACAGCCCCGGGCCTTATATCAGCAGAAGCCCCACCCTTGTTAAACCTGAGGGGCCTTGGAAGAGCCCACAGCCAGTCTGTCTGGGCACTTGCCGCAGAACCCACACCTGTCTGGGCTCCCCTGCTGGGGACAGTGATGTTAAACAGTGGCCTCTGATGAGCACAGTGTTCCTGTTGATGGCCCTGCCTCTGATATCTTTGAGGGGCTGGGACAGGGCTGGCTCCGAAGTAGAGACAAAGAGAAGAGCCTTCCCCCAACTCTGCATTCCTGAGCCCCAAAGCAGCAGGAAGAGTCTCCTCCATTTCCTCCCCAAGACAAAACCACAGCCCACGTGCACGGGAACGGAGACACCCAAGGAGGAGACTGTGCCCTGTGATGGAGAAGAGCTAGGTGTCCACATTACATTCTGCACAGACAGTGATGGAGCCTGCTCCAAGGTACAGGCTCTTTCAATCCTCTCCTTAAAACCAGATCCGTGGACCCTGCACCCATGGTTATCCGTGTCAGAGTCGGGGCCAGCCCTTAAACGCATCTGGATGGAAGAGCCATGACCAAGGAGCCAGGCGGATCTGGTCTCAGTCATGTTCCAAGCCCTGGGACCCTGGTCCAACTGCTGAAGCTCCCTGTGCCCCATTTTGTCCGTCTGTGAAACGGGGATGCTTTTGGCACCTAATTCATGCGGCTGTTGTGTGTACATGATACTGCGGCCTACATGCCCGGCACAGCACCTGCCCCTAGCAAGTGTTCTGTAGACATTAGCCATGTTATTTTTAATGAGAATACTCTTGGCCTTAAACTGTAATTTTTATACCCGATTCCCCCTTAAGAGAGTCTCTTTCAGCCCCAGCTGAGACGGAAATGAGGAAATGAACCTGACATCCACTCTATACATCCCTTTGATGAGAGTCACCCTTCAGGAGGAGAGACCTCATTGAAATGTAATTTTTTTCCCATTAATCATCCGCCCAGACAGCTCTCAGTTCTCCAATTCTCTTAAGCAAATAACAACGAAAAAAGAAATCTTTTCTTCAACCTCTAAGTGCAGATTTCTATAATAAAAAGCATGGCATTGAAGCAGTTATCTCCTCTCATCTGGTTTTCCCTTTCATAACTCACAAAGGTTTCTCTCTCTCTCTCTCTCTCTCTCTCCCCCCGCAACCCCATCTCTCTCTCTCCCCTTGTCCTCGCCATCTTCCTTTCTTTGAGGCCAGATGCACGCATGGAAGAGATAGCATCATCGTAGGCCACGACAGGTCTCCATGGAGTCCAACTTTGAAAAGCCAAGCAACCCTGGCTTGGCCCCAACCCATACAATTTCCCCGGGTGCTTACTCCATGAACTCCTGATTCCTCAGCCTCTTAAAGTGGGGATAATAACACTAACAGCTCAGGCTTTCTGATGGTTGGGGACTGCCATTGTTGAATGCATAGATTCAACAAATATTGACTGGATGTCTACTGGGTGCTAGGACCAAGGGATCTAGCCATGGGCAAGATGCAGTGGGAGGCTTCTTGGCACTTTCTTTCTAGGACCAGTCCTGGAGGAGGCATTCTTGAAATGGAAATTGCAGAGTAGGGATCCCCAAGACATCTGTGACTGATTAAAAATTTGGGGTCCCCAACCCTATCCTCAGGCTTAATAATTTGCTTAAAGGACTCACAGAACTCACTGAAAGCCACTGTACTCCATCACAGCTTGTTACACAACATAATACAGATTAAAATTGGTCATTGGAAGAGACACATGGAGCAGAGCCCAGGGAAGTTCCAAGCATAAAAATTCTAGTTGTCCTCTCCTAAGTCCCAGACAGCACTCACTTTTCCTGGCAATGATGTATGACCACACATATGGAGATATGCCAGCCAGAGAAGCTCATGTGAGCCTCCATACCCAGAGTTTTTATTGGGGTTCAGGCACATAGACATGGATGACGCCTATGTGACTGGCCTTTGGCCTCCAGTCCCTCCAGAAGTCAAGTTGGTACTGGGTGACCCAAGACCCCCACCATAAATCATACTGTAGACATAGACTATCTTGTGTGACCTAAGATCCCCCAGGTAAACAAAGACACTTTCATCAGACAGGACATTCCAAGGGCTTAGAGGCCACCTCCCAGGAGCCAGGGACAAAGGCCAAACCCTCTCTGGACAGTGTTAATTTTTCACTGCCTGTAAGTTTAGCTGCAAAATCACTCAAGATGTGAACTTCACTCTGATCTGTGTCTTCCTCTTCCAGCCAATATAGCGCTACTGACACAGGCATGCAAAGATCACACACAAAGAAAAGCGAAGGAAAACCATGCAAATGCTCAGCAAATAGGGACATTTAAACAGAGCAAGGTGCATCCATGCTGAGGGATACAGAGCAACGGACAAAATGATGAGGCACCGCTGTATGGTAGCTCTGTATCATAGAAAGAAATGCTGTTGGTGAAAAAGTCCATTGCAGAACAGTTGCTATTGAGTAACCACTTGGCCCTGGGCAATTTATTTAACCCCTTGAGCCTCTTCAATTTCCTTATCTCTAAAATGGGGCAATGCTTTGATCTCCTACCCAGGTCTGCGGTGAGGAGTAAATGGAGCCACGTCTAAGAAGCAGCTGGCACACTTGGGGCTGAGCCTGGACCAGCTCTTAGTACCATGACTTCACTCTCAAGTCATTGGGGTGAGGCTGCAGGGCACAGGGAGACTCTTCTGAGGGGCTCTTCTTGGAGACATTTGTTACCAGGCAGCAGCCTTGACCACTCAGACATTCATTATTCATTTGATAGACTGATCAATTTGTTCATTTCTCCATAATAAAGCCCTGTACTAGGTGTTGGCTTTTGAGGAGTAATGAAGCCACACAAAGTCTTTACCTTCAAGGAGTAGCCAGTCCAGGGTGGAAGACAGACTGCAAACTTAGCCAAGAAGTGGGGTGCAGCAGCCCAAACTCACATAGCTAGTCCCGAATGCCCTGCTCACAAATGAGACAGATGCAAAGTAGACGTTCCACCAATGCTGTGTTGAAGCGAGGTGGGCTGAGCGGATGGGGCAGGGGCCACCATTGTGTCTCTGGCCAAAAGGGCTGCATGTGAAGTGGCCTAGACGTCTGGTCATGAGAGAGATCAAAACTTCAAGGACGGGAGAAGAGTCAGGGTGGTTGGAGCAGAAAGTCCACGAGAAAGCGAGTGGAAAGAGGTGGTCGACAGGGGCCCAAGGGACGGGGCTTTGAGGGCCAAAGTGAGGAGGGGGACTTTACCCCAAAGGTGATGGAGAGCCTGTGAAGGGTTTTAATCCAGGGGCAGCACGTTGGATCCATGTCTGCAAAAGATGCTCTTGCTCACGGAGCAAGGAAAGACAATGGGTGAGAGAGGAAGCAGGAATCTTGGTTAGAAAGCACCTGCCATCATCCAGGCCCAAGAGGCAATTTGGGCCCTGCCACAGTCTCCTTCCCAGGAACCTTCGCTTCCTCCAGCTGTCTTGAGAGTTGACTGCTAGTGTAGAGTGTGCTGGAGCCAGCTCCTCCTGGCCTGAGAGAACTCATTGTTAAATATTCAGGAAATATGTAAGCCCATTGTTAAACCATTGGTAGCTTTGCAATTAGCATAGAGAATGTATTGACACCACAGACATTGGCAAAAGCTATAAATCAGCACTCTTCCTCCTGCGACCCCTGAGAGCTGGTTTACCAAAGCATGGATGCTTCTAAACACTCACTGCTGTCGCCTTCTCTGGAAAAGTGTCCGTGACTGAGAAGGTCCTCCTTGCCCACCCCACAGGCATTGTACTGACTGGCATGGGGTTTGAATGCTTTGCCTCGCAGCTAACATGGTTTCAACTCTGTGGCGTCATTCCTGTTCCAGGGCTCCCCATGGGACTGTGCTAGACTCCAGCTAAGACCAATCCTTGCCCAGCCCCTTTCTGCCCTCACTGCCTTTCCAGCTTCTCCTTAGAGCCCTCCTTCAATACATGCCTTGGATGAGGATCTCACAACATTTGGCCAAATGTGGTGCCCAGACCACTTGTATCGTGGTCCTGGAATCCCACCCTGGACCTACTGAGTCAGAGCCTTTGGATTTGGGGCCCTAGCACCCGCCTTTGTAACAAAGGCTCTTTGAAACTAGTGTTTGAGGGAGCTTGGCTCAAGTTAGAGAAACAGAACGAAGACCTGCAGGGACCGAGCAGCCTTGAATGGGGGACCCGAAAGAGGAACCCCACCCTATGAATGGACCCCAGGAGAGACACTAAGGAGTTGGATTTTATTGATGTAAAGTAGCAAATATTCCTGTGTCCCCAGGAAGGGTGAGGTTCTATGCCAGGTTGGGATGAGATTACCGAAATGTTTGAGAAAGAAAGAGCTCTTCCCGCTGAGAACACCGCTCTTAAAACTCCACCTCCCCATGGCTTCACATCAGCAAAGCCCAGAGATCGCGCCAACCACACATGGAGACCAATAGGACCAAGAAGGCAGATCTGCCGGGATTAGGGAAGAACTTGAACCTGTGGCTGCAAAGTTGGCGCTTGGCAGACACTCAGGATGCTCTGCTTCTCTCCAAGATCTGGGCCTTCTTTTTGATGACAAAAGTTGCCTTAGCCCCAGCTCCTAAGCACTTAGAAACAAAATAAAATTAAGTTTTGAATAACAAGTCTTGAGTTGTTGGGGTGAGGTCACTGTTGAACCACTGTGTCAGGCCCAAAGAATGTTTCCATTGCCCGCCGCCTCTCGGGTGACCCCCTCAAAGGAGGCCCGCCTGCTACAGCAGGTCACAAATAGAGGGCAATTAATTTTTACAACCCTCTGCTCTCAGCGGCCACCACATGCTGGGGTGAGGTCACTCTTGCCACTTTATTTTTATCTGTTTTAAAGATGTTGGTGTCTTGAGACTCACACTTCCCCAGCGAGCTCAGATCCCCTGGTTCACAAGTGGCAGCTCTGCAGAGCTCCATGGTGGGTGACTGTGGGTGACAGCAAAGACCACCACCCAATATTACGCAATATTACGTGAGCTCAGACGAGTTCCTTCCCCTCTCAAGGCCTTGGTTTTCTCAACCCCAAATGCTAAGCATCGACTAGACTAGCAGTTCCCAAATTTCAGTAATTTCTGAACCACCACCATCATTTTGGCCTGACCTACCACCTGCACTATAATTCAAGTCACTATTTTTCTTTTCCTGTAAATCACCTCACATTTCTAATTAGACATTTAACTAAAAGGAAACTTGAGATCATTATCATAAATGGAAGTCGACATTCCTTGCCATTAATAAAAGGTAACTACAGAGATAAATACCTTGACCACAAACGAGCATTGCTAAATTCCAGCCAGATACTGCTGCCTGCTGATGGCTTCAAGCCTGAGGCCTCTCTCTCTTTGTTCAAAAGGGAGCTTAGAAGTGTCAGGAGGTGCTAAAGACTCTTAGTGCCAGATGAAGAATTTTCCTTTGATCTAACCACAGGGGAATAATTTTCACACTGTATAAATCGATGCCCTAAAATCTCAAATCACCTTCCCCTCAACCAGCAGTTTGGTTGAAGAAGCTGGAAACTTGGGAAGACACTGGTTTAAACCTTTCCTACAAATCTTTACTTTTGAGTGATGATATAAAGCTCTAGATTGCTTCTGGAGCTTTCTTGCAAGCTACACAGCATTTGGCCAAGTGTGGTGCCAGGACCACCTATATTACAGTCCTGGGACCCCAACCTGGATCTACTGAGTCAGGGTCTTTGAATTTGAGGCCCGAGCACCCACCTTTGTAGCAAGGGATCTTTGAGACTAGTGTTTGAGGGGGCTTCACCCAAGTTAGAGGAACAAAATGTGGCACTTGTCAGAAGGCCTGCGGGAAGAGACCAGCCTTGAATGAGGGCCCCGAGAGTGAAGCAAGAATCCACTCTGGTTAGTGCTGGTGGTGTCGGCCGCTATGCACTTGTGAAAATAAATGACTCTCTTCTGGATAAGGTAGAGATGCCTGGTGGACTTATTCCGAGCCAGAGAAGACCCAGCAAATTCCTCTGACTCTGTCTCAGAATGGTGTGGAATGAACTCCACCCCATGGACCCCAGGAGAGACCTTAAGGAGTTGGATTTTATTGACATCAAGTAGCAAACATTCCTGTGTTCCCAGGAAGGGTGAGGTTCTGTGCCAAGTTAGGATACGATTATTGAAACTCTTGAGAGAGAAAGAGCTCTTCCCTCTGAGAAGCATCAACCTAGAGCTGTGAGCGGGGCTGGGGTGCCGCGCTGGCCCTGTCTCTGCTCTTGCGCCACGGTGAAAACATCTTTCACTGGGAGTTGTCAGCTCTGCCCTCTCTGCCAACAGAAACTTGGAAGCAGCCGTGCCTTTCTGCCTCCCGCTTGCCTTCCCAGCAGGTCTGATCAATGTCCGTTTTAAACCAGGACATTTCGTCTCACTGTGGAGCCTGTGAACACAGGGCACTGTGGAGCCCAGCTTCTCCTTGTTCATTGTCGTGCAGGGACTGCCATTTGGAGAGAAAAGTCAGGTTGGGAGGCTCTGCTGCAGGCCGCCTCTTTGAAAATCAGATGAATTCCAAGCAAGGGCAAAGATGATCGTGTATCCTGAGAGGTTCCAAGTCTCTGTGCCTCGCCTCCTCATGTGAGGCAAGGTAGCCATTGTCCCTTCCTCATAAGGTGGCTAGGAGGAGGGGATAAAGTCAAGTCTACGAAGCACTGAGCACACACACACAAAATAATAGAAGCTGTTCTGGGAAAGATAGTGTCCCTCCCAAAATTCATGCCTCCCCAGAACCTCAGAATGTGGGCTTATGTAGAAATGCAAATGTAATTAGGTCAGCTGATATCATAATGGATCAGGGTGGGTCCTAAATTCAGTGACTGGCACCTTTATGAGAGGAAAGGGCTGCAGAGCTATGAAAACACACAGGAGAGGAGCCACTTGGCAGTGAGTCAGACTGGAGTTTCGCTGCCATAAGCCAAGGAGCGTGGAGGATTCCTGAGTTGCGTGGAATGGATTTTCTCTTACAGTCCCCAGAAGGAGCCAGCCCTGCCAACACCTTGATGTTGGACTTCTGGCTTCCAGAATTGTGAGAGAACAAATTTCTGTTGCGTTCACTGTGGTTCTCTGTAACAGCAGCCCTAGGATAGTAATGCAGAAGCTAATTTACTGAGCATGAAGTAGGCACCAAGCATTTTGTTAAACACATTACAGACGTTATCTCCAATCCACCCACCTGAGGAAGTTGATGCTATCATCACTTCTGTTTTACAAATGGAGAAACCGAGGCCCTGGTGCTCAGCTGCCCAAGTGCACCCAGGTAAGTGGCAGACCTGGAATTTTTAAACCCTTGTCTCTCTGTTTCCAAAACCTTGTTTGTTCTAGTATCACTCAGCTCCATGAGGCAAGAACTGGGTAGGGCTCTTGTTTTCTAATGGATCTCACACCTGGCAAAGTTCCTGGCACATAGTAGGCCCTCAAGAAAAGTGTAATGACTGCAGCTGGGCAAGGTGGCTCAAACCTGTAATCCCAGCACTTTGGGAGGCCGAGGTGGGTGGATTGCCTGAGGTCAGGAGTTCGAGACCAGCCTGGGCAACATGGTGAAACCCCATCTCTACTAAAATAAAAATACAAAAATATTAGCCGCGCGTGGTGGTGGGCACCGATAGTCCCAGCTACTTGGGAGGCTGAGGCACGACAATCACTTGAACCCGGGAGGCAGGGGTTGCAGAGAGCCGAGATAGTGCCATTGCACTCTAGCCTGGGTGACAGAGCAAGACTCTGTCAAAAAGAAAGGAAGAAAGGAAGGAAGGAAGGAAAGAAGGGAGGGAGGGAGGGAGGAAAGAAAGAGAGAGAAAAGAAAGAAAGAGAGAGAAAGAGAGAAAGAAAGAAAAGTGGAGTGACTGCATTCTGTGATTCTGTAAATTCAGAGGATTTGGGAATTTTACGCTCTTTACTGAGCTAGTAAATAAACAGTATATTGAAGGCCTGCCGTGTGCCAGGCACGAGGGACACAGCAGCAAATAAAACAGTCATGGCTCTGGCTTCGTGGAGTTCCCAGTCCAGCAGTGGGACATTGACACTGAGGAGGTGAACCCTGAGAGAAAGCAGGTGGTTCCTGTGCCGGTCGTTGTGCTGAGTGCTGGGAAGGACCTCACAGGGAAAAGCAGCACAGAGGAGCTGAGGACGCCGTGTGACAGAAACGGTGTCATTGTGATGCCTGGGATTCTCTCCAAGGGCCCGTGCTGCATCCAGGACTGTGAGGGCCTGGAGAGCAGACTGTCTTGAGAAGATTCTATAAAAGTCTAAGAGTTCATCCATTTGATTAGCTGTATTGTTTACTCTTTAGAAAAAAATAAAAGGAGGTCTGGGTTTCTTCCCTTGGCCTCTAAGACACCTGACCTTGCACCCAGGGACTTCCAGGTTGGGCTCTTGGCAACAAAAGCGGGGGCCCCACAGCGACGGCTCCTCCAGGGAAGAGGTTGTGCTGCTCAGCCTGGGCCTCCCACACTCCCCTGGGAACAGGTAGCAGGTGCAGACAGCCAGCCCGGAGCCTGGGAATCTTGTCCAGGACCACAGCCAGGAGCCTGGTTTCCAGAGCGTCCCCGCTTCCTGGGGTGAGCACCCTCCTCCCTGCTGATCTCCAAAGCTGACCCCTGAGGAAGTTCTCAAAGACGCAGCCCCTGAATCGGAAGGTCTGGTAGACGAGGTGCTGTGATGTCTGCGCAGGGTCTTAACTTCGGTTCTCTAAAGGAGAGAAGAAAGGAAGGGAAGAAAACAGCCGGAAAAAGAAACAAGAAAGAAAACAGCTATTTATCTTGATTTTTATTTGATTATAAAAATAACCCAAGTTTGCTCTAAAAAATTCAAGCATAAGACAATCAGTTGGTCTTTAGCCTTTGGTGAGTATAAGAACCTAGTGGGGAGATGATTTAAAATGCAGATTCTGCGGGTCCTGTCTTGGGGTGATTCCAGGGTAAGCGGCTTATGGGGTGCACGCTTAGAAGTGCTGATATAGAAAGTATGTGCCGGGCTGGGTGTGGTGGCTCACGCCTGTAATCCCAGCACTTTGGGAGGCCAAGGCGGGTGGATCACCTGAGGTCAGGAGTTCGAGGCCAGCCTGGCCAACATGATGAAACCCTGTCTCTACTAAAAATACAAAAATTAGCCAGGTGTGGTGGCAGGTGCCTGTAATCCCAGGCAGGAGAATCACTTGAACCTGGGAGGCGGAGGTTGCAGTGAGCTGAGATCATGCCACTGAACTCCAGCATAGGCAACAAGAGCAAAACTCTGTCTCCAAAAAATATATATATATGTGTGTGTGTGTGTGTGTGTGTGTGTGTGTGTGTGTATATATATATACATATATATACATCTATATATACATATATATACATATATATACATATATACACATATATATACATATATATGTGTATATATATATATATATATACACACACACACACACACATACATATATACGTATGGTCAGAAGTTTGAGGCTGGTCTCGAACTTCTGACCTCAGGCAATCCACCTGCCTGTATAATCCACACATGTATATATACGTCTATATTTATGTATATATATGTGCCGTTCCTTTCCAATTAGAAGCATTGAGCAGGGAGAGAAAGTTCCACCAAGAAAAGACTGGAAGGATGGTGGACCCCCGGGAGAGACTGCAGGAGCCTGTGCCTGACGTCCTGCCTTTCTGCAAGGATCCTCTTTTAGCTCAGAAATTCTGCTTTGGGACAGGACCCAGAGTGGAGTCAGATCCAGGTCAAGTCACTCAGAGGTTGTTGATGTGTTAGACGTGAGGTGCTGTGAGAAGCGTGGCTGGACAGCATTTAAAACAAACCAGCGTGTCAGAACTCACCAAAGATCAGGATGCTGCCCAGAGCTGTTGATAAGAACCTAGCCGGAAGGGGAGTCCTAGGAAGATGCCGGCATCAACCATAGAGCAAAGATCTGCAGGCTGGAGATTTTAAGAAGTTTCTAAAACTTTTATTGTTGTTACAATAAAAGTTACATAAAACTGGCCAATTAATGTTAGTGTCACCAGAGCTAGGAATTTCTCCTTAGAAGCTCAGAGCTTGTTTCTGGTGGCATAAGTGAAAATCTGTCACATTGTCAGCTCTGAATGTTCATCCTTCAAGAATGTGGCTGTTCCCCACTCTAAATACACCGTAATCATTCTGTTTGGTCCTTAAATGAGCAAATCATCTTCATGGGTTTCTTAGGCCAAGAAATGATTGATCCTATATCATGAGATCAGAAAGGCCCAGGCATGTTTTTGGAAAGTTCAGAATACTCTGCCTACACATGTCAGCTGGGAGGGCTTAGAAAGAGTTACCTGCTGCAACATGGACAAACCTTGAGGACATTAGGCTAAGCAAAATAAGCCACTCATGAAAGGACAGACGGGATAATTCTGCTTGGAGGAGGCACCTAAAGTGGCCGGAGTCACAGAGACGGGAAGTAGAATGGAGGTTGCCAAGGGCTTGGGGGAGGGGGAACGGGGAGGTATTCAAGCCAGGCCAAATTTCAATTCGTGGTGATGAAAACGTTCTACTAGGCCAGGAACAGTGGCTCACGCCTATAATCCCAGCACTGCGGGAAGCCGAGGAGGGCAAAACACCTAAAGGTCAGGAGTTTGAGACCAGCCTGGCCAACATGGTGAAACGCCATCTCTACTAAAAATACAAAAATTAGCCAGGCGTAGTGGTGGGCACCTGTAATCCCAGCTACTAGGGAGGCTGAGGCAGGAGAATTGCTTAAGGCCAGGAGATGGATGGTGCAGTGAGCTGACATGGCACCACTGCACTCCAGCCTGGGTGACAAGAGCAAAAGTCCGTCTCAACAACAACAAAAAACTCTTCTGATGGAAGGCAGTGACAGTTGTACAACAATGTGAATGATGTGAATGTACTTAGTGACCCTAAGCCATATGTAAAATCCTGTGCGTATTTTACCACAATTTTTTAAATAAACCTTCCCCAAATCTACAAACATGACATCTTTGAGATTTGCACAAAGCTTCCATCTACAGTGAGGAAGTTTCACCTCATTGTCTGGAAGCCCCAACCACTAAAAATTGGGGTCCGAGGTTCTCAGTTTCTTGTCACCCCTTCACTGCTCCCCCACCCTTACTAGCCTATTACTGCTCCCACTAACACTGCCCTCCAAGTACTAGGCCCACAGCCACAGCGGCCCGGCGCCGTCCCCACTGCCGCTCTCGAGAACCAGCCATCAACAGCTCCACACAAGCTCTCTTTTCTGTTTTACCAACAGAACTGGGACTGGACGGGTTTAACCCCAGGGCTCTGGCAGTTTCCATTTCTCTGTGTTAAAAAAGCTTTTAGCCTAAACTTAAGCCAAGTATGCCTCCAGGAAATACTTGCTTCTTCCCTGTCCCCCAGGGAACCAGGCCTGGGGCCAGACGAAAGAAGCAAAGAAAAGGGAATTTATGCACTGAAAAAACTGGGGCAAGAAGGACTGCCAGCTGTTCCGGCCACAGCCTGTCCCATCTTTGGGGATGGTGCTGGTCCGGTCACTGTGTAGGAGTGCTAGACTGTCTTGTGCATGGAGAATTGGGAAGAACGTGGACCTGGAGTCAGAGGCCTGGGTGCTGGCTCTGTCTGAACTGGACTGAGAAGGATAAAGGGACACTCGCTGGAAGGATTTGCTGATACAGTCCACACAGAGGCTCTGCCTGTGTGCACACAGATCAGAATACGCACTTAATGAGTGGTTATGCCCACGAAGAAGAAAGGGGAGAAGGAGGAGACAGAGGAGGAGGTGGGGATGGAAATGGTAACAACTCTCTCAGCCAACCCTCAGATGAGTCAAGCTGGCTACTGAGGTCACAGGAGCCCAACCCAAAGTAGCTGAGAAGCAAAAGGGAGTTTACTGGTTCATTTTAAGGCATTTTTCAGAAGTAGGTCTGGCTGCAGGCACAGCTGGATCCAGGAACTCAGGCTCTGTCTTCTGGGGTCTTTCTCCTTCTCGCCTCTACCTACTTGTACTCAGCTTCTGGCTCTCCTCCATCAAAAAGGCTCCTGTCCTTCGGCCCCATGGCGGAGACAGCAGCCCCTGCTATTCTAGGTTTGTGTCCTCCCAGTGGTAGGAACAACACAAAAAGCTTCTTCCTGTCTGTCTCCAAGCACAGCAATTTCAGGGAATACTGTTTCTGGCCCAACCTCTTGACAAGAGGGATGGGGCCATAATGGCTTAGGTCAGGTCACCTGCCATCCCAGGGGGTACAGGGACCGGGCTCTGTGATGACAGTCCCAGAAGAATCATCCTTGTTCTCCAAAGGAAAGGGACGTGGTCCTACATCATGCAAAGGAAGGGGCAGACCCTTCCTTTCCTTTCTCTTCCTTCCACTGCCCCACCCTTGACACCCCACTTCCCAGAGACCATTAAGACCATCAGGTGACCAACTGCCAGGTGGGAAAGGACCTGAATGACTTACCAGCCATTTGTACCTTCAAGTGAATTCATTTCAGGGGGTTGCTCTCATCCCTCTCAGTTAAATGGTGTTCAGATAGTGGAATGAGGGAATGGAGGAGATACTGGAATGTGGCTGAATATTTCATCGAGAAGGGAGGCCAGCTTTGTGTTTTGTTTTCTACACCGTCCCAGTGAGCCTGCTCCAGACCAGGAATGCTCACAAGCACCTCCACCGTTCATCCTGAATGGCTCTGGAGGTCAAGGCTGGGAAAACCGTGGGAAGGTGGTTTGGGGGTCTCCCTTGGTCTACCCCAAGGTTTTCCCGGGGGCAGCCCAACCCAAGCCTCCTGTGAAGCGGAAGCCACTTCCAGCACAACACTTGGAGCGCTTGGAGCACCTTGTGGCCGACATCGAATGTCATTCCTGCCCTACATCTTCGCTGCATTCATCAACCTACATTTTCACTGCATTCATCAATGCCTTAGGTGGTCACAGCACCCGTTCCTCTGGCCACAGTGGTAGGCTCAGGAGTGGGCAATTGGCCTCAGCCAGGCCATTTGGGGCCCTCTCTGAAAATGGCTGTGTTTGCTGTTGTTGGTAAAGTGGCTTTTCCTTTTGGGTGTGGAGCTGTGAGGACACCCGTGGAGGACAGCTGGGGTGCCCCCTGACTGCAGGGCAAGGCAGCCTCTTTGCTAGAAGTGGAACAGAAGCCACTTAGAATCAAGTGAGGAGAGACAGAGAATGATCCAGAAGACACAGCTCAAGTCCCTAGATCCAGCCATGCCTGCAATTAGCACTCTCCCAGAATTCTAGTGAAAATGAGGTAGTACATTTTCTTTTTTTTCTTAGCTATTTTGCACTGGGCTTCTGAACCTGCCACAGAAAGACTAATGGATCCAAAGATTGTCTGGGAGGAAAGAATGATCTGCCCAGAGTGGGTGAGAGAACTCACTCTAGGCAGGACCCCCATGAGCTGCCTCTGCTGGCTGACCTGACATTCTCATTCAACAATTTACTGAGAATCAGGAAAAAACAGCTGGGACTCATGAGAGTCACCCCATGGGCTCTGCAGCCAGCTGCCTGATGCCCTTGGCTCTGCCACACACCAGCCCTATGACCTGGGCAAAGTCACTTCACCTCTCAGTTTCCCCACCTGTAAGTTGGGTAGATGAGAGGAGCTTCCTCAGGCTCGTAGGCTGTGGGAGGAAAAGACAGCCACCAGAAGCCCCCTCAGGCCCATGCACGGCCCTGCACCCCCACTCCCAGCACGGGTGGGCCGTGCAGCACTGGGGTTGCCAGCTTACTGTCCATCTTTTTCCTGAACTGGGAGTTACTTGGGGCCAAGGGTCTTCCTTGTGCCACTCACCATGGAGTCACCCCACTTTCGATGGCTTAGCTTTTAGTCAATAACAACTTTGCTAAATGGATATTGAATGGATGCTGGGACTTTGCCTCATGGATTTGCAAGTGGTTTGCTCACCAGAGAAACACAGACACGTGCCCTTCCCAGGATCTTTTCATTCCCACCCCCAGTGCAACCTATGAGGTCATCATTTCTCTGTAAGAAGGCACAGTGAACAACCTCTGTCAGGGGCCCAGCTTGCCGGTGCTGAGAGCTTCCATCTTTCCTGCCCACCTGGTAGTTGTCTGGAGGCAAGGGTGTTGTGTCATTCATCCTAAGAGCACGAGGCAGTCCTGGGATTTTTCACCCGGAGTTCCCATTTCTAAGGAGTTCTCTGAGTTCCCTGGTGAGAGAGGGGCCCTTGTAGAGACAAGCAGAAGCTGTAGACTGGCTGGGAGCTTCGAAGGCTGTCAGGCTTAGAGATGAAAGTGGCCTGGCTGGGAAGAAGGCAGTGGGATGAGAGTGGGCCAGCCAGGACATGAGTGTGAGGGATGAGGAGTACCCCAATTCTGGACCCAGCCTGCCTCACACAACAGGGCACTGCCACCTGCTGACTCACCATCACTGGCAGGTTACTCGTGTTCTCTGTGCCTCAGTTTCCTCATCCTTAATATAATGCTGATCATAGAGCCTATCTCATAGGGCTATTCTGAAGATCAAATCAATTAATATATGCAAATGCTTGGAACAGCCATCAGCACATGGTGAGTGCGGTGTGAGTGCTTCCCTCCATCTTTATTATCACTGCCTCTTCATGTGGGGCACGACTAAGAGGCGCTGACGTCCTGGATCAGGGACCTTGTCATTCAGAGCTCTACCCCCGGGGGGCCAATAGACAGTGGGGAGCTCTCCAAATGCTGGTGCTACAGAATCGTAAGGAGCAGAAGCAGCTAATGGTGGGAAGCCCCCCGACCCCGGGCAGCCAGAGCCTTCCTCCGTGGATGACAGGTCCACTCAGACCTGACCTTCCTCCTAAGTGGCTACACAGGCTTATCTCGGGGACACTAAGTGCTCCCTCTTCTATTTGCTGTAGAGAACAACAGTAGAAATTGTAATTTACAGGTTGTCTGCAAATTACCGCCTGGTCTGATTTATAATTCATAGTACAATATTTATTTCTAACAGGAAATTAATTTTGGAAACTCAGTGGGTGATTAAATTAAATTGCAAAACCATTCCACTTGCTTGGGAGGAGGGGAGTGAGTAACTGGAGATTATATTAAGAGATAAATTGGGAAGCATCTACACTCAGAAAACCTGAGATAGGAGGAGGGAAACAGTTCATCCCTACTCGAAGGAGATGGCCGTCTTGTCAAACATTTATTACAGAACATGTGCCCTCATGCTTTGGGGTCTCACAGTTACAGCCTTTTCTCAGTGGATTTGTCATTAAGGCAAAGAAAAATAAAGGCTGAATTGACTGTATATCCAATTCAATGGCACTTTGAATAATGAGCAATCCTAGGGAACAAGGTGGAAGCTCATAGCATTTTCATGACCAGTCTTGGGAGCCACACAGCATCATTTCTGCCACATTCCCTAACACTCCACCCAAGCTCCTCCCACTACTGAATGGGAGGAGTGTCAATGTCACATTTGTTAGAAGAGCAAGTGGGGTGGAATGTGTTTTCTTTGAAAAACACAATCTGCCCCAGGGTATAACATCTTAGACAAGAGCCTGACACATAGCAAGAAGCACCATGAATGTTAGCCATTCCTTCTGCCTGGGGGACGAGGAAGGTCACCTGGAGGGGATGGTGTTGGACTGGGCTTTGAGCAGTGAGGATTTCCATAGGCAGATGCTGACTTGGGACACCTCGGGCAAAGGGATCAGAATGAACAAAAGAGAGAACAGAGAGAAAGGCTTGACAGAAGCTGATGGCCCCTCCTGTGGGGAGCATCGGGACTATGGAATGTGGGGTGAGAGATTTCCAGGAGACATGAAGGCCAGGCATCCAGGACTGGACCTTGGAGGGAGCCCTTGAAGGGAAAGTTTTTGAATCTGTTGTAAAAACCTTTCTGATTTTGGAGTGAGAAGCAGCCCTAGAGGTTTATTCCACCTCTTGTTTATTCATTCAACAATTTTCCATGAAACAGTCCCTAGTACATGCCAGATATTGGGGAATACACTGCTGAACAAAATAAACATGGTGCCTGCCTGCGTAGCTTACAGTCTTGCAGAAGAGACAGTGACAAAGCAATAGGCGAATTATTATACCATGGCAGATTCTTGAGTGTTGGCATGGAGAATGGCAGGGAGACACCTTGTAAGGGACTCTGGGAAGGCCTCCTGGGTGCTGACGTTTTGGCTGAGTTCTGGAGGATAAAAGGGAGGGTGGGTGGAGATCAGCTAGAAGAGGCATCCAAGTGGGAGGGGATGTGGAGAGAGGAGTGGGCAAGGCACCGAAAGCCACCCATGTGCCTGGAATAAAGTGGGTTGGAGGAAGGGGAGGGTGGGGAACACAAAGCCAGGCAGGGCCTATCATGGGGGTCCTTTGTGGTCACAGTGAGAACCACTGAGGGTTATTGGAGCATTGGTCACAATGCCATCCAATTTAAGTTTTTAAAAGATGGCTCAGGCTGCTGAATGGAAAACAGATCAAGGTGTGGGTAAGAGTGGATGAAAGAGACAGACCCCTGGGATGTGGTGAGACCTTGGACCAGGGAGGAGATGAAGTCCAGGAATGGGATCCAAGATGCGTTTTGGAGGAAGATCTTATGTCACCTGCTGATGGATGGGAAGAGCAAGTGAGGAAAGGTCTGGGACATCAAAACGACTCCCCAGGGTCAGGTTCTGCCCTGCTGTGCCCTGCAGGGATGCCCACTGAGATGGGCAAGGGTAGCTTTGGAGGCAACCCCAGAGCACCATTTGGATGCTGGCCTTGCTGCGTGCCAGAGGCATTATGGAGAGGGCAGGTGGATGCCTGGGTCTCAGACTTGGATCTTATCACTGACTTCAAATGGCCTTCATGGTGGTTTTAGAGAAGAGGAAATTGTGCCTGAAGTTCGTTGGGAAGACTCACTCCTGGACAGTGTGGACTGGGGTGAGAAATGAGCGAGAAGGGGAGGTAGCTTGAAGGGTGCTGCTTTGAGAAGATGAGAGGACGAGGGCTCCGAACTCTGCCCGCTGCCATAGGGAAAGAAACCCCAAGTGCGTCAAGAGCCGAGGAGCTGACCGTAGTTGGCCCAGGGCCTCAGACGATGATTTCCCAAACAGGATCAAAGAGCTCACGCACTTCTAATCAAATAAGTTCATCAAAGGGGCAGCTAATAGCCTGAATACCAGGGGCTGTTCCACTGACATAATTTTTTATTGTGAATTAATTCTATTTTAAATGTCCCAAAGAAGCACTGACAATCGCAATCTAGTACTGTGGAGAGAGCAGTGGATGGGAGCTCAGAAAACATGAGATCTACTCTGGCTTTACTGCTAGCCAGCTAGACACCTTGGGCACATAGGTTCAGTCTGTGGGCCTCAGTTTCCCTCATCTGCCAGGCCAGAGTAAAATTGATGTATCGCTTAGCAGAGCAATATTGATACAAAAGCACCATCTGTGAGCTCATGTTCCCTGGATACTCACCAGCTAGTGCAGTACCATGAGCCACGGCAAGCAACTTCCCTCCTCAGCCCAGATGGGACGGGTTAGGAAGTGCCTAGGAGCCAACGTCCTCAGTCAACAGGACATGGGGGTTGGGAAAGCATGTCTGAGGCATGCCCTGCACCATCTCCCAGGGGTCCCCAGTGAAATTGCCCACGGAGGTAGCAACTCCACAGCCAGCTCATTACCTCCCTGTGTATGTTTCCTTCCATTTCTTGTCTCTGTTCCTAACACCCCAACAGGAGCTTCCTGGGATCAATATCCAAACAAACTGCTTGCACCAAAAGCCTCAATTTAGGAGCTACTTCTGGGCCAGACTCAGACAACTACAAGCTCCAAATTCAGAAATCAGAAGATATGAATAGTGGATGAGGCTACACACATGTACACATGCATGCACATACATGTGTACAGCACATAGCATCCAGCACAATGCCTGGCCCTCCACAGACGCTCAGCAAATATTTTTTAATAAATGAATAAATCAATGAATGGCTTTCCTTTTTGCAGCATGTGCCTCAAGTCCCCAGCAGTTCAGGACATCAAACAGAGGTGTCAGAAAGCACAGGCAGGATTCCTGGGGTGGGATCTAGGGTCATTCCAGGAGCCTGTCTGGGGATGGGAAGGGCAGGGAGCCCTCATCTTCCACTCTGCCCCTCCCAGCAGTCCCGCCAGTCTCTGCCGGGGGCTTCCCTCCCCCACCAGCTCTCTTGCTGGGCCCCCCACCCCAGCCCATCTGTTCAGCATGTGTAAGCATTGTCAAATTGTTTGAATAAATTGTCACTCCGATTAAAATGTTTATGTCTGCAGGATGACTCGTTTCTGCTAAATTGTACCCAAATAGTCTCACATTTGCTGTAGATATTTGACATCTGTGTCTGGTCTCCCCACTGACGACCAGATGGAGAGCTGGATCCACGCAGAAGCTCCCTTGCTCCCTTGTGCACTCATCACTCACAACCTGAAGCCACTCAGGGCTTGGGCCAAGTGGGTGGGAGGGAGGATAGACTGGGTGTCTTGCCCACCCTGCCCTTGACAAACCTCATGGGTAAACACACACATGCACACACACAACACACGAGTTTAATTTTCCTTAGATCAGACTTAGATGCAAGATCTTTAGTGCCTCTTGGTCCTAAGGTTGGCTCAAAAAATTAAAAAAAAATTCAGTGCCTTCTCAAAGATGGTCGATGTTTACTGTATGTTAATAAGTGCAGATAAATGACATCCCAATAAGAATCCCATACACCCCTGGGATCCCAGACTCAGCTGGTCAAAGCACCAGCACTTTTGCAAAGTACAGAACTTCCTTGTGATAGCCCTCACTCTACAGGATGGGTGGCTGTATAGATGGAAAGAAGGAAGGAAGGAAGGAAGGAAGGAAGGAAGGAAGGAAGGAAGGAAGGAAGGAAGGAAGGAAGGAAGGAAGGAAAGAAGGAAGGAAGGAAGGAAAGATGAATGGAAGAATGGATGGGTGGAGGATGGAAGGATGGATGGATGGAGGATGGATGGATGGATGGATGGATGGATGGATGGATGGATGAATGGAAGGCTGGATGGATGGACAAATGGCCAGATGGATGGATGGATGGATGCATGGATGGATGGATGGATAGATAGATGAACCTAATAACAAACTTACCATCCATCGAATGTCAGCTGGTGTACATGCAGCATTTACTTTCTTTATCACTAGCAATAATTAGTGTTCTATTATTGCATAACAACTTACCACAAACTTAGTGGCTTAAGACAACACACATTTGTTATCTCACAGTTTCCATGGGTCAGGAGTCTAGGCATGATTTAGATGGATCCTTTATGCAGGGTCTCACAGGCTGCAATCAAGGTGTTGACTGGGCTGCATTCTCAACCAGAGACTTGACTGGGGAAGAATCTACTTCCAAACTCTTTCCTGCTGTGGGCAGCACTCATTTCTTTTCCCAGCTCCTTACTGGTTATCAGTTAGAGGTCCTAGAGGCATCCAAAGTTCCCTTCCATGTAACTGGCTTTGCTGGCAGTTCACACGTGGCAACTTGCTTCTTCAAGACCAGCAAGAGGTTCTCTCTCCAGTCTGCTAAGATAGAGTCTGATGGTGGTCACCCTAGAAGAAACATGGCCTAGGGGAAGGCAGCCCCTGCCACTGAGGCAGTCCCCACAAGTTCTGACTGCTGCAGCTGGCTGCTGATAGACATCCCAGCAGCTGGAGCAGTTAGTTCTTCATGGGGGTGGGATCTGGGGATACACTTCCATACCCACCACAGGTAACACAGCTGCCCAGAGTAAAACAAAGGCAGGAGTAGTCCTGCATTTAGGACAGCTGTGAGCTGGATAAGCCCAGCCCAGAGAAGCATCCACTGGACCTGGCTGTGTCCAGATGGCATCTGTCCAGACCTGTGCTGTGATGGATGTGTTCTTTTTCAATGTCAGCTGCAACCATTTCTCATGCAGGAGAAATTTCCACCTCCCTCTGTCTCTCTTCTCTAGGCAATTGCACCCCACAAGGCCAGAGATCTGTTTTATTGAGCATCTATTACATACCAAGTACTGGAGAGTGCCACTCCCTCACCTATCAGTGCTGTCTACATGGCCTCCTTGCAGGGGACAGTAAGAGTTAGAGGGGACAGTGCATGTGAGAAGTTCAGGACAGCATTTGGCTTGAAATAAGCACCCAACATATAGCAGACAGTGATGTGAATCTGCTCCCACCCAAGACACCCCCGACAGCCTCCAGGGCTTTTCTCTCACCACACTTCCTACATCTGGGGCTGGTGACTCTCTGTGGGGGCTGCTCTGTGCATCCTGGGATATTTAGCAGCATCCTCAGCCTCCACCCGAGAGATTCCAGGAACACCCCCTACCTCCCCCATTTTGACAACCAAAAATGTCTCCAGACATTGTCAAATGCCCCCTGTGGGGGTGGCAGAATGGTCCCTGATGGAGAAACAACTGCTCTGGCAGAAGACAGACCAAGACACAGGGCAGGCCCTGGAGAGACGTGTGGCCTTCTCAGAGAGGCAGTCCTTGGCCTACCCTCAGGTCTGGGTAGGATTTCTGAGGTGAGGAGGAGGAGAGAGAAAAATTCCAGGCTGTGGGAAGAGCACAGGAGCCGGGGTGGGGTGGGGATCCATGCTGCTGGCAGTGTCCACCCCAAGTCGGGACACAGGAGCTCTGGGCTGAGTCATTATGAAGAGGTGTCCATGATCAAATGCTTAGCTCTGCCTTGGCCCAATCCCTTCCCTTTCTGTTGTTTTATGTCCCCATCTCTTTTTTTCACCATTCCCTTTTAGGAATAGTCACCTAGGAGGGCTTCCCCAAACATGTGCTTCCTAGGACCCTGATCTTGGAGACGCCACCTTACTTCAAGGATCTCTCACTGTACAAAGCCTCTGCTGGCCCCTCGGGCAGCCAGACACTGCCCCCAGCTCCTCCTCCCCAGCAGTGATGTCCAGTCCAAGCAGGTCGTGGGCATCCATCCTGCCAGGCCACTCCCCATGGAGATGCCCACCTCTGGGAGTGCTGTCCCCACACTCATTTTGGGTTTTTCCGCTGCACTATTCCTCGCGCCTTCAGCTGAAATAACACAGGTGCCTGCCTCTTCTTTCCTGCTCTCCCAGAGAAGCCAAACATCCACAGGAGAGGGGACATGGAGACAGCCAGGGCCCTTGTCTGGGTCCTGCCCTGCCTCCTCTGCCCAGGAAGCCTTTGAATCTGTTTATCCTCCTCAGCCGGCCAGGGTCAGGCCACCAGGTGCTGGCTCCTGCCAGGCCCATCAGCCTCGCCAAAGCCACAGCTTGTCCTGCCTGAGGCCAGGGGCCTGTCCTCTGCCAGCTTAAACCCTTCAAGGCCATTCTCCAGTGCATCCAACCAGCTTCTGCCTTCCCATCCACTCTCTCAGCCTCCCACCCACAATGGCAGAGGGAACGTGGTGGCCAGGGCAGAAAACAAACCCTGACTCAGAGCAGGGTCTCCCTCTCCCTCCCTCCCCACATTTATTTGGCTGTAAATTTTTCAATTTGTCCTCCAGCATAGATTCTGGATATGAGCTCTTCCTGTAGGAGAACCCACCCTGATTCTTGCAGATGCCTCTTCCCAGGTGTCCATGTGAGTCCTTCACCCCCGAGTCTGCCATCTCCACAGCCAGAGGGGCCCTTTGCAGATGGAAGTTAAGTCCCAGATGTCACCTCTCAGCTCATGATGCTCCCGTGCATCCGCATCTTATGCAGTATAAAAGCTGAAGTCCTGGCTATGGCCTCGGTCCCATGACACCCACCCCCTGCCTTTTCCCACACTCTGACTGCACTCTCCCAGAGTGCTCTGTCCCAGCCCACCAGCCTCCTTGCCAGTCCTCAGATGCTGGGTCCACTCTCCCCTCCTGACCTGCACACTTGCTCTTCCTCCACATGAAACAGGCTCCCTGTTAGACCAGCGGGTTACTCCCTTGTTTTCTTTAGATCTGTACAAGCATTTTGCCTTCTCTTTGAGACTTTTTCTGACCACCTTATATTTAAATTAGACACACTCTATTATCACCATCACCAAGACCATCACCACCAACCATCACCACCATAATCATGACAACTACCAGCCACCACAAATACCACCATCACTATCACCATCACTATCACTACCACCAGGACCATCATCACCACCATAATCATCATCACATCATCACCATCACCACCATCACATCCCCACCACCACTACCACCATTACCATAACCATTACCATCACTACCACCACCACCACTATCGCCATCATCACCACTTTCATCATCATCATCATCATCATCTTCTTCACCATCATAACCACCACCACCATCACCACCATGCTGTCTCCCCACCTTCATTTTTCTTGATAACACTTCCACCACCTGACAGCAGAGAAAATCCAGTCGCCACATGAATGCTCACTTCTAGGAAAAAATTCACACTCGAGGTTCCTCTTGTTTTCCTGTTTATTAACTTCTCTGGGCCAGGAGGGTCTGTTCACAAAGGGTAAATGTCCATGTGACCTGAGAATCTTCATAGCAGCTGCTGATGGTGTGTTCCCTGAGTGCCAGCCTCTACACAAAGTGCCTGCCCCAACCGTCCCACTAAGTCCTCGCCATAGTCCTGAGTGGTCGCGAGGAGTATCATCCTGGGTTTGTGGATAAGGACACCATCTGTGAAATACATTGAACCCTCAGGCACTCAAACCCACAGCAGTGGAATGGCTTCCCTGCACCTCAAGTCCAACATGCCATCTACCAGCCTCAGAGCCAGGGAGGGAGCCCTTTGTGACCACAGGAGAAAGTCTTGCCTCCACCAGGCTAAGCCCAGGCCCCCTGGCTGGGACAGGCTGGGATCTGAGCTTCCTGGGGCAGCAAGGCTCAGCTAGGGTGTTGGGGGCTGGGCACGATGGAGGCCTCCCTTTCGACACACTTGAGAGAGCTCAGGTGTGATGTTCCAGCCCCCAAGTCTCGATTCTCAGTGGCTTTGGCCAGCACCTCTCCAGACTCACATACTCCAAACCTGTTCAGGCCTCCTGGGAATTTCTTCAAAGCTGAGAGGAGAGCTCCAGGCCATCCAGAGCACCAAGGGAGCTGTGCTCCAGGGCCATCTGAGGCCATGAAGGAAAGGAGGAAGCCAGCTGGGAAACCCAAGTTTTATCTGCCATCCTTGAGGTGTCTGAAAACCAGGCGCGGTGATCTGAGTTTTGCAACACTGACGGCCTGCATGTGTGTCTGTGTGCATGTGCATGTGTATAAGTTAATGTAATATGTAAACCTCATTAAAGATATGCAGGCATTAATTATTTAACATTGTAGTGGAAAATGTCTTCATGTTTCTTGACAATGCATTACGGGAAGACTTGGGATTACTAAGCAGGAAGTGGGTGCAGTACTGTGCCAAGCGTGGAGTGTGTGTTCATTCTCTCCTGCCATCCTCACCACCACACTAGGAGTGGCCACAACAACACCCCACTTTACAGGCGAAGAAAGAAACTGAGGCCAAGAAATGTAAATGACACTTGAGATTGCAGAGTTGGTGACGGGCAGCACGGAGCCTGGAACTCAAACCGCTCCCCTCTAGAATCCACAGCACCATGGCCACCCCAGGCTGCCCCTGGGTCAGGGAGCCCAGCTCCCAGGTTGGCCTAGGAAAGGCAGGCTCCAGTGACCCCTAGTTTGAGAAGACTTAGCTGGAAGTTCATTCGCTTCCCCAGGCCCTTCCACGACTGCAAGGAGAAAGTCTCCATGGAGTGGGAGCATATTTTAACCCTTTTCTGACATTTGAATTGCAACAAACATGAAAAAGGGAACCTCATGTTCAGAACCTTTGCAGGCAACCATCTCCAGCCAGCCACACGCATAACTCGGCTTTGTCTTCATTTCACTTATTTTTAGGGGTACTGTCTATTTGTGGCATGTGATACTGGTTTCCCAAATACTGTAATTATATAAAATTCCCATGTTAAATACACTTATTGGACTTAAGAAAGCAAAGTGACTTAATTTAAAGAAATTTATGAAACAAGTGATAATGGTATAAAAATAATTGGGGTTGATGCAACTCTATTCTAGCCCAAATTCAGCAATAATAAACTATCGGCTGCCAAGGAAGGGGGAAACCTTGCCAGTCTTCAAGGACTTTATGTTCTGGTTCAAGGGTTCTCACCTGGGCATTACTGACATTGGGGCCAACTCATTCTCTTTAAAGGGTGGGCAGGGGCTGTCCTGGGCATCGTAGGATGTCAAGCAGCATCCCTGGCCTCTACCCACTAGATGCCAGGAGCACCCCTCACCCTCTCCTGACAGCCAGACATATCTCCAGTCATTGCCCGATGTCCCTGGTTGAGAACTGCTGACCTAGTTGCAGGTGGCACCCTGAGGAGGCCTCAGACACCCGCTCTGGCTGTCGACCTGCAGAGGAACGCAGCGGAAAAGCTGCAAAGGGAGGAGGGCGAGCAACAGTCCCATCCACCCACCTCCCCGGCCTCAGAGCTGGCCCGGGTTCCTCCAGGACCTGCAAAGTCCTTGCAGTAAGCAGCAGAAATGCAGGCACTGTTATGTCTTTCGGATCCTGCTATCCTCGTGGGATTTCTGTAGCTGAGTTCCCAGAGAGACTGCAGCTGCACAGTCAAAAATATCCATGCCGCTGTGGATCTTGGAGCTGTTTGTATGAGCTGAGCTGCCCCACAGAAGTGGGGTGGGGGGTGGGGGGGAGTTGAAGTTGGGGAGAAATTAGGAAAGAAAAACAACAAAACAAAAACCTTCACAAAGCAGATCCAAATGGGAAGAGAAATAGAAGTATAATATGAAATACGGGAAGGGCGAAGATGAGAGGATAGTTGTTTCATCATTGGGGAATCTTTTAATAAGATGCCAAAAAAAATTCAGCAGAACAAAGGAGTATGGGAAAGGATGAGAGAGTGTTGACTGAGGACACTTTCCTGCTCCGACATGAGCCTGAAAACGAGGACTTCTCAGCTTTGGGTGCCTGCCAGAGTCACCTGGTTTGGAGGCGGGAGTGCTTTCAAATGGTACACGCCCCGGCCTTCCCTAGTCCCACTGAGGGTGTCAGTGGCCTGCCTTGTTAAAGAGGCCTCATGTGATTCTGACATGCAGCCAGAGATGAGCATTTTCTTTTTTTATTATTTTATTTTACTTTAAGTTCTGGGATACATGTGTAGAACGTGCAGGTTTGTTACATAGGGATACATGTGCCATGGTGGTTTGCTGCACCCATCAACCCGTCATCTAGGTTTTAAGCCCCGCATGCATTAGGTATTTGTCCTCATGCTCTCCCTCCCCATGCCCCCCACTCTCCAACAGGCCCCAGTGTGTGATGTTCCCCTCCCTGTGTTCTCATTGTTCACCTCCCACTTATGAGTGAGAACATGCGGTTGGTTTTCTGTTCCTGCGTTAGTTTGTTGAGAATGATGACTTCCAGCTTCATCCATGTCCCTGCAAAGAAATGAGCATTTTCTTTTCTTTTTTTTCTTTTTCTTTTTTTTTTTTTTTTTTTTTCCTGAGACGGAATTTCGCTCTTGTCGCGCCAGGAGTACGGTGGCTCTATCTCAGCTCACAGCAACCTCCGCCTGCTGGGTTCAAGCGATTCTCCTGCCTCAGCCTCCCAAGTAGCTGGGAATACAGGAGTATGCCACCACGCCCAGCTAATTTTTGTATTTTTAGTAGAGACAGGGTTTCACCATGTTGGCAGGCTGGTCTCGAACTCCTGACCTGGTGATCTGCCCGCCTCAGCCTCCCAAAGTGCTGGGATTACAGGCGTGAGCCACGGCACCTGGCCCCAGAAATGAGCATTTTCTAAAGCTCGAAAACCTACCAGGTGAGTCTCTGGTGCTGTTTCCATTTTATTTCTAAATTGTCTTGCTTGGAAATGTGGCATCTTTTTTCTTTCCTGTGATTTCCCTCCTTCTGCTTTTTTTTTTTTTTTTTTTTTTTTCATTTTTAATGTTTCTGACTGATTATTGCCATTTCAGGGACTATGCCAAAGCTCTCTGAAGTAGCAAAATCCTCCTTATCTCTAAATCATCCCTAAGCTCCCAGCAATGGCAGGCAGCCCTGGGCAGGCCCTGCACCCAGCAACCTCTGCCCACAAGCACACATCCCCCCAAACATGTTTAGACCATGTCCACATGGCTCTGCACGCTTTCTAAAGGAGAAGAGAGGTAAGCCCTCCAACCCCTCAAATATAGACAATGATGACGTTGAGCCCAACAAATTATAGACAAAAGTTTGAGATCAGCATGTCAGAAAGTGGGCTTGGCAGAACCTGTTTGGCCAGATGTTCACAGATGTTGCAGAAAAAAGGGCCAAACGTGGAAAGGCTGAACAGGGTTGACCCGCAGGACTCCCCTGAGTCTAAGCTGCAAATGTGCATCCCAAGCCTATTCTAGAGCCCCAAATCCCGCTCTTCCCAAGTCTGTTTAACTCTTGGAGCAAGCACCTCTCAAGGACCAGTTAGTTTTGCAAATGCAGAAAGGGGATGCCTGGGCATACCCCAGGAACAAGCCTAGCTTCACTGAGACACAGACTCCTTTTTTCCAGGCTGGTTGTACTCATGCAAATACAGCAAAGCCACCGCAATGCAGGGCCCTGCCCAGTGCCCTGATTTGTCTGGACCCCACTGTGGTCTTAGTGTCCAGCGTGCCATCCAGTCTGTCTGGTCCCCACTTTGGTCTCAGTGTCCAGTGTGCCATCCGGTCTGTCTGCTCCCCACTGTGGTCTTAGTGGCCAGTGTGGCGTCTGGTCTGTCTGGTCCCCACTGTGGTCTTAGTGGCCAGTGTGGCATCCGGTCTGTCTGGTCCCCACTGTGGTCTCAGTGTCCAGCGTGGCATCCGGTCTGTCTGGTCCCCACTGTGGTCTCAGTGTCCAGCGTGGCATCCCGTCTGTCTGGTCCCCACTGTGGTCTCAGTGTCCAGCATGGCATCTGCACTCCAGCCTGGGTGACAGAGGGAGATTCTGTCTCAAAACATAAATAAAAATAAATAAATAAATAAGTGAATGGATGATAACACTGTGAATGACTTCATTGTCCACACAGCAGTCACAGGTCAGATCTTTAGGCAGGTGTTTTGTCTGAATCGCCTGTTTTGATGCACGTGAGACTGACGTCTGGGGCAGCCGCCGGGGCAGTCAGGGAGACAGAACTCTCTGACACCGCTTTTGAGCTCGAGGGTCTGCTCCCATCTCTGACAATGGGATTCACAGCAGGGTGCAGGCAGGACTGAGAATATGATGAGGCAAGCAAGGCACAAGGATGCAAAATGCTCAGCAATGTCACCTCCAGACTCATGCAAGCGCAGGGCTGGTCTCTAAGAGCGAGGCCTCCTTGCATTCTGAGCCCTGAGCACGGCACTTGTCTCACCCTCATCCTGGCCCTGCAGGTCTCAGGCAGCAGGCACAATACCAGGAAAACAGAGCTTCTCTTCCTGGAGTGTAAATTTTGCCCAAAGACTTGGCAGGGGAACTATTTTTTTCTGTTAAAAAGATCAGAGAAGAATGCAAAACTGAAGAGTTTTTAAGATAAAACATGCCCCGGGTTCTGGGGATACAAGCCCTTGTTTTCACCTTTAGTGGGATCTGGGTAGAAATTTGAAAGAAGTTCCAATTAAACTGTTGATGAAAAGATTAGAAGACAGAATATGTGCTTATTGAATCTGCAGGAGACATGCGCTCTCATCATCTTAAGATTCCTAAACATCAGAGCAGAGAAGAACAATGCACTAAGGTGGCCTTTGTCCTGGTTAAAATTCCACGCTGCACTTAAAAGCAAAGCTAGCTGCACAGGCATTGATCTAAGGAATATGACTGAGCAGCCTCCGAGTGCTGGGCTCCGTGCTGGGGCAGACGTGCAGCTGTGAGATCAAGTGGCAAATCACAGGCGAGTGCCTGGAGGAAGAGAGCTGTGACAGTCCTGTTCGGATAGTTTCCATTTCACTCGTCCTTCAAGACCCAGTGGTGACTAAAAGCCTGTAAGAAGAAGATTTTTGAATTGCAGATAAACCACGATAAGCTCCATGTATTAGACCAGGCAAGATATGCCTCAAGGACAACTCAACACTGCTTAGATTCTCAAATTCTAAATTCCACTGAGTTTAATTATCTGAACATGACAACACCATGAGGGTTCACTGATAAAACCTTGAGTTCTAGCAATGCTGCCTCATCTGTTCATTCATTCATTCTTCATTCATCCTTCCACGTGTCTGGCATTGTTGGGGCACTGAGATTCTCCAGTCCCCAGGTACTGCTCAATGCATCCAGTGGTGGAGACAGACAAGAACCAGTGAGTCTCACACAGAGCCAGCGGTATTGAGGGACAAGAGCTCGGTTGCAGGGTCAGGGTGACAGTGAGATCTGTTCCATGAGTGGATGACAGCCTGCTGGGGCAGGTCACTGAACAAGTGCTCAGCAGAAGAGGATCTGGAGATCTGGGAGAGAATCTGGGAGAAGCTTGGAAAGCAAGGTCACAGGTCCAGGACAAGAGTGGAGAGAGGCACTCACTTTGTACCCCAAAATTTAAGGAAACACAAAAAAACTCAGTGATCAAGATAAAGAATATTTTAATGATTTTAATGCAATACTTAGAAAACAATCAAAATTAATGTGAAACATTCATGATAAATAAAATATCAAAATTTTAAAATCAGGACAGGGTCCCACAAGGCCAAGGTCAGGGCAAGGTGAGTGAGGCGGGTCATGCAGGTGCAGGTCGAAGCCCATCTTGATCTAAAATTTTTATATCACATATTTTTTGCATTAATTTTTACTTTTTAAATATTGCATTATTGATCTTGATTCTGAGTAATTTCCCACCCCTTTCCATTTTTGCACTTGTGGTCAATGCCTGACTCTCCCTACCCTGGTCCCACCCTCCAAGGACGAGGGGTTGGGGAAGGAGGCAGGGGCCGGACCACAGCAGAGGCTCAAGGGTCATGCTCCAGACCCTGGGCTTTATCCAGCAGCATTGGGGAGTCACAGAATGACATATCCAACATGTTTATGTGACAAGATTGCTTGGGATAAGAATTTGGAGTGAGGGGAGGGAGGACCAGAAAGAAGGGGGTGAAAGCAGTTAGGAGGGAGTCATGAGTATCCAGGCAAGAGGTGCAAATAATCTGGAGAAGACTGGTGGGAAAACAGTGAATGAATTGGAGAGCATCAGGCAGTGAAATCAGCAAGATAAAGGCCAGGACACATGGATTCAAGAGCATCACTTCTAATTTTCTGATGGTGCAATTCACTGCGGCCATGATTAGCTTGGAGTGGGGGTAGAGAATGGGTCTGGTTTTTGGCCTATTGAAGCCCCATTCATTTGCAGCATTCTAGTAAGATGATGAGCAGAAGGTGGGCAGGCAGGTATGCAGTCAGGATGATTTGGCTGGGTTTGAGTTGAAGGAATCGGTTTGGGAGGTATCGGTGCAGAGGTGGTAATTAAGGGAGTCACATCATACAGGGGACCTCCATGCAGTGGCTCATGCAATATTTGGGATATACTCAAAAATGACCTGCTGTCCATCTACAAGTCAAGCCTAACTGGGTGTCTTATGTTTTTCTTTGCTACGCCTGGCAGTAGCCCCAGTGGTGACTGGGGCCACAGGCTCTGGTGAGCTCACCTGGAAAGCAAGTAGAGAGGAGAAGGGGCCTGGGAAGAAGCTGCTGGGGAGTCTGGCAGCTGTAGTTCCCGGACCGCAGGGGAAACCAGGAGAGTTTGGTTTTGCAGAAGCCAGAAGGAAAGGTCATTTGGTTACTGTGTCAAGCTGCTGAAAACCAGTTAAAATGAGAACTGAAGGCAGAGTGCTTTGGACTTGGGCATATGGAGGTCATGGGGTCGCTCACCGGGTGCTTCTTTGCAGAGGGCAGGAAGCCAGATGGGAGGGGCAGCGAGGGGCACAAGGAGAGGCAGACAGGAGCAAGTTGGCCATGCGGAGGTGAGAGAGTCAGGGCAGTGGCTGAGGGAGGTGGGCGCACAGGTGGAGATGGGAGCACGTCCAGGTGTGAGTTGTTGGTGTCTCTGAATCAGTCCCCTTCTCCATGCACAGCCCAGGAGCCCCCAGCATCTCTCCCTGGACAGTGCCCTTGGTCTCTCAGGGCTTCTGGTACAACCCCTCCCAACTCATCACCACCTATTCTCTCCTGTCACCCTGCTGGTGTCATTTTGTACATCCCCAGTGTCCTGTTCTCCCTGGATAGACCCCCCAATCTCCAGCATGGCCTGTGGGACCCTCCTCCTCTGCCCTCACCGACCCCTCCCACACCACCACCCAGACACCCTGCTTTGTTTCACCTCCAAGCCACTATTCTTCTGATTTTAAAATAACTTGAAACCTTTTCCTGGACCCCTGAAAGTCTCTTACAGGCAGTGTGCCCGGAGAAACAGGCCCTGCCCAGGGCTCCTGCTGAGCTGCCCTGCGTTAGTGCTCACTCTGCCCTGCCTTTGAGGGGCTAGTCTCGCGCCCAACCTGGCCAGCAACTGCCCCGGGTCACCTCCTCTGGCTCAGTCCAGCAGGCCAAGCTGATCAGGCTGGGAAGGAGGCGAGTCCACCCCGTGCTGGACAGGCTGTCGTGACTAAACGAACATGAACATGGCCATCTGCCTGGAGAGGGCAATGTTATCATCACCAGGAAAACCCAAGTAAGCTGGTGAGGCCACAGCAAATGCAGAGAAAAGCCCACAGCCATTCGCCGGGCATGAAGCTATGGATTCGATGCTACGCCTGTCACCAGCAGCCGTTCCTCATCCTGTCGTGGGGGTGCTCGTTTCAGGGTGGGTTTAATCCTAGCATCTATTTTGCTCTCATTGTCCACTGAAATTATTCCAGCCCAACCAGACTTGTGATAGGAACGAGAGTTTTATCAGATTTTTTATTTCACGTTTAGGTTTTTCTTCAAATAGTATTTTGATGGGGGAAGCAACACAGAATTAAATAACAGGTTTTTTAGGTTTATTTATTTTGAAAAAACAAAAAAAGTATTTTTTCATTATAGAAAGTGATCTGCCTGTGACTTATAATTAGAGCGAGAAACAAAACATGGGAAAGAAATGTATTTTTGACATATATATGTATTTCATTATCAATATATATGCATATATATCAATATATCATATACATAGAGATATACACATGTATGTTTACATATATCAATATATGATAAATATCAATATATGCATAGTGTGTTCACATATACAAAATATACCTATTTTGATATATATTATACAACTTTACAAACAAGGTTGGTTGTACCGAAACCAAAGAAAGGAAGGCTGGCCGGGCATGGTGGCTCATGCCTGTAATCCCAGCACTTTGGAAGGCTGAGGTGGGCGGATCACTTGAGGCCAGGAGTTTGAGACCAGCCTGGCCAACGTGGAGAAATGCTGTTTCTACAAAAATACAAAAATTTGTCGGCTGTGGTGGCAGGTGCCTTTAATCCCAGCTAATCGGGAGGCTGAGGCAGGAGAATCCCTTGAACCCAGGAGGTGAAGGTTGCAGTGAACCAAGATTGTACCACTGCACTCCAGCCAGGGTGACAGAGTGAGACTCTCTCTCAGTTGGAAAAAAAAAAAAAAAGGAAGGAAGATGGACCACAGTACTCCACTGTCAGCCTGGTAATCACCATGGCAATGGACCTGGGATTCCTCATGTCTGGATGCTGCTTCACTGAGCACAGGTGGCTTCTACCACACTGCTACATTTTAATCATCACCCACTGGTGAGGACACTGAAGGTCAGTGCCCTTGTGACTTACTTGAGATTACCTGGCTGGGCTTGAACCCAGGTCTCCTCACTCCAAATGTCACAGTCTTTTCGTTAGCTCTGTTGCCTCCCGGTGGCACACAATTACCATTTTACAAACCTCAAACTTGTCCCCAAGAGGCAACTGCTTTAACTGTTTGATGTCTTTTATCCCCCTTGCAATGGACTCTAATCCACTTTTAAAAGTGAATACCTCAAATCTGCAGCTTTAGGGAGATATATTCCAGGTGCTGGCTCGGCTGTCTGCTGATTGATAAATGCCAAGACTGCTCCTGATTTGAGGCAAGAGATGGGTGCAGTCCTGGGAAGAAAAAGCATGCCTGGAGAGTCAGCTGACTGCGAGCGACAGCCACGCTAGTGTCGAATGGGGTCATGAAAGCCACCTGAGCACTCAGCATGTGCCTGCAGTCCCACCTACTCAAGAGGCTGTGGCGGGGGATCGCTTGAGCCCAGGAGTTTGGGACTGTAGCATGCTAGGACTGCACCTGTGAATGGCCACTGCACTCCAGCCTGGGCAACAAAGCGAGGCCCCATCATTAAAAAAAGAAAAAAGTTATCCAGGGCCACGAGACCCAGCCAGTCATCCCTCATTTTTCAGCCCTGACTCTGCCATTTAGTGTAACCCTTGAAAAGACATGCTGGGACTATGACCTGTTCTTATAATATTTTCAAACCTGTATGTGGCCCCAGATGTTTCTTGGCCCACACGATGGACCTGTCACACCTCGTGGAACCTGAACTACTCCTCTGAGCACAGTGCACTCCAGAACCAGCAGCTGGGACCATCCAGATCACAGCAGCCTCAAATCATCTGGCCTAAAAACCCAGACCGGCACTCCTTGAACAGCTCCTCCAATGCCAGTGAAGTCTTAGAACTCAGATTGCTGCAAAGTGGGAAAGCAATCTCCCTTCCCCTGGGGCCAGCGACCAGCTGACCTAACTGTGAAGGCTGCTAGACTGCTCAATGGCTCAGCAGAGCTTATGTCTTCGTTCACAAGGAACAAGCCTTAAAATCCAGCTGTGATATTCACTTTGAGGCTTTAACACGTTGTTAGTGAAAAATCTGTTTGGAAATACATTTTTTTATTTATGTTTTATTTTATTTTTTTTATATACTTTAAGTTATAGGGTACACGTGCACAACATGCAGGCTTGTTACATATGTATACATGTGCCATGTTGGTTTGCTGCACCCATTAACTCGTCATTTACATTAGGTATTTCTCCTAATGCTATCCCTCCCCCATCCCCCCACCCCACGACAGGCCCCAGTGTGTGATGTTCCCCACCCTGTAGAAATACATTTTGAGTTAATCAAATGCAATCAAGAAAATGAGATGTCCTCCAAAAATTTAATGTAACAAAGATTTTTTTACAGTAGTAATTCTCATTGCTGGGGATGGTGTGGTGCAATAGGCTTTCTCATACACTACTGGAAGTTCCTTCCAGGAAAAACTATTTGTTGATGGGTGTGTGTGTGTGTGTGTGTGTGTGTGTGTGTGTATAAGAAGAAATGTGTTAAAAACACTCACCTACTTTTATCAGTAATTCCACTTTTGGGGATCTGGCCGAAGAAAATAATCAGGAAATGAAAACTGGTTCATATAAACAGGCATTAATCCTGGCATTATTTGACTTTTTAAAAAATTAAATGTCCAACACTACCAAAGTGATTAAATAAATTATGGAATGTCCTTGTGATGGAATATTTATACAGTTATTAAAACTGATGTTTGCATAGTTTTAATGCAAACATACTTTCATGTATGCAAAGTATTTTTTTAATAAAAAGGAAATGGCACGCTTATGACCCCACGGTGAGTGCAAATGGCATACACATAGCACAGTGTCACTCAGCATAGGCTATAGGACCATAGACAAGGACCTGGACCATAGACAAGGACCTGGAATAAAATATTTTGAGATTAATAATGGTTAGAATATGTGAAGCTTCTGTTTTCTCCTTTATACTTTTTTTGTTTTCTTCCACAATTTTAGAATTATCTTGATTTCCTTTCACTACAAGAAAATAAATACTTAAATACATTAGTAAATATTTTGGGGTAGAGAAGATTTTTAAGACGGTAGTTATGAGTAGTTGTGTATTCACAACAGCAATATTCCCCCTGGAGAGTGAGCTAATAAACACATGCTCTGGTATAAATAGCTGTAGGGCTTTGACATTGCCTTTACATTCAAAATGAGTTCATGTCATGCTGAAAGAGGAGTCCCGAGGGAAGCAGGACCTCGCTGCAGAGCTTGGCTTAGGAGAAGCAGAGAGCTGGGTGCTTCCCCACCTGATTCCCAGCTTCTGCTCTGTGAGTTCCAAGCTGCAAAACTCTGGGCAAGTCACTTATCAGCTGTGATCCATCTGTCGCCGTCGATAGAGCAGCATCAGTGACTCCTGGCTTCCTCACAGGGCCACCAGGAGGGCCAGCAGATGACCTCAGTGGGAGACAGCAGGGCTGTTGAGACGAGGACTCCCCAGCTGTTGCAGGGTCCATACAGCAGTTTGGGGGACACCAGCCTCCAGGTCAAGTTCTGGTCTGCTGTGACCCGAGGCCCCAGAGATCCCTGTGGAAAGACTGAACTACTCACATAATGCTGACCACTGGAGTTTGCAAAGCCTGTTGACATTTGAGAGCTCACCTCTAAGCCACCTGGCTGTTCTGTGAGGTGGACAAGGTGGGGAAATGGTGCTTCTGCGACAGACAGTGAAGCTGATGCTCAGAGATTGGATCTCAGGAACCCAAGTCCCCAACGTGGCCCAGGGGGTCTTGAAGCCTGACCTGTGGCCCAGCCCCCAGACTCCAAGGCCAGGGCTCTTTTTACTATCCTCTGTGAGATGGAGATGGGTTTACTATGTCCATTTTACAAATAGGGAAACTGAGACTCCCAGAAGGCCGGGTGACGAGCCCAACTCATATATGCTCAGATCTGTGAGGTGACATAGGGTTCCTAAAAATCACGGTAGCATGCAGGGCCTGTGGCAAGAATGGGGTTAGGAGCACAACACTCAAAATATTACCAGTAACATTGAAAACAAAGACAGAAGCTGAATAAAATGATAGCACCATTTTACACACGTTAAATGCATAGGAAATGCATAAACACGAAGGTAAACATGGCACTTACCTTGGGAAAGATCCGAATTTACCTGTGCACCTGGGCCCAAGAAGAGTTACAGTTTCTAAGTGATTGTGCAGTGGAGGAAGGAGGGTTACCTGAAATGGAGCAGATGGTTGTAACACCAGGTGTGGACAGGTGTGGCTCCTAACCCACAGCTGAGGTGACGTTGAAGGGCCACGTGTGTGTGCACATGCTTGTGTGTGTGTGTGTGTGTCCTGCAGGGCTTGCCAAGCAGGATGTAGTTTTCTGCATTGGCCTAGCATTTCCTGAGGACAAAATCACATATAGGTAAAAACCAAATTCGCATCACGCTCAAATTACCACTAACATGTCAATCACACTAGAACAAATTTGTATTTTCAAGACAAGCCTCAGAGCAGAACTGGCTGTACCTAGTGCAGGGTGAGGCTGCAAGTGAAACACGGGCGCGCTTCTTTTTCTGATCCCAAAGTGTTCTTTACATAGAATGTTTCTGCAGGCATTTTCTTCTTTCTCTTCCTCTTAGCCTGGCTCCAGGCTGGCAGTAGATAGCATCAGCTACCTGCAACAGATGGGGTTGATGGGGTGGCGCGGGCAATGGCGCAGGAAAAATTCTGAGACTACGCCTGAACCAGCAGAAGGAAGCCATGATGGGTCATGGTGTCTTGGAGACACAGATGAGAGAGTTTTGTACTCTACTCCAGATCTGCAACTTGCCAACTGCGTGGGCTTGGACAGGAGACTCAGCTTCCTTGAAGCTTGGTTTCCTCGTCTGTAAAATGGGAATAAATGTAGTACAACCCTCACCAGGTGAGTCTAAGGGTTAAATGAGATCAGGCATGTAGTAAGTGTTCAACAAACTCTGATGACCTTGCTCCTCCTCCTCCCCTTCCTCTACTCCCTCTTCCAAATCTCCTTCTACTGCTTCTTCATAGTCATCTTTGTCATCATCACCATCATCATCATCACCATCGTCATCCTACCACCAAAGAAAAAAAGTCACAACCCCCCAGTTCCTGAGACATGGACGATGGAGCCAATTTTCTAGGAGCATCAAAATCTTAATGAATCCTCTGGGTCTGAGGTACATCATTTGTCCTTGCACCCTAGACTTCACTTACTGCAGGAAGCAAGCTCTTCCTTGAGAAAAGCAGCAGGAGCAAAGCGCTCCTTGGCTTGGTCTCCCCAAATGGCAGTTTTCCTATTGGGTCCTGTGCTGTGACTTTTCTTCCCTGGAGCTCTGCATTTGTGCGCATTCCTTACGTGCCCTGAATGATCTCAGCACCAATTGCCCACACGTCTGAAACCAGGAGGCCAGCTCCAGGAAGGCGGGACATGTCTGGGAGGTGGTTTCAGGCATTCAAAGTGCTGTCCACAGACTACAAGCATGGGCATCGCCTGGGAGCTTGTTAGGAATGCAAAATCTCAGGCCCGGCCAGGAACCATAACCTGCATTTTAATAGGATGCCCAGGTGACCCGATGCACATTACAGTTCGAGAAGCACTGGTCTTAAGGGACACAAGAGCCACAGCCCACTGGGCTCTGGGAGAAATGGCTATCCCTTGATATATTGAATGCCTGTTTCTTTTGGTATGTCCTGGGGATTACGTGCACATGTCTAAACTCACATGGGATGGTGTTAGAATCCTGACTCCAGCTGATATTCTGTGTGGCTTCAGGCAATTGGCTTCACCTTTCTGAGCCTCTGTTTCTTTTTCTGTGGTCTGAAATCATAATAATAATAGTTATTAATGTTTGACACAAAACATTAATGCATCCAGCACAGTTCTTAGCATGCAGTAAAACTCACAGAAAATGATATGACCACCATTGTTATTTGGGGTGAACACTGCAAGGTCCTCCACCAATATCCACTTTCTTTTTCTTCTTCACTAACAGAATCTCAATTTTATTCAAGCAGTAAATTGCGTTTCACAATAGGCACCTTAGTAGATGTGCCTGTTCAACAACGTTCGCCTTCCCAGACCTCCTGGAAACCAGAAATGACCATGTGACCATGGTCACAATCCTTTGGCAGCTTTCTCTCCTCAATAGAAAAAAAAAAAAAAGATTTTAGAATGTCCTTTCTTTCCTTTCCTCCCTTCTTTCTTCTTGGACTCTGGATGTGATGTCTGGAGACAAAGCAGCCATTTTGTTCTGGTGGGGATGAAAAGCACAGTGGAAGGATGGGTAAGAGGAGAGAAAGAAGGTGGCTGGGTTTCAGTAGCACTGTGGAGCCACTATTTGGATTGCCTGTGTCTGGGCTTCATGGTATGAAGCAGGTGGGAGGATTAAAGATCAATTTCTCTGACATACAGCCCAACATAGTCCTAACTAGTAATGCCGTCATCATAACGCTGTCATCATTATGATAGCTGTTGTTCCTGACCATCTCTGGCACATACTAAGGACTCATCCTGGGTCCTTGGTAAGCATTTGCTAATTTCCGTTGAACAGTTTGAAGGAAACTTAACCTGGGAAACAGAATTGACTATCAAGCTCCTTTAAAAAATGAGAATAAAAAGAAAACATAATCCAACTATCCACCAATAAAACCTACTAAATGCATTTTGACATGCAGCTTTTCATGTTTCTTTTTACAAACACATTTAAATATACACCTACTTGTAATGATAACGTGCACTGTGTATGGTTTTATAACCTGTTAATTTTCATGTATCTGTATATTACCATATTTTTCATGCCATTAAATTTTGCTTCTACAATAAAAATAACAAATCAGGTAATGAGATGAGCCTGATCCTTCACTTGCTTCAGTTTTGCCTTCCAAGAACTGTGTCTTTGCAACACTTATTTGAGCAGACATCACCCCCACAAATGCCTGAATGAACATTTCCTGTTGAAAAACTGCATCGGGAAAGACGTCAGAGCTGCTGGCTCACGTTTTCTGGAGAGCTTCTTACAATGCCCAGAGGAAACATGGGATAGTCACTCCTTTAACGGCTACTCATTATGTTCCTCCAAATACTGCTATGAAAAATTCACACCCATTTTCACAATGAATGCACATTTTTTTACAATGATGAAAATGATGTAAGACTTTAATTCTGAAGTTCTACTCCAGGACTTCAAATGCTTCTTGTCCTGCTTTGGTCCAAGGTCCTGCGTGTGTGGGAAGCCCTGTCTTCGGAAGGCAAGTGAATCAGAAATTACTTCTGAAACTGACTCCAATACTGATAATGTGCTGATAACAGAACGAATAGCATCCTTAGTATTTCTCACTTAATAAAATAAGACAAGAAATGATTTGGAAAAGCACCTGCGCCAAGTCACAGGGGCCAGGCTGCCTGAGGGACTCCCACCCCACCCTACCCCCACTGCACCCACCAGGGCAGCCTGTCCTTGTTCCCCAGCTAATTGTTCCTATGTCAGAAGGTGGATTCAGTGCTGCTGGATTTTTTAAGAGTGATTAGAAATATACATTTTTATTTGAAATCTTCCCATTTTTAAAGGTCAGCCACTTCTTAAAACCACAAAACCACTATTAAGAGCCACAAAATAAAACCAGTCCACAGGCAGAGGCGGGCCAGTGCTTGGAGTTAGCATGCCCTCCTTGCCAGCCTGTCTTGTTAGGGAGAGGACGGAGTTTCAGAAGAGACGTTGCCAGAGGGCCATCGCATTATGGTAATAGCCTTTTTGCTTAACTTCGGTTTGTCCACACCCAGTGCTTCAGGCACAAATGAGACAAATTAAAGGCATTCAGCTGGGAGCCAGCACACATTTTTTTAGTTAAGGAGCTGAGCGAGTCATTAACCGCCTAGGGCTGGTGGAAGGCGGGGGAGGCCCCAGCAAACCCAGGAGGTGCCCAGGACCCATGACCTCATTCTGTCCCAGCCCAAGTCTTCACTGCTTCATGAGGAGTTGTGACAGCGTGGCCTTCTCCAGCCCCACATGGCAACAGCAAGGCCAGGGAGGTGGGGAGCTCGCTGTTTCTGTTCCCCACAATCCAAGCCTCCAGACCCAGGTCTGGGATGACAGAGAAAATCCCAAAGAGTAGGCTTGCCGCACTTCACTGGCGTGGAGCACTGTGACTAATGCCCACACTTAGCCTGGTGCTCACTAAGCCCTGGCTGATACCACTGGGCGCTCACACTGTTGGGTGCCAAGGCCTTCCTGAGTCATCTTGCCTTCCCTCTAATTGAACAGCCTTCAACCTATATAGGATGATCAGCTCTTCTCGGTTCACAGGGGACTTTCCTGGTTTTGGTACTGAAAAGTCCCACATCCCCAGGAGCCCTTCATTCTGGGCAAACCAGGACACTTGGTCACTCTGAGTCTATGCAAAGCCCAGGGAGTTGATTTTGAATCCAAAATTGAGAAGTCCCATCCGACTGCAGAAGGGCATAATTTTAAAAAATCAGAACGTGGGCATTCCAGCTAGGTGGGCTGGAGTAAAGAATACTCGACTGGACTTTGCTTCCAAGGGTAGAAGGGCAGTACTGACCACAGCAGGATAGTCCTAGAAGCAGCTGGCCACCCTCCACAACCTTGCTACTCAAAGTGTGGTCCCCAGGTCAGCAGTATCAGCACCATCTGTGAACCTTTTAGAAATGCAGACTCTCAGGCCCCAGCCTGGACCAACTAGATCAGAATCTGCATTTTGAGAAGATGCTTGGGTGCCACATAGCACACAGGTTGGAGAGGTACTGTCTGTGGGTGCTGCGTTCTTACAGCTTAACTTGGTGAAAGGAGAGAATGGGGCTCCAGAGAGGTGTCGGGAACCTGAGCAGGTGCAAGAAGTCTCATTTCACCTCCCTGGGTTCCTGGAGGCTAAAGCTGTTCAGCTCCCAGAAAGGCAAGGAGGTCTGTCTACCAGGATAGAAGGACACAAATGAGTGACAACAGTTCCAGGCTACATGTCCCCTGACTATAGACCTTAGAGGACAAGGGACTTTGTGCATTTTTTTTATTACCCCCTCTGCCTAGATTTTCCAGGACCTTCCAGATAAAATGTACTAAATTCTGTATTAGATTGGAATGCTTTGGGCTGCAGGTATCAGAAACCCAACTAACAGTGGCTTAAACAAATAGAAGTTTATTGTTCTCACACAACGAGCAGGGAGGGGTGGGTGCTGTGTGGCTGGGGCATGGCTTGGCCATGCCGGCAGGGACAGAGGCTCTCCCTGCCTTCCCCTCTAGAATTCTAAGCACTTCCACTTTCTGTCCTCAGGTTGGTGGCCTTATGGCCTCAGGATGACCTGCTGCAGCTTGAAGCATCATGTTGATGCTTTCAAGACAAGAAAGGAAAAGGGGAAAGCCAATGAACATGACCTTCTTTTTCAGGAGAGCAAAATATTTCTTATAAATTGACCACCTACTTCAGCTCAAGCCTTGTTTGTGGTGCCGCAATGCCATCCGGACCGAAGAGAGTCTGGGAAATAAGTCACTGACAAGAGGGACAAGCAGCTGTGAGGAGCTCAGATCAATCCTGATCCATTGCCTAGAGCCAAAGAGAGCCAAGAGGGAGCCAGCCACGGCCCGGAGACGCCTCCTGTAGGTCTTCTGGTCTTTGCATAATGGCCCTGATCATGTTGGCTGTTCATTTACATTTCTGACCCCTTCTAGGTGATGGAACACTTAAAGGCAGTGAACATGTCTTAGTTGTCTCAATACGTCCCTGGTGCTAACATACCAGGCACAGAGTATGCTCAGTGGATATTTACAGAATGAATGAATGAGGATGCCCTCAGTGCCCATTAGCCAGAGCCACTCATCCCCAAATGTCTCGAGATGGTGGCATCGGCTTTATCTCACAATTGGCTTTATCTCCATAATAACTTATCTTTTCAAACTGGAACCAGGCTTCAGATAACTGGGGCAAAGTCATAGAGAATCATCTAGCTTGAGTCTGAAGTTTCAGTTCCATGGAGCCTGGCTTAGGAGTGCGATCAGAGGTGGTCAGCAGCTGCCAGACTCACCCACTCCCATGAGGCCGACTACATAAAAAGAAGGAACAAAATAAAAGCCAGCCTCTGGAGTCAGGTGAAGCCATTTGTTCTTAAGGGGAGTCACAGGCAAGGCTGCACTGTGTGCCTTAGAATGTCGCAGCTAATCATGGTCCATGAAACATGATGGGATGGAGCAAGTCAGACGATTCCGCCTGATATGTGCCATATGACAGCCGTTAAGTCGCTCGGTCTACTGGAAATAACATTTCATGGTGATCCAGGTAGGGGAATGCAGCCAAGAGCAGAGAGACTCCTCCCGTCTCGCTGGAGAACAGGAGGGGGTTGTTAGGGTGACGTCTGTCATTTTATGAGCCAAGTCAAGGCATATAAAAGCCAGGGAGGGCACAGGGTCTCCCCAGGAACTAATTTGGATGGGAAAAATAAAGATTTTATGTGCTGGCTCAGGCACTGGACTGAAAATCTCAAGAATCTAATCAGCGCCAGGTGGAGGGTGAAGCAGCTCAGTGGCTGGCGAGGACCCTGCGTGGGGCAGGCAGGACGTGGGGGCCACATGTCTCCGTGCTGGAGATGCATCAGGCTGAGTCATAACAGGCTTGGGCTTCAGCGACCCACATCTTTGGGCAAGTCGCTTCCCCTCTCAGCTCCCTCTGTTTCCACATGTGAAAAATGCTTGTGAGGATGAAAGGCAAGAAGGTGGAGGCCAAGAGCTCAGCACGGTGCCCGGCACAGAGCGGTTGCCAATAAACAAATCATAATCATAGCCATTAATGGGGCCAAGTCCCAGCTAGGGTGCCCTGAGGCCTCCCCCTCCCTCTGTGGCCAGGTGGTACGGTTGCCAGATTGAGCAAACAAAAATACAGGACACTCAGTTAAAATCGAATTTCAGATAGACAATGAATCATCTTTTTTTAGTATCCATATGCCCCTAAATATTTCATGGGACATACTGATACTAAAAAGTTATTTATTTTTTATTTGAAATTCAAATTTAGCCAGGCATCCTGTGTTTTTTCTGGCAACCCTACAGGGTGAGCTTAGGTGCAGCCATAGATGAAAGAAGGGATTTCAATGTCAGTGATGGCTGAGTCGAGTGGTCAAATTAACTAAAGGAACCTATGTTCTGTGCACTCAAATTAAAATTTCTGATCTATGAACTCCAACTCTCAAAGCTTAAACGGGGGGGAAAAAAGCCTCCTTTAGTCGATAAGCAAACTAATGAAATGACAGAAGACTGGACAAGAGTGTCCCGTTCCCCAGCTTCAGCAGCAGTTTCCTGAAGGCCCCCACGCCCTCTCATCCCATTTTGCAAAAGAGGAGATCGAGGCTCCAGCAGGTGAAGAGAGTTGCTGGGCTAGCATGTGGCTGCAGTCCAGGTCTGTCTGACACATGAGCCAATAACCGTCACCAGGAGACCCCACTGCCTCTCACTGCTTAAAAAGGTCCCCCCTGGCAGGCCACAGACCACCCCCAACTTTTGTGGAGGGGAGAAAATACTACTGAACATCAGGTGAGAGCAAGTTTCCCAACCTCTTTGTGCCTCACCTTTTCCCTCTGCAGAATAGGAATAATTATTCTACCATCTCGATAGCATTTTTGGATGACTTGGTAATTTAATGTACATTAAGGACCCAGATGCTAATTGTGAGTAGACAAATGCCATTTATTAGACTTATCGTAATGAAGACAGTAAGGTTTCATTGTTAAAATATCAGCCGTGAAACACATCAGAACGAGTTCAGCCCTGGATTCACCTCTTTACCAATCTTGGGATGTTTCTAAACCTCTCTGAGCCTCCATTTGTTCATCCATAAAATGGGAACCTCATGGAGCCTCCCTCTCGCAATTGTCCGGCGTGGAATGGAGTAGCACAGGTGAGCACTCAAGTGCAGGCTATTTGTATTTCAACAGGCAGAGAGGATTGGGGTGAGAGCCAGTGGCCTCTCTCGGGGCCCCTGAATCCTGGCCACACAGAGTGGGCCTCTCCTCCGCAACCCCCCTCCACCCGACCAACAATGGAGCTGTCACAAGCCCACATCTGCTGCTGGGTAGAGATTTTTCTCTCAGGATTCCTGGAGGGGCCCTTCCAAGGGCCACAGCCCTTCTTGTTTATATGCCGAGAACAATGAAGACCTAGAAGCCAAGTTTGCAACTGGGTCTGGAGGAAAATGGTTGTCTCTCCAATAAATCCACGTGCATCATTGTTAATGACCCTGGACCACACAGCCCACCCACAGGGCCTGCCCATTAGAGGTCAGACAATGGCTAATGAGATTGCCATCCCTGATTAAGCCAGGAGGCAATGCTTCTTTAATTCTACACACAGCCAGGAGGCAGGGCCTCAGCCTCTCTCTTACTGGGACTTCCCATTTCCTCTTACCAGTTCTGCCATCCATGGCTTTCTGGATTCACCAAAACTTCAGGTTCCTCAAGGGACACAGATGTGTCAAGTGCATTTTCTGGCTTGAGGGACTGTGTGTTTCATAGACATCTTTCCAGTTTCATAGCCATTTTGCCCAGGAGTGTCATCAGCTGAGATTCAAGATTCATTGATGCTTGGCTGAGAAATCCCTGGGAGATAAGAAAGTCAGGTTCACACTGGATGCATGGAACTGGAAGCACACTGCAGAGGGGAATGTGAGTGCTATTTGCAGTCCCTCTTCTGGGCCAAAATTTGGCTTAGGGCTTCCCCTACCCTCCCTCGGCCTCTATAGCCTGTGAGATAGATATTAGCACCTCCTTTTGCCAAGGAAGAAATCATGGCTCTGAGAAATGACATGGTGCACGCAAGGTCACACAGCAAGCAAGTGGAGTGGAGGGCGTGAGTCCATCTGTCTATATGCCAAGCTTGTGTTTTTTCCCACTACACATGATTTGTTCACATTCGGCTCATACCAGTGCTTGAAGCCCACTGCAGAACCAAGCCCCAGGACTCACATGTGGCTTCCTTAATGCCCATGTGGCAGTTCCAGTGCCGTCAAATCCCTCTAACCCGAAGCAGTTAAAACTGATGATTTAATGACCCACTGGTACATCCACTTACTAATCTTTGTGAGCACACCAAGGTGTTTTTATTTCTGCTGTTTGGAGTTGCATAGTAATCTTTTACATAAACCACACCCATTTTTACAGTCACCAGCATTTATAGTTTCCAATCCTTTAAAGTGAAGTAAAAATTAAAGGGCACTTACAAAGATATCTGAATGCAGAATCCTTCATTGTTTGTGTATTTTTTCATCTTTACAGTAGTTTCTTCCTCACTGCATTGTTCAGCATATTTTTTAGGAACTCATATTTTTCAAGTCATTCCACAGCATTTGACTTATTTTTCACAGAAGCAACTATTCTCTTGCTTTCACACTCATAGTTTTTTAGTTTATATAGTAAGTAATTCAGTTGAATTTTGAAATTAAAGTTACAAATATAACTGGCATTAGAAGGCATGGGAACAATCCACAGACTCTTGTTAATCAAATGACTCATTGAATGAAGGCAGATGTGGGAGAGCTCACTGAGGTGTCACTGACCAGCCTCCAACTTTCAGAGCACTGTGGGCGGCCACAGAATGTTTACAGTGGCAGGGGAGAGCACTGGTTAGTGGCTCAGTGATGTGAAGACAGGTGAAGAAAGCTTCTATTCTACTATCTCAATGGTGGTAACAGTAGCAGTGGTGACTGCAGTGATTTCTCAGTATTTAGTGTGAGTGCCACGTATTACTATCCATCCTCACTACAATGCCTAGAAATTACTGTATTTGCAGTCTAAAGATTAGCTAGTATATAAGTCACTCAATTTTACCAGGAAGCTTTTCTGAAAGATATTATCTACTACCCCAGACTAGCCAAGTCTTCTTGGAGAACTGCCAAGTAGCCAGGAAGACTGGTTTGGAGATGCCTCTTCTTTCTGCTGTTCTTGAAGCTTGCACAGTTTCTTACCCAAGGGGAGCAGGGGAGGAAAGGGACAAGTTGCTGAGAGTTATTCCATCCATTGGTTTATGGTGGACTTGATGGTGTCACACAAGGAGGCATCTGAGAAACAGAAAATGAATCTTCTATACTGGCAAATACAAGATTTTCCCCTCTGTTTTAAGATGAGGAAGCAGACTCAGAAGTGAAGTGACTTGGCCAAGGTCACATAGCCTGTAACTGGAAAAGCTGAGATTTCAACTTAGGTCTATTTAACTCCAAATCCCATGTGCTTTCCATTGAACAACTGTTGCCATTGAGCTGGGTTGGGCTGAGTTGAGTTAGTTTGAGTTGAGGTGAGTTGGGTTGGGCTGGCTAGAATTGGGTTGGCTTGATTTGGGTGGGTTGGTTGGAGTGGGTTGGGTTGAGCTGAATTGACTTGGTTTAAGTTGAGGTGAGTTGGGTTGGGTTGGCTAGAGTTGAGTTGGTTTGAGTTGGGTAGGGCTGGGTTGGATTAGGTTGGGTTGGGTTAAGTTGGTTTGAGGTGGGGAGGGTTGGGCTGGGTGGGTTAGGTTAGGTTGAGTTTGCATGGGTTGCATTGGTAGCACTGAATCACACTAAGCCCTTTGCTGTGTAGTCTTGGTCCCAAAACAGAGGGCGAAAAAATGTCTCTTTTATAGTCTTTCAGCAACCTGAGGGCAGAAAGGGGGATCAATACAAAAGAAACAGACAGGAATCATATATGATTCATTGTTGAATTCTGGTGGGATTGCCCAAGTAAATCATGCCCTGGGCAAACCAGCAGAGTAAAAGGCACCTTACAGAGCTGTGTGTGGGGAGGGGGCCCTTCTGTCACATTGCCCAGAAGATATGGATCCAACTATCCTCATGGTCAGAGATCACAGAGGCCCCAGCCCAGTTCTAATCCCTTCATGTGAAAATCACGTGACACAGCCCCAAGCCTAGCAGAGGTTCCTGGAGAACAGCGTCTCCTTGAGCACCGGCTGGGTACTCCATGCTGCTCGCCTCCTCTCTCTGTCTCTAAACCCACGTCAGCTCTCTTCAGGAGGTATGGTCACCATCTTTTTACACACAGAGAAGTTGAGATAAAAATAACTTGCTCAAGTTTACACAGCTAATCATGGCCGGAAGCTGGGTTTAGCTCTAGGTTTGTAGGACCCTGGGAGGTTGGGTTCTTTCCACTTCTTCACATGGCCTTTCAACAGGACAGAAATCAGCACAAGCCTGTCATCCTGGAGGAGCTTTAAGCAGAATGTGTGTCTTCCATGGGGGCAGCTGGAAGGGCTTCCGGGTAGGGCTCAGGAAGAAGTATCATAGCCTGGGGGAGACCTGTAGAGTAAGGAAACTTCCTGCCCCACAACAGTCAGAGACAAGAAGTGATGACAACCAGGGGCTGTTGATGGTGTTCCCCTACCCTCTACCCATCTGACTTCTAAGCCTCAGTTTTTCCAACACATTCTGTAAAAGGGGGTTTTTAACTCAGTTCATTCAACAGGCATTTGTGGAGTGACTACAGTGTGCCAGGCATCAGACTAGGTGGAGAGAAGTTGGAGGCTTGGTCCTGGTGGTGTGGCACGTGGCTGGGACTGGGGGTCTACGCCCTCCTCCTGCCACTTCCAAGCCAGGGGGCCCCGGAAATGTCCATTTACCTCATTGAGGTTCAATTTCTGCCCATGGAATATGGGGAGAATAATAATAATACCTGGGGCTCAGGTCAGCTGTAAGGACTGAACACGGTGTGTGGGGAGCACTTAGCGCAGCCACCAGGGCGTGGACCACCTCGGGCAGGATTGTGCTGGCTTTTATGCAAAGGCAGAAAGTGCCGCTGAGCCTGGAAGAAAATGAAAAGAACAGTGGCTCACATTTCTTGGCCCACTCCTTCTCAAATACCACATTCTGCATAAAAATATCCTTCAAAAGTCACGGCCAAACCCCCACGGCGGTGGGAATGCCCTCCCTGTGGAGGGAAAGCCACCTCCGACAGCGAGTGTCGTTTCAGATGCAGCTGGCACAGAGAACAGGCGGATGGAGGAGTGACAACGTGCACAGCCGACTGTCAGGGCGGCCTCGGCAGGGAGTGTCTGGGTGCTCGCCGATTCCTTCAATGCTTCTGTATTTTTGAAAATTTTCATAATAAAACGCTAGGGGAAGTGGAAATGCAGCCAGTCCCAACCCTGCAGGAGAGGGTGGTTCCAAGCACCATTTCCTCATTTCTTTGAGTCTCTTAAAAACCTTTTCCTCATAACCCCACAGCTTATAAACGTTTGAACAATTATGACTGTCAGGTGCACAAACAAGCCCCTCACACACAGCCTATTGTTCTGCAGATGGAAACATCTGTTAGATTAGATTATTTTTTAAACCTGGGGTGAGAAGAGTGGGGGACGGGGGTGTTGATAAAAGGCTTCCTGGCCTGGGCTTGTGAACAGCCACACTGAGAAAATCTGGCTTTTCAGAAACTTCCCCTGGAGCCACCTTCCTTCACCAGGACACAAGCTTAACTCTTTCTAACCAAAGGCTTCTTTGCCGTGGGCACAATAGCCCCTTTCTTGCGCTAGAGTTTTTTTTAAAAAAATCCAAATGGTGTGTCTAAGCCCATGACTGACTCCAACCTAACTTAGGGTTTTGTTTTGTTTTGTTTTGTTTTGTTTTGTTTTGTTTTGTTTTGAGACGGAGTCTTGCTCTGTCGCCTAGGGGGGAGTGCAGTGGCACGATCTCGGCTCACTGCAAGCTCTGCCTCCTGGGTTCACCCACCATTCTCCTGCCTCAGCCTCCCGAGTAGCTGGGACTACAGGCGCCCGCCACCACGCCTGGCTAATTTTTGTATTTTTAGTAGAGACAGGGTTTCACCGTGTTAGCCAGGATGGTCTTGATCTCCTGACCTCGTGATCTGCCCGCCTCGGCCTCCCAAAGTGCTGGGATTACAGGCGTGAGCCATCGCGCCCGGCCAACTTGGGGGTGTTAACACAGTGATGAAGGGCTCAGGGTTTGAGAGCTCAGCCTTGAGCCAGACTGCCTGGGTTTGAATCACACTAGCTTTGTAATTGGCCTCTCTGTGCCCATCTATAAAATGGGAGCAATCATTGTCGGCTTTTTAGTGAATTAACAAAAATATTACAAGAGCTGAGAGTAGATGAGACCAGCACATAGTAACAGATTGTTGTTACTTACAGCCATGTGCTGCGTAATGACATTTTGGTCAAGGACAGACCACCTATATGATGGCGGTCCCACAAAATTATAATACTGTATTTTTATGGTACCTTGTCTATGTTTGGACATGTTTAGAGATACAAATACTTACTATTGTGTTACGACGGCCTACAGTTTCAGTAAGTCACATACTGTCCAGGTTTTCAGCCTGGGAGCCATGGGCTGTATCCTACAGCCTGGGTGTGCAGCAGGCTGTGCCACCTGGGTTGTACAAGTGCACTCTCTGAGGTTTGCACAATAAGGAAGTGGCCTGATGTCCCATTTCTCAGAATGTATCCCTGTCCTTCAGCAACTCATGACTGTATTATGATTAAGAACTTAGTAACTCTTCCGAGATCATGGAGGAAACCATGAAAATGGCTAAATGAAAAGGTTAAATGGTTACTATGAAAATGGTAAAGTGTAAATGGAGATAACGTGTGATGTTATTGTGGTAATAATAGGACCCTCCTCCTAGGGCTGCTGTGAGGATGAAACAGCACTGACCATGCCAGGGAAATTGCTTGCAGAATGCCCTGGCTCAATCAAAGATTGCTTGTGAAAGCTCATAAGGCATGCAATGGGACCCTGGCTCTTACCTTTGTGACAGGAAAGCCGCCTGCCTTAGGCTGTGAGCCATGCTATGAAACGTACTAACAGCCGCAGAAAGAACCTAGCCTGTCTGCTTCTCATATGCCTGGGCCCCGTTCCACTGGCTCCCAGATGGCCGTGACCTCGATACGGTGTGTGAGCCAGTGGCTGGCCTGACCCCCTAATGGTGACCGCCCGCCTCGCCAGGATGACCTACATTTCCACAGTGGCGGCTGGAGCAGACATTCCAGGGTAATTAACAAACACATGCACACAGACACACACACATATAGACATATATACACACAGAAACACACACACACACACACACACACAACGGCTCAGGCCTGGCTGTAGCTGGCACGCTCGCTGTCTAGACAGGGCTGGGAGCTGAATGGCCTCCCGCCAGGGGAGGTAGGCTGCTTGGGGCTGCAACCAGGACAGCTGAGGTGGGGTGAGAGGCTTTTCCTGTTCACTGGGGCAGAGACCCCTGAGAAGATGAGCAGCAGTGATCGTTCCTCCCCACCCTAAACGGGAGCTTCCGGCCATGTGCCTTCCAAGGAAAGTCTCCTCAGGAAATCATCAGGCAAGAGAGCCCAGGTCCAGCTACAGGGGAGCTTGATGCACTGCTGTCTGTAATAATGAAAAATGGGAAATAGCCTTTCAAAAAGAGTTAGTTAAGCATATTATGGGGCCATCACAAGAGGGACCAGCAAGTGGTTGCTGACAATTGTGTTGAAGGAGATGGTCTGATGGCATGTGGTGACTGTCATAAAATATTAAGTTTCTAAAAAGCATGATTCAAAATGGCATGTCATCAGGGACTGCAGTCATTTTTCTAATAGGTGCACAGACGAGTCATTAGACAAGCACACCTAGGAAGCTCAGTGCTTATCTCTGGGCATGATATCTGGCCACCAGGGCACTTTGCACGCTCCCACTCATGGTTGGAGTGCAAATACCAAGGACACTAGACCAAGACCCTGCACCAGCTGGCCCAACACCAAGGTTCTCGTCCTTTCCCTGCTCCAAATTCCAGTACACCCAGCTGGTATTTTCCAAACGCCAGTCACGCAGGGACCACCTTCATGACTTTTGCCCACCACACTATAATTTACTTAGAATTATTCTCTAAATTGACTCACGATTTTCACAAAAGCAAATTGATTTTAAAAGAAAACCTTATATCACAGTTGTAGTTGGGAAAATCAAAACCAGAAGGTGGCTGTAAAGATAAACACATCATTATTAATTTTAAAAAATTCCAGCAACCTGACATAAGAACAGAAAGCCAAACACCGCATGTTCTCACTCATAAGTGGGAGTTGAACAATGAGAACACAGGGACACAGGGCGGGGGGGGTATCACCAACCGGGGCCTGTCAGGGGGGTGGGGGGCTGGGGGAGGGATAGCATTAGGAGAAACACCTAATGTAGATGACAGCTTGATGGGTGCAGCAAAAACCACCATGGCGCGTGTATACCTATATAACAAACCTACATATTCTGCACATGCAACCCAGAACCTAAAGTATAAAAAAAAAAAAAGTCCTTGTGTGCCTCCTAAGATCATCTTGCCAATGATATGTATGCCGCACGTTGGACGACACTGCCTTCACTCAACCTCTTTATTTACAACATGAGAAGGCTGAGGTTCAGAGGGGACAAGATTTCCCTAGGGTCATTCAGGTTGCCAGGAGCTCTGGGTGCTGGTTCAGGGTCTGCTTACCTGAACCTGTCCTTATCCTGACCTTCTCACTCATCCTGGCAGGTCTGTCTCCATGGGGATGGGGCCAATCAGCTCTCGACCCAACCCATCACTGAGCTCCCAGGTACCTGGCTGAGCCACAAGGGTCCAGCCTGTCCCCCTCCCGCCACATCCTCTGTTCAGTGGAGGTCCCACATATCAGATATTCCTCCAATGCTAAGTAGAAAGCTCAACCGCAGTATATGAGCTTCAGATTAAATTATTTTTAATTTCATGGTGCTCCGTTCCACAGTCAATTAATTCCATTTCATTTTCAAGGGTCCCATCACCCTGCCTTCTTCTTTTTCTAGCAGTTTCAGTGATTTTCTGGAATCAATCAGGAATTGTTTGTGTTTGGTTTTAAATACGTGTAAACGTATGGCCGGTCTGTGTCCTTTTTTCCGTTCCTCCTCCTGACTGTACCCACGCTGGACACCCCAGGCTGAGGCTGGAGGGGGCATGAGGAGCGGGCCTGGCAGGCAGGTACCTGGCCCCTTCGGGAGGTGGGGGACAGAGGAGCATTTCCACATCCAGGTGGGTGCCTGTACTACAGAAGAAGGGAACCGCTGCCTCCTGGAGGCCCTGGGCTCTGGGGACTCCCTTCGTTTGGCATCCCTGCTGTCTTTTCCTCTTAGGAAAGCCCTTCACCACCTGGAGCTGTCTGCAAGAGCTTGGCCCTGAATCCTTTACAGGGTCGGGCATGTGACTCACACTGGCCAATCAGAGTAGTCCATGCCCTGGGACAGCAAGATAGGCCGAGGAGCAGTCACATGACCTAAGCAGGGCCAGTGTCCTGTGGAGGAATAAAATGGCTTCTGTGTAAGAAATGATTGTAATCTTTTTCTCTAGGCTTCTTAGCTATGAAGGTCATGGAAGCTCAAGGCTGCTGGAGACCACCCCTGCTGTCACTTAGAACTCATCCTGCCTGATCATGAAGCCAACTAGCAAAAAGGAGAGCCAAGAGATGTCAGGAGGAAAATAAGTCCTACTGTTGTGCAGTAAGGCCCTAGGTATGACTGTGCCCGAAGGCCACCAAACTGCCCAAGTTTGAAGTTGTATGTGCCAGCAAATTTCGCTTTTTTCGTTGTTGTTAAGTTAGTTTGTTATGTCTCCTTCTCTTGTTCAAGTCAACCAAGGAACATCACTGTGTGTCACGTGTCCACCTTCCTTTCCCTTGCCTCGCATGCCCTGCCTCATCCAGGCACAGCCTGGAAGGTAGAGGTGAGTGACAAGCACGCAGGAAGCTTTATGGAACATCCAACACCTCAAGACTCAGCTCAGACACCACCTCCTCCAGGAAGCCTCGCCTGGTGCCCTAGTGTGCCTTCTCAGGCTGGTTCATAGCCCATCTCTGCTGGTCCACAGCCTTTATTGAGGGCAGCACCATGCATAAGGGCTAGACTCTGGAACCCAGATGTCCCTGATTGGAATGTCAGCTCTTGCCAGCTGTGTGACCTTGAACGTACGAGTAACCTATCCGTTCCTTGGTTTCATCACCTATAAAATTAACATCAGTCTCTCTACCTAGTCCTACTTTGTTGTGAGATTTGTCACTGAGTTAGAACAGAGGCCAGCACATGGCTACTCCTCAGGTATGAATTGTATTGGCCATCATTTTTATGTTCTGTATCACTTTTGCCATAACTGCCTTTTACTTGCTTGTCTTAAACCACAAGCCCTTTCCCTTCTCTTTTCTTTCAATACCTTTGGTTCTCCAGACCCCACAGTGCCTGGCATGTAATGAGCCTGAGAGAATGTCGGTTGAATAATGTGTGCCCCCAAAAATGAACAGGCAAATCTATATCTTCTGCTCTTCCTTCTACCTGTCAAGAACTCTGACTTTGCCATCTCGTTTCTGGCTCTCATCCTAAAAATAGGATAATGAGCAAGCGGGAGGTGGAGAGAAGTAGAAGTGAAAGGGAATGAAGACAAACACAAGGGTTGGGGGGTCAGGAGAACAGATGGGCTGGGCGGGTCATGGAGGTGCTCACACCTGACTGGGCACTGGAATCACCTGGGTGCAAGGGTTCCCAAACAAGCACCCTGAGCCCTACCCTGGAGACTCCCACCTCATCTGTCTGGGTGGGGCCTGGAACTTCCCAGGTGATCCTGTGCTATGAGGCCAGGGCTGAGAACCCTGGGACGGAGAATGGGAGGAGCTTTGATGCACATGAGAAGAGAAATGAAAGCTCCTTGAGTGTTTTTGAGAGATTTCAGCAAAGATTAGTTCCTGTTCAACTATTTTGACCCTCAGCTTGTTGTTTCTTTGACTGTGACCCAGTTCTGAGACTGGGTGCCAAGGGGACTTGGTTTTGTCTAATACAAGTGTGTGAATGAATGAATTAATGAGAGGAGGTTTGTCTCCCAACACTCACACCAGTAATCACAGACACAAGCAGCAAGGGAAGGTGGAAAAGATGTTCCAACACAGGGGACTCAAGGGAAACAGAAACACCTCGTCCACCTCATCAGCCTGTGTTCAAGGGAGAGAGAGGTGCTGGGGTTGATGACTGTGGCCACTTCCCTGCCCTGATCTTAATTACAGGAGACCCACTGGCTCAGCAGTCTGTAAGTTGCAGGAAGAGAAATTAGATGTGATATCCAAATCTTTTTTTTTTTTTTCTTTTTTGAGGCAGGGTCTTATTCTATTGCCAGGCTGGAGTGCAGTGGTACAGTCATGAGTCACTGCGGCCTCAACCTCCTGGGCTCAAGCAATTCTCCATCTCGGCCTCCTGTGTAGCTGAGACCACAGGCATGGACCACCATGCCTGGCAAATCAAAAAAAAATAAAAATTATACAGATAGAGTCTTCCTATGTTGTCCAGGCTGGTCTTGAGCTCCTGGGCTTAAGGGATCCTTCCACCTCAGCCTCCCAAAGTGCAGGGGTTACAGACATGAGCCACTGTACCCAACCCCAAATCTTGACTAGTAGCATATAGTCAGCTAGATAGACAGACGGATGGACCATTGCTTGTGAACTTCTCTAGGGAGACCCTCTGAAGAAAGTGTCTGAGGGTCAAGCCATCATCAGAGCAGCTGAAGACAAGGCCCCACCCACAACGGGATCGTGGGTTCAGCAAGGACCCTTCCCAAGGACCAGTCGGCGGGGCTGTGAGCTCCTGGGGGCAACAGGAAGAGGATTTCATGCAGGACTCACAGTGCCTGGAGCCTGTTCCACTTAAGAGAAATTAAGCAGTCACGAGTATGAAAGGAATAATGTCACTCCTGGGAGTTCCTGCCACTGTCCTGTCTTTAATAAGTCCACAGGGTGCCCAGGCAGTTTTTGGTGCTTGGGGACACAGCTGCAAACAGGTCACCTTGCTCTGAAACTGCAGGTGCTCACCATCTAGTGTCTAGCAGGGAAAGACACACCAAGCAGAGGGATGGCATGGGTGAGTGCTCTGAGCAGGCCCGATGTGTTCCTGGGACCTACTGAGAGATGCCTACGAAGCTGCCTAAACAGGAAAGGCTGATCCGGCTTGCGGTTTTGTGGACTTAAAGGGAGAAATATAAGAGGAGGGGCAAGAGGAGTTGAGGGGGACGAAGGCTGTTTCCTCTCCTCCTTCTCTGCTGGGCTCATTCCCACGGCCACTGCAGCACCCCAGTAGCTCCAACAGAAGGACCCCTGGAGTCTGTGTGTGTCTGTAGGAATGGGACCAAAGTGCCAATTCCTGGCTATCTGTCCACCATGCCACCTAGCGAGCTGCCTGCCACCAGATGCCACCAGAGCGGGACAGGGACACCGGGGAGGGGATACTTGGCCACATGTTGCCTAAAGAAGGGGCAGATTTGTGTTTGTAACAAGCACCTGCAGGTAGTTCTTATCACAGGAGGGACATTCGTTGTCTGGTGCCCCTCATTTCTGCCACCCTTCCCAAGCTGGCCTCATTCTGTCTCTCTGGAGACTCCCTTTCTGCCACCCTTCCCAAGCCAGCCTCATTCTCTCTCTCTGTAGACTCCCCTCCTTGGCCCTGCCACCCCTGTGCACTGGCTTCAGGAGACTTCCTGATTTCAAGCAGCCAACACAGCCCATTGAGAATCTGTGTGCCTCCCAGGTCTAAATTCTTCTGAGAAAGAACTTGATTTGGATCGGGGCACAGCTCTGGTCCAATCAGCTGTGGCCAAGGAGGGGTGAGGTCATGGTACAACTGTGGCTCCTGGGGCCTCCCTTGTGGGTATAAGGAAGAGAGTTCTGAGAGGTACCCATCCAAACTGCTATCTCCCATCAATGCAAGCTTGTGTTCCCCAGGAGACCCCATTCCACAACTCAGGTTATGAATTTCTCTCTCCCTGGTACATTTCCAGACCTCACAGCACACCCAGCTTCAAAGGAATCTGTCCGAAAAACTTGTAATGACAATATGATATGCTTCTTCAAGAAGTTTCTAGAATGAGCGCTCTGAGCAGACAGGGGCTGTTGCCTTGTTTGTCCTGTGCACCCCAGCCACTCCTGCCATGTCCATTAAGCACAAGGACCTACACGCCATTGTCGCTCACTGTTATGGGCTGGATTCTGTCCCCTCGGAATTTGTATGTTGAAGTTCTAACCCACATCTTCAAATGTGACTGTATTTGGAGGTAGGGCCTTTAAACAGATGATTAAAGTTAACTAATTTCATAAGGTGGGCCCTAATCCAGTGTGACTGGCATCCTTGTAAGAAGAGGAAGAGGGAATAGGGAAGGACACACAGAGAGGGCACGTGAGGACACAGTGGGGAATGGCTGTCCGCAAGCCCAGGAGAGAGGCCTCTGAAGACATCAAACCTAGTGACTTCTTAATCTTAGACTTCCAGCCTCCAAGACTGTGAGAAAACACATTACTGTTGTTGAAGCCACCTAGTCTGTAGTATTTTGTTAGGGCAGCCCAGGCAGACTAATACACTCGCTAAAGGTTTGTTCCTCACTAAAGGGATGCAAAAATGGTGGAACTGAGTCCTCCCACCAAGAGTTGGGACCTGTCTACTGACTGCAAATGGCAGTCTAGGTTAGCTCTTGGTTAAAAAGAGAAACAAGAACCAGTTTATCAGGAGTCCTGGAGCTTTCACTGGGTGAGGACAGGGGTCTTCTGAAGGCCCCAGTGTCAGGGCAGGACCCCGATGTGTGTGGAGAAAGTGACCCACTACTCATAACCATGGCCGGCATGCAGGGGATACCTGATGGCTTTGCTCTGTAGTCCTGCCCTACACTAAGCTTTTGAGTTACTGTCTACTCTAAACTCTATTTTCAAAATTTCTTAGACTCTTTTTATTGGCAAAAGCAAAGGACTGAATTTGGCATTGGAGGTCAGACCGCTCTAGTTTGAAAAGAAAAAGGAAAACACATCTCCATGGGTCTTTGACTACACAGAGATCAAACAAAACCCTACTTTGCTTGGTGATATTTAGGAATGGAGGAGCCAGGCTGCTTCCTGGGGACGAAGCAGCGATTGTGCATCGGGAGAGGAGCAGCGTGCCTCCCTCTCACCACCTCGGCAGCTCCGCTGGAAAGAGATCCTCTCTCTCCACTGACCACCGATGTCAGCACTCCCGTGGGACAGATGCTAGGCCGGGTGCAAACCACCCACCAGGCAGAGCAGTGGGAGGGCTGACAGCCAAGCCTGGCCACATGGGCACCCCTGAAGCCTGGGGTACAGCTGGTTCCCAAAACATGTAGAGAGAGTGAAAGGAGAGACGGTTCCCTATGGAAACAGGAGAGGTTTTAACTAGAAGAAAGGGGAGTGGGTATGGTACAGGCCGCAGCGCCCACGTGCTGCTGAGTTCTGGAGGACACTCCCTGTTGTATCTGAACCCAGGTTCCGCTGCTTGCAGCTCAAAAGCCAAAACTCAGGAGATGGGAGTTAGTGGAAAGAAAAGCAGGTTTATTGGGAGAGCCAGCCAACCGAGATGATGAACTAGCCTCCTGAAGTATTAATACCATCTTGAGTTAAGTCCATACAAATTTTAGGCTCTTTTTATGTTCAGGACAGGGGAGGAGGAGGGGATTGGGGTGGAGATGTAACAGATGACCACAGACATTGGCACCAGTGCGGGTCCAAGGAGATCGGGAACTGCTTTGTCCTTGGTCAGGTCACGATGCTCCTATAAATCTATTTTTGAAAACATAGTCAGTTGTTTACATACTTTCCCTTTAATCCCAGAGTTAGTTTTTAAAACTCCATGATTGCTGTTTTTGCATATTATCTCAATGCTCTAAAATTATCCCAGCCTCCGCGCAGAAATGGATAAAGCCCCTTAAGCAAAAATGGAGTTGGTTGTGTTCGTTCTTTGCTGCTTCCCTGATAACAGTCAGTTCCCCAAATCTCTCTCACATGGAGCAGCCCCTCCACAACCCCACTGCCTCTGTCTTGGGGCACCCCTTGGTTTCTACATAAGGGGCCCTCACCCATCTCACAGTTCCAGTCTCTTCGCACATCCTTCTCCACCCAGCTGAGGTCTTTGAACAGAGGTGGCAGTTTGGGGACTAGGATTTGGTGAGACTCAATCCAGGTAAACAGTACCTTAAGAAGGCTTACGAATGGACGCTTGGGACCTGTGTTGATCCTGGTTCTCTCACAAATTAGCAAGTTACTTAACTTCTCTGTGCCTCTGTTTTGTCATCTGTGTGTTGGGTACAGTATCTGTACCAATCTTAGAGGGTTATTATAAAGAGTAAATGAGGTAGTATACATCAAGCACTCAAAATGTGAGCTGTTATTAAAATATATCTCGCATCTGTCCACTTCTCTCTATCTATGCTGCCACCACCTCATCTGAGCCACTGTCACTGGTCCCCTGGGCCATATCCCAGACTCTTTGTAGTGTCCTGGCCCTCCTCTGACCTTGCACTGCTCTCCATTCTCCCATTCTCCACGCAACAGCCAGGATGAGACTGCCAGATGAAATACAGGACACCCGGTTAAATGTGAATTTTGGATCAACAGTGAATATTTTTCAGCATAGGTATGTCCCATGCAATATTCATTATATACTTATGCTAAAAAGTTATTTATTTGAAACTCAAATTTACCTGGGCACCTTGTATTTTTATTTGCTAAATCTTGCAGCCTTAAGCCAGGGAGAAAGCAGATCGTTTTGCTCCTAGCTTCAAACCTGCATTGAGTTCTTGGCACAGTTAGGACAGAATCTGTACCCTGTCCCGACATGCAGGGCTTAACCTGGCCCAGCCTCTGTGGGCCATTTTTTTTCCTGTGACTATTATTAACAATTTAGCAGCATCAGTGGCCAGGCATTGCCTTGTCAGGTCACACACTGTGCCTGCTCCCCACCAGGGGACTGATCAAAGAATAAGAAAATGAAGCCAGCAAGGACCACAGGGCAGGAGACCGTGGGGCTTTGTGAGGTGCGTCCCATCCTGGTGTGGAACCCAGACCAGCTTTCCGCTTGCATGGGAAACTGTAGCAGCTGGACCACCAGCCTGGAGCGAGTGGCAAGGGGGTTGGTCCAGACTCCATCCTGTGCGGCAGCCAACTGCCCAGATCTACTTCGACCAGCCCTGTGACCTTGGACATGACCTTTACCTCTCTGTGCCTCAGTTTCCTCATCTACAAACTGGGGATGCTGGCGGTGTCTAACTAGCCTCAGGGCTGTTGTGAGATAACCAAGTTCGCACCTGGACATCAGCTGCGGCAGCACCTAGCAGGGAGCAACCGAACCCCAGCCTTTTCAATTCATTCTTCAAGGCCAGGCAGGACTGCAGGCGTGGGCCAGGGAGAGGGCGCAAACAGAGCTTGCTCAGCTGAAGGTGGTTCTACTGGAAATCCAGCTGCCCCAGTTGTGGCCCCCATGGCCTCAGGGTGGAGCAGCACATTGAGACGGAGAAGGTGGTCGAGGGCCCAGCCGACAGTTTCCTTCCTCCCCTCGCCTCCCTGGGAGCCTGCAGCCTTCAGCCGTCCCTCCCCGATCTGTGTTCCTGGCTTGCCTGCTCCGGGTGGATATCCTTACATCAGGGGCAGGGGGCTGGCGGGGAATTCAATCGGTCTCTGCTTGGGTCCCTTGACCTTCTCCCAACAGGCTGAGCTTCTCTTCCTGGGGAGCCTAGAATCCCCTGGCGACTCCTTCCCTTTCTCTTAAATTGTGGCCACAGCATGGCGCCCAGTCCATGGTCAGAATGCAGAGTCCCAGGCTAGGGACTGAGCTTCTCACCAAGCCAGATGCACCCCCCACCAGGAAGCACTGCCCCCGCCACTGGATTGACCTCGTGTGCCAGGTGAGCCAAGGACGAGGGTTTTGGGCCTGGCTCTGGGTGCCTCTAAACAGACCCGCTTCCCAGACCCCGGGCTCTCTTTCCTCTCTCCTGTCACTGTGCAGGTAACTGGGCTCCCTGATGCTGTGGTGTTTCTGAAATACTTCGATGTAGTCAAAAATCTTCATTGAGTCCCTACTGTGTGCCAGGCTCTGAACTCAGTGCTGAGGACATGAAATGGGCAGAAGGGGCCTGCTCCCACAGCGTCCTGGGCTGGGACAGACACATTAGGAGTTAAGGACACTTACTAGAGTGAGTATGTGCTGAAGGCCATAAGCAGGTGGAGATGAAAGGGAGGAGCAGGGGTGGGCGCCATTGTAGAGAGGGGCTGTTTGGGACCCACTTGGAAAGAAGGGCCGGGGCCCCTGAGGAGGTGGCATTTGGAGGAGGAACAAGAATGAGCTCAGCAGAGGCAGCGAAGCTGTTTCCAAGGGCCAGCCAGTGCAAGGCTCCCAAAGTGAGCAGAGGGTGATGCATTTGGAGAAGTAACAGGAGGTCACTGAGGCAGGACACAGGGCAGGGGAGGTGACAAGGGGCCTTCCAGGCCAAGGACAAAAGAAGCCCCCTGAAGGGTGGGAAACGCAATGCACATCCTTGCAGTGGGTTAAGCCGTGTCCTTCCAAACAGACGTCCAAGTCCCAACCTCCAGCACCTGTGATTGTGACCTTACCTGAAAATAGGGTCTTTGCAGATGGAATTAAATCAAGGATCTCAAGAGGAGATCATCCTGACCTTCAGGGTGGGCTCTGAGTCCAATGGCAAGTGTCCTTGTAAGAGACAAAAGAGGAGAGACACACAGAGAAGGGAGGCCTCGTGACGATGGGAGCAGCGGTTGGGGTGATGCAGCCGCCAGAACAGGCCAGCAGCCACAAGAGGCCAGAAAGGGTCTGTCCCAAGAGGCTCGGAAGGGGGCTTGGCCCTGCCCACACCTTCATCTCAGACTCTGGCCTCCAGAACTGTGAGAGGACAAATGTCTGTTGTTTTAAGCCACGCAGTTTGTGGACATTTTTTATGCAGTCTTGGAAGCTAAAACGATGTTTAAAAGCTCTGGCTGAAATAGGCAGAATTGGTTGTGGGGCAGGGGAGGAAGCGGGAGCCGCCTGCGAAGCCAGGACCCCTGGAGCAGGATGGCAGCTGGAATCCAGGCAGTGACGGGGAAGGGAGGAGAGTGGAGATGGAGATATGCCTCAATAATAGTGAAGCTGAAATTTTACATCCCCACCCCCTGCCCAGCACCTTGCTGTAATGGCCTTATTCAGATTTTCATATTTAATTCTGTATTAAACCCAGGTGTCAGTGACCATCACCATCACCATTTTATAGACGAAGAACCAAAGGAACAGAGAGGTTCGTTAACATCTCCCAAGACCACACAGCTAGAGGCAGCAAGGCACAGATTGCAACCTAGGCCAGAGGATCAAAGGACCACGTATTTAGCCACCCCAAGCTCACTGTCATGCAGTCAAATTAACAGCACTTGCTGGGGGTAGAGGTGGGTGGATGATGACAGAGAAGAAAACAAGAGCCGCTAAGTGGGTGGCACTGCTTGGAAGACTGCGGGGTGGACAACCTGTCTGTCTCCAGGAGGAAAATGGCCATTTCCTTCCCAGGACGCCCATTGAGCAGGAACTTTCTGGAGCTGGGTCCTTCAAGATGGGCCTCCCACTCTCCACGTTCTGCCATTCGGAGCAGGCAACCTGCTGCGGTTGTATTAATTATGTGATGGCAAATGAAAGCCCCCAGCTGACCCACCGGGATCATAAATAACGCTGGCAGAAAATGGATTTGGGCCACGTGTCTCAGCAGCAGCTTTTTGTGGCATGAAGGTTGGATCTTTTCCATTCTGGGACTGGTGTTTGCTTAGCTGGGAAACCACTCGTCTTCCTGTTCCAGTTCTCCCCGTAAGCATTCTTTTCCCCTTTTTAAACAACAATAGGGGTTACTATGGAAATCAGAGTAATTTTCATCCCAATGTAGTCCAGATAAACTATCAGGCATTTGCGGCCACCTTGCCTGCCACCCGTGCTCTGGTCTCATGACTAGACAATTTGGGAACGTCTGAGAAACTCACATTCTCTTGCATCGATTTCCTAAGTGGGTCAGAGCTTGGAGTTCTTGGCAATTAATGGCTGAGTTAGTGAAGGCAGAGCATAAAAATTTCATGAGCAAAATACGTCTTCCTTATTTTGAAACTTTAAAAAGCCCCACTCAGATAAATGACCCCTGTTGTACCTGAAGTACTGAGTAAATTAGGTGTAATTTTATTACAATATTGATTGCTGCCACCAGACATCTCGATTGTATTTTTTAGCCTTGATCAAAGGTGAAAATGGCATCTTTTAATCGAGTTGAAAAATGCAACTCTGTGGGAAGATGGAGCTGAGCTGAAGGAGGAAGGTGGAGGGAAGAGAGAAGTCTCAGACCCCCTGTTGGGGAAAATCCACAACTTTTCAGCAGAAACAGAGATTGTCAGCAATGGCTGCCAGTGAATAAGTATTCAGTGAATAATAGGAAAAGAATATAGTAGGCACTCAATAAAAACCGCACCCCTACTCTGTAAGCAAGAAGCTCTGAATATGACAAGAGAGGCTCTTAGAGGTGCTGGAAGTAATGAAAGTCTCCTTAGGGGCAAGAACTGCAGGAAAACGAAATGATTTCTTTTTTTTTTTTTTTTTTTTTTTTTGAGACAGTCTCACTCTGTTGCCTAGGCTGGAGTGCAGTGGCACACTCTCGGCTCACTGCAACCTCCGCCTCCTAGGTTCAAGCGATTCTCATGCCTCAGCCTCCCAAGTAGCTGGGACTATAGGCACGTGCCACCACACCTGGCTATTTTTTTTTTTTAAGTAGAGACTGGGTTTCCCCATGCTGGCCAGGCTGGTCTTGAACTCCTGGCTTCAAGTGATCCACCCACCTCGGCCTCCCAGAGTGCTGGGATTACAGGCATGAGCCACTGTGCCAGCCCACAAAAATCATTTCTTATGTCTCATGTGGCCCTGGCACAGAAGAAGTGCTCAATGAATATTTTTGGAATATTATTGCTGAACTTATGAGGTATAGAAATGACTGTTGGAGAGGGGTGTCTTTCAGGGACCCTTTCTCTGAAGGAAGAGTGACAGCTGCCCAGGTGAGAGCTGAGGTCAGGGCATGGGGATGGAAGAAGAATGTTCTAGGCCAAGGGAAGACCCTGCCGTTCATCGTGACTGCAAAGCAGACAGGGCCCTCGCGGTGAGATAACTGGCCCTTGTGACAATAAATGTTAGTGTAGCACATAAGGCTGAGAAGAGACTGCTCACCCCTGCAGGTCCAGCCCCACACAGAGCAGGGGACACATGCAGTTTGCTAAAGGGGAAAGAAAGAGACAGGAGAAAGAAGAGAGGGGAGGGAGGAAGCAGAGGAGAGGGAGGAGAGGAGCTCCTCTCGCTCTGAAAGTTCCTTCCTCATCTGTAGACAATTGCACAGCTAACATAACCTCTTTTGATGCAACTTAAAAGGAGGTTACTGTTTGAAGAATGATTGATGACGTCTCCTGTGGTTTACCTTTCCCAAGTGACTAATTGGGTGCATTCACCCACAGCACAGAGAGGCACCATTTGCCCTGAATGATTTCATGAACCAGAGAAGTTGAGGGGCTCGGGTCAATGGCTGTGGTGCATGGAAAGCCATGGTCTTCCCCTACCCCCAACCCCACCCTAAAAAAATCTCAGCTAGGACAGATTAATCACAGGAATTGACTGGCAGACGGGCTTCGTGTAGGAAGAAATGCCAGGAGGCTTTGGATAACAGGGGCTGGTGGAGGGGGGTCTCCCACCTGCAGAGGCCATGGTAAGTGGGAGGTATGATGTGCAAAATAGACACTTGGCCCAAGCCTCCATGCCCAAAAAGTCCCAGAGTACACTGGAAAGCTTCTCCACTTGAAGCTTTGCACACAGTCACAGAGCCACCCTGGCAGGACTGGAAGAAGAACATGTGTATAGTATGAACATCTCTAAACTCCATCCCACACCAGTATTTGCTAAGAATTCATTTTTTTTTTTGAGTGCTGCAATTATCTTGTGGACAGTGCAAATTATATCCAGGGGTGTGCTGGTGAACCAGCTCTCCACAATCAAGAAAGGGGAGATCCCCCTTCGTTTGTGTTGTTTGCCAATTACCATGGTGTAAATACTGCCACTATGGCTGATTGCAGGCCATTGATGGTTTAAGAACTAACACAAAAGTTTCCTAAATATTTAATAATCGACTCTCATAAGCCTCTTCAAGCTGGCATTATCTCAGTTTGTATATAAGTTATTATTTATTAAATGTGACCATATGAAGTATGCTGCAATTTTGCAACCGTGCATTGGTATTTCTTTATGGTTTTAATATACCAGGAGGCTCAAAAGATGGAAAGGGTGGTGTAGGGTCTCTTCGTCTCAGAAATCACATTTGTAAAATCCTCTCTGCTCTGCTCTGTTCAATCTGGTGCCTAAACCTGGAAAGTGATTTTTCACCATCTCTACCTTCCTGCCCATCCTTCCCTCCTTTTACAAACATTTATTAGGCCGCTACTCTGCCGCCCCACATCCTCCATGAAAATGTCCCTCATCCAGTCAGACGTGGTAAATATCTCAGTCACTCCTGTCTTCCTTCTCAGCATTCTAGGTTTTACCCTAGAGACCAACCGCTCATTCATTCAAGAAATGTCAACTAGAAATTTATTCTGTACTGGGCACGTGCTAACTGCTAGAGCAAAAATAGAGTTATCTTGTTTTAAACAAACTTTTTGGAGAATACAATAATAATACATATTCACAGATGAGCATTTGGAAAATGTAAAAAAGAATACAAAATCATCTCATAACCTGTAATTCCATTATCAGAGATAATGGCGGCTGATGTTTTGGTGTGTTTCTATTCAGTTATTTTTCCTTGTCCAATAAACAAGGACACAAGAATTTTTTTATAAAAATGATCATAACCATTTAATAATACAATACAAACCTTTCTACATCATCACGTATTTTTCTGTACGATATAATTTTAATAATTGTACAATATTCTATTGTCTGGTTGTGTTATGATATACACCCAATCTCCTTTGTTAAACACTTCGGTAATACTCAATTTCTTATTCTGAATATTCTGAATCATTCTGCAATAAAAATTCTCTGATGAATGTCTGCACATGCCCATGATTAATTACATAGGACAAATTCTTGGAAGAATAGTATTTTCCAGGTCTTTTATGGTTTTTCTTTTTGGCCCAATAGTTGTTTAGGACATAATTTTTTAGTTTGGTTTGTTGTGTTTTATTTATAAATCTTAGATTTTTAGCATACTTCTTACCAAGATTAACATAGTTACAAAACTTTCCTCAAATCATAAATGTCAGCCCAATGAATTTGTATGTAATAAACATGCCCTTATAACCGGTGCATAGATATAGGAATAAAATATCACCATCTCCTCAGAAACCCCATTGGTGTCCCTTCTAGAAATTCTCTATACCCCATCCAAGGATAACCATTATCATGAATTCTAACAGCATAGATTAGTTTTGCCTGTTTTTGAACTTTATGTAAACAGAACCCTAAAATACAAATGCTTTTGTGTCTGGTGCTCTCGATCTACCCTACGCAGGCAAGATTCCCCTACATTGCTGGATGTGGCTATGTGTGTCAACTTTCCTGAGTAGTTGCATTGTGTTCTGGTGGATGAAAAAACCCATAATGTATTTGTCCTTTTACTGTTGATGAAAATCTAGGTAGTATCACCCATCTGGGTGGTCTCATCTTCACCCATCTATAGGATCAAATTTATTAATTAAATTATATAGAGCTTCTCTAGGTATACTTTCATAGTTTTGTCTCTAGATCTTTGAAAATTAAAATGGAAAGAGGTATCTAAAATCTCCCACTGTATCGTATCACAGAGGTGAAGGAGTCGGCCCAAGACCACACTATCCAGAGAGGTCAGGAGGCGTTTGGACTCAGCCACCCGGCCCCGGGCAGCCGAGGTTAACGGAACCCAGCGCCCGAGGCTGTTGTGAGGATGAAACATGATCATGGAATCTGAAAACTCAGCCTGACGTGGAAAACATGATTGCCTGTTAAGCACCGGCTGCTCATTTTCATCTTCTGGGTGAAATGCTCAAAGGGACTGGATGAATACTGAGTGAGTAAGGAATAAATGAATGAATGAACAAATGAATCCGAATGCCCTCCAATGTGCGTATGTGCCTGGGTCTGTTGCAGAAAGCCGCCTTTGTTGTCTAGACAAGAAGAGATGTTTGCTTTGTGAGCCCCTGGTGGGTCTGCGGAGGTGGCAGCCCCTGGGGGCAGCTGGACCTTCCCCTGGGCCCCCCACCAGGGTGACTGATGAGGCTGAAGGGGATTTTGCCAGCAGCTGCGGCTGCCAGCCCAGCCTGCCATGCAGACCTGGTGCTCTGGGCTCTGGAATGAAAGCACAATAGTGGCATTGTCACCACTTCCCTGTTTCTTGATTGTCCCAGTTACTCATCAAGGATGTTGGCGAGCCCAGCCCGGAACACAGCGTCCTTGTCCCTTGATTAAGCAGCAGACACGCTCAGACAGTGGCCCTGCAGGAGGTGGTCGATGAATTCATCTCTTGGCCATTCAGAGAACCCAACAGCCACGGACTTGGGCAGAGATGGGTCAATGGGAGGTCATGCCGGGTGGTCCCCTCCAGAGGCCACCCCCAAAGGGAAATAATGACAGCATCCTCCCCCCAGGAGGTGCCCCAGACAAGGCTGATGAAAGGGGTGGCTCGGTGGCTTCCTGTGGAAAGCCCGCTCTGGGACAGACCCCTGTGTGAGAATGATCCTGCTTGCTGTTATCACTCCTTGATCAAAACCTTCAGTGGCTTCTCACAAGCAGAAGACAGTCAAAACGCCTCTCACAGAGCCCTCCGTGATTTGACCACAGATCTTCCCGCTCACGTTTTTGCTCACCGTGTTCTGCTCACACCTGCCTAATTTCTGGCCCTGGGACGCACCATGGTCTGTCCTTCCTCAAGCCTCTCCTTCCGCCTGGGTGGATCTCTGGGTCCACCCCGGCACCAGCTCTGATGGCCGACTCCTAGCCGGGGCTGCCTGGTTCACTTTCGGACCCTAACACGTGGAGTAGCACCTGCCCAGAGGAGGCACTGGAGAGACATTCACTCAGGCTACTTCCCAGCGCCTAGAGCAAGGCCTGGTACATACTAGGTGCTCAGCAAATATGGAAGGGAGAGGGGAAAACAGAAGGGAGGAAACGGTGGAGAGAAATTATCATGCAGCAACTTCAGAGACAGCAAGGGGAGTGGAACAGAGAAAGGGGTGCCTTCCAACAGGCACCTGGGACCCCCTTTGGGATGGGCCCCCTGTACACGCCCATACCACTCTCCAAGGCTGAAAGCATCTCGTCCTCCACTGCCAAAGCATTCCAGGAACGGGGCTGCACCCAGAGCAGCAGGAGGTACCATCCCCTCTCCTACCCTCACGTCCAGCTCTTCTCCCTGCTCCATGATCCACAGTGAGGGCCTCCCTCGCTTCAAGATAGTCCATGACTAAGGACCTGTGGGACCATCACATTTCTTCATCTCTTCAATACATCTTTTTGAAGGCCTGTGATGCCCCATGGATGGGGCGAGGCTCCGGATCAATGAAGGCAGGAAAGTCACACGTGGCCCCACCTGTGGCAAGCCCCCAGCCAGTGGAGCTGGGAACATACTGGACAGATGAGAGTCAGCCCATGTGTTCAGGAAGCCAATCTGATTTTTGTCATCCACTGGCCCTTTAAACTTGTCCACTGGGAAGGAGCCTTGTCCCTGACCAGATGGGAGCTCAGGCGATGACCATGACTTTGCTGGTCGCTTTCTAGCAGTAGACAGTCCTGTGGTCAGTGTGAGTCACAGACGGCCTCAGTCTAGCAGTGGAAAAAGTCCTGTCCTGAGTAAGAATCAAAACTTGCTCCTTGATTCAGCACAATTTGCTGCACGACGGGTGCCTGCGGTAAGCTGACTGCTTGCAGGGAAGTGGCCTGGACCTCCTCTCTTTGCCCACAGGCTTTCGTCCATCACTCCGACACAGCCTCCTCACTCGGGCTCAGGAGCCAGGCAGGGTCGGGAGGGAGACGAGGTGGACAGCTGCTCCCCCCCAGTCCCGTGTGTGACAGCTCTGAACTGCCTGGGACGCAGCAGAGCCTCCTCCGATGGACTGACGGCTCTGTGGGGATGAGCAGGGCCTCTCCTACCTGGCCGCACCCCTGTGGGCCATTGTCCCGGAGAGGAGCCCCTCTCTTTAAGGGGCTCAGTTGCCCAGGATGCATGCAGCATTGACCGTCTCTTGGAGGAGTTTCAGCTTTTCAGAAGCAGCCGCAGTTCTTCAACCCAGGCCCCTTTTGCCCTCAGGCATGAGTCCCTTGAGCCCTCCAAAGGCCGGGCGCGGACAGAGCTGTCTGCATGTTCCCACAAAACCCTCGCCAGGTATGAAGTGAGGGGATCACCACCCTCCCTCCTTGGAGCGGAGAGTGCTCTGTGCTCCTGCAACTCACAAAACCTTCTTCCCATCTCCACAGAATCAGGACACCTGGGTTCCCATCCCTTCTGCCCACACCAAGGCATAGCCTTCCACCCCTCTGAGCCTCAGTTTCCACTTCTATACCAAGGGAATGGCACTGCCCTAACCAGGCTCTGAGGGGCCAGATGGAGTCACGTGCACGCACACATGTCCTGTTTATTATTAGCGGAGGTGTGGTGTTGGCATGGTGTGAGGATGGAAGGAATTCTCAGGACCCTTCCAGGGTAAAGGAACAGAAACATCCCTGACCTTAGCCTGGCCTAAACTAGGGATTGGCTCCTGGCCCTGAATTCTCTGCAGACTCTGAACTCAGTGTGTGCCCAGCCTGAGCCATAGCCAAGAACCAGGTCCAAGTGCACTGAATATCTCCCAAGCTGGGCTGGACACCCTCCTGCCACGTCCAGCCCATTGTTTCAATATGAAGCAGAATGTCCCCCTCAGAACCTGGGGCTGTGTACATTTTGCAGCTCCAGAGCCACTGGCATCACACTGCAGACCAGAAACTTTCCATGGGAACCGTGGGAGCAGGAGGAAGACCAGGTGCTCAGCGGCCAGGGCAGGGCCATCCTGGAGCTCTCAAGCCCGGGCACTGGAGCCAGCCAGCCATGTGTCCCCTTCAAGAAGTCTCAGAATCCCAAATCCCAGCTGCAGCCTCTGGAGCTGGAAGACAGGTCATGTCTTAGTGAAGTTCTTTCCCTGAGACCCAGGTCATCCAGGACAAAAGCAGGAACTGGAATGAGACAGGAAAGGCGGTGACCCCCCAGTCCCTGGCTGTCCAGCCTTCAGGTCATCCATGGATGCTACAACATGTATTGAGCAAAACTCCAGGATGTGCAACTGGGGTAAAGCAGAAGCAGAACAGACAAGCCCCAGGGGATGTAGATGCTGCAGGAGTGGGCAACAGCCAGTAATCAGGAAGCAGATGCATTGACAAAAAAAATAGCAAGCAAGGCAAAGCAAACCCCACGCAGGAAGCACACAGGTGCGGCCCGAGTGACCACGGGGAAGGGGCTGCTTTAGCCGCCCATCGTGGGGGCCTCCTCCAAGCAGGTGGAATGTGATTCTGCAGCTGGAGTGATGAGAGGGCTGGCTAGGGGAAGACCCAGCCCGCAGTGGCAGATGTCCAGGCCAAGCAGCCAGCACAGGCAGACTGTGGGGTGATGAGGTGAGAGCTTGCAGGGGAAAGGCCTGGGCTGTGATGAGATGAAAACTTCAGATGAAAAGATTTTTTAAATTGCCCCCTTATTACTGTATCAGTCAGGGTTTGACCAGAGAAAGAGTCAGTAGGAGGCAGATATTAAGGGATTTATGCAAGGAGTTGGCTTTGGTGACCATGGGGTCTGGCCAGGCAAGTCCCGAGTCCATGAGACAGGCTATCAGGAACGGCTGTGACTCACAGGCATGGGCCCAGGCCACTGTCACAGGAGGAATTTGTTCTTCTTCAGGGGCCTTTGCCGGCTCCAAGGCCTTTCCACTGATCAGGCCCACCCAGGTCATCCAGGACAACCTCCTTTACTTGAAGTCAGTGATTATGGGCTTAAACCACAACTCTAACATCTCTCCCTGCAATGCTCAGCTGAGGGACTCATTGAATAACATGACTGTGGCCTCGAAGGATTCACATATCAAGCTGATCATCACAATTACCTGCCCAGAGCAATATTAAACACCACTCAGAAATTATGCACATGGTTTCAACCTTCTTTTTAAAGTCCAAGTTGTTCTGGACCTCCCTTTTGGAGAGGTCCCGGAGTGGCGCCCCGCCGCGGGTCAGTGACTTCCTCCAGTGGGGAGGCATCTGCCCTTTGTCCCACCCACAAGGCAGAATGATAGGCAGGGGCCGGGACCAATCCCCACCCTGTGACTTCCTTTGAGGCAGCTTCAGGGGTGGGGCTGTCCAGTTCCCCTGAGGTCACATTAGGAATGCCAGCAAGCCCTCCACGTGGCTTTGGCTGGAATATTCTGGAAAACATGTTCATCACTGTCAGTGGGACTTTCTTAAGAATCATAGAAAATTGATGCTTCCCATGGTGGAGGGAAAACTCATGAATTTGATGGTGAGATTAGAGGAGTTTCAGACTGTAATGGCTACTTTTTTTTACAATTTGAAATATTTATTTAGACCAAGAGAGGAAATCACTACATGTTTTGCAATATTTACAAGTTAGCAATATCACAAAATGTAGTGGGGAAAAAGAACAATTTTTCTTAATTACAGCTCTGTAATGCTTTTTTCCTACTTTTCTTTTGGTTGTATCACGTTGTCTCTTCATTTGGCAATTTTGTAATATCCTTTCCCATAGAAGAATTTAAAGATAATTCAGAGTATCCTCTAACGTAGTTGATGGAAATTTGCTTTTTAGTTTTGATAGTTTATAGGAGTTTCTTTCAAATTCTCAACTCTTTACTAGCAATATAATGTAATTTTTACGATTGCTGTTAAATTTGGGGAAACCTCTATTGAGTTTCTTTCCTTGCTGAGCTAGGATTTCAGGGCATTTCAGATTTGCCATGGTGTGAGTTTTCTTAAATATTATTTGAATTGACAACATTCAGATTATTCTCAGATTATTCTCAGAAGATGTACACTGGTTAATTTTATGTGTCAACTCGACTAGGCTAAGGGAGACCCAGACAGCTGGTAAGACATGATTTCTGGGTGTGTCTGGGAGGGAGACGAGCAGAGCATCAGAGAGGAGCATCTGAATCTGTAGACTGAGAAAAGATTTGCTCTTTCCCAAGCAAGCAGGCAGCATCCAATCCATCCAGGGCTGGAGTAAAGCAAAAGGTAGAAGAGGGGAAAATTCACTGTCTCCCTTGAGCTGGGACGTCCACCATCTCCCGCACTCAGACGTTAGAATCCCGATGCTTTATTTAGCCTTTGGACTCAGACTGGGATTTACACCATTGGAGCCCCTGTTCTCAGGCCTTCGAGTTGGAGCTGGAACCACACCACTGGCATTCCTGCTTCTCCAGCTTGCAGTCAATCCTGGTTCTGTTTTTTTCTGGAGAACTCTGACCAATGCACAGGTCAACAAAGAAAAGTTCTTCCTCAAAAGCCCACACTTTCATGTTTGTTATGCATGTTATCTGTTGATTTAAAACAGATGGGCAAGATATCCTCAAGGAATTTGGAGAAATATTCTTTTATCCAACCCACTAATGTAAAACCAACTAAAGAAGCTGATGGCCTTTAGTTTTAAGACCATTTGGTGTGGAGGTCCCATAAAATGCTCCAGAAAAATAACATTTAGTGTAGTGAGAACCAGGACCTGCTGTTTCCAGATGAGCCTACCTTTTCTTTGGCCATTTAAAGACTTCCATTTCCAAATCGTAAACCGATCTGGAACTTGTGTAATATATTTGTCTAGTTATTGGTTTGTTTATTTTTAATTTTAGGACTTCTCTACTGTCACAGGATCCTTCTCCTTGGGGTGTCACTTTTCCAGCCGGAAACCTCTGTGACCAATGGTGCCTTTGCCTGAGTTTTGCTCGGGCCTGCTGGGCTCATTCCACCCACCCACCCTGGCAGGCTGTGCTCGGTTTGCACCACCAGTCTGGATCCCAAGCCTGCAAAAGGCGAGCCAGGGGCAGAGTGGCGACAGGTGTGTGAGTGAGTGAGCGTGGGGTCCAACCACTGCACACAGCTAGGCACGCCAGCTGCTGCAAGACAGGCAGCTAAGGTTCTGGCACAGGCACCAGCTTATTGTGAGGCTGCGGCTAGACCAGGCATATTGCAAGCAGCTGCCACGCTGGCTCTGGGGAACATGGTGGCACCCAGAAGCTTGGAGGTGCCAGGAACCACACAGCCCCAAAGAGGGTGTCACAGCCCTGGCCCGGGGAGCTCCTAGGACTGGGCTCCCCAAAGGGCTGCAGCTCTCCTCTCCTTGTCTCTTCTCTCCTTCTCATCACCCACAACATGGTGAGCAAAGGGCATGTCTCAGCGCCACCATTCACCAGGTCCCAAGTCCTTGTCCTGTATCCAGGAAGAATGAGGTATGACGACAAGTAGAGGGTGAGCAGGACAAAGAGGTGATTTATTGAGCAGCAGAACAGCTCAGACAGAGGAGACCGACAGTGGATAGCTCCTCTCCACAGGCAGGGTCTCCTGAACGAGTGTCCAACTCTCAGCAGAGAGGAGACTCACAGTGGGTAGCTTCTCTCCACAGGCAGGGCGTCCTGACATCTCTTCTAGTCTGACTGAGTCTGGGCTTTTATGGGTTTCAGAAGGGAGGAAGTGCATACTAATTTGTCCATGGGTGGCCATGGGTGAGTCTGAGAAATGCACCAAAAGTTCTCATTCCAGTCCACAGAACTGGCAGCCCAGCCCCAAGTCTTCACCGGGGACCCACCCCTTTCCACCCAGAAGACTGTCTGCCTCCACCACCATCAACCTGCCATCCACAGTGCCCATGGTGCCCAAGCTGCTCATGCAGAGGGGTGCCCGCAGGCTGGCATTGAGCTGCCCTAAGCTCCCCCTTGGCCTCCCCTTGGCACCCAACGTCCAGAGGGGGCTGAGGGCAGCAGGGGGCTGGTGTGTCAGCACTGCCCCCAAGCACGTGCACACCCAGCTAGGTCGCAACAGCACCTGGGCTCAGCCTCAATTTTCCTCAGGGAGCAGGGAGAGGCCAGGCAATGGGAGCAGGTATTTCTGAGCCTACGGGGGGAGAGGGACTTCCTGGTCCCCTGAAAATGCAGAGATGCCTGAGTCCACAGCTGCAGCTGCGCCCAGGAGGGCAGGGCCCCCACCCCTCTCCAGCTCCCACTGACCCCTTGGAATGTGCAGCCCTGGCTGCGCCTCCCCTACTGCAGCCTGCGTCATGGCAGCAGCTGCTCCAGACGGGCCACCTCTGCCATCACCACCATGTACGGACTTTTTCTATAACACCAATGGTATTTGGGGGCTATTTGTTTTTACTTCCCTTCAAACCCATCCACGTGAGGACTGCAGTTGAGGTGCACTGCACTTTCTGCACTGCGTTCTGCTCAGAGATGATCTTCTTGGTCTTCGTGAACTTTGCCTCAAGCCACAGATGCTTTTTTTAAAGTGACTTACCTTTGCTTCACCAACAGAGAGCCCCATTAAGAGAGGCTCTGTGTCCTCTTTCTCTTGTTACTGTGGCCCTGACAGTCACATTAGGTGGCTGGATTCTGGCTTTTGTGCCCAGAAGAGAGCTTACCAGTTCAGTAATTTTGCAGTCTGTAGGGCATGGTAACCAAACATTTGAGGAGGCTCTGTGAATTTAGGGGCCTTTCCTGGAGGAGAGGCAGTTTCGGGGTGGCGTGGTGGACAGGCTTGTTGAATGCACCCTAGTTGATACCCCTTGAGGGACATTATCAAACACCCAACTTACAGATGGAGAAGATGAAGTTCAGACCAGTGGAGAAGCATTTGCCTAAAGTCCAAAGAGGAGTAGGTCACAAATCAGAGGACTGTGGTGAGGGAAGGGGGCGTTGGAGGGGGGCTGGTGGCCAAGGCTGCTCCTGGACCCTGTATGGTCGTGGGAAAGACACTCCACCCTGGGAATATGGTCAGCTGGACACGTTTGGCTGGGAAGCACTTTGAAGCTGGGCAGCATCCAACATGCTGGCCAGTCCCTGGGGCTCCCAAGGCTGGGGACACAGGCCTCCACTCTGACAAGCTGTTCAGAGCACTCCCCAAGCCTTTGTGTGGGAAGGGACAGCCCAGCAGCAGAGCAACTGGAGTGTAGATGAGAGAGGAAGAACCACATTCCAGAGATTTTATATTTTATATTGGGGTGTTCCACAAAGAAAGGGCCCTGGGGTCAAAGCAACCTGTCCCAAGGTTTTTCAGCAAATGTCCCATAAGCAGCAGTGGGGGCTGCTCCAAAGTAGATGTTCTGATCCCTGCTTTCTGCTCCGTGCAGGAAGCAGCACAGGGACTGTAGGCACATGAGGCTCAACCTGAATCCTGGCTCTGCCTGTTTTCCCGGCCTGTTTTCTAGCTAGGTGAGAAGGGAGTTTGGGAAGCCTGAGTTTCCTTTTAAAGTGGGAATATAACAGGCTGGGCATGTATGGCTCAGGCCTGTAATCCCAGTACTTCAGGAGGCTGAAGTGGGTGGATCGTCTGAGGTCAGGAATTTGAGACCAGCCTGGCCAACATGATGAAACCCCGTCTCTGCTGAAAATACAAAAATTAGCTGGGCATGGTGGCATGCACCTGTAATCCCAGCTACTAGGAAGGCTGATGCAGGAGAATCGTTTGAACCCAGGAGGTAGAGGTTGCAGTGAGCCGAGATCACAGCATTGCACTCCAGCCTGGGTGACAGAGCAAGACTCCATCTCAAAAAAAATAAAATAAAATAAAATAGGGATATAAGCCTGCCAATCTCAACGGATGACTGCAAGCTAATATATATAAAGAACTCAACATGCTTTAAAATCATAATGCATGCCATTGTCATTGCTGTCACATTACAGATGAAGAATTTGTGGCAAAGCAAGGACAAGTAACCAGCAAGAGAAATACACTTTGGCAAAATCTGATTCTAATGCTGCCTGTTCTCTTCCACTTGCCCCAAAAGAGGAGGGGAAATGACTCACCTAAGGACACACAGGAAATATGATGGGATTAGACTTGGACCCAGAGCCTTCTGACCCCAAACCCGCCACTCCATGGGGGGCTAATTCTGTTGTGGATAAAAAACGAGGGAGGGAAGGAGGTGGCCATAGAGGGGAAGTGGGCAGCCCACAGACCCCCAGAGAAGACATCCTTCATCCAGCTCTAGCCACTTGTTTCTGGGCAGAAATGTGGGCCCAGTGAGGTCACAGCTTAAAAGTTTTCCAGGAGAGATCAGCAATCTGGATTTTCAGGACATAACCTCACTTTTAAGGTTGACAACTAATTTGATGAAAATACATGCCACTTGCAGACTGACTGGCCCCAGCCCTCTGGTTTGAGTCCTCATCCCCTATCCTACACTGCTTAGGATCTAGCAAACCACATTCTCTCTATCTGTAGCTCACACCATCACATTTGAAGAGCCTTAGAGAAAGCCAACAAATTCCAGAAAATGCCTCTTACAAAAAGGCTGTTCATGCAGCAATTCTATTCATCCATTTGCCCACCCATCCATTCATCCACTCATCTATCCATCCATGCATCCATCCATCCATGCATCTGTCCATCTTCCCATCCATATACTCACCCATCCATCCATCTATACATACATACATCCAAGCACCCATGCATGCACACATTCATCTGTCTCTGCATCCATCCATCCGTGCATCTATCTATCCACCCATCCATACATCTACCACCCATCCATGCAGCAACCCAAAAATCCATCTATTTATTTCTCCATCCATCCATACATCTATCCATTCATGGAGCACAAAAAACACACCTATCATGTGGTAAGACTGGGAAAACTAAGGCCCAAGTTATGTATGGCACCTTGCTTCAAAAATGAGTGTGCTGTCTGCCTTGGATGTGATGCTTCCACCTCGTTGTGAGGAGGAAATTGGGAAAGAACATCAGATTCTCCTTTGATTTCAGTCTGACTAGGTTGAATCTCTTTGGACTTCTGGCTGCCAGTGGCCCACTTAGTACCCAATGCAAGTTTGTTTGTAGCAAGCATTCTGCAGGACTGGGAGAGAAGTCAGAATCCACCCAGTCATTCAGCAAATACCCATTGAGATCCTACTAGGTTCCAGGCACCGTGGGAGGGACTGGCCCAGAATGCTGCAGCAGAAAACTAACTGTATGTCCCTGTCCTCTGTATATTGACAAAATACAAATAATAAGAAAAATCCAATATTCATACAATGAGTACAATAGGTACTAATATTAATTATTGATTAAAACTCATTGTTTCTATATTTTGCCATGGAGTTTACTACATTTCTGAATGGTAAGGCTTTGTGTTAGGGGATTTGTTTTATATCTTTGGGTACTCTTTATTAAAGGCATGTTAAATCACTTGTGAATTATTTAAGAGCTAGACAAGCTGAGTAAAATCAGCTTGAGATTTTAGTTTTTTAGTCACAGAAAATTCAAGTTCTGTCTACCCATATTTTTGAAACTCATTCAGTGGTACAGTTTGGAAAAGGACTGTAGTAACTTCCAAGAGAAACCCAGATGTGAATGAAGTCCAGCTTTGAACAAACACTCCAGGCCAATACCCGACAGGTGATTGGTGACTCTCTTCAACTTCCCAGTTGAAACGGGGCTGGAGTCAGACAGCAACAGACTGAAGGAAATGTAGAGATGGCCTCATCCATCCCCAGCCCTGCGTTTTGTAGACAGGAAAACTGGGTTCAAGAGGGAGGTGAGAGAAGCCCAAGTCCCTCCACGTGACCACTGGGAGTCCAAGAACAGAATTGAGGTTCCTGCCCCCAACTCAGTGCTCCTTCCCCTGACATTGCAAATCCATCTCTCTACCTCCAAAACCCACCCTGGGTCCTTCACTTCCCACTGGCTCCTGGACAAGGCCAGTGTCCCCTCTTCTGAGCAATGGCGCCCCCTGCCTAGCTGGCCTTACTGTTTTCCACACTCGCCCTTCCAACCCATCATCTGTGCCACAACTGATCTTTTCAGAAACTAATAGATTGCTTTACTCTCCTGATTACAGTCTTTCAATGATCTCCTCTCATTCTTAGGATGAAGACAAAATCCTCCAAGCTCATCTTTTGCCATTATCCTCTCTCCATGTCGTTCCCCACATGCTGGCTTCAGTTCAGTCCCCTTTTGTGCCTCAAGGTCTTTGATTGAACCATCCTCCCTGCCTGAAATCCCTTTCAGCCCCCATTGCTGACATATTTGGCTCCTCCTGCTTTCCCAAGGTCAGCTTAAGTGTCTCCTCCCCTGAGAGCCTTCCTGCATTCTCCCTAAATTTACTTCCTTCATCGCATTGTCAATATTTCTGGTTATGCATTTGCTTCCCTTTTAAATGTTCTGTTTTCTTGTAGCAGAATGTAAGCCCCATGAGAGCAGGGCTGCACCTCATCTTCCCTGTTCCTTCTGTATTCCAGTACCAGCCCAATGGCCAGCATGCAGCAGGTGCTCAATAAATAAACATCACATTACTAGAGAGGTACATAAATAAACAGCAACTCTTGTGTTTACAGCCAATGGGCATGAAAGAGAAAGACTGGGGTCTAGAGAGAAGGGAGGGGGAACACAGCAGGAGAGCTACTTTCGTTTAAGGTGACATCGTTTCGGATGTTTGCTAGTTCAGCGGCCATGAAGGAACGTTCCAGGGCTTGACAACTTCTAAATTTCTATGACTCAGTTTCTGGATTTGAAAAAACTTGCCAAATTTCGTACACCGCTTGATGACTCTGGGAGTTTAAGACCCCCTTTCTTAAAGTGAGGAAGAAAATGGAAAAGGATTAAAGTTCAGAAGAGTTGAGGCTTAGGTGAGGCAGCTCTTTGTACATAGGTGTTTATGTTTCTCTATGGAAATGGGCATTTCTATTAAGCAAGACTATGGATTTCCTTAAAGGATATCTTAATGGTTTTTAAAAGGCTGGTTTATTGGAAAAAGCAGAATTGAGTGGAAAAGCATGCTCTTCTCCCAGATGCAGTTGGTTAGACACTTGAAGCTCAATTCTATAAAATTGAGCCGAGCAGTGCCATTTGGATGCTGCAGCCTTAAGGTCAAGTGCACCAGAGAAAATGTGTCAGCCTCACAAACCCAAATAAAAATGGTATAAGGCATGGCTGCCATTGTCCAGTCTACCAACAGGCTCTCAGAGAGTCAGCATTTGAGAAGCTCCAGCAACAATATTCGAATTCTGTGCTTCTCCTCTTTGTCCATAGTGAGCACTTGCTGAGAGCCAAGCATTCTGCATACATTATCTCATCCTCAAAAAATTATATTAGCTAGTATTATCATTATCTTTGTTTTGTAGGTAAGGAAACCGAACAAAGGGATTCTCTGTAATTAACCCAAGGTCACACTGCTGATGAGTGGTGAAGCAGGGTTTAATCCAAATTTGACTGATTACTTAGCCTGGTGCCAGGCTGCCTCTGGCCAGAAGAACTCTTTGCACATCTATGTCCCTGTGATGCCCAGAGCCTTGTCAATGTATCCAACTCCTTCTTCCCATAGGGTGAGTTCTCTCTTGCCAGACTCCTCACTTCCTGCCAACAAACCATGAGATAGGCTTGGATAAATCTGATCTGCATGGAAAGGAAGGATGTAGTGCCATCAACACTAAGAGCCCAGGCAACTGAATCAATAAGAGAGTTAAATCTATGAGTGGTTGATCACAATCTCATGTCCTAATTGAGAAATCAGCAATGTACAGAAAAAGACCCTGCATACCACAGGACAAAAATTATAACTTATCTGGAGATTAACATACAAAGTACAGGTGAACTTTATGGAGAAAATTTCAAAACTCAAAGAGCAGAGTACATAAATAAGAGAAGTGATGGGTCGTGTAGGAAAGGAAGAGTTAAATGTTATAAGGATGTCAATCTCCCTGTATGTTTCAATAAATTTAATACAAATGAAAAAGCAGGATTTGGGGTGAGAATGAGATGAAGCAAATTGAGTCTAAAATGTACATGAAAAAACAATAGCTAAGGCAAAATTGCAAAAATAAAAGATATGATATATTAAAATACATTACAAAGTGATCATAATTTAAATTGTTTGGTCTGTCATAGAAATTAATACCTTCAGCAAACAAAATGGAACAAAATGGAAAGTCCAGGAACAGACTCAAGAGGTAGCATCAAAAATCAATGAAGAAGCAATGTATCATATACTAAACAATGTTAAGAAACTTGATTCAAAGCATAGATTTTAAAAATTAGATATATACTTTACATCACATCCCAAAATAATGAAGGATTAAAGAGATTTACAGGCAAAGCAAAGCTTTGAAACTATAAGAAAAAAATGCAGGAGAATTATCATTATGACATTGGAGTGGGAACAAAATTTTTTAATACAGTGCAAAAAAGCCCTCAACATAGTAGAAAACGAAATTTCTTAGATTTGATCACACCAAAGTTAAATATTTTTGCTCAACTAAGAACATCACAAAAATAGTGATAAGTGATAGATTGAGAGAATGTTTGTAATCTAAAACTAATGAAACTTAAATGAAAACATATAGGAAACTCCTGCAAAATCAGCAAGCAAAATAAAAGGAAACCCAAGTGAGAAAAAGACAATCACTTCTCCCAGAAGGGGAAGCACAGGTATCCAATAAGCAATGTGTGGAGAGGTTCAACCTCTTTAATAATCAGAGAAATGAAAATTGAGACAATATCTTAGTACTTCGTACCCCTTGGAGGAACACATTTTAACACTGGGAAACATTAACATTGGTTTTTGTTTTTGTTTTTGTTTTGTTGTTGTTGTTTGTGGTTTTGTTGTTGTTGTTTTGAGATGGAGTCTCACTCTGTCACCCAGGCTGAAGGGCGGTGGCACAGTCTCAGCTCACTGCAACCTCCACCTCCCAGGTTCAAGTGATTCTCCCACCTCAGCCTCCCGAGTAGCTGGGATTACAGGCACCCGCCATCATGCTCAGCTAATTTTTGTATTTTTAGTAGAGACGGGCTTTCACCATGTTGGCCAGGCTGGTCTTGAACTCCTGACCTCAGGTGATCTACCTGCCTCGGTCTCCCGAAATGCTGGGATTACAGGTGTGAGCCACTGCCCCTGGCCAAACATTGGTCTTAATATCACCTGCTGCCATAGCAAGGGGGATGGGAGCCCTCATGTGCTGTTGGTGGCGTAGGAACTGGGCCAGGTATTCTCAAGAACTAGCTAGTGACTCTAAGCATACGCACGCCTTGGGACATGAGTGGAAACCCCAGAGACAGGGTTTCACAAAATCAGAGGTAAGTTCAAGGATGTCCATTGCTGCATTGTTTGCAATTGCAGAATTGTAATCAGAAAGTACAAGATGTGCACTGATGAATCCACCTGGTACAAGAAAACTAAACATCTGTCACAGGAACAACTTAAGTCATCAGGTACAAACACGGAGATCAGAAAAGAGTGTTCAGTTATTTTGAAAAGGAGGACACAGTGTGAGATAATATGGCACAATCATTCAAGGGAATTAAATACAGCCGGAATGATCAATACACGTGTCCTAAGATCTAAGGAGAAGAGCTGTAAGTCATAACGTATGTCCTCAGTGTGGTGCTCCCTCTCCCATGTTCAATACTGAGTGTAAACTTTTTTTCCAATTCCACTCTTGTTTGCTGTACCACAAGGTAACTCAGACAGCCTTGGACCAGGTCCAGACAACCAGTAGGATAGGATGAGTGTGCGCTATTGATCAAAGCAAGGAGAAGGTGCCCCCAGCCATCAACAGGAAGCAAACGTCTGGGCCCCACCTCTCCATGTAGCAAGGGCAAGCATTTTGCAGCAAAAATAGAAACAGTGAAATGAAAAGCAATGCTTTTTAGAAACTTTCTAATTTTACCATGTTTCTTTTCTTTTTTGAGACTCATTTTTTTTCCAAAAAATAAGCTGTAAAATGGGCCACTGGACCAAAGGCTGTATCCCTTACAACCCTGACATACAAGGGTTCCATGATCTCCTACTCTTACACTACTGTCTCTTTGACCCAATAATTGAATGTCCAGCAATCTATCCTTAAAAAACAAAATTAAAGATTAAGATTTGTGTACATGGATGTCTAACACTACATTATTAATGATAGCAAAATTTTGGAAAGTATCTCAATATGCAATAAAAAAGATGAGCAAAAAAAATTGTGATATCAATATGATGAAATATTTCTCAGCCAGTAAAGCTCCCAGATATAGGGATGTTTTAATGACTTTGAAAACCACTCATGTCAATGGCAAACACACGATAGGTGGTGACAGCAGCCCAACCTGTGTGCAGGCAATAAAAGGTGCATTTTCTGTAAATAATTTTTTTAATAATAAAACCAACCAAACACAGGCTGCTTTTTATTATTACCATGAGTCAGCAATTCTAAACAGTGTCATTGACAAAATACTCCTCAAAGCAGGGATATACTGCTTCCACCAACTGTCACCCTGTCTCGGTTCATCACCACACATGGTATCAGACTGAATGAAAAAAGCAAGACTCATGTTGCACGTGGAAGCGGGGTGGGTGGAGGGTTGGGGGGTCTTGGGAAGATGGCAAGGGTAATGGCAACATAGATTTTTAATTTCCCCAAATCCCACAGAGCAACTAGATAGCTGGAACAAGAACCCATGGACAACATTTACAGCAAAACTGTCACAACTTCTGAAAGATATTCCCACAAACACCAAAATATAAGCAGGTGAGAAGAAACCATAGGCAACCACAGAGCCAGTTGCCATCAACGTCTGTGAGGGGGAAGCAGAGGGGAGCCACAGGGAGCCCAAAGGATCTGAGACAGGAGACTCGAAAACCACCAACAGGAGAACGGACAGGCCAATCGAGAGCAGCTGTTTGAGCAGAAAGTGGTTTTGCCCACTCAAGAGTAAGTGAATGCCAGGGCCTTATGGGCTGAGCTAAAGAGGGTGGAGCAGTCTGGCCCCATGAACTCTTGAAATTAACCTGCTGGGACTCCCTTCCAAGGTAGGAGCCAGATTGAGGAGAAACTGCAAGGAGCAGAATCAAATTTGACCAGGACAGGAGCAGAAGAGACAAAAGAAAGAGAAAGAAAGTCCATATAAAGTTGGGGATGGGGAACAGAACCAGGAACTCTCAAAGAAGAAGCCGCCATGATTTTTAACAGAGCATGGAAATAACAGAAAAGGAAGATCTGGGAGCCACACCTCTTTCTCAAAGATTGGGAAAAATAATCTCATGTAGAAATGAGTAACAAAAAAGCACCAAGATGAAATCCCATGTGGATTATAACACATTGACATAGACTAACAAGCAGAATAACATCCCCACAGAAATGAAAGCACGCCAACTCTAACCCTGTGTCAGAATGAGCCAAAAGATAATTTAAAAAGTGATACAGGACAGCATAACTAGAATTAGAAAAACTCAGAGATGGCAGGAGAATGGCGTGAACCCGGGAGGCGGAGCTTGCAGTGAGCTGAGATCGCACCACTGCACTCCAGCCTGGGTGACAGAGCGAGACTCCGTCTCAAAAAAGAAAAAGAAAGAAAAGAAAAGAAAGGAAAGGAAAAGAAAAGAAAAGAAAAGAAAGAAAAGGAAAGAAAGGAAGAAAGAAAGAAAGAGAAAGAAAGAGTCAGAGATGAAGTGATAGAACTTAGGGAAAAAATTGTAATTAAGGAAAATAATTATTACAGAAATAAAAACTAAACTAGAAAGAAAACATGAGCAAATAAACACAGGAAATGAAAGAAAAGGTGAAAAAAAATTACTCAGAAAGAAAGAATTTCCAGTCAAGATTTTGTAAAGAAATGAAACAACGTCTGATGTGAAAAATATACTAGATGAAATTAACAGACTAGATGCTGCAAAAAAAAAAAAAAAAAAGTTACTGAACTTGAAGCCATAGTAATGAGAAATAACCAAAGTGAAAAGAGAGGAGAAAACAGCAAAAACAGGAGATGAAAAGGATTTCAGAAGCTGTGACAAATATTGAAGATGGACAAAGACGATCTGATGGACAGATCATAGGAGTCCCTGAGGAAGACCACCAAAACCAGGAAACAGGAGCAATACTAAAAAACAGTAATTCAAGAAAACTTTGCTGAATGCAAGGATATTTCAATCTACATATTAAAAGAGTGATGGGACTGTTTTGTGTGTGGGGGTGGCTATATGACAATGTCAAACTGATAGAACTTTACAATATAGAGAATGACTTTCCCTGTATATAAACTATACCTTAATTTTTAAACATGATTTTGAAATTTACATACTGCAAGAGTACACAATGTAGTTACCTGAAAATATGGACCTAGATAGAAGGACCATCATCGAGTCCTATTCTAAAGTAAAATTACTCAGTTAAAAAAATCCACTGGACATTTAGGCAAAAGCAATAAGTGACTCATAAGGGAAAAGAATATTAGATTATCATCACATTTTTTGACAACAAGATTTTATGGCAGAAGACAATGGAGTAATATTTTTAAGATATTCAAAAGAAGAAAACATGAATGAGAGATTTTAAATTCCAGCAACGGAAATTTTTGTATAAAGGGCGCAAACTTTTTTACATGTTAGCAACATGCAAGAACTCAAGGAATATTGTTCCTATGAGTTCTTCTCAATGAATCTACTCAAGAATGGGATCCAGGCAACCAAAATGACTGAGGAAACGTTGACAGAAAGATTGATGATGAGCATTAAATATTTGCTTACTTTTAAACGAATAGTAAAAAAGGGCTAAAAGAAGAGAATATAGCATACTGTGGTTATATCTGCTCAGCCAATGTGGATATAGTACATTTATACACAGGTGTGGGACGATATATGCAAAGAAATGTTAAAGTGTCTTCAGTAATTATATTGATGATGTTAGTATTCTGAGACTGTTGTGGGTGTTATATGAAAAACAAAAAGAATAACTGTGGGATATTCTGATTCTATCATTACCTGTGCCCGTGAATATGAAGATACTCATTTTAAAAATTTTTGTCCTAAATTTGATATTTCAATACAGAATCTCCTTCCTCTGAGCACCAAAATGCCCTGAAACCAATAACCAACCTAATAGCCATGAGCATCTGAGGCTCCCAGATTGTGGTGTTGAAATACCATTTCCCACTGAAAGAAACCAGGGATTCTTGGAGAAATGGCTGGTTTGAAGTCCAGGGCGGGAAATGTGTATAATGGGCCCAGAACTCTTGACTTGCCAGAGTGTAAGAAAACAATCTGAGTGTACTAAGCTCATATCAAAGGGAAACAGAGCCAACTTGGAGAAGCTTCCAGAAGGTGAAGATACGGCAGGTTGAGCTTCAAAAAGGATACATTTGTAATTGATTAAAACCCATCAGGCCTGGCACGGTGGCTCACGCCTGTAATCCCAGCACTTTGGGAGGCTGAGGCAGGCGGATCACGAGGTCAAGAGATTGAGACCATCCTGGCCAACATGGTGAAACCCTGTTTCTACTAAAACTACAAAAATTAGCTGGGCATGGTGGTGCATGCCTGTAGTCCCAGCTACTCCTGAGGCTGAGGCAGGAGAATCTCTTGAACCGGGGAGGCAGAGGTTGCAGTGAGCCAAGATGGCACCACTGCACTCCAGCCTGGTGACAGAGTGAGACTCCGAGAAAAAAAAAACATTAATATGTTTAAATTTATAATACGTATAAAAGTAAATCTGTGGAGGATGATAGGGAATCAACTCATTATTTTGAAAATTGATGTGTGAAGAGAAAGAATCGAGCATTTATCTTGCTTGTCTCTTGTGAGCTGTGTCACTGGGCAATCAAATAGTAGATGAGAGGGCATGTCTCTTTTTAAAAATAATCTAGCTATTAAGTGAAAAAGGAATGATAAAATTAGAAGATGACCATTTTGCAACCCCCAATGAATTAATGGATCTAAACATCGGGTATCAATAGCCTCTAACATCAGAGAAAGAGAGACAGGCATCGCGTGCCTCTTATGAAAGAACACGTCATCTGTGGTCTTGCCAGAGGGATTGAACCTGAATTTGATCAAACCTCTAGACCAGCTGCCAATCTGAAGAATACACCAAGAACAAAGGAACATGTTAAACTGCACCCGCAGTCTGCAATCAGCCAACCTCAGACCATGGGAAATTCTACAGGTCAATTTTCTTGGGCTCTTCTGTAGATTCTAACAAATTATAGATGGGCAAAGAGCTGGGGAAGTGGAGGAGGAAACTGCAGGTGAAGAGAGACTTGAAAAAAAAACACCTTTTTTAATGGGCAAGACCAAACTATAATGGCTGGGAATATACACTAGAGTCATAAAACCAAAAAGAAACACAAGAATGTGATTGCTGTAAAAGTCAGGATAATCGTTACTTTTGGAGGAGTGGGGATGGGATTGGGATTAAGATACCTGGAGGGTCTTTGGGGATAGAAGGCAAAGTTGTCTTTCTTGACCCAGGTGAGACTGCAAGGGTGTTCCCCTTATGGTAACTCTTTAGCTATACAGTTGTTTCATGTGGGTTTCTTAATGCTTTGTTTTACAATAAAAGGTTTAAAAGCTACATACACAGAATTATCTTAATGGTACTGAAAATACATACATTGAATGAATAAAAGACAATATGCTACAATAGGCCAGGTGCTGTGGCTCACGTCTGTAATCCCAACACTTTGGAACGTTGAGGCGAGTGGATGTCTTGAGCTCAGGAGTTTGAAACCAGCCTGGGCAACATGGCGAAACCCTGTCTCTACAAAAAATACAAAAATTAGCCGGACTTGGGTGGCGTGTGCCTGAAGTCCCAACTACTTAGGGACTGAGGTGGGAGAATGGTTTGTGCCCAGGAGGTCGAGGCTGCAGTGAGCTGTGATGATGCCACTGCACTCAGCCTGAGCAACAAAGCAAGACCCTGTCTCAAAAAAAAAAAAAAATGCTGAAAACAGTGACTGTAGTCATCTCTGGGGAAAAGGATTCTGAATGACTTTCACTTTCTCCTTTGTGTCTTTCCATATTTTCCACTGTGGTATTTCTAATAGGAAAAAAAGAAGTATGTCTATTTTTTACTTGTTTAATCTTAAAGCTTTTAATTGGATGTCCCAGAAGAGAAAGATGTCTACATTTGGATTTTTCTGTCTTATTAACCACTATATTCCCAGAACCTAAAACAGTGACTGGAATACAAAGGGCATCCATATGTACCTATCGAATAAAGCAGCCGGCATGTGTATCCAGAACATTCCAACATTCCACAAGGGGAGAAATAATTGGCATTTTTTGCCTCAGTTTCTTTCACAAAGCAATAGACTCATTCATTAAACCTCATCATCCCCTTCCCACCTGTTGGCCTAAGGCCCCTGGGCTGCATCCTCATGGCCCCTGTAAGTGGGCAGAGACATTGCTGGGTATACCCCACTGGTGTTTCATCACCATGGAGCCTGCTGGTCTGGGGAGAAATACAGAGGCTGCAACCTGCTCTCCTACCTGAGAGTCCTGGGACATGCCCCTCAAATTACGACAACCACCCACCAGCCCCTGAAGTGAGTTGGAACAGAACGCCACCCAGCTTGTCACAGGTAGTATAGGATTTGGAGATAGAGCAGTGTTGGATTCACAAAAACAGGATCCTCCTAAACACCCCTCCCTTTAACAAAAACAAAAAAGTGCTATTTACCAGTAGCAGGTGTGTTGAGGCAGAAAAAATCATGAGCAACAATACAGGATGTCAGTACAGGAAATGCAGGGAAGACTGTTCTCAGAGCACCAAAATAGACTCGAGGACATGGAGCACGAGGAGAAACTGGGGTCTGGGGGGCAACACCAAACACCGGGCACAGGGAGTCAGCCCACCCCTTTGGCCACGGTTTCTTCAGCTGCCAAATGGGTGTGAGCTGCTGCACAGGGGCTGGGAGGATCCAGTGAGGCAGTGCTCAAAGATGGCCTTGGAGGCCTTGGGAGGAAAGTACCCCCTGGGCTCTGCCTGCCCACGCTTGGATCCCTAGAGGCTGGCTTGGGGCATGGCACACCGCAGGTGCTCAATGACAAGTGTCTTTAACCCCTGCTGGCTTCCCGTTCTCTCTGACAGCCAAAGTCCTCATCATGGCTCTCAGGCCCTGCACCCCCACGCTCCCCATCATGTCACCTCTCTGACCTCACCTCCTCCATGCTCTCCCACTCACCCCACTCCTGCCCCTCAGCCCCCTTGCTGATCCTCAAACACACCACACTTTCTCCTACCCCAGGGCCTTTGCACCTGCAGACTCTCCTGCCCCGAACAATCTCTCCCCAGGGTCCTCATGGCTTGTCCTCATCTACTGCCTTCAGGACCAAGTTCAAGGGTCCCTTCCTCAGTTAAACCACACCGACCACCATCCTTGACCACCCTCCTCCACCCCAACACTTCTTCCTACCAATGCTTCTTCCTGGCACCTGGCACTTCCTGGCACCTGGCACAGGTCTTGATTCCACTGGCACGTGGGAGGTGCCCTTCCATATTTGTTTCATATGCCAACGTGAACCCATGCATTCATGACACTTATTATCACATCGTTACTACTCAGCTCTTGGTTTTCGTTAGTGCATTTCATCTTCACTTCAACACCTCGGCCAGCAAAAGGGGCTGCGGACGCTCAAGACTGGGCCGGCTCCCTGGCATCATTCACCTGGTAGCTCACAGCCAGAATCCGAACTGTGGATTCAGGTTGGAATTGTGTGAGCAACACCTTGAGGCCACACAAGCAGTCAGTGAGCCAGGGAAAAGATGGAAGCCTCCTCTGTGCTGATAAATTATTATTTGCATTGTTCTCCGAAGTGGTGAATTTCCTCTTCCTTGGCCAGCTTCATCTGAAGTTCCCAGCTCCCAAGAAGTGTCTGAAGACTTGAGAGATTTTTCCCTGTGAAAGCCCACCCTTTGAGGGTCTCAGGCAGCCCAGTGTTATCCAGATTTTAAAAAAACAGAATCTCTTTCCAGCACCCCTGAAATCCCGCCTCACCCTCTGCCAGGGGGTTGTTGAGTGAACAGTTAATTGAGTTCAGTCCTGTTGCCTTCTGCGTGGCCCCTCTCTCATTTTTTTCCAGCTTGTTGAGCTATTAGGATGTTGACCAGCTGCCACTGCCAGAGCTTCAGTTAGAAAGTTGGCAGCCTCTGGTCTTGAACCCTGAACAAAGAGGACGGACCCAGGGAGGGCCTGGGAAGAGGACAGCAGGGCTGTGGGATGCCTGACCATCGGCTCTAAAATCCCCCTTTGTCTCATAAACCCTGCCCTTGGACTGCGGGAAGTTCACGGCCCTTCCAGAAGCGAGTGTCACAGCCAGCTATTAAAGACATGTTTCTGTGAGAATGGCCAGGGCTTGGCTCCCGGGGGAGTGTGGGCCGCACAGGGGCTTCTGCAAAGAAAGGCCATTGTCAGGAGAGAGCAGAGAGCAGCCACCACCAACGCCGAGCCCTCGGGTGCGGAAGTGATTATCTGGGCACAGAAGAGCTGGCAGATCCCGACGCCAGCGTGGGCTGGCCGTGTCCAGCCCCCGAGGCACAAACAAGGACATCAAGGAGGTCCCCCAGACAGCCCGGCCCTGAACGGAGCCAAGAGCAGCCACAGAATAATCGCTGCCATTTATGACGCACATGGTGTGCCAGGCCAGGACATGCGTGACCATTTAGTCTTCCCAAAACTCCTGCACAGAAGAGGCGGTGATGCCCGAGTGAGGCGAGTGACCTTCCCTGGAACTGAGGCCAGGCGGCCAGTGAGAAGGGAGGCAGGACATGCCCACACTCACCTAGAAGATCCTAACCCCGCCTCTGCCCTTGTTTCTTCCAATCCACACACCACCCTGCAGTCAGAGGCGCCTTCCTAAAACTCAAATCTGATCATGCCCCTGCCAGGCTTAGTATCCTTCCGTGGCTCCCCAGTGCTCTGGGGGAGAAAGTACAGTTTCCTTGATGTGGCTTCCAAAGGATCTTATCACCCACCCTCACCTGCCTTAGCAGCCTGATGTTCAACCACGCCCCAGTGATTCTCATTCCTTCACGTTCTCTCCCTCTCCCTCCCTCTCTCCCTCGCCTCTGGTCCTTCCAGCATCCTAGTCTCTATTGCTTCCATCTTTCTCCTAGCACTTATCAGACCATGCCGTAAGTCCTCTGTGACGTGTTGGTATCCCTACACACCCCCACCCCCCACCCCACACACACACATGCACACACTAGATTCTAAATCCCACAGGGAGAGCAGGGACCACATCTTTCATGTCCACCACTCCTTCCTGAGAGGCCTGCACGGAGCCAATAGCAGGTACCTGAGGCATGTGTGCTGATGCGGCAGTGACGGGGGCTGCTTCTGAAGTTCCCGTTCTTTCCTCAACACCTCACTGCCTTCACTTGATAACTCGCTGCACTGAGGGCTTAACTTTTTCCATCTAAACTTGCAGCTCTGTGACTATTTGGAAGTTAAATGGAGAGCGGGCTTGGATAGTTGAGGCTGACTTTGGGGAAGGTGATGGGGTAACGAGGTCACCACCTGCTCCCTGGCTGTGGGAAGAGTTAATCATTATTTCACGTCTTGTGCTTTGCAAGGGAAGCAAAGCCCTCAGCCCAGTGGGCATTGTTTGGCCTGCTCCATCCTCCTTCTGCCGGGCTAAGACCTGTGACATCAGCTGCTACGGGGGTTGAAGGAGATTCTGCATTCCAAGGCCCTTCGACTCAGCATTCTTTTCTGCCAGGTTAACCCACTGACCCAGCACTGGCCTTGTCCCCACGGACCTGTGATGCTGCAGGGTTCTCAGCCTGGGCAGGCATAAGAATCACCAGCCTGGGGAGACCCTTGAGAATGCAGACTTTGGGGCCTTGCCCCTACTATTGAGACTCAGAGGCCTCGAGTGGGACCTAGGAATCTGTGTGTGTTCCAAGCCTTTCATGGGACTCTCAGCATACTGTGAAAAACACTAGCCAGGGTAGCTGGGATGCTCCTGTTCAATATCATGACGTATCTAACATTTCCTTGAAGTCAAAAGCATCTTTCAACATGTGAAGAGCCATATTAATAAAAATTACTGCCAGCAGTGTACCAGACATGGTTATTATTCATCTCATTTTTGAGAAAAACCCAACAAGGTGATCATTGTCTCCATCTCCCAGGTTCCTTACCTGGGATCACATGGCATGCAAACACCAGACCTTGGATTTCAGCCCAGGTGTCACCCACCAAGGAAATTATTGGAGGAGCTCCTCAGTGGGCTCATGGCTTCCTATGAGTCTAGAATAAGGACCAAGCCAGAACGGACAATCAGGAATGAGACTGGTAGATTCTTCTAGGCTCAGACAAACATTAAATGGGGGAGCAGAAGAGGGAGTGTGGACATAAGCCATGCTGGCAGTGGGCAGGTGCCAGCTCCCTGTCTCAGTTCCCTTGTCTGTAAAATAGAAATTGAATCCCAACTCCACAGGGTTGTTTGAGGGTTGCACCATGATATGGTTTGGCTGTGTCCCCACCCAAATCTCACCCAAATCGTGAATTCCCATGTGTTGTGGGAGGGACCTGGTGGGAGGTAATTGAATCATAGGGGTGCGTTTTTCTGGTGCTGTTCTTGTGATAGTGAATAAGTCTCATGAGATCTGAGTTTCCCTGCAGTCTCTCTTTGCCTGCTGCCATCCACGTAAGATGTGACTTGCTCCTCCTTGCCTTCTTCCATGATTGTGAGGCCTCCCCAGCCATGTGGAACTGTAAGTCCAATTAAACCTCTTTCTTTTGTAAATTGCCCAGTCTTGGGTATGTCTTTATCAGCAGCATGAAAACGGAATACACACCATGTATAAGGAACCTGGATGCAGTAAGTGCTCAACAAACAGTAGTTATTGCAATAGGAGCTGATGTGGCTACTATTCCCAACTTCTGCAGGGGTTGAAATGTCTTAGCTAAACAAGGGGATTCTTTTAAGCTAGTTAATTGGCTATTTAAAACATTTTCAAAATTGGCCAGTAAAAAAATTAATCTCTAGTTAATTATCAGCTCCTATTTTTCTGTTTTCTACCTGGCAATTTTTGCAAAACACCCTCCTCTCTCCTGCTTCACTCTATGATATGCTACAGTTGATCCAGGTTGCTTTATCTCCCATTTCACATTTTTGTAAATGTGATTATTTAACTGTGTAAAGTGTTATGGGATATGTTTGGAATGAAAGTCACTTTTCAAATAGAAATGAAGTTGGCATATATTGCATTTAAATCTCTAGTGGGGAGCCGTAGGGGGATGAGAGAGAAGTACACTCAGATATACTTGGGTTTGGGCTTAGAGAAATCTTCTCTCCTCTTTCCTGGCTGGCCAAGATAATATTACTAACAGAAATCTCCTTGGGAAGGAAAAAGTCCTTTGATGCTTATGATGCAAATTGAAAATGCAGAGGGAAATGAGAGCTGAGCTCCTGGGCTTTCCCACTCTGCTCCTCCCCAGAACTGTGAAAAAGACAAACACATACTTTTGCAAGTTCTATTGCCACATCTGAAAAGACAAGAAGAATTTTGTGTTGGTGGTGGAAAGAGTGACAGGGATGAGCCAGTCCCTAGTGTACAGGCAGATGTGGGGCTGGGGCAAGGAAACTGATAGATTTGAAAAATGAAGCAAGAGTGAAGATCCTTTTAATCAAAGAAACCAACAGAGGCATGGAATTGTAACTGACCACCAACCTGTTGGATATCAACTCTTGGCAAGAGGGGGCAGACTGGGCAGCTGGACATGGTTTGGGAACCCTAGTTACAGGGGTGAAGGGTTTTGCTCACTTCTCTCCACCAGGACACCAAGGCAGCTGCCAGAGCACATGGTGCCCATGAGGAAATGAGAAAATAGGCATCTGCCCCACACCCCAGGGCAGAAATAGGGGCACCCAGCTGGACTGACGTCCCCTTGTGAGCTATGGATGCAGACCTGGATCCACCATGCGTGCCATGCAGGGCCATGTGCCCCAGGCCCCCTTCAAGGAAGGACTGCCCAACTGTGGGAGTGTCCTTCAAAAGGTCACCCCTTCCTGGGGCTGCCGGGCACAGACTGGGGCAGGCTGGGCCCGAAGGCTGGGCTGGGAGGGCAGGATCAGCTGCCGGCTGAGCCTCTTGCCAGCTGGCCTCAGCCACCCACCCCCCGGCCCTCTTGCTATTCCTGCTTCTCCCGTCCACTTCCTTTGACAGCTGTTGGTCCCTAATAATATGTCAGGCCCCAAATTCCACTTCAGCAGCTGCTTTTGAAGAGCCCGATGACGACTCCACGTTCTCCCTCTCAGTCCAGCTGAGAGGGACAGACATCAATGCAGGGATCAAAGAAGTAAATTAAATATTGCAGCTGAAATCCCTGCTAAAAGAGGGAGCTGCCCCAACCCATGAGAGGATGTCAGGGCAGGGTGGGGCCCCGGGCAGCAAGTCAGGAAGGGGTGTTCCTCCAGGATGAGCTCCTAGGATCCGGGGGGATGGTGGGGTTGCCTGGGTGAGGAGAAGGCACAGGTGCAGGCTCTCGGGGAGGCTTTGGGGAGGAGAGGGAAGGCTGGCATGGGGGTAGGGGGCAGGAAAGTTTATGTCATGGAGCTGGGGAGTTGCCAGGGTGGACCACTGTGCAGAGACGCTTGGGCAAGAGCAAAGGTTTTGGTCATTATCCTAAGATTGACGTGTTTTAAACCTGGGGTGGTCGGATCAGATTTGCATTGTAAAAAGGTCATTCAGCCCTCTGGGAAGTAGCACAGAGGCCGTGTGGTGCTGAAAGGGGTGTTTTGGACTATTTGGGCCACAAGGAGCCCCAGTCCTTCCTGGAGAAGAAAGAGCCATCTGAGGAGGGTGTGCAGCAGAGGGAGGGGTTACAGCCAAGAGCTTTTCTGCGTCCCCACTGCCTGGGTTGGGGGCAGCCTTCCAGCCCCCGGGGTGAGTGTTTCACAGAAGAGCTCAGCTATCAGGCTTCTGCCCAAAGAGAGTCCATGAGGGAATATTCACCAGAGTTTGTGAGTGCCAGGGGCAAAGCAGTGTGCTGTCATTGATTTTTCCAAACCTGGGGGCCTTCCGAGGCCCAGAGGCACCAGCAGAGTACAGACGAGTGGAGGCAAATGCAGATGCAGTCACCATAGCCCCAGGTGCCGGTGTTCCCCAGTGGCTTATTAGAAGGATTCATCAGGCAGATGGAAACTGGGGGAGCAGAGAAGGGGAAGGACGGAGGGCAGTTGCATTTGGAGCTCTGGGTTCCAGAGTCTGAGGGTCAAAGCAGACTAGGCTCTTTCTGGAAAAATACAGAAGTGACCGGCAAGGGGAAAATGGAAAACAGCATTGTGCATTGCAGGGCCTGTCGACCAGGGTACACAGGAAACAACAGGTGGCTTCCACAGGCTGCACCTCCAGGCCAACCCATTTGCAAGCTCATGACAATGGACTATCATGGCTCCCATTTTCCAGGAGGGGAAATGATGGAGAGGAAGGTAAAAACATCGTGCCTCAGGCCTCACGGTGACAGAGGTGAGGCCAAGATTCAAACCCAGGTCTAGGGGCACCAAAGCCACTGCCCCAGCCCCCAGCCCAAAGGCAAATGATCCCCTGAGGGTGCCTCCCCCAGGGGCAGAAGACAGGGCCCCAGTAGCAGTCGTGGGGAGGAGGACCACGCACTAGGTAAACAGCAGGCAGTAGCTAAATGCTGAGCAGTGTGACCGATGTTATCATTGGTAATAACTTAGTACATTCATGGGGCACTCCATTTACAAAGTGGCTTCATGCCTACTTTCTCACCTCTGTGTTGCTCAACTCAGTAAGGGAGGGAGAAAGAATGAGAATCTTAAAATAATGACTTCTGTTTTCGGGAAGACAGAGTATGCATGCCTTTCCCTGTTCCTCTTGCTAATCACAGCTAAGCCTGCACATGAATGTTAGGCCTTTGGCCAAATGCCACTGAAGGCCAGAGTTCACAAGAACCCATTGACATGGTCCTCCCAGGCCAGCCTCCTCCCAGGGCAGCAGGAGGATGAGGAAGGACGGCGAGAGGGTCTGGACAGGCCGGCAGAAGCTGAACAGCCCAAATGTCCCCTGCTTTCTCCAGACCCTACCCCTCCTCGCCAGGCCACACCCACAGCAGCTTACACAGCACTCCCAGGAGAGTCAGGCATCCGTTTAATCAGTTTCATAAGCACCTACTGTGTGCCAAGGATGCTTCTGGGCTCTAAAGATACAGAGGGGAATAAAACATAAAACATGGTTCCTGTTCTCATGAAACTTGGCCACGGGGAAGATAGAAGATAAACAACTAAACACATAGATGAGAAAGAACAGTCAGATAATACAACTGCATAAGGGAACAAAGCAAGTCCATATGGGAGGGATGAGGAGGGACACATTAGCTCCAGGGGCCAGGCGTCTCCCTGACGAGCCAGAGGATGCAGCCCCTGCAGGTTCCTGGCAGACAGGAGCACGGGACAGAGGGCCAGGATTGGGCGTACTGAGCCCACTCCAATAGCTGGGCCACTGCTAATGTGCGGGCTCATATTAGCACCTATGGTCCTAGATAATGCAGAGTCCAGTGCCATTATTTTTCATACTTTGTGCTTATTTTTCCGGCCAGACCAGGAAAGCTGTTTGACACCTACACAATGAGGAGCAAGAAATTCAGACCTTCCTCCTCCTGAGGCCCCATTTCCTTCCCTCTGGGGTTGTTGTGAAGATGGGATTCGATCATGAATATAACATTCACTGCCGTGAGTGGAACAGTTATTGAAATTGTCTACCAGTAGCTTTAACTAGCAGCATTAATACTACTATTAATCACGGAAGCCAGCCTTTATTAAGCACTTACTGTATTCCAGGCACTGTTCTGAGTGCTTTCCAGAGAGTAATGCATTTCACCCTCACCACTCTGGAAGGGAGGTGCAATAATTATCCTTGTCTCATAGATGAGGAAACTGAGACACACAGGGGAGAAGTCACTTTCCCAGAGTCACATAGCCGCCAGACCACAGAGCCAAGCCAGCCTGACCCAGCACGTGCTGCAGAAGCTGCTGCTGGATTTTGTCTGCACAAAAGCCCCATGGGCAGATAGGATTCATCTTACTTCGTGCCTCAGTGGCTGAATCTATAAAACGAAACTGAATGACTTGGCCAAAGTCACCCCAGCTCAGAGGTGGCAGAGATAGGATGGGAATCCAGGCCTTGACTCCTCCTGCAGTGCCCAACCCCCACCACACATGACTTCTCTCACACCTTGTACACTGCAGGTATTTGGCCAGTACCTGGGAGACATTTCTGATTTTTTTTCCACGGCATGTCCATTTTGATCACATTTTCTTCTACATGTGGGAACAAAACTAGACACAACTTTGCTGAAAGTCTGAGCTAGCCTTACTTTTACCTGCAGCTGAGAAAGTTAGCTTCTTCCCTCACCAAGGCTAAAAGGGCAAGAGATGACACACCCAGCAAGAAAACCGAAAATAACAAAATCAGTCAATGTGGAACAAACATTACTCCCCGGCAACTGGGGCCAGGTATTTATGCTGCGATGAGACAAAGGCAGACTCTTTCTCCTTAGATTTTAGCACTTGCTTCCAAAACAGCAGAGGGCCCTGCAGGGGAACCAGCGGAGGATGGATGGCATCTGGCATTGATTGGTAGCCAGGCTGAATAATACATCAAGGGTCTGTGACTTCATCACAAAAGCCTGGCGGGCTGGCCTCCTGCAAACCAGACTCCCCAGGGACTGGGCCTCACCAGGTGTCTTCAATTAGAAATACAGTGGGAGCAATGCTTCTGAACCGATTCTGAAAGGCAGGCTCCCGGGCTGAGAGACGGAGTGAAGGGACATGCTCAAGGTTCCTTCCCCTCCATGCCTCATAGTGGGCCCTGCCCTGGGGATAAGCCTCCTACAGCCCCTCGTGAGCTCCATCCACTGCCAAAGATGAGTCAAATAGCAAGATAAGGCTGCCTCCTTTTTTTTTTTTTTTTTGAGACAGAGTCTTGCTCTGTCGCCCAGGCTGGAGTGGAGTGGTGCAATCTCGGCTCACTGCAAGCCCCGCCTCCCGGGTTCATGCCATTCTCCTGCCTCAGCCTCCCAAATAGCTGGGACTACAGGCGCCAGCCAACACGCCTGGCTTTTTTTTTTTTTTGTATTTTTAGTAGAGACGGGGTTTCACCATGTTAGCCGGGATGGTCTCCATCTCCTGACCTCATGATCCACTCGCCTCAGCCTCCCAAAGTGCTGGGATTACAGGCGTGAGCCACCGCGCCTGGCTAATTTTTTTTTTTTTTTTGTATTTTCAGTAGAGATGGGGTTTCACCGTGTTAGCCAGGATGGTCTCGATCTCCAAGATAAGGCTGCCTCCTAAGCCTCGCATCTGTTGTCTGTAAGAGAGCCACGGCTGTGCAGGAAGGAGGGATGAGGCGGTGGAGTCCTGGGTGTCAGGTCCTGTACTACAGGCCGAGCACAGGGAGAGGAGCAAGCTTTCCTCCTTCCCCTCCTTTCTTTCTCCCTTGAACATTTGCTGAAGTGTCACCTATGTTCCAGATGTTGTGCTAGGAAGCAAAATACAGCACCAAACAAGATAAGCATGGTCACTGCCCTGCTCCCAAGGAAGGATGCTTTGGAAGGCCTTTCACTGAATATCTGTCCTCACCTACTCTGTGCCACTCACAGGCTTGGTTGAGGATCAAACTCTTTTTGCAGAAGAGGAAAGGGAGACTCCAAGAGGGGCAATGCTCTGTCCCTAGATCTGTGACCTTGGGCAAGTGGTAGTTTGGACTGAGCATTCCTAAGCTATATCCAGGGCACCCCATGCTTCCTGGCCTCATGTTTAGCTCCTTGTGAGAGGGTCAGGTCGCCCACTAGCAGATGAACTCCTTGCTCATCCTTGTGTTCCAAGCAGAAACTAACACAAAACCAGACAACCTGGAATGAAGACAAGAAACCCTTGGCCTGCTGGGTCATGAAGCTATTTCTGGCTGCTGTCCATGGTACTGGCAAGAAGCATGAAGCCTGCCAATGTCAGGTGGTTAGAGCCCTCTTGGGAAGCTAAAAGATTCTTATCGTCCAATTCATGCTTTTCACAGCCTCCTTGGTTTTTCACTGGGTCTTTCCAACAAGTCTTACCTGTCTCCTCTCTCAACTCCCGGTGAGCTTTTCTGTTGGCCAGTGGATGCCTTGTATTAGATGTTTGTCTTTTTTTTTTTTTTCTGGTCTCCTGTTATTTTCCCAAGTCATTCTTAACCTTGGAAGCAGAGAACACTCACAACCAGCTGTACTTGGTGTTGCATATTAAATAATCTTTGTTTTGATTCATGTGTTAAAGTCCTTTATCCATTCTCTTGCATTACAGAGACCCCAGTCTTAACACATATTTCTTACATCATGTTTCCCAAATGTCAGTCACCCACATACCTCCCACATGATTTTTGCCATACTCTTACACCACCTATCATTCTATGCCAAATATATTTCCTAAAATCAACCCTTTTAAAAGTTTTAGTAGGTCTTATTTTTTAGAGCAGTTTTAGATTTACAGAAAAACCGAACAGAAAGTACAGAGAGTTCTCATATACCTCCTCCCTGCACACATTTTCCCTATTATTAACATCTTGCATTTGTTTGGTACATGTGGTACACTTGATGAACCAAGACTAATACATTATCATTAACTAATGCCTACAGTTTTCTTGAAGGTTCACTCTGTGTTGTACCGTTCTATGGGTTAACAAATTCATGTCATATATCCATCATTACAGTATCTTACAGAATAGTTTCACCACCCTAAAAATGCTCTCTGTTCACTCATTCATTCCTACCCCCTACCCTTGAACCCCTGGCAACCACTAATATTTTTATTGTCTCCATAGTTTTGCCTTCCCAGAATGTCATAGAGTCAGAATCACATAGTATGTAGCCTTTTCAGACTGGCTTCCTCCACTCACTTTTTTAAAACATACATACATTTATTTAAAAGGGAAGCTTGATATAATCATCAAAAATGGATATTCAGATTCATTTACCATGAATAAAAGGAAATCATAGAAGTAGCAGCAGGAATGGAAACTTCTCTATTCCATGAAACTCATGACAAAAACTGGCAAAAATTCCGGAATCAACTTTTTCAGAATTCTGGAAATTAACCAAAGGCTTGAAGCAATCTAGATTGCATGCATTCAGGAAGAAAGGCTGAATTTCAGTAAGAACAGGGAGCTTCATGGCATTTTAACTTTCCGTATTTCCATCCCCTTCTCTTCTGCTCTGAGTTAGCCTTGAAATCAGGTTGAAATCAGCCCTGCAATCAGGGTAAAAACCGGTGGCCTGACAGCTACTGTAGGGGACAAAACAAGATTGTAGCCCCTTCAAACCTCATTCCCAGAGAACTGTTACGACTTGACTTGTCTGGTGGGTCCCTGGAGAACTCTACTTGCAAGGTTGTCTTGCCTTCTGACCAAGATCAGTGGTTGCCAGAGGTTCAAAGGTAGGGGGTAGGAATGAATGAAGAGCATTCTTAGGGTCGTGAAACTATTGTGTAAGATACTGTAATGATGAATAACTGACATGTATTTGCCAACCCATAGCAAGTAAACTGTAGGTCTTACTTGAATTTTGCCCACTTTGAAAAGTCTAAGCATTTGCTGAAAACAATTAAAAGTAACTGCTTAGCTTTCTGACTGCCTAAGATGGTGAGCAACAGTTGGGAAAAGTGTGGGCTAACCAAAAAATTTAAAAAGAAAAAACTGGCAAATAAGATGTCCGTAGGGGCTTTGCAAAGTTCCAACATATTCCTGAGAATCTAGAAAGCCCCGTGCATGTGTAGGGCTGTAGGCATGCTCAGGAGAGACTTGAGAAGGCTCTGTGCTCTCAATTCTGTATGACCTGAGGGTCTACGCAAGTAGAAAGTGAAAGTTAGGGCAGAGTTGCCAATTTCCTGACCAAGTATTGAAAGTATGCCCAGCATGCACACAGAGTACTGTGGCAAAAATTGGGAGACTTATTAGTCCAGGCATTTGAGGAAATGTCTGTCCACTCTTGAGCTCCCCAGTAAGCTAACTGAGCAGACATTTCAGTGGCCACCCATGAAAAACAATGTAACACACCATATTATAGAATTAAGGGGGAAAATCACCTGATCTTTTCAGTAGATACAGAAAACGTATCTGATAAAATTGAGACAAAATACTCCTGTCAAGACAAAAATACTTGTCAAGACAAAAATACTCAACACACTTTAAATAGTAGGAAACTTCTTCAACTGGATAAAGGGCACCTATGAAAAAGTCTAAGCTAATATGATACTTAATCGTGAAAGACTGGGTGCTTTCCCCATAAGATCAGGAACAAGACAAGGATGTCTACTTTTGCCATTGCAATTGTACTGGAGGTTCTAGCAAGCAATTAGACCAAAAAAATGAAATAAAAGGCATCTATAAGGAAAGAAGTAAAGCCACCTCTATTTGAAGATGACATGATCTTGCATATATAAAATCCTAAGAATTTTGCCAATAAACTATGAGAGTTCATGAACAAGTTCAGAAAGATTATAAGGTACAAGATCAATATACAAAAATCAATTGTACTCCCACACATTAGCAATGAACAATCCAAAAAATGAATCCAATAAAATAATTCCACTTACAATAGCATCAGAAAAATAAAATACTTATAAATAAATCTAACAAAAAAGTTCAAGACATATACATCAAAAACTATAAAATATTACTTAGAGAAAATTTTTAAAACCTAAATAGTTGCTATGTTCATGGATTGAAAGGCTTAATATTGCTAAAATGGTGATACCCCCCAAATTGATATGCAGATTCAACACAATCCCTAACTTTGGATTTGGCAGCAGTTTATTAGCTTTAACAGCTAAAGCACGAGCCTTTGAAAAAATAGATTGTATTTCATCAAAATTAAAACCTTTTTTGCTTCAATGGACATGATCAAGAAAGTGAAAAGACAACCCACAGAATGGGAGAAAATATTTGTAAATCATGTATTGGATTAGAGTCTTGTATCCAGAATCTACAAAGAACTCTTTACAAATTAACAACAAAGTCACCCAATCAAAACTTGGGTAAAGGAATCAAATAGACATATCTCTAAAGAAAATACACAAAGAGCATATATATATATACTCAACACTATTAGTCATTAGGGAAAAGTAAATCAAAATCACAATGAGATAATACTTCACACCACACACATTCACACCTACTGTAATTAGAAAGATGAACAATAACAAGTGTTGGTGAGGATGTGGAGAAACTGAAACCCACATACCTTGCTAGTGAAATCTAAAAGGATGCAGGCCCTTTGGAAAACAGTTTGACAATGCCTCAAAATGTTAAATATAGAGTTACCATACAACACAGCAATTCCACTCCTAAGGTCGCTAAGAGACCTTAAAATATATGCTCACCCAAAAACTTGTACATGAGTGTTCACTCACAATAGCCAAGAGGTAGAAAGAACCCAATTGTACATCATCGATGAATGGATTTTTAAAAAGTGTGATCTAGCCATTCAATGGGACATTATTCAACCATGTAAAGAAATGGAGCACCGAAACATGCCACAACATGGATGAACCTTAAAAACATGCTCAGTGAAAGAAGCCAAACACAAAAGGCCACATATTATATGATTCATTTATATGAAATGTCCATAATAGGTAAACCCATTGAGACAGGAAGTAGAAAAGTATTGACCTGGAGCTGGGGGAAGGAGAAAATCAAGAATGCTAATGGCGCGGAGTTTCTTTTAGGGATGATAAAGTTTTGGAATTGAGGTGATGGTTGCACAACCATGCGAATAAACTAAAAACCACTGAATTGTATATACACTTTAAAAAGGTGAATTTTATATACGTAAATTAAATCTTAGTATTTTTTAAAAGGCAATCATAAAAGTAAGTACCTTGACAAGGAAATATTTGCCGTATTTTAAAACATAAAATTTAAAATGATACAATTTTTAAAAAGAAATAAGTCTAATCATTTTGTAAAAATATATTTCTGAAAATAAGTTTATGAATGAGAAAGGAACACTATTTACTATAAATCACTCATAAAAGTTTCAAATGTGGTTTTTTTTAAGATGAAGTTTTATGCCAACTCTGTGATTTAGTGCAGCTGTTAACCAGCACTGTGAATTTCAGCTCATCCATGTATATGGTCATAAAGGACAAAATATACATAGCCATGACACAGGCTAAGGTAGAGATGTCCAACACAACAGTGGCTTAAAAGAGAAGTGACTTTCTCTCCCTGGTAACCATCCATGGATGATAAGGCAGTTCTATGGTGCTGGGCACCAAGGCTCCCTCTGTCTTATTTTTCCACCCCCACTAGGGTGTAGCCCTTTCTACATGGCCCCAAACAACTAACCACCATGTCCCCTTTCCTGGGGAGGGGGGAAAAGTAGTTTAGAGCAGGTTCCACCCCTTTAAGGACCTAACCAGAAATTTGTCCACATTGGTTCTGCTCATGCCCATTGGCTAATACATGACCACATGGTCACTCCCAGCTGCAAGGTTGCCTAGCAAATGTAGTCTTAGCCCAGATGGCTCTGTAACCAGCTAACATTCTGCTAATGAGAAAAGAGAAAAGATATTTGTGGAGGTGGTAGGGGTGAGGAACAAGTGACTGTCACTGACTCAAGCAGCTCTGAGTGGTTGGATAATAACGTTTAATTGCGATGCAGTTCGTTTACAGACTGACTCAGGGCAAACCCCACCTAGGTCAAGGAATTGGAAAGAGTAATTGGTCTATAGCTAGACCATTCATAGGAGGACTATTATAAGTGAACTCAGTTTCCTAATAAAAATATGTTTTAAATAGCCAGTTTGGTCTTGAATTTAGAATGATAATAGAAGTAATATAAGTAATAATATGTATTTTTATTTATGTGTCAGCTCTCCTCAGCATCCTAAAGGACAAATACTATTATTATTCCCATGTATCATAGGAGGCAACTGAGGCTCAGAGAGGTTAAGAGGCTTGTTTAAGGTCACTCTACCTGGTAAGTGGCAAAGTCACACTCGAACCCAGCAGCACAGCCTCACACAGAGCCCCGGTCAGTGACCAGCCCAGTGATTCCAGGAATGGATATTAACACCAAGGTGGAGAACAGGCTCCTCCCAGAGCTGTCCTGGATTAACCCCAATGGCCAGGGACCATCTCCGTGTGCATCCCACCCAAGGGCAACTGCGATAGAGCCTGGGGCTGCTTTCAAGACCTATTTATAAAGCTCAGGTCTTCCAGTGGAGACAAGTGGATGCTTCTGCAGCTTTCTAATTGTTAGGAACCAAGGAGAATGAAGTCCAAAGTGCGCTGTCTGAGGCTGCCCAGTCTCCTGACATTTGGTAGCTTGTGACGTCACTGCCCAAGGTGCCCGTCCTGGGGCAGCCCCTTTGGATCCTGCAGGAGTCATGGTTCACCAGGGCCAACACATGACCAAATGACTTGTTTGTCAAGGACAGGACCCTTGGGCAAAATCAGTGGTCCTCATGAAAGAAACATTCCTAAGTCAGTGAGAGACGGGTTCATGAGGCTGGTTTGGGACCCAGAGCACTGCGTGTGTCCCGTGGAAGACAGGGCAGAAGGCACTCGCTGGTGGACAGGCCAGGATCCTCAGCCCTGTGATCCAGGAGGCTAAGGAGCCCCAGCACCACTCAGGGCTTCCTGGGCTTCCTAAGGGCAGTTAGCAGTTAGTTTATTTACTTTTTAAAGATCAGTTTCTCTGTTAGAAACTAAGTCCAAAGACAGAATCAGAGACACCCACAAGGATGTCAATGGGAAGAAAAGAGAAGACCAGAGTAGAGAGGGAGGGAGGGAGGGAGAGAGGTGGAAAACTTAATGCCCTTGGGAACCCTTGGGGATGCAGGGATAACTGAAAAGATGTAAGGGTCCCTGGCTCTAATATCCACAAACCCCACCCAGAGGCTATTTTGGGGTGAACAGCTGAAGGTCCTTGCTAGGAAGGCACAAGCTTACTAATCGAGTTCATAGCACACACCTGCCTTGGGCCAAGCCTGTGCTGGACTCTGGAGGATACAGACATGATAATAACAGCAGCAGCAATAATAATAATTATAACAACCAGCATTTGTTGAGCACCTACTATGTGCCAGGTAATAGTCTAAGCACTTTATACCTATCAAAGTCCTCACACAACGCTACCAGGCAGGGATGTATGTTATCCTCATTTTACAGAGAGAAGAGCTGAGGAGCAGAGCGCAGCTTGCCAAAGGCTGAGAAGCAGCTGAGCTAGGGTTCAAACTGGGCTCCAGAGCCCCCACTCTCCCCACGAGGAGATCCTCCCTCAGCAGTTCCTATTTCAGAAGCACACAGCCCAGTCAGAGCAACCAGAAGCAGGTAAATCCCCTTCCACAGCACCACAGGCTCCGGGAAGGACACACGGCAGAGGAAGCAGTGGGTCACTGCACAGAGAGGCAGGCTAGGAGGAGGCTGAGGATAGCAGGGCCCCCAGGCGGTCTGGGAGGAGTGGTAGAGCCACAGAGAACAAACCAGTCTGGGAGTCTGAGCTGGCCCTTAAGGAGGCATCGGGGCCAGACGGGAGGGGCCGAGGAGCTGGGCTTTCTCCAGGGGAGACTTCCAGAGAATCTGATCAAAGCTCTCTCTCAAGTCTCTTCTCTGGGTCAGGGCAACTCGCCCAGGCTCAGCCCAGCTCGTGGGCCTCCTTCCAGGGGCAATGAACTTCCCCAGGCTCCCCCGCCTTTTCCTTAAACAAGCCCGAAGCCCTCCAGGCTGAGGACTCCTAATCCCAGCCTAATCTCTGCTCCTGCCAGAGCATCCTGTTTGCTGTCCTCCTGGCTGGGTTGGGGCCCAGGAACAATGGTGAGAATGAGGGAACAGGGAGAGGCGGGTCTGCAGCCTGGGGGCTGAGGAAGGAGGGGACATGGGCATCTGAGACAGCAGCAAGGGAAGCAGGGCAGCGTACAGGGCTGAGAGCAGCTGGGCTGGGCTGACCCCCGGGGAAACAAGGCCCAGAGTGAACTCAAGCTGCCTGCTCCAATGCTAGGCTCTTCCTGGTGGAACTTTCCATTTACCATGTTGGCTTAACCTAGGAACACAGCACATCTAAACGGATCTAAGGCTCTTCTCCTTAGACCCACATGTTAGTGCCTGGCTGCGACTACACCCACTGCAGAGAGCAACAGTCGTAATGATGACAGTGGTGGTGACCATTTATGAAGCACTTATTCAGTGCGGGTCACTGTGGTTTTGCACAGTACCTCATTAAATCATCAACAGGAACAACCACAAACAAAAGTAATGACAATCCCGAGAGCTCATGCTGGGGTCGCTCCCAACAGGCCAGTGTGGCTCCCCATGAATTAGCTCATCTACCCGCATAGCAATCTGCTAAGGCAGGGACTTTTGTATTCTTCCTTTTACACTCTGGGAAACCGAGGAACTTGCCCTAGAGCACACTGCTGGACAGAGAACTGCATTCAAAGCCACTGACTTTGATGACCCAGTTCAGGTACTTAACCTTGGCCTCGGACGCAGATTGCCCAAGACTCGTAACAGCGTCCATGGGGGTCGAGGTTGCCTTTATAATCAGTTGCACTTTCCTTCTATTTTATGCTGTAGTTTCACAACAGTGGAACCCCAGACTGGAAAACTGGATTCATCAGGTGCGTGATCTAGAAAAGAACTTGTAGAATCACAGACTAGAATTCATCGATCAAAAACAGCTCACAGCCGCCCCTCTGGGATAGTAAGAGCTATCTCAGGACCTTCTTGCAATGAATCCTCAGTGTGATCCTAGGAGTTAGATGCTATTACTATGCCCTTTTTACCAATGAGGAAACTCAGCACAGGGGCTAAAGTGGCTTGCCAGGGTCGGCTTGTAAGTAGCAGGACAGACACTTGGACCCAGAGCCCAAGTCCTGCATCACCTCGTGGACCCTCACCTGCTGCTTCAGAGCCAAAAGTAAACTACGTAGCAAAGGGCTTCCTCTGAGATAGGGGTTTTCACACTGCCCCCTCTTGCCACTCTCCCTAGACTGTACAAGAGTCTACCATCACCAAAGAGAAAGATCCTGTTTCTGGGTCTGCTTTCCAAAAGGCCTGAGCTATCTGACAGTCAGGGCCTAGACCTATGGATCTGCAGCGTCTTCAGCACCAGCACGAGGCCTGGCTCATGGAGACTGGAAACCAACCCAAATGCGTGATAGGCTAACAGAGCCTCAAGCCGATTAAGCTATGCGCATCTTAATCTGCATACAGTCAGTTTCCTTTCTCTATTCTTTTTCCATACACGGTTCTTAATCCAAAAAGATGAAGAGGTGGTGGTTCTTGTTTCTTTCTTTTTTTTTTTTTTCTTTTTTTTTGAGATGGAGTTTCACTCTTGTCGCCCAGGCTGGCTCTCAATGGTACAATCTTGACTCACTGCAGCCTTCGCCTCTCAGGTTCAAGTGATCCGAGTAGCTGGGATTACAGACATGCGCCACCATGCCTGGCTAATTTTGTATTTTTAGTAGAGACAAGGTTTCGCCATGTTGGCCAGGCTGGTCTCGAACTTCTGACCTCAGGTGATCCACCTGCCCCAGCCTCCCAAAGTGCTGGGATTACAGACATGAGCCACTGTGCTGGGTCGAGGTGGTGGTTCTTCCAAAAAAACAAGTGGTGTGTCCCATTGTCAGCTGACGCCTAAGTGAATATGACAGCATGAGATGCTGGATGTAAATAAGATGTTGGGGTGGGGGAACGTGGTGAGAGATCCTACTGGAGAGGGCTTGCCTGCCTCAGTCTCAGAGGTCACCACCTGGGCCAGCTGGTGACAGGCTGCATCCAGTTCCCTCCCTCCCACTCACTGCTGAGGGGCCTAAGGCAGGTGCCTTAAGCTCTCTGAAGCTGTTTTCTCATTCAGAGCATGGGTATAGTAATAGCATTGCAATATTGGGCTGAGTGAAGCTCAGATAAGATCAGACATCATTTAGTGCCTACTAACTGCTGTTGCTGATGTAGCCATGATGATTTTTACACCTATATTTCAGCAAATCCAAGATGCCAGAGCTCAAGAGTCCAAATCTCACCTTTCCCCCATTTTTGCAAATACCGCTGTATTAGAACACAGCCATGCCTATTCAGTTTCTCGGTGTCTGTACCGCTTTTACACTACAATGGCCGGCAGAGTTGAGTAGTTGTGACAGAGACAATTTAGTTCACAAAGCCTAAAACATTTACCATCTGGCCCTTTGCAGAAAAGTTTTGCCAATCCTGCCATAGATTGTAAGAAATGCTGTAATTTTAAGCATCACTAGGAAAGAGAAAGATTTCACCAATTAAACCATGACATACCAGCTATGTAAAACAAATCCAAATTTCAGAAATGATAAAATGTGAAGAAAAAGAAAAGTGTACCAAAGGATCAATAAATACACTGTCATTTGTTTTCTTACAGGTGTTAATTAGGTGCTGATTCCCTTGTCTCTCCTTTCCCCCAACTACATGTTCATACCTAAAAACCTTTCTAATCTTAATGAACACAAAGGCAACCCAGTGTCATGGCTAATAGTTCAAATCCCTGCTCCACAGCCATATTCTAGCTAAGTAACCTTGGGCAGGTTAATTTACCTCTCAGATTCAATTTCCTCACCTGGAGAACAGAGATAATAAGAGTGCCCACCTCATGCAGGTAAAAGGAATTAGCATGGTGGTTCACAAACAGTAGCCACTCCACAAAATAGTAGAAATCAGTAATAGTAATGGTTTGAAATATCACTTACCTTGACCAAGCTGGTTTCTACTGATCCCCTAAAGATCCAAAAGTCCCCGTCGGGATCCCCATCACAGATCCCACCTGTGGCCTGTGGTCCTAGCTGCTGCTCTGCTTCTGGGCCAGAGAAAACACTCTGTATTAGTCTGCTCTCATGCTGCTAATAAAGACATACCCGAGACTGAGTAATTTACAAAGGAAAGAGGTCTAATGGACTCACAGTTCCATATCGCTAGGGAGACCTCACAATCACGGTGGAAGACGAAGGAAGAGCAAAGGGACGTCTTACATGGTGGCCAGCAAGGGAGCTTGTGCAGGAGAGCTCCTGTTTATGTAACCATCAAATCTTACGAGACTTATTCACTACCACAAGAACAGTATGGGGGAAACTGCCTCCATGATTCAGTTATCTCCACCTGCCCCCACCCTTCACACCTGGGGATTATTCCGCTTCAAGGTGAGATCTGGGTGGGAACACAGCCAAACCCTATCACACTCCAAGATCGCCCTGTCCCGGGAGCCATCACTGCTGTTCTGGTTCCTCCGTCATCCTCCAACCCACCTTGGTCTGGACCAGCTGGTCTCAGCCATGCACAGCAGGCTACCAGGATGGTGATTCTGGGAGAAAGCTGGTTTCCTGAATCACAGGGGACTCTTTGTCTTTCTGATTTAGATTCCTGTCTCTTTGCCTCCCTTTACCAGAGGAAGGGTGGGTGAAGTGTGAGCTTGGTGACACTGTGAAGGTGGCCTCATCCCTCCTGGGAAGACCCTAGTGGTGGAGGCCATGGAAAAGCAGGAAAGGGCACACCACAGAGCCCCAGGGCAGGCAAACGGAAGGCCCTTCTGTGCAGCCAAATGTCATTCAGCCAACACCTCTGAGAAGCTTCTGTGAAACTCCTGGAAACTGCAAAGGACTTCCAGGCAGGGCAGCACAGTGAGCTCATCCTTCAGCATGCTCCCTGTGCTGCAAACACACGGCCTCAATTAAATATCAAAATGGAAAAGCAAGCTTCCAGGTCCAGCCCTCATGGTGTAAGGGTAGTAGACTTACTCTCTCAGCATAAACAATGAAAGAACTAGGTATTTATATGAAGCAACTGCTGCCAACACACAGCTTAGAGCTGTGATCCCTGAGAGAAGTTTTCACATAGGCAAACCCCACACTCACTCAGGCTCTCCCACGGGGGGATCTTGGCAAACTCTGGTATAAGAAAGTGGAGCCCAAACAGAACAGTTCTCTCACTGGGCAGAGGAAACTGGAGTTGACATTTGGGGCCCTGAGACAGCTGGAGTTTGCAGGGCAGAGAACTTCAGAGGATGTAGTTGCACAAAGGAGCTCCAGAAATCTACACAAGGGACTCCTTCAGTGTTTGGCTGAATACTGAGCTGCCTATGCACGGGGCACATTTCTGTGAGGCCAGCATGGAACAGGTAATGGGGAGCTGGGGCACAGGTGGGAAGTGGAGGTTCTGGAGGTTGTGCAGTGCTAAGGGACATTAGAGCTCAGACCAGCCAGAGTGGAGACGTCATCGAACACCCTTAGTCAGTGGACAGCCCACACAATCCATTTCTGCAGTAGAGTACAGGGTACTCTATGCCTACCCCAAGAAAACTTAAAATCAAGCCAATAGTGACTCAAGCTGATCCCCCAGGAAATTAACTCCTTGTCATAATAAAGCCTGATGCTCTTTAAAAAGGAAAAGACCAAAAAAATCTAGACTCTCAACAATATACAGCGTATAGGAAAAATCTGTTAGATACACTGTCTGGGATTAATGGCAGATTAGGCAACACAGAACAAAGAAAATCAGTGAGCTTGAAATCATAACAATATAAACTAACCAAAAAGGACCACACAAAGAAACATAAATGAAAAAGAAAATGAGCAGAGTGTCAGTTACTTCTGAGACAAATTCAGGTGGCCTAAAATTTGTATAATTGGAATATCCAAAGAAAGAGGGGAAGAGAAAAAATATTTGAAAAAAAATTGGTTGAATTTTTTTCAAATCTGATGAAAAATATAAACCCTCAGAACTAAAAGTTCAACCAACACCAAGCCCAAGAAATGTGAAGAAAACTACAAGACACCTCATGATTAAATAACATAAAACAAGTGATAAATAAAAAATCTTAAGAGCAGCCACAAGAATACAGCACCTTCCATAAAGAAGAATAAACATAAAGATGACAGAAGCCAAAGGACAGTGGAGCAACATCTTTACAGCACTGGAAGAAGAATAAATAAAACACAGAATTCTATACCCAGAAAAAATATATTGCACAGGCAAAGGGATCTAATGCTTTCTTCAGACATACAAATGCTGAAAGAATGTATCACCAACACATCCACAGTGCAACGAATGTTAAAGAAAGTCCCTCAGGTGGAAGGAAAGCAATACCAGACAGAAATCCAAATCCACACAAAGGAGTGAAGAGCACCAAAAATGGTAACTATGTGGATAAATAAGAACATTTTTATTTTTCAAACTTCTTTTTAAAATAACTGAATGTTTAAAGTAATACAATACCAATGTATTATGGAGTTGATTATATATGTATATCATATATACATATATTGATGATATATATTACAATATATATATGTAAGGTGTATTACAGTAATACTTCAAATACCAGGAGGAAAGAAATGAAAGTAAATTTCAAGTTGTTATACTATATGTAGAGTGATATCATTTTACCTGAAGTCAGACTGTGATGAGTAGAAGATATATGCTATAAATGCTAAGGCAATTACTAAAATAACAAACAGTAATGGATTAAAAAGCCAACAAAGGAGATAAATGATATAGTAAAAAACAATCTAAAAGAAGGCAGAAAAGGAAGAAAGGGGGAACAAAGAACAGATAAGAAATAGAAAACAAATTGCAAGGTGATAAATTTAAACTCAAATATATTAATATCACATTAACTTTAAATTGTCTAAACACCCCAGTTAAAAGGCAGAGATTGCCAGATTGGATTATTATTCAAGCCCCAACTATAAGCTGACACTAAGCAACCCCCTTTAAATATAAAGACACAATAGATTAAAAGTAAAAGGATGAGGAAAGATATATGATGCAAACAATAATCAAAAGAACACTGGAATGGCTATGTTAGCAATAGATGGGGTCAGGCACAGTGCCTCACACCTGTCATCCCAACAATTTAGCAGCCTGAGGCAGGAGGATTGCTTGAGCCTAGGAGTTTGAGAACAGCCTGGGCAACAAAGCAAGACCCCATCTTCACAAAATATGTAAATATTAGCTGGGCGTGGTGGTGCGTGCCTGTAGTCCCAACTACTTGGGAGGCCAAGGTAGGAAGATCACTTGTACCTAGGAGTTCAAGGCTGCAGGGAGCTATTATCTTGCCACTGCACTCCAACCTGGGTGACAGAGGGAGACCCTCTCTCTAAAATATATGTGTGTGTGTTTGTGTATATATATATGTATATGTGTATATATATGTATATGTATATGTATATGACAAAGTTCATTTTAGAGCAAAGAATATTACCAAAGATAGAGTTGATTTTTAACAATAGAAGAGATCAATTCATTAGGAAGACATAATGATCCTAAGTGTTTAGGCACTTAATAACAGAGCTTCAAATACATGAAGCAAAATCTTATAAAACTGCAAAGAGAAATCAACAAATACACAGGTATAGTCATAAATGTCAATACCCCTCTCTCAACGAATAAATAGAATATCAGTAGGGAAATAGAAAACTTGATTAACTATATAACTATCAACCAACTTAACCTAATTGATATTTATATAACACTCTAGCCAACAACATCAAATTGCATGTTATTTCTAACTGGTCTCAAAATATTTACCAAGATAGAACATACTAAACCAAATATGTCTCAATAAATTTTAAAAAATTCAAGTCATGAAAACTATGTTCTGTGACCACAATGGAACTAAACTAGAAACTGGTAACAGAAAGATACCTAGAAAATCACAAATTATTTGGCAACTTAATTAAACACTTTTAAAAACCTAGAAATTAAAAGGAGAAATCAAAATGGAAATTAGAAAGTATGTTGAACTGCATTAAAATTTAAAAACAATGTATCAAAATTTGTAGGATACAGCCAAAGAAGTGCATAGAGAGAAATTCACAGCATTAAATGTGTGTGTAAGAAAGGAAGAAAGTTCCTAAATCAATGACTTCAGCCTCCACCTTAAGAAAGTAAGGGGAAAAAAGAGAAAATTAACACTACAGTAAGCAGAGAAAAGGAAATAATAAAGCTAGGGACAAAAATCAATGAAACAGAAAACAGAAAAAATCAATCAACAAAAATGAAAACAAAAACTGGATCTTTGAAAGATCAAAAAAAAAGCAAAAGACCTGTAGCCAGATTGAGCAGGAAAAAAAAAAAAGAATACATGAATTACAAATGTCTGAAATTAGAAGGACACATGAGACAAATGAGAAATTCTATAGATTATTTAAAAAATAATAAGAGAATAGAATAAACAACTTCATGCCAATGAATTTGAGAATTTAAATGAAATAACAAAGTTGTTGAAAAATCAAAACTATCAAAGTTCAAGCTACAAGAAATAACCTGAATAGCCCTCTATCTATTAAAGAAATGGAGTTTGCAGTTATAAACCTTATCACAAAAAAAAACTTCAGGTCCATTCACTGGTGAATTGTTCCAAACATTTAAGGGAAAAAAATTTCCAATTCTATCATATTCTTCCAAGACAGTGAGGAGGATGAAATACTCTCCAACAGCCTTTATGAGGCCAGCATGACATCTGAAAACAAAACCAAAGACATTACCGAGAAAAGGAAGATCAATATTTTTTCATTGATGAAAAAATCCTAAGCAAAATGTTGGCAAACCAAACCCAACAATATATAAAAGAGTCTATGTTAGGAAATGTAGAGTTTATCCAAGGAATGCAGGGTTGGTTTAACATTCAAAAATCTATCAATGTAATTCGACATATTCACATTCTGAAAAAGAAAAAAACAAACAAACATGTAATCATTTCAACAGAGGCAAAAAATCCAACAATCATTTCTGATGTTTTAAAAAACTCTCATCAAACTAGGAATAAAAGAGAATTTCTTCTACATGATAAAGGCATCTACGGAAAATGTATTACTAACAACATAGTTAATGGTAGAAGACTGACTACTCTACCCCAAAGATCAGGAACAAAGCAAAGATGTGTGATCTCACTTTGTACTGTATTCAACTTTGTACTGAAAGTTCTAGCTAGTGCAATAAGGCAAGAAAAGTAATAAAAGGCACACAGATAGAAAAGAAAGAAGTAAATTTGTCTTTTTTTCTCAGATTATATGATTGCATAAGTAGAAAATACTAAGGAATCCACCGAAAAAAAGCTAGAAAGAGAGTATCTGGCAATTTCAAAAGATGCAAAGTAAATACAGAAAAATCAATTGCATTTGGACATGCTAGGAGTGGACAATTACAATAGTGGCAAAAATATGAACTACTTAATGGTCAGTTGAATAAAAGATGGGCAGGACCTATCAACTTAAATATACAAAATATTGTAGTAGAAATTAAAGACCTAAATAAATAGAAAAATATAGGTGTTCATGGATTGAAAGACGAGATAATGTTAAGCTTTCAATTCTCCCCAAGTTGATCCGTAGATTCAATGCAATACAATTCTTTTATTTTAAGTGTTTGTTTGTTTGTTTGTTTGTTTGTTTGTTTTTGAAACAGAGTCTCTCCTTCTGTCACGCAGGCTGGAGTACAGTGGCGCAATCTCAGCTCACAGCAAACCCAGTTTTCTGAGTAGCTGGGATTACAGGCGTGCGCCCCCACACCCGACTAATTTTTGTACTTTTAGTAGAAATAGGGTTTCGCTATGTTGGCCAGGCTGGTCTCGAACTCCTGGCCTCAAGTGATCCACCTGCCTTGGCCTCCTAAAGTGCTGGGATTATAGGCGTGAGCCACCGCACCATGCCAATTCAAAAAAATTTTAATCAAAATCCTAGCAGGCTTCTTGTAGAAATGAGCAAGCTAATTCCAAAGTTCATATGGTAATACAAAGGAGCTAGAACAGTCAAAACAACTTTAAAGAAAATGAAGAACAAAGTTGGTGGACTGACACTACCAGATTTCAAAATTTACTAGAAAGCTGCAGTATTCAAGACAGTATGGTATTGGTATAAGATTAGATAAGCAGGTCAATAGAATAAAGTCAAAAAATAAACCTTTAATTATAGAGTCAATTGACTTTTCCCAGTGGTGCCAGGGTCATGTAATGGGACACTTGCACGCCCCTGAGAATGAGCACCTCCTTACATCTAAGCTCCTGGGGGTCTCACTTGTCTCAACCTAGCCCCAGTCCTGCTACTGTGGGATCTTGTAAGTTACGGTGGATGAAAACTCTTACTCTCTTCAGGGTGCATCAGATTGACATCTCACCAAATTGGTTAAACACTCTTGGAAGACTGAGGTGCCATCTCCCACGTCTTGTTCCACAGTTGGGGATCGGTTGACACCAACACTGAATTATTTTATGTCCCCCAAACACACACACATGCAGCCTTTAGGCCTTGCCTCCGTGGCCTCTTCTGAGAAATGGGACCAGTAAAATGGTCCCCTCTTTTCTCAGGCTGCCCAAGAGCCCATTGGCAGTTTTCAATCTCTAGAAAGAGACTCAGCCTCCCCCTGGAAAAGTGCCCAATCCCACAGGCTGGGAAAATGCCTTTGATTCCTCAAGCAGCCTCAAGTAGCAGATGTTGTCATGGCCCCAGTGCTTGGCCCATCTCAGAGGTGCAGCTCCAGGCTGCCACAGGAGACAGTCACTGCCCCCTACAGCATCCTACCCCAAGCACCTGCACTCTCTGCCTGAGTGGAGTGAACTATGCCTCAATGCCATAGCCTCTGGACCCTTCTAGAGAGCAGCCCACATTCTCTTGGACGGACCCCAGAAGGACTGCACTCCAGCTGCCCCCAGCATCGTTATCTCCGTGCGTTGTTTTTCCCTGTCTCTTCCTTCCCGGCTCCTCACCATGCTTCCTGGATCCCATCCCAGATAAACTACTTGTATCTGAAGTTTATCTCAGGTCTGCTAGTGGGGGCACCCAAGCTAAGACACAAGTTTCACTAGCATATTTGGGTATTCCTAGAGAATTGCAACTCATCAAAGCTGAGGGCTGATTTGCTCATTAATATGGGCATCTACTCTAAATTGACACAAGCTGCGAACGTCTCACAGGTTTGTTGAGCTGTAAAGTGGACAGTGTAGCAGCAACCAGGAGAAACCTGAATCCAGATGAAGCGATGTGACCAGGAGAACCACAGTGCCATTGCAGTGGCTGGATTTGATCTTTATGAAGTCATAGTGATCCCTGTTGTGGAACCCAGGTGGGGACATTCAATAAAATCCATCCTCGTGCCACAGTATTCACCCATTTCCTGAAAATGTTCTTTTAAAAGTGAAACAAATGAGCAAAAAGCAACCACCAAAAATATTAGTGATGCTTTACATACTTGCAATTCAAACAGTGGCCCCAGACCAGCCACATTCCCTTCACCTGGGAGCTTGTTAGAATTGTCCCACCCAGACCTGCTGAATCAGACTTTGCTTTTACACAAGATCCAGGTGACTCAGGGGCACATCACAGTTTAGAAAGTGCTGCTCTAAGGGATGTTGGCTTTGCAGAACAGGGCAGTTAATCTACAGGTTCTGGGGTTGAATCCTGGCTCCATCGCTTACTAGCTCTGTGGCTTGCGGCCAGTCCCTTAACCTCTCTGGGCCTCAGTTTCCTCATTGGTTAGGTGCCTACCCCCTAGAGCTGCTATGAGACTTCAATGCAATCATCAATATAAATTGTTTAACACAATACCTGGCATGTACTAAGTGTACACACATTTTAGCTCTTAGCCTGGTCATCCCTGCAGCATGATGAGTAAGCAGTCCTGGTTTTCTGAACAGTACTTGAAAGGTTGTATAATAATAAAATATTTTGGATGTGGAGTGAGTCAAGGGTGAGATTTCTCATCTCAGCTCTATTTAGTGCCAAAAAAGTAACTCCTGCGGCTGAGCCTCTGTTCCCTAGCCAGAAAATGAAAGAGAATCCTTTCCACCTGCAGTTCCCATTCCTGAATGCACACGGTCATCACCTGGGGAGCTGGCAGCATCCTGACACCTGGCTCCACCCCCTGAGATCCTGATGTCACGGCCTAGGGTAGAGCCTAGGCACCTCCCAGAGATTGTCATGATCAACCAATGTTGAGCACGACCTCCTTGGGCTTGTCATGCTGTGGCCACCTCCCATTATAAGAACTCAGGATACAGTAAAAACCCATAGGAGTTTTGAATCTGCAGGATCGTTTTTCAAAGTGTGCACTAACACCCTGATTTATCTTTTATGCAAACTAAATTCCATACACTAAATCCTGATCTATGTGCCCAGTTGTAATGTTTATCTCTATCCCACTGGCAAATCACATTTTTGTCAGCACGGAGCTCATTACACATGGACTTGCTATCTACTGCTCTGCTCCTTTTAGATGGCCTTTGTTCTGCTTTAAAAAAAAAAGAAGTCCTGTTAGTTTTTCCTTGGGATGAACTGCTAAAATATCCCCAAATCCTTTAAGAAAGTCAGGGGAGCAGCCAGGCGCAGTGGCTCGTGTCTATTATCCCAGCACTTTGGGAGTCCGAGGCAGGTGGATCATTTGAGGTCAAGAGTTTGAGACCAGCCTGACTAACATGGTGAAAACCCATCTCTACTAAAAATACAAAAATTAGCTGGGTGTGGTTGCAGGCACCTGTAATCCCATCTACTCAGGAGGCTAAGGCAGGAGCACCACTCGAACCTGGGAGGCAGAGGTTGCAGTGAGCTGAGATCGGGCCACTGCACTCCAGCCTGGGCAATAAGTGAGACCCTGTCTCAAAAAAAAAAAAAGTTGGGGGGGCATAAATCTTAGGAGAATGTAACTATACAATGTAATAATTCATCAGCAGAGTATGTGAATCAATTGTGGAAAAGAATAAGACCATGTCCCAAGTAAATGGACTTGCATATGTAACTTACCACCACAGTTTGATCAATGTGGCTGCCTCCAAGTTTTCTGGCTGCTGAAGGAACTAAGACGATTCTTAATGGACTCTTGCTACAATACCACCAGCGAGTGGAAGACCAACATGTTGAAGGAAGGGCTGGAGGAGGTGATTCCCCAGCACCAGAGCAAGCCCCTTTCAAAACTGCAATGCCCGTCCCTGGCCTGATAGCTTTACCTTCACTCAGGCCCTTCCTTCACCTCCTAAGGACTTTCCAGCTCCCCTAATAACCAGAACTGCCAGATTTATTGAGCAAGTTTATTTTCTATTTTTTGAGTGAATATATTTACTTATTTATTGAGCAAATGAAAATACAGGATGCCCAGTGAAATCTGAATTTCAAATGAACAATGATTTTTAGTATAAATATGGCCCATGAAATATTTGGAACATACTTATACTAAAAAAAGTTTTTTTGCTGTTGATCTGAAAATTCAAAGTTAGGTGGACATCCTGTATTTTATCCTGAAACTCTCCTCATAACCATCACGCCCCCAGTATAGACAAAATTCTTCAACAACAGTCTCAGCAAGGAATAAACATGAAATAGGGATGTCTTTCCAATCACATGGCTCTTTCAAGTCTTCTTTCCTTATCTGAAGCAGAAGTTGCGGGTTGCTTCTGAATTTCTGGCCTTTATTTTTAATTTGGAAACAGAGCCCCATTGACCATTGCCATTCAGCTAGAAGTTGTGCTCTCCAGGGTTCCCGACAGCTAGGTCTTCTGGAAATGAGACTGAATTATAACCAGTGGGATAGGGGAGGGAGTGTTGGGGTATGCCTGGGAATACTTCTTTAATGGGGGGTCTTCTCTTTCTTCATCCTACTGCTAAGAATATAGCTATGATGACTGGAGCAACAGCAGCCACATTGGACTGTGAGAACACAGTTCACATCAGTGTAGAAAGCTGGAAGTAACCGAGTCCCTAGTAGCTTCCTGGAGCAGAACTACCATATCAGCCCTGGATGCCTCCCTCCAGATATTTTTCACATGAAAGAAAAGTCAACTTTTTTTTTTTTTTTTTTTGAGATGGGGTCTCACTCTGTCACCCAGGTTGGAGTGCAGTGGCGTGATCTCAGCTCACTGTAATCTCTGCTTCCCAGGCTCAAGCTAACCTCCCACCTCAGCCTCCTGAGAAGCTGGGACCACAGGCACACACCACCACACCCAGCTAATTTGTTGCAGTTTTGGTAGAGATGGAGTTTCACCATGTTACCCAGGCTGATCTCAAATTCCTGAGCTCAGGGGATTCGCCCACCTCAGTCTCCCAAAGTGTTGCCATGAGCCACCACATCTGGCCAAAGTCAACTTTTGTTTCAGCCAACGATGTTTGTGGGTTTTCTAGCTTTGTAGCCAAGCCAAGAGATACCATCCATTAATGACATCTTGCAGATTCCATCACTTTCTGGTCACAATTTGGGGAGTCCAGTTGAAAATGCAATCTCATATTCCATTGGAATCTTATGTCCTCCCTTCCACCAGGCTTGGTCATGTTTGAGGCTCATGAGGCTTGATGGGGAGGAAGATAAGATAGCCATAAGAAATATCAGGAAAAGGAGATGGAAGCATTGAAGGATGCTGGCCAGAGGAAGATGAATCCATCCAGACAGGGGATCCCAGGAGCTTTGGGAGGCAAAGGCCCTTGAGAAACTAGAGCACAATTCTCATGGGTGGAAACCGTGTAGTGTGGGGCAGTACCCCCCACCCCCGTTGAAGGGGTGAGTAGAGGCAACAAGGTGTGTGCTTGCATAATACGTTGTGTCTCTTAGTTATTTGGATGTGGAACTCAGAGACTCCAGTCTAAAGCTTTGCCCAGAGAGAGACTCTCCCTCAACCTTCCAGTAAATTCCCCTTCGGAGGTCAGCCTCTGCTACTTGCAAACCTAAGAACCATGGTTAAGGTGCTCTGACATCGTGGTTAAGTCACTAAGCTTCTTAAGGCCTGATCTCTTCATCAGTAGATAGGAAAGGCAGCCCAGGGTCTACTCTCCCTGCATTCACTGTTTCTACTGTGCATTCAGCATCATGCCAGACAGGTGCTGCTTCCTACAGGGCTCAAAGCACCTTGAAAACATCATCAGCGTGGTTAGGAATTCGAGGCTGCATGTGTACACTGCTTTAATATTACCTCTCATCATTGCTTCTCCTAAGGGCCATTGAATCTCTAGCACACAGGGACCCTTGGAGTCAGTTTCATTAGAGAAAGAGCCAGGTTAATTCCAGCCCAGCGAGGAGGCTCTGAATCAAACAGCCGCCTCTTCCCTCCAGAGCTTCTTCAGGCTGACCCCCAGGCGCCTTTCTATCAGGGGAAAGATTGGACAGCCCGGCAGTTATCGACAGAGACGGCCGACGGACATTGATTGGGACTGCACTGCGAGTCTCTTTCATTTCCAAGTACCAGCTATGAGAGAGTGATGGACGTGTCCTGGTGAGATTCTGAGTCTCCTGGAGCTGAGTGATACAGAGACTCATGAGCAAGTCCTGCCTGTCTGCCCAGGGCAGGGACGCCATCAGCCCCAATGAGTTGCTGACCTTTAGAAGAAAAATCATCATAAGCTCAGCAGCAGCCCCTGATTGAAGGATCTGCAATCATGAAAATGTAAAAGTTAAATGACTTCCAAGGAGAGCGACTGCATTCCCTGCAGCACAAATGTTCTACCCCAACTCGATGCTCTCCGTCCCCTGCCCCACCAGGGATGGTATCTGGTCTCCTGGAAGTTCACAGCCCTGGCCTCCCTGCCTGCTGAACCTCCCACCCCTGTCCATCCGAAACACTAACCAGGGGAGAGCAGGTCCAGAGAAGGGAAATCAGGGGACTCACACCAAAAGAAATGAGAGTAGATGACGAAGCAGAACCTCCACGCCCACCGCACCATGGCCTGTGGACTTAGTATGGCCTTCAAGACCCTCCCTGAAGGAGCAGCTGCCAGCATCTCAAGTATGCTGCCCATCGAAACTGTCACATTTCACAGTATGCCTCCTCCACCCCCTCGGACACAGACTGCATATCTCTGTGTCCTCAGTGCCACCCTGAGACCTCACTCATAGCAGGTATCCAGTGAGCCCTCCAGAAAGGGCTGGGCACCACATGGCCAGGTGGCTTCAGCAAAGCTCTCAAGCTGTGGATGCCTTCTCCAGGCATGGCCCTCTGGAGGCACGCTCCACTCTTCCTGGCTCCTTCAGTCACTTTCCAATCCTCCCGTGGGCTCAGACATGCTTTTAAGCAAAGATCCCTGACTCTCCCATTAAGGAGTCCAAAGAAGGACAGATCGACGTTCTCTCTGACAGCCAGAGTCCCCTGGCAGGGAGAACGGATTTGGGAATGGGGTCACAGACAACCCACACCCCCTCCCATGGCCCAGTCTTTTTGTCTCTCATGCCACCATCCTCTCCGCTGGGGAGGGGCCAATGGCGATCAGATTCGTGGATCAATGTGATGCATCTGTCTCCTGATCTCCTGACCTGTCTGCTTGGTTTTAAGGGTTTTGTCCTTTCTTTTGCCTTTTATTGTAAAGCCTCAAACTCCTTTTGAAAAAAAAGGCAGGAGCATAAATATTACATAAGTTTAAACAAGATATAAATATGTAATTGACTGTGAAGGGCTGAGTGGAATGTTTCCCAACACGCAGGTCCTGCTGTGCCCAGGATGGAGTGGGGGACCAGCCCTTTCACCGGGGCCTGTCCACTCCAAGAGGGGATGGAAACGGAAGCGTGCAGGCTGAGCTGGACCGTGAGCATCACAAGCAGAGCTGTGTGCTTCTGTGCACCACTGCGAGCCCAGCACTGCACAGCGGAGCTCACCAAACACTGAATGAATGAATGAATGAATGAATGAATGAATGAATGAATGAATGAATGCATGCATGAATGAACTGCTTCATCCTTCTGCATGTTCTCCATTCAGATAGGGTTTCCAGAGAGCAGCTAGAGATTGGGAAACTGGAGATGTCATGCGCTGAAGCCTATTTAATCAGGTCTTCTATGTCCTGGAGGTGCTCGGGGGTGGAAAAGGGACAACTTCCAAGGGAAACAGCGTTGGGAACGTGCCCACCATGGAACAAAAGCTTCCTGCACCCCCTGAGGAATCAGCACCCTGCCTGGTGCCCTGTGCATTTCCTGCGCTGTTTTCTCCACACTTCCACTGCCACCAGCCTGGCTTGGGCCATCATTACTCCAGCCTCTCCCCCTGCACTCCACTGTCCCTTCTCCAGTTCACAGCCAGAATGATGCTTTTAACATGGGAATCTGAGCCTGTTGCCACACAGCCCAAGAACCCTTCCCTTCTGAGCCTGCAAGCCTGCATGACCTGGCCCAGCCCCAAGAATCTCATTGCTCCCTTTTCCTCCCTCTTGCTCCCCCAACAAAAACCCTTCTCAGGACCCTTGCCCTTGAGGTGCCTTTGCCTGGATGGCTCTTCTCCAAAACAGTCTCCCAGCTCCTCTCTCCCTCACTTTCTTCCAACCCTGCTCAAATGCCACCTCCTCTAAGCAGTCCTCCCTGACTGCTCAGGCAAAACACCACCACCACCACCACCACCACCAGACTCACAACTCTCCACCCCCTTACCTGGTCTTACCTTTCTTTATAGCACCTTTCTCTGCCTGACAGCCATCGCACTGTGCGTAGATTCATTTATTCACTTCTTGTTCACCTCTCTTATTTAAAAGAGAGCATTGTGAGAACAGGGACCATGTCCATCTAGCTCACCACTAAACCCCAGTGTCCAACACATAGGAACATGGCAATCAATATTTGTTGACTAAATTAACTCCCATCTAAGAGATGAAGTGACCGGGACTTGGAGAGGTGAAAAACACCTTCGGAAGATGAGCGTAGACCCTGGCTCTTCCCCTTACCTGCGGGGGTCAGATTCTTTCCCAAGTCAAGACAATGGTGACTGCCATGCAGACTCTGAGACCCTGACCCAGGCAATGCTCAGAGAATGACTTCGCACAGGTTTATTATGTTTGGCAAGAGATAATTAACCGTGTCCCTTGTATCAACAGCCTTGGATAAAGAGTGGCCCCAGCTCTGCAAGCACCCAGGCAGTTTTGCAAACCAGATTATTACTTCATATAAATATTTAATGAGGCTTGCCCTCTAGGTCTCCCTTCCTGGTCCATGATCATTAAATATAATCTTGCAGCCAAAATTCAAACTCAGCTGTCTTGGGTGGGAGGAGGGAGAGTTCAAACCTACTGAAGACCCTGGTTAACTTTAAACTCAATAGCAGATGAAGGGGAAAACAGCACAGAAGGGGGGAAAAGGGAGGTAGGGAGGGAAGAAGAGAGGCATGACAGGCCAATATTTCTAAAAAGCCCCATTGGACACTGTAGTGTAGCAAATGGTGTCCCCCAAAATTCGTGTCTACTGGAACCTCAGAATGTGATGTCGTCTGGAAATCGGGTCTTTTCAGATGTCATTAGTTAAAATGAGGTCATACAGGATTAGGGTAGATCCTAAATCCAATGACTGATGTCCTTATTGAAAAAAAAAAAAAAAAAAAAGGAGAGAAGCCAGAAGGCCACGTAGAGACAGCAGTGTTGCAGCCACAAGCCAAGGGCCACCTGGAACCACCAGATGCTGGAAGAGACAAGGAAAGACCCTTCCCTAGCTCTTCTGGAGGGGGCACGGCTCTGTGTATACCTTGATTTTGAACCTCTGGCCTCCAGAACTCTGAGATAATATATTCCTGCTGTTCTAAACCAGCCAGTTTGCAGTAATTTGTCACAGCAGCCCCCAGGAGATTCATACAGGCTCTCTGGAATTTTCTCCAGGGCACTCCCCACCCCCAGAGCCTCTCCACCAGAGCTAAGTGAGGGCCAGGAATGGGAGCATGTGGTGGTTTTTGAGCAGGAGGCCCAGGCTCTGTGGCTGTGCCCTGAGCTGCCTCAGTCTCCCCAGCCACCCCTCGGCTAGCTTGGCCCTCCAGAGCCAGCTGACCCTCTGGGGGCTCTCAGGGCCCTGGCTCCATGTCACCTCTTTGCTTTCCCTTCCTCTCAAAGTCCTCTTCTTGAAATACCAACACGTGAGCTTCCAATGATGCTTCTTGGGCTGGAATCAGGCCGCACTGCAGGTACACTGAGGGCCCACCATGTGGGGTCAAGAGTCAAATTCAGGGAGACCCTGTACACAGCAGGGCCATCCGTATCTCTGACTGCCCCCTGCAACTCCCCGTGTTCCTTCTCACTTCTCACCCCCGCGATGAGAGGCCTCATCCAGGACAGCCTGAGCAGCCCAGCACCCAGCAGGGAGGTTGGCTGCAGGCAGGGGTGAGGGCCTGGGTCCGCACTGTGCTGCCCACATCTACTGTGCCCAGGAGCACCCCAGGCCCCCGCCCAGGTGCAGGCTTTGTCGCAGGAGGCATGTGGGGCCTGAGGTCCTGCGTTGCAGGCAAGCTCTCTAGTGACGTAAGACATGCTTGGCAGGACAGCTCGGGAGAGGCCTCTCTGTGCCTTCATCCCTGGCCAGCTGGTCTTCCTGAAGGGACCACATGCTCCAAGGGCGGTGGTGAATAAATATACCCTAAAAGGTCGAGAGACAACCTCCACGTGCACAGGCTTTAACTTGGATTTACTCAAATAGGGAAGCCTGTTTCTTCTCTAGCAAAGGACAGAGCCACAGTGCAAACAGCCTAAAAGATAAATGAGCATGGACACTCTCAACAGCAAGAAGAGGACAGGCAGGTGGGGGAGAGGGAGAGCAGCAGTGCGTCTGGTGGACCTGCATGACTCCAACCAGTATCACCAAAAGCACTTCCAGACTAATCCATAGGTGAGCAAATCTGAAGAATCTATCATCTATCTCCCCAAAAGAGAGAAAAACTAACATTAGTTGGGCACATACTATAAGCTGTCATCCTCCATTGACTCATTTCATACCTACGAGCACCCTCTGAGATGCATGCTTGAATCTCCATCGTACAGACTGGGAGATGGAAGTTCAGAGAGGTTAAGTGACTTGCCCAAGGTCACAGAGCCCACAAGTGGCAGGATTGACAGTTCTGTTTCTTTCTTTCTATTACATCACAGGTTTTGAGAGCCGACCAGCTTCCAGGGATCATCTCCCACCTGGAATGAAGTTAAGAGAACAGGCAGGAAAGGGAAGACAGGGTGAACTGGCCAAGAAATCCCTAATTGTGTAAATTACCAGACAAAGCTCTTCAGCCCCTTCCTCATGACTCAGACATGGAGACAAAGGACAAATGAAAGGGAGGAAATGTCTTTGCCTCCCTGGAAAGGAAGGAGACCCACCAAGCAGAAAGAGAGGGAGGAGGGAAGGGACAGCTCAGTGGAGCTGCAGTGACCAAGCGGAGTACAGCGGGGAGAAATCCGGAGACATTTCCCAGTCTTGCCAGAAATTCCCAATCCCATGCATTTTCTCCTGCAGGGGAGGAAAGGGGGTCACTGCTTCCCCTTCCCGTACTCTGCAAGGTTTAGGTCCAATTGGGTCTCACAGAACTTGATGGCAGGGGGAGTGGTGGGGAGCAGTCACGGCACCCCTGCAGAGAAACAGCTTGGGAAACTATGCCAAACTCTGACCTTGGGGGTAAGCCCCGCCTGTGTGACTCAGTTCTCTCATCCTTTTTGGAGTAGCCTGGTGGAGAGCCAGACCAAGGCTGACCACGCTCCAGGCTCTGGACTCAGAACTGGGGCTGACATAGCCAGCACTTCCTGCCTGTGTGGCCTTGAGAACTCAGCTCAGTCCCTCCATGCCTTGGTCTCCCCATTGTTGGGAGGAGGTGGCAACACCCTTGCCTGATCGTAGCACTGTGAACCTCGAGCCTGAGGCTTCTTTGAGCCCTGAGCATCCAGTACTCGGCAAGGACTTCCGTTGGTGGCATTCTTACTTCCTCCCCGTCGCTTTAGAGGGAACTCATTCATCCCCAGCTGAAGTGTAAAAACCGACTTTGCCCAAACCTAAAGAAGTGAAAGTGGACAAACAAGGAGTGGCCCCCAAAGGGACCTTCCCTTCCAGATAGGAGCTTCCATTCAAGACACTGTCCACTCCCCACTGCTGGAGAACCCCAGCCCGGGGGTGCCCAGGGCCCCCTTAAACAAGAATTATCCTCCAGAGGCGTAATGCTCGACAAATAAATGGCTCAAACACTTCCTATTTTACCCCAAAAGACAGTTACCACCAGAATAGACCCAAACTGTGAGCTCCAGAAGAACAGAAAATGTGCCCATCGTTCCCTCTGTGAATTGCCAGCAGCTATTAGCACAAGCGTCTGGCGCCTGGGATGCCCTTGGTAGGAGGGGCTTGAATTTAGGAAAAAGTGAATGTTAGGGCTCAGCTCAGGAAGTCCCAGGAGATCATAAAAAGCAGATGATCATGCTCTCTCCGGGAGGCGGAGCTTGCAGTGAGCCGAGATCGCGCCACTGCACTCCAGCCTGGGCAACGGAGCGAGACTCCATCTCACAAAAAAAAAAAAAAAAAAAAAAAAAGAGGGGGGTATTCCCAAATGCTCCAGCCCTGATCGTTCCTGACAGCTATGGAAGGAGCACAGACCAGCCAGGGCCAGAACCTTGGTTTCCAAGGGCAAACCCTCCTCATTAATTCCATCCCTTCAATGGAACTGCACTTTATCTCCTCCTGCAGAAAGGAATCCATCTCGATGTCAATCAGCGTGGCGCTCGCTTCCGACGGACTCACAGCGCAGCTGAGAAAGCTGGTCCGATGCTCCGTTAATGCGGCACTTTAATAACAATATCACTCAGATCTCAAACTGCTTAATTAGATTTCACTCATTGTCATCACTCGCCTCATTTGAACTGCTCGTTTATAATTTATGGTCTTTATGCATTTGGTTGTTCATTTGTAAAATGGGAGAAAACAATCACAGGGCAAAAAGCAAAGCTTAAGAAATGGATTTGACTTTTCCCAAGGGCTGGTGTGCTGCAGGGCTGAGCAGCAAGGTCAAAGGAGGAGGATGCTGGATGTGTGGTTGTTTACTGTTCCTGCCTGCTCAGTGTCCTTCGTCCCTTCTCCTGGTAAGAGCTCCTGGGGTTTCCCCCAGATAAGGATCCTCCCCAGCTCCAGGCCTTTGTGGTTGGTTGAGCCATTCTTCCACCTTCAGAAGGCATCTGCCAGCAGCAGCCTCCACCATCAGCTTGTTCTGACTCCAGTGGACTCAGTGATTGTTTCAAAAATAGGCACCTGACCCAAAGCAGTCCAATGACAGTGAGCCCTAAACATTTGCTGTAATTACAAACCTGCATGACTCCAAACAGCAGGTGAAGGGGAAAACAGCAGAGAAAGGAAGAAGGTCCCTCCTTCCCTTGGAACTTCCAAGGGGTCCGAGGGAAAGTCATTCCCTTGGGAATGATCCAGTTGGACGTAAACCTTGCAGAGTGCGGTGAGGGGGAGCAGTGACTCCCTTTCCTCCCCTACAGCTGGGGAAGAGTCCTGCCTCTTGCTGGTGGAATTTCAGTCTGTACAGTGTGGGGGCCAGCCTCCCTCCCACAGCTGGGTGGGGTGAGCTGGCTGAGAACCAGCTTGAGGAAGCAGAACAAGGGAATTCCTGGCGACATTTCTGAGCACCTGGACTTAGTTATGCCTGAATCCAGGGGTGCTGGATACTTAAATTTTGTGAGTCAACATGTTCCCTTGTTTCTTTCAGCCTATTTGAGCTGAATTTCTTTCACCAGCAATGGAAAGACATTCAACTGACAAGATGTGATGTCAGAGATCACCTTCATGAGAAACACCATAGTCACTGATTCTTCTACAAACCCAATTTGCGATGCATTTCTAAACATTAAAACCGTGAATAGTGCTAGAGTGATATCAAAGATGCCATTTTGAATTCATAGAGAAGAGTGGGGTTTCCTCTGGCCACCTTACCCCACATTTCAACATCACCCCAGCCCCACCATGACATAACACATTCCCTTGCCCTACTTTTTTTTTCTCCTTGGTTTTTATGCTCGAACATACTAAATATCTTACTCATTTGTTTTTTGTATGATCTGTCTCTCTCCACTACAAAATCAGCTCCCTGAGGACAGGAGTTTTTCTATGTTTTGTTCACTGATATGTCCCCATGTCAGTGGAACTGAGACATAGTAGTCCTTCAGTGGACATTTGTTGTCTGATTGAGTAAATCAAGCTGTTGTAGGAACTACATTCAGCCACTAGTAAGAGATGGAAGGCAAGCAATGTGGGAGTTTCTTTCTCTTATACGTCAATCTGGAGGGTTCGGAGCTGGTGTGGAGACGCATGGTGTTCTCTGGAACCCAAGTGCCTTCTGTCCTGCTGTCGCCCTGTCCTCAGCACACAGATTCCCTCCTCAAGGTCTTCTCATGGTCCAAGATGGCTGCTGTTGCTCCAGCCACATCATCCGCATTCCATGCAAGAAAAGGGGATAAAGAGACCCTCTCAAATGCTTTCCCTGAAGAGAAAACAACTGCTACCTTCGCTTCATTGGCCACCCCAGCTGCAAAAGAGGCTGGGAAATGACATCTTTTAGATAGGCACATTGCCATCCCAATAAGATCAATGTTCTACTACTAAAGCAGAAGGATGGAGATGGAACTTGGAAAGCAACTAGAAATCTTTGTTGGGGGCAAAAAGAAGCCATGTAAATGAGAAAATGATAGTACTATAGAGAAGAAAACTACACAGCCATTAACAATCAGGTTTTTAGAAAACTCTGACTAATGCTAGAGAATACCTATGATACAATGTCACATGAAAAAGGTGGACTCTAAAACTACGGAAGACCTCTATTTTTGTAAACACACTTCCCAACCACACACACACACACACCAAAGACTTGAAAGAAATATACCACCACATTCATAGCATTTTCCTCTAATTAGGCAGTTACAGGTGGCTTTTATTTTCCTTTTATGCTTTTTTTCCCAGAGGTTTTCGACAAATATATGTTGCTTAAAAAAAATTTTTTTTGAGGAGTCTCGCTCTGTAGCCCAGGCTGGAGTGCAGTGGCATGATCTCAGCTCTCTGCAATCTCTGCCTCCCGGGTTCAAGCGATTCTCCTGCCTCAGCCTCCCAAGTATCTGGGATTACAGGTGCCCGCCACCACACCTGGCTAGTTTTTGTATTTTTAGTAGAGACTGGGTTTTACCATGTTGGCCAGGCTGGTCTCGAACTCCTGACCTCTGGTGATCCACTTGCCTCAGCCTCCCAAATTGCTGGGATTATAGGCATGAGCCACCACACCTGGTCGCTTAAAATTTTAAGTAACAAGTAGAGTGAGTGGCATCCCCGTTCCTGGTTTATCTCTGTGCCATCTCACGGTGGGGCAGACCAGGGGGAAGAAGAGAAGAAAGGAGAGGGAGTAGAGTTGGGAAAGGGCAGAGAGAGGGGAGGGAGGGAAGTGATGAGAACAAGCAGGAGGGTCTGGGAGGAGAGGAGAGGGGAGGAAAAAGAAGAGGAAAGAGTCCAGAGAGGCCGTGCTTTCTGCTAGGAATGGCTGGGAAGGACTTTAAAAGGAGCACAGGAGTTGGGTTTCCTCCAAAACACCCAGAGTCCTCGCCCACCCCCCACTCCTCCCTGCACTACCCCCCCCCCCACCCAACCATCACCACCACCACCAAGAGCAAACTCTAAGAGGATCTCAGGTGTTTTCCTGGATCACAGAAGCCCAGGGAGCAGACCCCACAGCTAACACTGACTCATGCCTCTTCCATGCCACCCCCTGCCCCTGTGCCCCAGAGCCTCCCTTGGTTCATTTTTGGCAATCCTTGGTTCCTACAATTCCTGCAGCTGCCTTGATTCAAACTCCCTCCCCAACTCCACCCCAGGCTTAAGGGTGGACTGGATGGGAGCTGCAGGTCATGGCGGAGGTCGGGGGGGATCTCCAGCCAGTTACACCCCAAGGAGATGGAAATCAAAGCCAATAGAAACTCCTGTTGTTCACCAGCCCCTTCAAACATCCTGCTTGGAGCAGATTCAGGCTCTGGAAAAGTTCACAGGAAATCCTGGAGATCAGATGCTTACTCAGCAACCACAAGCTTTATCTTGGGTCTGAGTCCCAGAAAACAAAGACAAAAGTTTCTTCTAAGACTCCCTTCTCCCTTCGCCAACTGGTGGAGCACCATTTCCAAATAAAGGGGCTCCAAAAGCAATTCTAAAGCAGAACTTGAAAGTCAAATCACATTCTCAAAGCTCGTGCAGTTAAAACACGGGTCAGATGCCCCCAGACAGAGTCCCCCCACAACCCGCCCTCCCACTAGCTGCAGAAAAGCAGCTAGGCTTGAGCCGTTCAATTCAGTAGCCATTAGGATTATGTGGTTCTTCAGCACCCAGTGTAGCCAAGGAATTGAATTTTTTAAGTTTAATAAACTTAAACTTTAAAACTGAACAGTAACATATTTGTCCATGAAGACAACTTTATTGTTTTGTAGAACTACTTACTGTATTCATTTCCAATTGCTACTGTGATGAATTACCAGAAACCTTGTCACTTAAAACAACAGGCTCGGTACAGTGGCTCAGGCCTGTAATCCCAGCACTTCGGGAGGCTGTGGTGGGCGGATCACTTGAGTCCAGGAGTTCAAGACCCAACTGAGCAACATGGTGAAACCCCATCTCTATTAAAATTAAGAAAATTAGTAAGGCATGGTGACACGTGCCTATAGTCTCAGCTACTTGGGAGGCTAAGGTGGGGAGGATGGCTTGAGCCTGAGAGGTCAAGGCTGCAGTGAGCTGTGCATTCCAAACTGGGGGACAGAGTGAGACCCTATCTCAAAAATAAAATAAAACAAAATAAAGCAACCCACACTTTTTATGTTACAGGTCTGGAGGTGAGAAGCTCAAAATGCGGCCTGCAGGCTAAAATGAAGGTGTCAGCAGGGCTGCACTCCTCTCTGGAAGCTCCAGAACAGAATCCCTTTGCCTTTTCCAGCTTCTAGAGACCATCCGCTTTCCTTGGCTCATGGCCCCTTTCTCCTCCTGCAAAGCCAGAAATGTTGAATCTCTCGGAATATCTACCATAGCCACAGCTCCATCTGACCACAGCCACAAAAGATTCTCCACTTTTAAGGACCATTATGATTATACTGGGCCACCTGGATCAATGCAGGGTAATCTCCTCACTTCAAGATCGGTCACTTAGCAACCTTAATTGAATTTGCAACCCAAATTCTCCCTTCTGCGGTATAAAGTCACATATTCACAAGTTCCCAGGATTAGGTCATGGTTGGAGGCCATTCTTCTCGCTACCACATTGCAGTTCACTGTAACCTTTGCATCAAATTGGGCATTACTGTGAGTTCTTGTGCAAGTGTTGGGCAAGTGTACCATTTCTAGCATCTCACATAAACACATCACCCACCTAGTTGGTGTCAATGGATTGGTTCCAGTGGGATGATTATTTTTCTGTGGACAAATGTAACATTGTAATATGTTTATTTAAATATATTATGCAGACTTACAAGTTACAGCGATATCTGTGTAATTAAATTGAAATTCTTATTATTTTGACTTTGATATAAACTGTTTTTCTAGTTTCAAAAAATAAATATGGACAAAATTTGAGATTTAAAATACAGGAATGGTACTGATACAGAATCAAATGGAGATGCAGAACTATAAAGAAAACCAGAGATACCACAAATTTCATGGTGAGTGGCAATTATAGTTTGTTTCTGCAGGAAGAAAACAAATAGCTTTTTATCTGTTGGATTAAAGATAATAAAATGAACACTAGTCACAGACATTCTTATCAAATACATAATGAATTTGAAAATACGTTTTCTTTCAATAGTCAGAAAGAATCAACAAAACAAGTCAACTAAAATCAGAAGGAAATGGCCAATAAAAAAATTGTAATGAATTTTCACTTCGTAACTTTGGCCAGCTAGGAAATAGTTAGAATGCTTGCTCAGAAGAGGAAAAACTTTTTTTTTTTTTTTTTTTTTTTTTGAGACAGAGTCTTGCTCTGTTGCCCAGCCTGGAGTGCAGTGGTGCGATCTCGGCTCACTGCTAACTCCGTCTCCCAGGTTCATGCCATTCTCCTGCCTCAGCTTCCCGAGTAGCTGGGACTACAGGTGCCCACCAGCACGCCTGGCTAATTTTTTTTTTTTTTTTTTTTTTTTTTTTGAGACAGAGTCTTGCTGTCACCCAGGCTGGAGTGCAGTGGCGCGCTCTCAGCTCACTGCAGGCTCCACCCCTCCAGGTTCACGCCATTCTCCTGCCTCAGCCTCCCGAGTAGCTGGGACTACAGGTGCCCGCCACCACGCCTGGCTAATTTGTTTGTATTTTTTAGTATAGACAGGGTTTCACCGTGTTAGCCAGGATGGTCTCGATTTCCTGACCTCGTGATCCGCCCGCCTCGGCCTCCCAAAGTGCTGGGATTACAGGCATGAGCCACCGCGCCCGGCAAGAGGAAAAACATTTTTAAATGGAGACTTTTGAAAAAAATTATTTCAGTATAAGAATTTTGTTACAGTATAAAGAACAGACTAAAAAATTTTTTCTTGAAGAGTATAAGATCTTCACTTAAACCAACAAATGACCATCGACTCAAAATCTTTTTGAAAATATCAAAAATAAATTGATTATTTGAAAAACTTAAAATATTTTAGCCTCAGATAGTTGCACTGCCCAATTAACACTTTGAGTAAATTTCATCTCAAAGGATTTTCAAATTTAAGAGGGAATGTTGTCCATTCACGGCTTAAAACATTGAACTCATGGCATAGATAATTTTGTATCTTCTACATCTGTCAAAGAAGAATTTCAGCTAGAAATGAGAAAATTAGTTTCTATCATGACAGATCAGCTATCTTAGATCAAAAATCCAGATTTGCTGGAATATTGAAAGAAGAGACTGCTATTTCCCTTAATGCTTCATTCCACAGTATGGTACATATTAAAAACATTTGTGTCCAGTCTTCTGAAACAGACTCTAGGAAGTGCCATGGATATAGTGGTTAAAATCATTTAGTATTTTTATGTGCAAGGGCTATGAATCATCATGACTTTATGGCTGAAAATAGAAGACAACGAATTTAATGATGTTGTGTTCTTTCTTTGCTCATTGGCTGAGTTATGAAAGAGTTTTACAAAGATTTACTGTGGTGTTGACTTGAATTCAAGATTTCTTTGAAACAAAGGACATACTTGCCAAATATGCAATCAAAGACAAAAACCCCCGCCAGTTTGGTTTAACGTTTTCTCACTATTATCACACACATATGAAAGAGCTAAATTTGAAGCCCCAAAGAATGAAAGAGTTTATCAGTGACCTAGTCAGATGGGTAGACGAATTTATGCCAAAATTTGAACCTTTCATAATGCAAATCAATAATAATGATTTTCACATTTTTCCAACACAAATCAATATGTAGATTTTCATTGTAATTGGCAGCATTATGTAAATTGGCTGCAAAAGCTATCAGAAAAATTTGAAGAACATTTGGTTAATATTGATAAATTTTGAGGTTTTTTTTTTCAAATTTATGTGATGTCCCCTTTGCATTCAAGGTTAATAATACTGAGTTATCACAAGAGTTAGTTAATTTACTTAACTTGGATAGTTTGGAAACCGATATGCTTTGGCTTCAAAGTCAAATCACTTCTTCTAAACAACAAGATGAACCAGTTTTGGCAATGTGCATGGGAATGTTAAAGGAAAATGGTTTTTTTATGCACAATTCCAAACTTTAAATATGTTTGGAACAACATAAATATAGGAATCCACGTTTTCAATTGTCGATTTCAACTTTACAAAATCTAAATATTGATCAACTATTTCTGATGAAAATATAGTGGCTAAATTGAAATGTGCTATAACTGTAACATACACCGGATTTCAAAGACAGACAGAAAATATAAACTATGTTATCAATAATCTTTAAATTATTATATATTGATATGACAATATTTTGGATATAGATAAATTTTAAAAGTTAATTTCACCTGTTTCTAATTTTTTTGTCATGGATATTAGAAAATGCAGAATTATATGGTGGCTCACATTATATTCCTATTGAACCATGCAGAATTAGACTTTCTTTTCAGAGAAACTGAAGCTTGCAAAAAGATGCTCTTCTTTCCTTTGATTCTTCATTTCCATGCATCCAAGTCCATTTTAATAAAGCTTACAAAATGATGACCAAATCTATCAGCAAATTTGATTTCATCCATGTTAAGTGTAAAAAAAGGTACTCATTGTTGGCATAGAAAAACTCAGAAATTACACAAAACGTTCAATTATTGGCCCCCCTTTAAAAAGTCAGGTCTGACCAGCTTGGGCCCGTATTTCCAAGTAGTGATACCTGCCCAGGGCCCATCTGCCCCTCCCTTGCCCAATGTGGTTGTTTGCAAGCCAGTTTATCACAGTTGAGTGTTCAGAGTCAATTTTCCATATTTATAACATTAGAGAAAGTCATCTATGATCTCCCTAGATTTTTAAATATTTTCTTGTCATTTTAAAAATATTATGCATACTTGTGATGGTAAATCTTTTCTCATTTTTTATGATGCAAATATTTGTTTTATTCTTTTTATTGTACAAACGTATGAGGTGGTTGTCTATTTTATTTGTCTTTTGAAATAAGCAACTATTTTGTGTTTGTTTGCTTAGAGACAGTCTCACTATGTTGTTTAGGCTGGCCTTGAAGTTCTGGGCACAAACAATCCTTCTGCTTCAGTCTCTCAAGTAGGTGGGACTATGTGCACTCACCACCCTGCTCGGCTTCTGAAATAATCAACTCTTTATTTTACTTATCAACTTTACTATTTTTCCTAATAAATTTCTGCTTTACTCTCTAATAATACAACTTTCTGTTTTCTGCTTTATTTATAGTGTTTTCTATACTCTTTAGTTTAATTATTAGTCATTCATAGCCCCTCATTCTTAACAATAAAAGAATTTTGGGATATAGATTTTCCTCTGAATATGGCTTTGGCTACATCCAAGATGTTGCTGTAATATATCAATATTTGATAAATAATATTGATATAAAATTTAAGTTTCTATTTTCTCCTTGATTTAAAAATTATTTAGAAGAGTATGCTTTAAAATTTCCCAGTGAAATTATCAATTTGTTAGAGAAAGGACAGTGGTGAATTCATACAAAGGAGCACTATGCAGCAATAAACAATGGGACTGATATACACAACAGCATATGTGAATGTCGCCAACACTATATTGAGTAAAGGAAGCTGACACAATAGACTACAGGCCATATAATTCCATCTGTGAAAGATTCAAGAGCAGACAAAGCTAATCTATAGTGACTGCAGTCGGAATAGTACAGCGGTTGCCTCTTGGAAGGAGGCATTAGCTGCGAAGCAGTGCATGGGAAGCTTCAGGAGGTGTTCTGGGTGGCTGTACATGTGTAAAAATTCACTCAGGTGTATACTTAACACTGTGCACTTTACAGTACAGAAGATGTGCTTCCATTTTAAGAATCTAGTTTTCTTACAAATATCATAAAGCATTATTGGCAGAAAATTTGGCCCGTAAGTTACATCCTTTCCAGAATTTGTTAACATTCTCCTCTTGGCCAGAGTAATGGACTCTGTTGGTTCCTATTCAGCATCCTTCTCCCCTTCCTCCTTCCCCTCCCACCCCTGACACTACTCCAGATCCCCTCCCTCCACACAGCCCGTGGGGAAGCGGAGCCTGCCCCAGCTCCCCGGGTGGGACTTGAGTGGTCTTGGTCAATCATGACGATTCGATCTGTCTTGCCCATGGCTTCCAGGTGAAACCAATCTGTGCATTGTCTTGGGCAACTCTTCTTGATTCAAGGGTGGGCGTTTGATATCAGTAACCCAATCTGACTAAAGAGAAGGACTTTTATTGCATGGTTGAAGAAATTCCTTTTTTTCTTCCAGTGGAAGAAAACAAGGGAGGCCCTGTCTCAGTTGCTCCACCTCACCACAGCCAGCCTTAAGAGAGAGGCCGAGGGCCCCTGCTGGTGCCCACCCTGGTGCCCACCCTCCCTTGACCTCCTGGACATGGGTTTCTACATTTCCCCATGACTTAAACTGCCTGAGTCAGAGTTTCTGTTTGTGGCAGTAAATAATCTACTTGTGAGCCAAGAACACGACTAATATCAAAAATGTTCCGTGCGCCCAGGAGAAGAATGGGGCTGTTTCTTTGGAACAGAGTTGTATTGACATTTCATAAATCAAGCTTGTTCATTGTGTTGCCCACATTCCTTATCTGCTTATTTGTCCACGTGACCTATCCAATTATGAGAGGGGAAAGTCAAAGTCTATTGCTATGATTGGGGCTTTGTCGAGATGGTGCATTATAGTCTTTGCGCCCAGTGAAACATTTGGCCGATTAAGATTTGGGCCCGCTATGTCTGCTTGGTGGATTATAGATTTTGTCAGTAGAAAGTATTCCTCGGCTTACCATTTCCTGCCTGTGGCCTTCAGTTTTGCTTAATCTCATTGTCACATTTCATCCCTGCTTTCGGCTCCCCTCATGTTGTCCCACTTACCAGAGCTCCTTTCTTTATTATGAACCTTTCTGGGTCAGGTTATTTGGGCTGTGTCTTGTGAACGGTTTAGAGTTGGCTTTTGCTTTTTAAGTCAAATCTGAGAGACTATATCTCCACCTGTTTGATAATATATGTTTACCATCTTTTTTTTATTATTTTTTTCCTTTTTTAAAATTGCATTGAAGTTAGTTTTCATTTTCTCCCATTTTCCTCCTGGACATTGGCAGTTTGATCGCCGCTGGCCTTTAAAACTTTACCAAACGTATCTAAATCTATGGTTCTCTGTTGCTATCAAAAAGTTTTGAAGATTTATTTCTTTCGTACTGTCCCCTAAGGCAAGCCCTCTGGAAGCTTCCCAAGAAAATCGTTTAAAAATGGCCCCCTCCTCTCCAGATTGTCAATTCCTACCCTCTTCCCTGATTTACTTTCTCAAAAAAACTTATGGCCAACTGGCCTGCTGTAGGTTACCTTATTTTTTCTTGTTGTTCTTTAAAATTTTTTTTATTTTTCTAGATTTAGGGGCTACAAGTGCGATTGTTACATGGATATAATAATGCACAGTGGTGACATCTGGGCTTTTCATGTACCACACCCAAATAGGCACCCCACAGGTAATTTTTCATCCCTCATCCATTCCCCACTCGTCCACACTCCCCAGTCTCCAGTGTCCATTATTCTGCTCCATATGTCTGTGTGCACACATCGCTTAGCTCCCACTTATAACTGAGAACATGTGGTTTTTGACTTTCTGCTTCCAAGTCATCTCACATTGAATAATGGCCTCCAGTTCCATCCACGTTTCTACAAAAGACATGATTTCTCTATTTTTTATTCAATTGCCTTATTTTGTTTGCTTTCTCTCCACACTAGCTCCATGAGGGTGAGAATATCTATTTTTTTCAGAGCCTGTTATAGCCCCAGGGCCCGGCATAATGCCTAGCACATAGTAGGTGTTTTATAAGCATATGTTGAATAACTGAATGCCTTTTCTTCTCTCTTCCCAGGTTATAAGCCATGTGGAATTTCAATCTCAAGATATTAATAATTTTTTATTTGTTTATGTAACTTATAGAACAAGCTACAAGGTCAGTACAAGCACTATAACCATTTGGTAGATGAGAAAACTTAAACTTAAAAAGGTTACATCATTTCAAGATGGCATAGCTTAGAAATGACCAGGGTGAGACTTGAACTCACATCTGCCCAATAGTAAAGTTTGCCTTCTTACCCTCCGTGTCTGGATCACACATACACCTGGCATTGTAAATGCTTTCTTGGCATTACCTCCCAGCTCAGGTGGGGAAAACACGGGGTGAGGCCCGTGAAACCATCCTGACCGATGCTACCCCTTCCTCAGAGTCCAACTCGAATGCCTCCTCCTCAGCGATACTGCTTCAGGTCCCGTCGGTGAGAATAAATCTGACCTTGTTACCTTTTCTTTGTTGCCTTCATCAACTTCTGACTTACATTACAGCTGTGTGAGCATCATCCGCTCACCAACTAAACCGTGTCCTCCATGAGGGGCCCCATCTAATGCCTCTGTCTTGCCCACTGCACCAGGGGCAGTACCTGGCATACAGTAGGCACTCAAGCAATGCAGGTGAATTGAATTGCTGAGGTGTAATACCAATGGCCCTGGCCCATCCAGACCAAGATCTACCTCCTCCAGGGAGCCTTCCTGGACTACTTCTAGCCGAACCCCAGCTCTCTTTATCTGGCCTTTAACTGATGTGAAATTTAATTCCATGAATTGTAGTGTGTGGTTGTTCTTGGATGGAAGAAGAAACACCAACCAAATAAAAGAGTCTGACTGCAAAGCCCCTGGAGAAAGGAACAATGGATGCCCGGGAACATCGTCTCTCAAGTGCTGTCCCCTTGTGGCCAGAGCATGGAATTCCAACCAGCAGGCAACCAGCTCTAAAGCTAATTACTCTGATTTCCTTCCCAGCTAGCCAGCCCAATGTTGGGCCAATGAATCATTAGACATCATTACATTCTTTAAAAATCCCTACTACTGTTCACCTGGAGTTCCCCGCCGTACTTAGAGTTGCCCATGTCTGATGCAGCTCAATTGCAAACCAACCAGTGTCTGTATCTGTAGCATCTGTGATTGTGACTTCAAATTTGCCACTCATATTTCAAAGTGCTCTTTGTTTTCTGGGAGATACAATAGTGTGGGGGCAGCTACAGTTCCTGTATCCGTGAGATTACATGTTAGTGGGGGATACAGGTACTAAACCAGTAACCCCAGAAGCAAGCAAGCTCATTATCGTGAGTTGTGAAACCTGCCGTTGACTACAGAAAGCAAGGGATGTCTTGACTGCCCTAAATCATGGTGCTCTCCATTCTCCTCTCTGATGGGAGGCTGGATCTCAGTCAGATCTCCCTGGGAAGAGAGGTCAGTACTGAGCAGTTCAGAGCCCAGACTCGGGGGGCAAACTCTAATCCTTGTTCTGCCTGTTACAATTTATTTGACCTTGGGGAAGTTATTCTGAAAAACCAGAATATCCTGATTTGCATAATGAAAATAATAATAATGCCCACCTCATAAGGTCCTTCAGAGTAGAAAATGAAATCTTACTTTAATGCCCAGGGAGCACTGACTAAGTGTAGCTCCTATTTGACTCATGTGCACCCGCGGTGCTGCATGGAAGGAGCTGGTCTGGATCCTTTCTAACTGGCCCACTAGCGTTTATGTGCAGACGGGTTGTGTTCTACAAGGGCAGGGTAACACCTGCAAACCCCCGTCCTCTCTGGAGGGTTGGTAGGTCAGCACTAAGGACAGTGCCATGCATGAGGAGACATTATCAGTGTCCTGCCCAATATCCAGATTCCTTCTTCTTGGAGAACAAGTTCCAAGCTGGATTCGGGTAGTAAAGGCCCACATGGGCCATGATCTGTCTAAGCTGATCCGAGATCCTGCTTCCCTCTTTCCCAGCCTCCCTGGCAGCTGGGAGTGGCCATGTAACTCAGTTCTAATAAAAGTCTGATGGTAGCTTTTCTGGGAAAGCTTTTTTCTGTTAAAGGAGTGATGGGCCTAGCACAGCTCTTCCCCTTTCTTCCACCTTGAACTCAGATGTGATGCCTGGAGGTATGGCCATCCTCATGTGACCCTGAGGCAACAAGCATGAGGAAGGAAAGCCAATATGCTCAGAAGGGTGAAACAAAAGATAGGAAAGGCCGGATCCCTGAGGATGTGCTGGGCAACCGAGCCCAGAACCAATAGCCCACCTATCCACGGCCTCGCTGTGTGAGGCAGTCAGGGCAGGCGGATTCTCCAGGGCCTGCAGTGGAATGCATCTTCAGGGATTTGCTTTGCGTGGCCCTTAAGCATCAGGTCTCATCTCAGGTTCTCAGCCTGCAGCTGAACACATCTTCAGGGATTTGCTTCGTATGGTCTCAAGTATCAGGTCTCATCTCAGGGACCTTTCTCAGAATGGCCCTTCCCTCTCAGGACCAATTCCAAGCCAGAGGAGAAGGTCATTCTTCTCTATTTGCTCAGAGAGTGGATGGACCATTAAGAACAGGAAACTTCTTATCAAGAGGGAACCTATCAGCCTAGACGTTTTCTACCTTCCCAGGTCCTGCATTGGACCAACCTGAAAGAAGATATCAGGGAAATTAAATATGGTGCTCTCATCCCTGCCCCCACACCAAGATTCATGATTGGAAACACAGCATAGGCCGAGCGCGGTGGCTCACATCTGTAATCCCAGCACTTTGGGAGGCTGAGGCAGGTGGATCACTTGAGGCCAGGAGTTGGAGGCCAGACTAGGCAATATGGCAGAACTCCCCTCTACTAAAAATAGAAAAAAATAAGCCAGGCACGGTGGCGAGTGCCTGTAATCCCAGCTACTTGGGAGGATGAGGCAGAAGAATCACTTGAACCCGGGAGGTAGAGGTTGCAGTGAGCCGAGATGGTGCCACTGCACTCCAGCCTGGGCAACAGAGTGAGACTCCATCTCAAGAAAAAAAGAAAGGAAAGAAGGAAAGAAAGAAAGAAGGAAAGAAAGAAAGAAAGAAAGAAAGGAAGGAAGGAAGGAAGGAAGGAAGGAAGGAAGGAAGGAAGGAAGGAAGGAAGGAAGGAAGGGAAGGAGGGAAGGAGAAAAGAAAAGAGAAAGAGAAGAGAAGAGAAAGAACACTCAGCATAGCAGTGACCACAGAAAATAATTCTGGGAAACGGTGGATTCCCGAATTCCTGTCTACCTTCACTGAAGGACTTACCACCCCTCTGTTCAGGGTTCTTGTTTATTTACTTATTTATTTATCTTTGAGACAGGGTGTCTCTCTGTTTCTCAGGCTGGAGTGCAGTGATATGATCATGGCTCAGTGTAGCCTCAGCCCCCTGGGCTCAAGCAATCCTCCCACCTCTCAGCCACCCAAGTAGCTCGGACTACAGGTGTGTGGCACCACACCCAGCTATTTTTTTGTATTTTTTGTAAAGACAGTATTTCACCATGTTGCATAGGCTGGTCTCAAACTCCTGGGCTCAAGTTATCCACCCGCCTTGGCCCCCCAAAGTGCTGGGATTACAGGCGTAAGCTACTATGCCTGGGCAGTTTATTACTTTTAAAAATTCATGGTGGTTGGCCAGCCACAGGAGCTGCAAAATTCCTAGAGCTGGAGGGAGCCATGCTGCAGAATTGTATTGCTATCATGCTTCAGAGGGGTAGGGTTAGCATACCCAGAGGGGCAGCCGAATCCCATGTGTCCTTCTGGTGTCATCACACCCAAACTCCCAGACTGCACTCCAGTGTGCTCCGTATCATGCCCTCAACTCCCTTCGCAAATCAGCCCTGGTCTCTGTCCTTGCTGCACTGGGCCATCCTTGGCTAGAGATACAGAATTCTTGGCCCCCAACCCAGTCCCAAACCTGACCCTCCCCAGCCCCATCACCATAATGGGCACCAGTACCTGCCACCCAAGAGTGGGCTGAACCACCCTTGAACCCCCTTAACCTCCCCACTATTATACATCCAGTTCAGTGTCAACTCCGCCCACATTACCCCAAAACATCCATCGAAATCTTCCCCTTCTCTGGAGCTCCATGGCTTATACCCCAGCCCAATTCACCAGCCTTGCTCACCCGGTTAAAGAGGCAGCTCTGGCTGTCTGCTCTCCTCCCACTGATGTCCCCACTGCAGCCAGCATGACTTTGTCTAACTCGGATCCAAACCTGTCACCTCCTGAAGCCCTCCAGTGGCTCTCACGGCACAGGAAATCCTGGGGCCTCTCTGTGCTCCCTCTTCCCAGGACCCAGGAGCCCACGTGATCTTGTTCCCTTCCCTCCTGCCCCTCCTGTCTCAGTCCATTCAAACTGCTACAACAAAACCATGGGCTGAGTGGTTTAAAAACAGAAACATTTCTCACGGTTCTGGAGGCTGGAAGTCCAAGGTCAAGGTGTCGGCAGGTTCAGTGTCTATTGAGAGCCTGATTCTTCATGAAGGGCCATCTTCTCTCTGTGTGCACGCACGGTAGAAGGGGCAAGGCAGCTCTCTGGTACTCACTTCCCAAGGCTGTACCTCCAAGTGCAATCACACTGGGGATGAGGTGTCAGCAAATGAACTGGAGAGTGAGAACACAAATGTTCAGTCTGTAGCGGCCACCATGGCCTCTGCTCGCTCTGCTCCAGCCACCTGGCTTTCCCTCCCTTCCTGGAACACACCAACTTCACTCCGACCACTATTCCCTCTGCCTGGACTTCTCCAGGAAGAGCTTTGCGTGACGAGCTACTCTGCCTCCTCCAAAACTCAGCCCAGGAGCCCCCTCGTGAACGCCTTCGCCAGCTGAAGTTGTCTTGTTTTTTAATTTATCTGATTTTGTCAGCTTTCTCCTGGACTCCCTGCCCTCAACAAGAATGTAAGGTCTTTCAGGGCAGGGATTCCACGAACCTGCTTTCTCAGGGCCTAGAACGTGGCTTGAAACACAGAAAGTGCTCAATAAATGCTCAACATGTCAATGACTATTCACATGGGAAAACATGCAAGAAATCTGACTTAAGAAGAAACCTACAATATGCCAGTTACATTTAAATTTCAGATAAACAAATATTTTTAGTATGAGTATCTGCCATACGTATACTAAATATTTGGGACATCCTTATACTAAAAAAAAAATTGTTGATCTGAAATTGAAGCTTAACTTGGCATCCTGGGTTTTACCTCTGACAACTCTAATCTAATAGAACCATCCATTTTATGCTAAAGAGGAAGTCTCAAAGCTGGCTGGGAAGCTTCAGAGAAAGATCGAGCCCTGGGCTGCACCAGAGGGACTGATCCAATCTTTGGGTTCGAATTTCTCTGCCTGTGATTCTAATCATTCGCTGAGTTTGGGGATCGTGACGCTGAATCCTCAGAACATACCCAACCAGGGCTAGCACCAGCTCTGAGGAGTAGGGGACTCCCTGCCGATGGGGGAGATGTTCCCACACTGGGGGTGTTTGGGGAGCTCTGGCTATCAGGGAAAACCATGGTCCTCTCTTCTCTCAACAGGGCACAGCTGCTTCAGCCTCATCCAGCCTCGCCTGTCCCAACGTTGTTCCATAGAGTGTAAAAAGCAGCCCAGCAGTGTGAAAAACAGCCCCCAAACTCCCAGGAGTGTGAAAAGCAGCCCCCAGACTCCCAGGACTGTGAAAAGCAGCCCCAAAAGGCCGTATCCATATCCTAACCCCTGCAGCTGTGAATGACAGCTGATTTGGAAGTAGGCTTTTTGGAGATGTGAACAACTCTTTGGAGAAGTCCTTTGGATTTAGGGTGTTCTTATAAGAAAAGGGAGATTTGAAACACAGACACAGAGAGAAGAAGGCCATGTGAAGATGCAGAGATTGGCCACCAGCCACTGGGAGAGAGGTGCGGAGAAAACTCTGCCTCTGAGGCTTGAGAGAATTGACCCTGCCAATGCCTTGATTTCTAGCTTCCAGGTTTCAGGACCGTGCGAGAATAAATTCTGTTGTTTAAGTCACCCAGCAACCCTGGGAAACAAACACCTCAACTGGATTAGAAGCAAACTGAGGACACTAACTCCTGCCTTTTTATAAACCACCCTCTCCCAAGCACCTAACATTCTCCAGGGGATGCAGGAAGAGCTGAATAAAGGCCTAAAGGTGAACTGAGTCAAGCTAAGTTCCAGTTTCCATAACACCCCGAGACCTCAGGATTGGGCAAAAGAAAGGCAATGTCACCACCTTGGTGACCTGGCTCACAGCAGGATTTGCTGGAAATTAATCACTCAGGATCAGGGAATGATGCCCATGAAGCTAAGGTACCAGGAGGGAGTGGCGTTGTGGCGAGTGCCACTGCCTGCCTCTCCCGTGAAAGGAAGACTCGGTGAAGTAAGAGGCACTGGGCAGCCTGCTCGGGTGAACAGGTGAGCATCGGCCTGGGGAAGGGCCTGCAGCTGGGGGTGGGGGTGGTGAGCTCAAGTTCTGGCAAGGCTGTGCCAACATGGTACTGGGCAAGTTAGAAGGACACGGTGGCCCTCTCACCACCATGGGTACATGGACAGCAGGCTCCTCTCTTTAGAATTGAGGATGGAGAGGAAGCCAGAGCTCAGCAGGCCCATGGAGAGCAGGGGAGGTAAGACGTGGAGTCAACGCCCCTTTCTGGCTGCCCCTTTCTGGCAAAATCGCCTCCAAGCAGGAGGTGACGGCTGAGCCCATTTGTCGGACAACTCAGAAATGGTTTATTTGTACACGGCCTTCAAATGTGCATCCCAATGCCAGATGCACCCAAATGATCATCATTCCTTGCTAGTGGGGGCTCTCAAACTTGACCTTGCATCCACATCACGGACTCGCCCAGAGGACTTGTTAAAACACGGATGGCCGAGGCCTAACCCCAGAGCTTCTGATCCAGCAGGTTTGGATGGTACCTAGATGGTCTCCATTTTTTTTCTTTTTTTTTTGTTAGTTTTTATTTTTATTTTAAGTTTCAGGGTACATGTGCAGGATGTGCAGGTTTGTTACATAGGTAAACGTGTGCCACGGTGGTTTGCCGCACCTATCAACCCACCACCTAGGTATTAAGCCCCGCATGCATTAGCTATTTTTTTCTAATGCTCTCCCTCCCCAAACCCTACCTTCCAACAGGCCCCAGTGTGTGTTGTTCCCCTCCCTGTGTCCACGTGTTCTCATTGATCAGCTCCCACTTATGAGTAAGAACATGCAGTATTTGGTTTTCTGTTCCTGTGTTAGTGTGCTGAGGACAGTGGCATCCAGCTTCATCCGTGTGCCTGCAAAGGACATGATCTCATTCCTTTTTATGGTTGTATAGTATTCTATGGCATGTATGTACCACATTTTCATTATCCAGTTTATCATTTGGATTGATTCCATGTCTTTGCTATTGCGAATAGTGCTGCAGTAAACATACGTGTGAATGTATCTTTATAATAGAATGATTTATATTCCTTTGGGTATATACCCAATAATGGGATTGCTGGGTCAAATGGTATTTCCTGTTCTAGATCTTTGAGGCATCGCCACACTGCCTTTTGCAATAGTTGAGCTAATTTACCTTCTCACCAACAGTGTAAAAGCTATTTCTCCGCAACCTCCAGCATCTGTTGTTTCTTGACTTTTTAATAATCACCATGCTGACTGGCATGAGGTGGGACCTCACTGGGTTTTGATTTGCATTTCTCTAATGGAGATCTCCATTTCTAGCAGGCTCCCAGGTGGGGCCGCTGCTGCCACTGTGGGGACCACACTTTGAGCAGCCGGTATAGGGATTTTGACTGAGCCTCAGGCCGCAGTGAGGCCACATTTGCCCTGCGTGAGCTGCTGCTCGGGAAGACGGGGGCTTCATACCTCAGTGAGGTGTCCCTCACTCCACAAACCTTGGCTGGACAATTGCTACGTGCCAGAAACTGCTCTGCCCTGGGGATGTGGAGATGAGTGGGGCGTCCTTGTGCATCCCCGCTCCCCAGCCACAGCCTAGAAGGGGCTCCCTGTGACTACTCCTGTCCCTCTCAGATCACTCTTGGAGTTGTAGCCAGGGTGATCTTTGAAAACACCAAATCCTGCCACATCACCTGTCCCACTACCCTCAGCCTAGGAGCTGGGAACTGACCAGTTCCCCCTGTGCTATAAATGAGAGCACGTCGCTCAAATTCCAGTTATTTCCTCCAATTACGTCCTCCCCCAACACCTCTGATGTCTTGCCAGGACTCTGAGGGGCTGACAGGCAGCAGAGGAGGTGGGAGGCCCAAGGGCAGTGGGGAGCAGAGGCCCTGGATCTAAGGTGACCTCATTTCAGCACTGAGTCCTCACCCAGGATTCCCCTGGGAAAACTGAGACTCTTGGCCACCCTACCTGGTTGCTCCTACTTCCTGAGTGATTTGGCCTCAGCTTCATGGCCGATAAACAAGAACAGAGAGGGGCATATGGGAGCATTTACACACGTGTTCTGGAGCCAGGTCCAAGCTGTGGGACCAGGATGAGCTGCCTGGCTTTTCTGTGTCTCGGTTTCTTCACCTGCAGAATGGGCATGACAATAGTTCCTGCCTCAGAGGAGTGCTTTAAGAATCCAATGATAAAATGTATGAAAAAATGCTTTAAACTGTATATGGCAGGTGGTGCATTGGCTACTATAAAATTAATTATTTCTTTAAACATGCATCTAAAATGGCTCAAGCCCTCATTTTTCTAGTAATGAGAATGAAGGGCATTTAAAGTCATTTCAGTTGAATCCAAAAAGAACCTCTGCTAATATACTGCTTACAACAAACACTCTTAGAATCAAATACCATGCCCACCAAAGACTGAATATACCGAGGTTTGCAAAAAAGATATGTAAAGATACATGCATGTGTAGTGTGTTGGGAGGGGTGGGGGAGAACTCAAAGAAGCAGCCGTGAAAAAAATGACTGGAAATACTAAGCAATCGAATTCAAGATATAAACATTACAAAGAGGCTTATTTCACATTTACATACACAAGAGCTAGCTAGTATTCACAATGATGGTATAATAGCCATGAAGCTTTATGCATTAAGTAATACAGTGCTAAAATATGTAAAGCAAATTGTCTGAAATGTCATTAAGCTTAAGTATTTCTTCCTGAAGAAACCCTTCCAGGATCCCTCAAGGGCTCTACAGGGGACTCCACTTGTCTTATCACAACATTTATGGTTAGTATTTGTCATCATTCGCTTAACTACCTCTCCACCGCCCTCACTAGAATTGAAGCCCTGAAAGCCTCAGTCTGTCTTGTTTATTTGTTGTGTGCTCTACAACCCATGTGCATGCAATAAATATTTGTTGACTGCATGACAATTAGATATATATTCAACTCTATATCCCTGAAACAGAAAACACACTTTTTTTTTCAAATATTCATGGATGTTTACAAAAATCCATCATATACATTTGGTCAAAGGAAAATTTTAATAAATGTCTAAATGAAGAAATTGTATAGAGAATGTAACATTCTCTGACCTTATAGCAAAAGAATAAACAAAAAAAACCCAACAAAAATCTCCAACCTGCTGAAATTAAAAATTACTTTATGAAATAGCTTCAGTCAAACAAGAAACCAAAATTGAAATTAGATTATTTATAAAGTAAAATATAAACAACAACAATCCACATAAAAATGTATGAGATGTGGCTAAGTCTATACTTGGAGGGAAAAAAAATGAGAGATTGAAATGTTTTCATATTTAAAAAACAAATAACTAAACTAAATGAAAGAAGCAGTCAAAGCTAGAACTAAAAAGAACTAAAAAAAGAACAAAATAAACCAAAGACAGCAGAAGGAGGGAATTAATAGAGATAAAATAAAAGTTTATTAGAAAACAGAACAAAACATAGAATTTATAATGATATTCAAGAGCTTGTTTTCTGAAAGACAAACAAAGTAGACATGGAAGTGGAAATTTTAATTTAAACATATAAATAGTCTCATCACAAGTGATTTTTTTTTACACTTGATCTTATCCAAAAGGCCAAGAAGTGATACAATAGTGTTTAAAAAAAAAAAAAGCTATAAAATAGTTTTTAAACTATAAAGTAGGAGTGAACTACGGAATAACTCTGAAAATCTACAGGAAATAAAATTATAAGATTTTACTCTAAAAAAGAACATTCTAGAAGACCTAAATATGCAGACAGTCTACGCTCCTGGATGGGGAAAATTGAGACTTGTAAACATACCAGCCCTTCTCAGATTAATAAGTGAATTTAATATAATTCCAATCACCATACTAATGAGATCTGGGGGCCAGAGGAAGGCAGATTTTAACAACTGAGTATAAAGCTGCTCTGAGAAAAAAAAAATGCATGGCAAGAACTAAGACAGTTCTGAAAAATAGAATAATGAAGAAAGCCAGTGAAATGGGTGGGGATGCTTCACCCAGGCACCCAGGAGCAGGGATCTAGAACTGAGAGGATAGGGACTCATGGTTGTGGGTGCCCTGCCTTCTGCCCCTCATTCATCCTGACAGCCTCCCTGGCCAGACCAACACCCAGCCGCTCACCCCAACACCCAAGACGCTTCGACCACCCACAGTCCTTCACCAGACAAGGCGAGACCAACACCCAGCCGCTCACCCCAACACCCAAGACGCTTCGACCACCCACAGTCCTTCACCAGACAAGGCCAGACCAATGCCCAGCCTCTCACCTCAACACCCAAGACACTTCAACCAGCCACAGTCCTTCACCAAACAAGGCCAGACCAACACCCAGCCACTCACCCCAACACCCAAGACGCTTAGACCACCCACAGTCCTTCACCAGACAAGGCCAGCATCCATTCCCTGGCCCTCATCTGCTTTGGACTTACACCAAAGACTTAAAATTTGGTGCCTGTCTGAGCCTAATGCTTCAAGATGTGATTCTGTAGCTGTTGCTATGGGACTAAACAGAAGAAAGATAATTATTAAACAAAGTGGGAGCAGGCAGACCCAAAGTAATAAAAGATGGTATGGCCCTTGCACAGACAACGGACTTAAAGGACAAATAGATGAACGTCAGTGCTGAGCTCGTTCAGGACACTGCCTTTGGCACAAATGAAGAGGCCGGGATGGCAGCACCAGGCTCTGTGGACAAGAAAAGCTGGCAATGTGTAGTCCAGTGGGCACCAGGGGAGGGGGTGATGGAGGCCACCCATGCTGTGCCTGCTGAACTTAGGAAGCAGCCTGTGACAACTGAAGAAGGGAAGAGCTTGAAGAACTTGCTCAGGCTGCAAATGGAGACCAAAAGAAAATTGCACAGCATCATCTCTGGTGCAAGGAGAAAAGGTCAGAAGAAAGAGAGTCTTTACAGTCAAGAGTGTAACATCAAATGACTGATTAGAAATTATTGAAAACACAAAATTCAAGGGACATTTTCCCCTCCATATGTTATTGACACATCCAAAAGTTCGAAGTATGAATTCCAGGATGCTTGCAGTGAGAAGCAACATTCTAGTGTCCAGTCCCAGAGGAAAGAGCTATTTCTTCCACAACATCCCTATCAAGAGTCCAGGTTCTGACCTCTCTTTGGTCTGAACTTGGTCATGTGCATAGCCCCGAGCCAATCGTGGTGGGTACAGGCTTAGAATCGGGATGCCTGCTGCAACTGCACAGACCAATCTGGTTCAACTTTGATGTAACAACGTTGTCAGTTGTTTTCCATTGCCGTGGAATCCCAGGTTCAAGGTCGTGTAATCTGAGCATGTGATGAAATTTTAACCTTCTCTTTCTTTCAGACTGAACCTTCTGGAGAACATCAGAGATTTCCCAGGCCCCCATTTTTAACTCTGGGAAGTGAGCTTGGCACCATCGGGTGTCCAGTTATTCAAAAGCAGTGCTTCCATTCCCTCCCTTACCTCACCCTATGGTCACATGGCTTCCAGCTCATCAATCCCTGGAAGAAAGATACATTCCAGATTTGGGGATCAACAGAGAAGAGCCCTGCTCTGCTGTGGGACCTCAGCTGTATCTACCTCACAAGTTGCCATCAACAAAGACCCCTTCTGGAGGCACATCAGAGGGGAAAAGGGTGGGCAGGGGTGCTTGTTCTTGGTGAAATCAGCATTTCCAGTTATCGTTTAAAAATGCCTTCAGAAAAGACAATCCGTCCAAGGGAAATAGTCTCAGGGATATTCATTTCTGGAAATTTATCCCCCATTCCCTCCCTTGCAAAGTCCTGCGGGCTGCTATTTCCAAAATGGTGTGGACCTGGATAGATTTTGGCTAAGGGCTGGCTTGAATGCTCTATGCTGAAGGGATCCAGCTGTCTTCCTCTGGGCCTCCATATCCTGCTTATTGCAGTAGAAACGAGATCATTGTCCCTAAGACAAAACAATAGTAACTAGCATTCATATTGCATCTTATATTTTTAAAAACACTTTCATTTCCTTTGCTTCACTTCTGAATCAGGTACTATTTGGTCCTCATTTTACAGAGGAGGAAACCCAGGCTCACAGAGTTGATTGATCTCAGAGCATCATCTGGAAAGTATTGAAGTATTGCTATCCAGCCCCTGAAGAACATACACATGATGTAATTGCACAAATTCATTGTAAAATAATAGTAATAATAAAGGTAAAATTAAGCACTCGCCACCAGTGGTGCAAATCCCATAACTGCTATTTTCTCTGTTTCAGTGGTCATTTCCTTGTGAGGCTGTGTAGTTATTCATGTAACCAATCCTCTGTTGTCGGCTATCGAGCTTGTTTTCACCTTTCCAATTCAGGCTTTCTGGGGTAGATCCTCAGTCCTTTCCAATGTACTAGGTGGCTCTGCCCTACGGGAAGGGACGGTTTACAAGTCAGATTGACTTAGAAATCCTTTGCAACTAAGTGGAAAATCATAATTAAAATGACCACCTGCCTGACACGTTTACTGCACTGTCGCATCCCCAAAAGCACAAGAGAAAATGGATGGGATGATACAGTGATGACTCTGAAGACATGGCTGCCCACATTCCCACGGCCTTTTCATTTTCCTGCAGCCAGCGCTGCCCTGCCAGGGCACAGGTAGGCCGGGGGTTCCCAGTGGCGTGCTGGGAACACTTAATGACAGAGTATCTACAGGGAGGGGAGTCTTGATTTTAGTGCTTGCCAGTTTCCATGGTGTCAATACTCCCACCATGTCAAGCTCCCAGTGTGCGTCACTGGATGCAGGTTGCTGGGTGTAACGGGATCGCGTGAGCTAACAGGAGCTGGAAGTACCCATGGGTTGGAATGACACCTTATGCACCGAGAGCTCCCCAGCCCAGCTAAGTTCCAGTTCCCACACCGATGAACTGCTTGGTAACATTTCACTTCCTTCCCGCACCTGTCTTACGTCCTGTCTTGCTTGTACCCCTGCTGGAGTTGCCTGGGATCAGCTTCAACATAAACTCTACACTCAGAGCTTGCATCTGGGGGAGACTCAACCTAAAGTGCCCTATAATACAAACTTCACAGCAATGGCAATTTTGAACTTCAAACCACAATAAGAAGGCAGGAGTTCAAGGCACGTGTGGGAGTTATTTCCCACAAACATTCAGCATCAAGAAAACTCCACTAGAGTAGGCTGCTGCAAGGAGGCGCCTGTGACATTTGGGATTGGCTGCAGGCTGAGCAAAGAAGCCAATACATCTCAGCTGAAGCAGAGAGGAGCACTTCCCATGGTTTAGAACCCAGGGAAGAAGAAAGGATTTCCCAGCCCTGTCCCTTGCTCTGCATCTGCCCGGTTCAAGCCTCCACTGCCTCTCACTTGGACCAGCAGCAACGCCCCAGTGGGTCGGCCCCCTCCACATTCCACCCTTGTCACCCCATCTCCCACCCTGAGCCCGGCTGTCTCCTGCTGAAACATATGGCCATGCTCACCTCTTTCTTTCTCTGCTTACAACCCTTTAAAAGCCCCTAAAGATCTCATCTTCCACACCACGGCCTGTGGAACCTCCCATCATCTGGCCCTGCCTCCCCTCCAGTCCAGCCCCAACCCACCCCTGCATTGCTTCCACCCGCTTGCCTCTCTTTGTGCTGTGTCCATTGCCTGGAATTCTCTTCCTTCTCTTCTTTGTGCAAATCCTGCTCATCTTCCTAAACTCAGCAAGGAGAGTCTCCTCCTCCAGGAAGCCCTCCCTAACTTCCCTTATCCTGGATTAGCTAACATTCACTCCCAGGAGTCCCCGGCATAGCACTATCACCTCACTCATCCACTGTATTGTGATTACATGTTCATGCCTCAGTTTCCCCTAGGAGACTGTGACTTTCCTAAAGAAGCCTTATCTGAATCAACTCTGCATTCCTGTAGCTTGGCATCTTGTTTGGGGAATGGTGGGTGCTTGGTAGGAATTTTAAGGCAATTCATTCATGCATTCATTCATGCATTCATTCATTCATTCATTCATTCATACATTGCTTCTGGCTGCCGAAATGCCTGCATTCTCTCCGCTATTGATGGCTAAGTCATGAGGAGTGGTTGGGAGGCAGCAGTTAACCAAATTGATTAGGTACTTACTTTATGCTAAATAAAGTACTGGTAGGGCTCTGGGTCTTAAGAAGTGGGGCCCCTGACCTCAAGACACCTACCAGGAGACAGGAGCGCACATCTAATGTGCTGGACCAGGGCACTTCAAATTTTAATTGGCACACAAACCACCTAGGGACCATGTTAAAGTGCAGGTTCCGACTCAGCTGGGCTGGGCTGGGGCCCGAGGGTATTTATTTATTTATTTATTTACCTACTTATTTTGAGACAAAGTCTCACTCTGTCACCCAGGCTTGAGTGCAGTGGCGCGATCTCAGCTCACTGCAACCTCTGCCTCCCAGGTTCAAGTGATTTTCCTGCCTCAGCCTCCTGAGTAGCTGGGATTACAGGCATGTGCCACCACGCCTGGCTAATTTTTGTATTTTTAGTAGAGATGGGGTTTCATCATGTTGGTCAGGCTGGTCTTGAACTCCTGACTTCGTGATCTGCCCGCCTCGGCCTCCCAAAGTGCTGGGATTACCAGTGTGAGTCACCGCGCCTGGCCCCGAGGGTCTTCGTTTCTAACCAGCTCCCAGATGACGCAGCCCTGCTGGCCCCGAGCCACACTGGGTGCTTACCGGCAACGTGTTGCACTCTGCAACCAAAGGCAAGGCCGCATGGCACCCATCCTTCCCTCCTGCCCCACATGCTAGTATGTTCCTTCAATCAACTCTCACTTTGTTCCCTAAATGTATTTAAAGGTAAATTTTAAATTCTTATCTTAAATGAAAAAGAAACATCACTTTTGATACACAGAAAATACCCAGGAGATAAATAGAGTAAACTGTTCTACACCTGGTTGCACATCCTCAACTGATGGTCCTGAGCCACATCCAGCTCCCCCTCTGTTCAAATCAACTTCAAAATAAACTCCATACTCAGAGCTTTCGTGGCCAATGGAGATGGTCAATGTTAGGGGTTAAAGGCATATTAGCACTAAGCCGAGACTTTCTCTTTGAGATCACTAGAGGGATTCTGAAGAATGGAAAAAGGGGCCAGGCACGGTGGCTCATGCCTGTAATCCCAGCACTTTGGGAGGTCAAGTCTGGCAGATCACCTGAGGTCAGGAGTTCAAGACCAGCCTGGCCGACATGGTGAAACCCCGTCTCTACTAAAAATACAAAAGTTAGCCAGGCTTGGTGGTGGGTGCCTGTAGTCCCAGCTACTCGGGAGGCTGAGGCAGGAGAATCGCTGGAACCAGGAGGCAGAGGTTGCAGTGAGCCAAGATCATACCATTGCACTGCAGCCTGGGCGACAGAGCAAGGCTCCATCTCAAAAAAAAAAAAAAAAAAGAAGAAGAAGACAAATGGAGAAAGGGATGAGCTTCTCAGTTTGTGGTTCTCTGTTACTTGGCAACACAGTGTGTGCTGCAGGCAGTGTTTTGGGAGAGCCTGGATTGACAACTGCAGAGGCCACTCTGTCCAGCCCAGGCATGCTCCAAGTGCCTGAGGTCATTGGCAAATGACCACAGCTGGGCTCTCTTTGGCTCAAGAATCTCCAGATTCCATGCATTTTCATGGCCTAGCAAAATGCCTCCAGTATTTGAACCCCTTGACAGCTGGCCTCGCTATGGCACCATTCCACGAGAGAAGAATCTCACCGCCCTCCACCCCATTATAATCACTTTAGATAAACCCTGCTCACAGGCGGCAAGAAATTTAAAAAAAAAAATGTGGGAATAGATGTTGTTTCACAGGCAGCAGAGATTTAGCTGTGCCGCTTTCTCTTCTTAATTGTGGGTCTGTCCAGGGAACCCACAGCAGTGGATAAATCACGGTGATGGTTGGCAAGCCACTGTTGCCACACAGCTACCCGAAGAGTTACAATATTATCTGATGCTGAAAGGTGGGGATCAGGGAAAAGGGTGAATGGATGACTCAGTCACAGATGGAGCCACAAAGATGAAGCCATTCATTCCCACCCACCACCACCACCACCACAAAAAAGAACATCTGAGCCCCCACCATGAGTCAGGGATGAGCTGGTGCACCTGCCCTCAGGGGCTCAGCCAATAGAAGGTGCACCCCCTAATGATCTGAAGTAACTTGAAATCACAGAGTCATCCTACCCAAAATGCAAACTCAGTGGTTTCCTCACCTACTCAAAACCCTTTAAGGATGCAAAGCACATCTGGTTTTGCTTGCTGCATTCCCATTTTCCCGCTGGTAACAACTTCCTGGTCTTCTTAGTGGAGACCCACTCCCCCCGACCTTTGGTCTACGTGGTCTGGGTGGGGCTGGCGTGTGCTCCTCTGTCCCTCCACCCCACTCAGTGGGTGGGCAAGCTTCCCAGAACCCTGGCTACCTAGGGGTGGCATGTGACCAAGAGGGAGTCCAGGACAATCCCAGTCTTCAGTTGACACATCCTGAAAAGCACACCTGCTTCTGCCTGGGCTTGCCAGGAGTATCAGTGGGGACTCTGGACCTGCCTCCAGAAAGAAAAAAGGATTCGTGATGGTTAACTGGATGGGTCAACCCAATTGCCCAGGGCTGCCCAGATCAAATGTTATTCTCGGTGTGTCTGTGAGAGTGTTTCCAGATAAGCTGAGCATTTGAATTGGTAGACTAGGTAAAGTTGATGGCTCTTCCCCATGCAGCTGAGCATCATTCAAACCACTGAATAGAACAAAAAGGTGGAGGAATGAGAAAGCCGCCCTGTTTTCTTCCTGCCTTCCTGCTTGAGCTGGGACAATGGGCTCCTTCTGCCCTGGGGCTGAGGTTTATACCACCGCCTCCCCTGCTGGTCAGGCCTTCGGAATCAGGCTGGAGTCATTCACGGCAGATGGTGGGACTTCTGAGCCTTCATCATTGCATGATCCAACCCCTCCTAATAGATCTTCCTTTATGTAAATATATATAGCGATGATGAAGGTGGTGATGGTGGTAAGAGGATGAAGCTTCCCACCTCCCAGAGTGGAGGAGGAGGCTCTTCGGTGACCATGCACTCAGAGAGACTCTGTACCTCTGTTCGTTTCTGGCACTTCTGGAATGAGCTCTTAGGATTCATGATGAATCCGACCTCAGTTGGTCATGGGACAAAGCCTTATAAAATGTCCTCAGCGGCTCCTTCCAACCTTCCAATTCAATCTCACAACACGTGAGACTGCCATCAATTGCAGATGTGTCACCTGTGGGGAGCCGTCCTGAGAGGCCACGTGGCACGGTGATTGGGAACACACACACCAGAGCCAGACTGCCAGGTTTGAATCCTGGTTCAAATCCCAGTTCTGGCACTTCTCTTTCCAGGTCTCTGTTCAGCTCTGATTCCCATCTATAAAAAGGGGATACTGATAACCCCTCTATCATAGGGCATCTCTAAGGGCTAATGAGTTAATACACGCAAAGTGTGTAAAACGTGAGAAGGTGCCGATATCATGACTTTCACGTGTGCCTTTTTTACGGCATTCAGCTCATCCATTCCTCACAACCAAAGAGTAGAAGTAAAGGAGTACATTTCTTTGGCGAGAGCAAAGCCAGAAATTCAAAGCTTTAAACAGTGAGTCCTCTTAATTGGAGACACACAAAGGATGTTGATCCAGTGCTGATATTTATAACAGCAAAAATTGAAAACAGCTTAACTGTCCAACAATAAAGGCTTATCTTTATATACTTGAGTACATCCATGTAACAGAATTTCATGTAGCCTTATAAAATCATGTTACCAACATTTATGTATAGAGAAAGGTATTTATAATAGGATGTTAAATGAAAGAAAATACAGGCCTGACCTGTAAGCAGAGTATGATGCCAACTTTACAAAATACATAGAAAAAAATGAAAAATACAGCAAAATGTTTACAGAGGTTGTCTTTAGGAGGTGAGATTAATTTGCTTTTCTCTATTTTTCTAGTGGACCTATATTACTTTTAGAATCATAAAAAACCCATGATAAATGTTATAAAAATGATGAGTGCTGCCGGGCGCGGTGGCTCATGCCTGTAATCCCAGCACTTTGGGAGGCCGAGGCGGGCAGATCACGAGGTCAGGAGATCGAGACCATCCTGGCTAACACGGTGAAACCCCGTCTCTACTAAAAATACAAAAAATTAGCCGGGCGTGATGGTGGGCGCCTGCAGTCCCAGCTACTTGGGAGGCTGAGGCAGGAGAATGGCGTGAACCCAGGAGGCAGAGCTTGCAATGAGCCAAGATCATGCCACTGCACTCCAGCCTGGGTGAAAGAGTGAGACTCCGTCTCAAAAAAAAAAAAAAAAAAAAATTTCAGTGCCAGTTAGAGGAGAACCATGTTTAAAAGAGAGAGGGAAAGATGATTTTCCTCAGCCAATGCCCTTAAACTAATTAAAAACAGCACCCTTCTTCATCCAATTACTTCCAGTAATTTATTTTAACAAATCAAATTGCCCCCAAATTCAACTTTATTACTCATTTTTTTTGTTGTAAAAGGAAACCCTCAAGAAGCAACAATCTTCTGCCCTCTGCTTGCCTAAGCCATTTGAATCCTGCCCGCCTTGCTCCTTTTACGCCTGCCATGTTCGTTTGAGGAGATGGGAACCCCAGCATGGCTCCTCTGAAACATGTAGTTCAGAGATTTGTGCAAGCCACCATTATGCTCCAAGCTCAAGCAGAGAGAAGATTCTTCTCTGCACATGCTGTACCTGAGACCTTCCCTCTTCTTGGTAATTTCAACTGAGAGAGTAGCCAAGACCATAATGTGAGATGGAGAGCAAAGGATAGCGTAAGTTGGCAAAGTGGCACTCTCACCACAAGTGAGGCTGTCATTCTTTGATATCACGCAAACACGTATTTACAGGACCATCAAGGAGGGTAACATTTTAATAAAGTTGACTTAAGCCTCAAAGACTTTGGGGATATTTGTTACTGCAGCATAACCCAACCTCCCTGACTGACACACTACTGTCTCCCCTTCTGCCTCACCTCACTTTGCCCCTGTCAACAAAACCCACTCCTTAAAAAGCAGCATGTTAATTAAATTCACATGGGACACTGAATCAGGAGACATTTCTTACAATAGTGAGGTGAAAGAAATAGAGAGATTAGGATTAGGAACATAGACAGAAAATCACAGCTTGAGATCTCACTTATCAAAACATTAAAGAAAATAAGAATGAAGCCAAATACATGTGGGTAAAGCTAATCAAGCTAGAGGCAGCACAGGAGACTGAGATAAGCCAAGAGAAATGGAGAGCCGGGGGGAAACCACAGAATCCCTGTAGATTTAGAGTGCAGTGTGATTAGGTATCATTTGCTGCCAGGCACAGAGCCTGGAGTCCACAGGGCAAAGGAAAGAAGTGCCCCTCTGGAGGGCTTCTCTGCCACTCAGATTATTCCCTCGCTTGGCGGATGTGTTAATTTGCTAGGGCTGCCACAACCAAGTCCCAAATTGGGTGGCTTAAACTATGGAAATGGATTGACTCATGGTTCTGGAGGCCAGAAGTCTGAAATCAAGGTGTCAGCAGGGCTGCTTCCTGCAGTTCCCAGTCTCTCTCCATGGTTCGTCGACTGCCATCTTCGTATTCACATGGCTTTCTCCCTGTGTACCTGTCTGTGTTCAAGCTTCCCCTTTTTATCGGGACAGCAGTCATCCTGAATTGCGACTCACCCTAGCAACCTCATCTTAACTAGTTACATCTGTACAACTTTATTTCCAAATAAGGGCACATCCTGAGGTAGTGGGGGTTAGGACTTCAACATATGAATTTAGAAAGAGACACAATTCAACCCATAATGGAGGGTCTCGTTCTCTGGGTACTGAAGATATGCAAGGGTCCCAGGAGCTTCCAGGGGTGTAAGAGGCCAGGCAAGGAAAACAGAACAGCACAAAACGTGAGTGATGATGTACACAGGCAACAGATGCCAGGGCCAAACAGAAGGCATGCACGTCCTAAACGGGAAGCTTCTTAAAATTTGGGGCTCTGCAAAATGCCAAAGCAGAAGCTAAAAAACTAGCATCGAGCTCATTTGTGGTCCTCAGATTGCTAATTATGATGGTAGCAATCCCAGTTGTGGAAGCCACCAAGCCTGCTTGAGTATCCTGCCTCACTCTCCTTCCAGGCACAGGCTTCCAGCTAGGTGTGGCCACATGACTTGCCTTCCCAAGATGAACAGAAGTGACGGATGTCTCCTCTGGGTGGAAGCTATAAAAGCCAGTCCTATTTTCTCTTTTCTTCCGCCACAGTGAGCAGCTGCTCTGTTCATCTGGGCCACAGAGAGAGGAGGATCACGGCATGAGTTAGAGTCCCTGCCAACGGATGGTCCCATATGAGGAAAAAATCAATCACCATTGTCTTAAGCTTCGGAGGCTTTAGGGCCATTTGTTACTGCAGCATAACCCAGCCTCCCTGACTGATACACCCCCATCTTTCCCACTGTTCCCACCCCACCTTATCCCTACCAATAGTACCTGAATTTATCTCAGAAGGGTGGACCCATCCCCAGCCCCAGAGATGAATTAAAACCATTTCTTCCTTTATGTGTAGATGGGTTTTCTCCCTTGGTTTTCTGACAATCATGTCACTTTCCCCAAACCAGAAACTTACCCTCTTCTTGTCAGCTTGGTCATGGCTGTGAAGAGGCCCCTCATCCCTTCTGCAGCCCCTTCCAATTCAATCTCCCCAGAATCATCTCTGAAAATGGCCTTGGAGCCCTGATTCCTCCATTTGGAATCATCCAGTGGCTTCCCTAATGCAGCCCAAGAGCCTGGCCTGCCTGGCCCCTGCTGACCCCTCAGCCTCCTGGCCTGGCCTCCCTGCCCAGCTCCATGCACACAGCCTCCAGTGAGCTTCGACTGAGCCCTCTCCCTCCACACAGTGGTGGCACATACTCTTCCCTGCATCTGGGTTGTTCTTTACCCTGCCTTCTCTTCTCAGCTCCTTAACTCAACTCTTACTCTATTTTCTTTCTCCTGTAAACTCCACACTCCTCAAAAAACAGCTCTCCTATCCCTCCATCCTCTACAGAGCATCTGCCTGCCCCTGCTACCTGGCAAGTCCCATGAGGCAAGGGCTGCAATGGATGGAATGTTTGTGTCCCTTCCAATTTATCCTAACCCCTAATGTGATGGCTTTAGGAGGCAGGAGGTGATTAGGTCATGAAGGTGGAACCCTCATGAATGGAATTAGTGTTCTTATAAAAGGAATCCCAGAGAGCTGCCTTGTGCTTTCTTCCACCACGTTAGAGTACAGTGAGAATACGGTCATCTGGAAACCAGGAAGAAGGCCCTCACCAGATACTGAATCTGCTGACACTTTGATTTCAGACTTCCCAGCCTCCTGAACTATAAGAAATAAATTTATGTTGTTTAAGCCACCCAGTTATAACAGCCCAAACTCATTAGAACAGAAAAATACCAAAAAACAATGTGTTGCTGTAACAAATATCTGAAAATGCAGACAGCTTTGCAACGGGGTAATAGGTAGAGGCTGGAAAAGTTTTGAGGTACATGCTAGAAAAAGCCTAGAATTCCATGAAGGGAATTTCGAAGGTGGTTCTGATGGGAGCTCAGAAAGATAAGAGGAGTTTCCATCTTCTTAGAGAATACCTAAGTAATCGTGGGTAAAATGTTGAGAGAAATATGGATGGCAAAGGGCATTCTGGTGAAGTCTCAGATGGAAATGAGAACCATGTTATTAGAAACTGGAGGAGAGACCATTCTTGTTATAAAATGGGAAAGAATGTGGCTGAATTGTGTTCATGTTCTAGTGTTTTGTGGAAGGTAGAACTTGTGAACAATGAAATTGGATATTTAGCTAAGAAAATTTCTAAGCAAATTGTTAAAGAAGTGGCTTTATTCCTCCTGACTGCTTATAATAAAATGTGTGAAGGAAGAAATAATTTGAAGATGGAGTTATTAGGCAAAAAGGAACCAGAATTTAAAGGGTTGGGAAATTGCCAACCTATCCCTATTGCAAAAAAATGAGAAAACTTGTTTGGAGCAGAATGCTAAGGATGTGGCTCAGTGACTATTTGATAAGAAGATTAGTACAAATATGAACCATGGGCTTGATCAACCGTCTCAATAAAAGCCAGAAGCAAAGATGGAATTGTTCCAGCAGAAGCACTGCTATCTAGGACTAAAGGAAAAGAGGTAACAGGACAAAATGAAGATTATAGGACTTCTTAGACCCTACAGGACCAGACCATAGAATTCTTCAGATGTGAACATTCAGCTTTCTTCAACACAAGGAAAGAAGGACCCCAAAGGTGATTCAGAGGTCACTAGAGCTGCCACTCCCACCACAGGCCCAGAGTGCATGGCCTCCACCTCGTTTGCAAAGGTGGAGAGGTCTGCCTCCATCTCGATTGCAAAGAGTGGAACCAACACCCAGTGAAGCCATAGTGGCCCAGCAGGATCCCCCAACCCCAACAGAGAGCTGAAGCAAGAGGGGGCCCCTCCTGGGAGCCACAGCATGGGAAGCACCCCACCAAGCTGGTAGGGATGGTGTTGTTACCACCCCAGTGGGTCTAGAAGGCAAAGCATTGAGCCAAAAAGAATTATTCTTGATCTTAAGATCTCATGGAGCTTGCCTTGCTAGATTTTGAACTTGCTCAGGACCCATCATCCCTTCCTTCTTTCCTATTTCTTTCTCTCTTTTTTTGAATGTGAATGTCTGTACTATGCCTCACTCACCGTTGTATTTTGGAAGCACATAACTTGTTTGGCTTCACAGGCTCACATCTGGTGAGGAATTTTGCCTCACCATGAGTCATATCTTGAGTCTCACACATATCTGGTTTAGATGCTATTTAGGGGAGACTTTGGACTTTAGACTTTAGAGTTGATATTAGGATGAGTTAAGACACTTGGGGCTACTGAGATGGGATAAATGTATTTTGCATGTGAGAAGGACATGAATTTGGGGGGTCCAGGGTGGAATGCTATATATAGACCGAATGTGTGTGTCCCCCTAAAATTCATATGTTGTGATCTTAACCCCCAATGTGATGCTATTAGGAGGTGGGGCTTTGGGGAGGTGAATAGGTCATGAGGGTGGGGCTCTCATCAGTGGGATTAGTGCCCTTATAAAGAGACCCTGGAGTGCTCTCTCTCTTTTTCACTCTTTTCTGTCATGGGAGAAGACAGCCAACTGGAAGGAGGAAGTGGGCCCTCACCAGCCATAAAATCTGCCACCTCCCTTATCTCAGACTTTCCAGCCTCCTGCACTGTGGGGAATATGTGTCTGTTCTTTCAGCCGCCCCATCTGTTATTGCAACAGAAATGACTAGGACAGGGGCCATGGCTGTTTTCACTTGCACTTGCTGGGGATGCATGGGCGCCCCCATGCAGTCACCTCCAGATCTCTTTCTCACCTCTGTGTGCCCACCCCTCACATCCTGAGCCTTGCCAAGGAGACCCAAACTTCAGAGGAGTACCCTGTGGGCAGCCTGCATGCTGCCCCACCATGCCCACAGTCAGTGACTGACTGGTGAGGTGACCAAGGCCAGCAGCACCCACTCTGATCAGGCCAGTTCTGGGGTGGGGGTAATTTATATACCAGGGCTCTCCCCGGGATCAGGCAGGGGAATGGGAATCACTGAAGTCACCCCCTGATTGGCTTCCTCTCCATCCCTGTTCTGGTTCCCCTCCCTGAGAGGCATCTCCTGGGACATGTCCTAATCCTCACCTCAGAGTCTGCTGGGACAACACCTGCCCCAGATGCCACTGTAACCCTGGGCCTTGCATGGTGCCAGCACCTGGAAGATGCTGAGAAAACATTTGTTCAGTCAGTAAACATTTCCCAATACCACTTTTTTTTTTTTTTTTAGATGGAGTCTTGCTCTGTTGCCCAGGCTGGAGTACCATAGTATGATCTCAGCTCCCTCCAACCTCCACCTCCCTGGTTCAAGCAATTCTCCTGCCTCTGCCTCCCAAGTAGCTGGGATTACAGGCGTGCACCATCACGCCCAGCTAATTTTTGTATTTTTAGTAGAGATGGGGTTTCACCGTGTTGGCCAGGCTGGTCTTGAACTCCTGACCTCAGGTGATCCGCCTGCCTTGGCCTCCCAAAGTGCTGGGATTACAGGCGTGAGCCACCGGGCCCGACCCCAAAACCATCGTTGTCCCAACTGGCTGAGAGCCCCTGTTGCTACACATTCTGCCCCTCCCTAGATGAAACAGTACTATGTCAAAGCTGTGCTTGGGGCACTCCCTGGACTGTCAGTGTCCCCTGAGCGTTAATTGGAGTCAGGAAAAGTTACAGCCTCTTTGAGCACTACCTGAAGGGCACATCCTTTAGAGATAAACTAGCACAATATTTTCTCAGTGTTTCTCCAGTTTTGTTTTGTTTTGTTTTAACCACAATCTTCCCTTTTTCCCTCTTGCTTTTGATTTGGAGTGAAAGGCATGCACATGGTGGGGCCTAGAACCCAATCCAAACCCCAGCCCCCGGCTTCAAAGCAGGCATCAAACCCTTCAGCCTCTTTGTTGGCTGATAAATAGAAACTTCTGCCTCTCAAGACAAGCCCGAAATGAAGCGGAATCCTTGTTGCTAAGAAAAATGACACGTGAACGGCTCCCGTTTGAGCTCCCAGAACTGCCCCGGTTTCCCAGGGCTGGCTGCACGTCACGATGCTGGCGGAAGGAGACCGTGGGCTTGATTGACACCACAGCGCTAGCGGGAAATGGTTTCTAAACTTTTGCCCAGCTAGCGGCCTCTTTCCTGACCTCTTTATCCCCTTGAAAGCAAAATAGATCCTAGGAACTGAGATGGAGCTGAAGTTTATGAGTTAGTGTTTCCAGAGAGACAATCAAGACTGGGATTCCTTCTCCCAAGGTTGATTGGGTTACAGTTAAGAAAACGCCATCCACTGCAAACTCAATGGCCTCAGCGGCCAGGTTGGTGACGTCACAGTCAGTGGGTTAGACATGAGAGAAAACAGTAAATGGTGGCAAGCGGTGCAACTAGGAAGCTCAGGCCCCATCTAAAGTAGAAACCTCTGCCCAGCTCCAGATAATTGTTGCCACATGGAAATACAGCCCAGAACTGTCAGCTCTCTTGATTTTTCAATAGAAGTTAGATGGTTGTCTTCTAAGTTGCAATTTCTCAATGATGAGACCTATTCACATTTTTTAAAAAGCACTAGGCACGTGCCTGGCCCAATGAGTCTCAGACTCTTTTAAACAAAAGAGTTTCACCAGTGAGATTTGGAAAGCAGGCATTTGTCATCAGAGTAGCAGGTGTGGTTGTGCCTAGAGCTCCTTCTGCTTCCCCTTAATTCCAGGGTGGTGAATCAGAGTTATCTCAGTTATTGAAAATATGTATTTCAACAAACAGTGGCTTGACCAACTCGTCCTGGCTTGCCTGGGACTGTCCCAATTTTAAAACTTAAAATTCTGCCTCCTGGAGTCCTCCTCAGTCTCAGGAAAACCAGAATAGCTGGTCACCCTTAAGAAGGGATGCTTGGTGAGCCATTGAGTTGTGCCCCCTTGGGAGCTCATTAGCTGGAAGAGGAAATGAACCCTTTGTGAAATAACTGAAAATAGCAGTGGGGACTGTGCCTCTCAGAGTCAAAATCAAACATCACTTCTCAAGACCTTATCTCGTGAAACCTAAGATGAGCACAGCTGTGCTTTCAGACAAAGCCTGTCCAACTTCCCAGTTTACTACAGAGAGTTGCTGTGAGGGCCTGGATCCCTGAATGGCTGCGTGAAGCCGCACCCCTGCCACCACATACTGGGCGGTGATTGTGTTTGGCCTCTGAGATTTGGGGGTTTTCTGTCACAGCATTTGGACTCCCCTGACTGGCACGCTATTGGACCCTTAACTTTTTGGCCAGCATTGTCTAGCATGAGGCTGGTCTCCTTATCCTCCCCTAGGAATGTGGATATGGTGTTCAGGGCCTAGATGGTCTCTACTGGCTACTTGAAGGTATGTACAAAAGGCACCATGGAGTGGTCAGGTTCTCAGAGGAGAGGACAGAACTAGCGTGAGGGGTCAAATTGTGTCCCCCAAATTCCTATGTTGGAGCCCTAACCCCCAGTACCCTAGAATGTGACTGTATTGAGGGATAGAGTTTTACAGAGGTAATTAAGTTAAAATGAGTGCATATGTGTGGGCCCAAATTCAATATGACTGGGGGTCCACACAATAAGAGGAAATCTGCACACAGACACACACACAGAGGGGCAACTATGAAAGACACAGTGAGAAGACAGCCATCTACAAGCCAACGAGAGAAGCCTCAGAAGAAGGCAATTCTGCCGACTGCAAAAAGCAAGGAAATGAATTCTCCCCTAGAGCCTCCAGAAGAAGCACAGCCCTGCTGCCACCAGAACCGTAAGACAATACATTTATGTTGTTTTCAGCCACTCAGTTTGTAGTAATTCATTGTAACAGAAATAGGAAACTAACACAACTTTGAATAGTGTATTTTTCATACACCCCAGCCCTGAACTTGTTTAAATGTTTGCTTTCTTTTCCTCTCAACTATTAATACTGAAGCTGGGTCAATGAAGGAATGCACCTGAGTTTTGAACTCTGGTTGAGTTCCAAACAATAAGCAATTGATGGAAAGAACAATTGCACATACAGCCAAAGTTGTTGAAACCCTCGTGGACGTGTGAATTTTCAAAAGCAAATTGCCAACCCTCTCTCTGCTGCTTCGTGGTTTATTTGATGGAGTGTGTGTTTAGCCAGGCAGGGGTAGTGGGGAAAAACAAGGCTCTGTCCTAATGCTCCCACCAAAGTCATGGGCTGCTCAGGGACACCTACTTCAGCAGGGGCAGGGCACATGCAAGGGACTCCAACCCCAATGCCAGTGAAACAGCAAGAGAACTGTCAGCTTTGCCAATTGCGTATCCTCTGGGGTGTTTCTCATTTTAGTCTCACAACAGGTCTCATACCCTCCTCCCCTTAAGTGACATGGTGGGTTAGGAGAGTGGTGCTGCGGGAGAGACGCAGTGCTGCCAACACGGTGCTATGGCTGCAGTCACACGCCCCTCAGGCTGGAGAAAGCAGACAGCTGCACCCACGGGCTCACATGTGCCAGCTCCATCTGCGAGATCATTAAAATTGAGCCTTGGCAGAATCTGCAGAAAAACACATTTGTTTTCTTCGTAAAGAGGAAGAGTAAACTTTCCTGTCGTCCTCATAAGTTTCTGCAATTACTTTAATGTGCAAAGCGCCTTGTACAAAAGCAGGAAGCTGTTACCCGGACTAAGGCACCAGGATGCATGCTTCCGTTAAATTATACGTGAAATTACACGTTCTCTAGCGCTGGTGGCTTAGTCGCCGTTTAACAGTAATAAGACACACAATTCCAGTGCTCACAATGGTGTTCAGGGGCTTGGCAATTTGCTTCTCATGCTATCACGCATCTAGCCAAACCAGGTAGGCTCCAAGACAATCATTCAGACAAAACAGACTGTCTTGAAGATGAGGAGAGGTGTGGTCCTCACAAACCTGGAGTCACCAAGAAGAGAATGAGCCCGGGAAATCTGCAAAACAGGAGTGCCCCAGCTTCCGAGTTCAGAGAAGAGCTTCTATGTCCATCCTTTTAATATATGATAGAGATCCTGTTCCGGATTCACACCCCATTACGTTCCCAACCCACCTGCACCCACTCCCCAAAATGAAACCGACTGGAGCCATTCAGACAGCCTGAATCTCTGCTCTGTCACTTCATATGTGACTCCCTGAGCTTCAGATTTCTCGTCTGTTAAATGGGCATTTGATTACAACTTCTTCTAAGGACCCTGCCGATAATTGAGAGAGATAATATCTATAAAGTACTTAGCACAGTGTTTGTCTCATAATTGTCTATTACTGTCCATCATTATTTCTCTGCAACTATTCTATTAAATACTTTCAAAGCTTTAGTCGTCCCTCCAGTGCAGCCCTTAGCCCTCATCCTAAACCTAGCACTGAGTTCTGTGAGGTTCTGAGCAAGGGATGGCCCAGCTGCTGCTTGCAGGCCAAATTCTGCAAGCCACCTATGCTTGTGCACCTTTTAAGCTAATAACAGCTTAGTGATCAGGGAAAAATCAAAAGAAACATCAGACGCAGTGGCTCATGCCTGTAATCCCAGCACTTTGGGAGGCCAAGGAGGGCAGATCACTTGAGGCCAGGAGTTCGAGACCAGCCTGGCCAACATGGTGAAACTCCGTCTCTACTAAAAATACAAAAATTTACCACGCGTGGTGGTGGGTGCCTGTAATCCCAGCTACTCAGGAGGCTGAGGGAGGAGGTTCACTTGAATGGGGGAGGCAGAGTTTGCAGTGAGCAGAGATCGCACCAGTACACTCCAGCTTGGGCAACAGAGCGAGACTGTCTCAAAAAAATAAGGAAAGAAGGAAAGAAATCCAAAGAAGCATATCATTTTGTGATGTGTAGAAATTAAATGAAATATAAATGTCAGTGTCTATAAATGGTTTTATTGAGATACAGTTGTGCCTATTCATTTACATATTGTCTATGCTTTTGTACCCAACCATGGAGTTCAGTTGCCACAGAGACCATGTGACCCACAACACTGAGGATATTTACTATATATCCTTTACAGAAGTTTGCAGATCTCCATGCCAGGGAATAAAACCAATGTCTTCAGAAGCCTTGGCCCAGTCTCGTGGTTGATACTGAAAAACCCCAAGACATGACCTGCTAGGCTGGATGTGAGGAGCACCTAGAAAGGTGGCCATTTTTATTCGTTCAGTGGCATCTCAACCAAAGACAATGGGGAGAGCAGCTAGTGGCTTAGATTCATTGGGATGACCCTGACATTGGAGCCAAGAAAGCCATGTTTAAATCACAGATTTGTCACTCCCAGGCGGTGTGATTTTGAGCTGATGACCCAACCTTGCTGAGCCTCGCCGGTCTCTACTATTGGCTGGGGATGTCAATTTCTTTGGCACAGAATTGTTATGACAAATGAAATAAATGTCAGCCCCACCACAGAGGATCAGACACTCCACCTCTGAATAACAGTTATTCCCTCCCTCCAAAATTTGTCTTGTGGTCTGTAAAAAGAGAGCGAGAGAGAGAGAACACATCAAAAGAGAAAAATCATTCTATGATATGAAAAATACATAAACTTCCAGTTTCAGCTCTGTCACATAAACAGCTTGGAAGTTGTCACTCCCATCCATATAACAACAACAACAAAAAGCTGGACAAACTGAAAACCAATGACTTTTCATGGACCCATCAGAGAACTGAGTTTTCAAGGTAAACTACCACCCCAAAATCTGGAGACACAGATGAACCTAGAGAGTAACAGCTGAGCTCCACTTACCCAGAACAGAAGCTGCTGGAGCCATAACTAGTAGAACAGTTACATGGCAATTTTGACAAATTGCTAACGGGTGAGTATAGACCAGCTCTCAGTGAGAAACTCCTGGGGCTGCAATCTTAGGGGGACTCCACAATGTCAAGGGCTTTGCCTCCAGGAATCCCCAAGTTCTTATTGAGAAGATTCTAGAAAGAGCATCTCCTGGCTCTGACAAGGAGAGGAAGAGTAATTCTTATTTAAAAAAAAAAAAAAAGCCACCAGAGCCTTCTCCATAACGAAGGCCCATTCCCCAGGGGAAAGACTGTCCAGGCTTATCCCAGCTTGGGGAAGGGCATTTTCTCACTGCAGCCCCCTCTAGCTTTCCTGTCTCACCTACAGGTGGGAGAAACAGTTGCGAAGGTCACAGGCCAGACACAGGACCCCTGGAAGACTGAGATTTAATCTGAAGATTATATAGAACACTCCCCTTTTCCCGCAATTTACCACCTCACCAACAGGGTTCCAGTATAACAGCAGTGAATTACAGCTGAAAGGGCTCCAAGAAGCAGTACTCTCTCTGAGGAGGGCTTGGAGAAGTTCAAAGTCAAGAGTGGGGAAAAAATAAAGACCTAAAGAAATTTGAAATCTCTGGCACCTACAGATATAGCAAACATTAAACACAGACCAACTCTAAGTAAAATTAACATAAATCCTCACACTAATGGCCTACTTAGCTCAATTCCTGCTACCTGATACACCATGTCTGGTTTCAACAAAAAATTTAAAAGGACACCCAAAAGGAAGAAAGAAAAAACACACAGCCTGAAGAGACACGGCAAACATCAGAATCAGACTCAAATATGACACAGATGTTGAAATTATCAGACAGGGAGTTTCAAATAACTATGATTAATACATTAAGGACTCTATTGGGAAAAAGTAGAAAACATGCAAAAACGGATTGATAATGTAACCAGAGAAATAAAAATTCTAAGAAATAATCAAAAGGAAATGCTAACATTTCTAACAGAAATGAAGACTGCCTTAGATGCACTCATCTGTAGACTGGACGAGGCTGTGGAGAGAATTAGTGAGCCTGAAGATACATCGATAGAAACTTCCCAAACCGAAATGCAAAGAGAAAACAAAATAATAATAGAAACAAAACAGAATACCCATGAAGTGTGGGAACATTTCAGAAGATGTAAGGTACATGCAATTAAAATGCAAGGAGAAAAAAGAGAATGGGGGACAATATTTGAGGTAGTAATAGCCAAGAACTTTCCAAAATTAATGGCATTTATCAAACTACAGGCCCAGGAGGTTCAGAGAACACCAAAAAGTTACATCTAAGCATATCATATGCAAACTGCAGAAAACCAGAGATGAAGAGAAAATTTTGAAAGAAGGCAGAGATGGGGAAAACCTTACCTCTAGAGGAAGAAGGATAGAATTGTAAGCAGACTTCTCATCAGAAACTATGCAAGGAAGAATAGTCAAGTGAAATATTTAAAGTGTTGAATGGGGAAAAGACAACTTAGACTTCCATATCCAGCTAAAATATCCTTCAAAAGTGAAGGAGAAATAAAGACTTTTGTAAATAAAAACTGAGGGAATGTGTTGCTCTCAGACCTGCTCTGCAAGAAATTTTCTTTAGTCAGAAGAAAAATGACAGATGTCAGAAAGCTGGATATACGTTTTTAAAAAAATCATCAGAGAAGACAAATGAAAATAAAATCTTTTATTTTTCTTATTCTTCATTAATCTAAACAATAACAGATTGTTTAAAGTAATAATATCTTAGTCTGCCTAGGCTACCATGACAAAATACCACAAACTGGGTGTCTTAAACAACAGAAATTTATTTTCTTGCAGTTCTGGAGACTTGAAAGCCCAGCATCAAGTTCCAGCTGACTCATTTTCTGGTAAGGACTCTTCTTATTCTTACTAGGAAATGCCAGAAGCAGGAAGCTTCTTGTCCTCACATGGCCTGACCTTGGTGCATTCATGTGGAGAGAGAGAAAGGAGAGGAGCTTTCTGGAATTTCTTCTTGTAAGGACACCAGTCCTATCAGATCAGAGACCCATCTTTATGACCTTATTTAAGCTGAATTGCCTCCTTCTAGGCCCTACCTACCTAAAAACACAATCACAATGGCGGTTAGGGTTCCAACATATGAATTTGAGGGGACACAATTCAATAGCAAATAATAACATTGTGTTGGGGGATTATAGCATATGGATAAGTGAAATGAATGAAAACAATGCCACAAGAGATAGGAGGAAGGAATTAGGAATATTCTGATATGAAATAGCTGCATTACACATGAAGTGTAAATGTATTATTTTAAGACGGACTTAAATTAGTTAAAAATGTATATAGCAAACTCTACGGCAACCACTAAAAACTGTTTTTAAAGAAGCATAGTTAATACACTAAGTGAGGAGATAAAATGGAATCATATGAAAGGCTAAATTAAAACCAGAGAGGCAGAAAACATTGCTTCTGGCAACAAATAGAAAGCAGTTACAAACATGGTTGATATTAATCAATGTATGTATCAATAAGCACTTTAAATGTGAATGGTCTAATTACACCAATTAAAAGGCAGAGATTGTCAGAATGAATAAAAAACAAGACTCAACTACACATTGTCTATCGGAAACAAAGTTTAAATATAAAGACTCTGATAAGTTAAGAGTAAGGAAGTAGAGAAAAATATACCGTGCAAACCAAGAAAGCCAGAGCAGCTATAATAATTTTAGACAAAGTAGACTTCAGAAGATGGAAAATTATCAGGGATTAAAAATGAATATTATATAATCATAAAGGGGTCAATTCTCCAAGAAGATATGATAATCCTAAATATGCAACTAGCAACAGAGCTTCAAAATACGTGAGTCAAAAACAGATAGAAGTGAAAGTAGTCACAGACAAATCCACTGTTATAGCTAGAGATTTCAACACTGTCATGTCAGTTATTGATAGCTCAAGCAGGAGGAAAATCAATAATGATGTAGTTGACATAAATAGCACTATCAGTCAACTTGATCTGATTGACATATACAGAATACTCCATCCAACAAAAGCCAAATACACATTCTTCTCAAGCTTACATGGAACATGCACCAAGATAGAAAATTTTCTTGCCCATAACACACCTTAAAAAGCTTAAAAGAACATAAATCATATAAAATATGCTTCCACAATGAAATTAAACTGCAAATCCATACTAGAAAGATAGCTTGAAAATTCCCCAAATGTTTGGAACACATGTCAAAGAAGTCTCAAGATAAATTAAGAAATATTTTGAACTAAGTGAAAATGAAAGTACAACCTATCTAAATTTGTGAGATGCAGCAAAGGTAGTGCTTAGAGGAAAAATTATAGCATTACATGTAGATTTTAGAAAAGAAAAAAGATTTGAAATTGATAACCCAAGCTTACATCATAGGAAATTATAGGAAGAATTTAAGCAAATTAGGCCTAAAGCAAGCAGAGGAAAAGAAATAACAAAAATTAGGGCAAAAGTCTATGAAAATTTAAACAGAAAAGCAACAGAGAAAAGCAGTGAAACCAAAAGCTGGTTCTTTGAAAAGATGAACAAAATTGATAGATTTCTAGCCTAGCTAATCAAGAAAAAAGAGAGAGACACACACACACACACAAATTGCCAACATTAGAAATGAAACAAGGGTCATCACTACTGATCCCACGGACATTGAAAAGATGTTAAAGGAATACTACAAACAACTCTATGTCAGTGCCCCTCATTTTAATCATTTAGATGAAATAACCAATTGATGGAAAGACATGGACTACCAAAATTCCCACAAGTAGAAGGAGACCAGCTAAATAGCCCAATATCTATCTAATTAATTGAATCAATAGTTAATAACCTTCTTAAAATGTAATCACCAGGAGCAGATGACTTTACCGATGAGTCTTACCAAACATTTAAGGAAAAAAAATAAAAATTCTCTATGCTCTCATTTAGAAAACAGAATCATCATGCCCGTAATCCCAGTGCTTTGGAAAGCCAAGGTGGGAGGACTGCTTGAGGCCAGGAGTTTGAGACAGCCTGGGTAAGAGAGGGAGACCCCATCTGTACCAAAAAAAAAAAAAAAAAAAATTTCAATTTAAAAAAATAGAGTAGAAATCAGAGAAAACACTTCTTGATTCATTCTATAAGTCCAGAATTACCCTGACATCAAAACCATAGAAAGATATTACAAAAAGTAAAGATGCACACCAATCTATCTGATGAATATAGATTAGAATCTTCAATAAAAGTGTCTTTGTTCACAAATGACATAATTATTGATGTATAAAAACTCCAAAAACTGTGCACAAACATTAGAAAATTGAATCCAACAATGTATTTTTAAAATTATGCCCCAGGTCCAAGTGGAATTTATTCCAGATATTCAAGGCTGGTTCAACACTCAAATATCAATTAATGTAATCCACCACCATGACTGGCAAAAGGGGAACAATTATGTAATATAATCAAATGATCCAGAAAAGCATTTGACAATATCCAATGTCCATGATAAAGTTTCTCAGCAAACTAAGAATAGAGGAAAACTTTGTCAACTTAATAAAAAAACAGGCTGGGCATGGTGGCTCATGCCTGTAATCCCACTGCTTTGAGAGGCTGAGGCAAGAGGATCCCTTGAGGCAAGGAGTTCAAGACCACCTTCAGCAACATAGCAAGACCCCATCTCTACAAAAAGTAAAAAAACAGTTAGCAGGGTGTGGTAGCACAGGCCTGTAGTCCTAGCTACTCAGGAGGCTGAGGCAGGAAGGTCACTTTGAGACCAGAAGCTTGAGGTTACAGTGAGCTATGATATTGCCACTGTACTCCAGGCTGGGCAATAGAGTCAGACCCTATCTCAGAAAAGAAGAAGAAGAAAGCAGAGTAAAGAGAAGAAGGAGGAGAAGGAGGACGAGGAGGACGAGGAGGAAAGAAAGAAGAAGAACATTTACAAAAACCTACACCTAATATTATACTTAATGAGGAGAAACAGATGCTTTTCCCTTAAGGTTGGCAATAAGACTGAGATGTCCCCTCTCACCACTCTTATTCACCTTTATGCCAGAAGTCCTAGGTAGAGCAATAAGACAGGAAAAGGGAATAAAAGATATACCGATTGGGAAGGAAAAAATAAAACTGACTTTGTTCATGGATGACATGATTGTCTATGTAGAAAATACAAAAACATGGTTGGGTGCAGTGGCTCACGCCTGTAATCCCAGCACTTTGGGAGGCCGATGCATGTGGATCACAAGGTCAGGAGATTGAGACCATCCTGGCCAACATAGTGAAACCCCATCTGTTCTAAAAATACAACAATTAGCTGGGTGTGGTGGCATGTGCCTGTAATCCCAGCACACTCAGGAGGCTGAGGCAGGAGAATCGCTTGAACCAGGGAGTCGGAAGTTGCAGTGAGCCAAGATTGTGCCACTGCACTCCAGCCTGGTGACAGAGCGAGACTCTGCCTCAAAAAAAAAAAAAAAAAGTTTACCAAAAAATGCATAGAATTAATTAGTGATGATATCAAGTTTGCATGATACAATATAAATAGATAAAAGTTGTTTTCCTATATGCCACCAACAATAAAGAGTTAGACTTTAGTAATTAAAAACACACTACCATCTACAACAGCATCAAAAAATCTTTAAAAAGTTAAACTCATAGAGAGTGGAATGATGGCTACCAGAGTCTGGGAGGTGAGGAGGGAGGGAATGGGGAGTTGTTAATCAAAGGGTACAAAGTTTCGGCTAGACAGGAGGAATAAGTTTTGAGATCTACTGCACAGCAGAATGACTATTGTCAATAATAATGTATATCTTATAACTTAGGAAGTAGACTTCGAATGTCTTACCTTAAAAGTGATAGGTAAGTGAGGTGATGAATATGTTAATTAGCTTGATTTAATCATTCCACATTGTATCGTATAAATGTATACAATTATAATTTGTCAATTAAAAATAAAATAAATAAATAAAAATGAAAAGATCAGAAGAATTTTTTAAATAGCACCAAAAAAGTGGAATACTTAGGTATAAGTCAAATAAAATATGTACAGGTCCCGTATGTGGAACTAAAAATCAAACACCTAAGTAAATGGACAGATAGTCCATATTCATGGATTGAAAGACTCAATATTGTTAAGATGTCAATTTTTCTGAATTTTTTCCTACAGATTCATTGTAACACTAATTTAAAAATCAGGAAGCTATTTTCTGAATATCAAGAAACTGACTCTAAAGTTTATGTAGAAGCACAAAAGATCCAAAATAGCCAACATGACACTAAAGAAGAAGAGCAGACTTCAAGACTTAAAGCTACAGTAATCAAGACAGAATGATATTGGCAAAAGAATAGGGACATAACTCATTCGAACAGAATAGAGAGACCAAAAATAGAGTCACACAAATATAGTCAACTGATCTTCAGCAAAGAAACAAAGGCACTTCTAAGGAGAAAGTATAGTCTCTTCAACAAATGGTGCTGGAACAATTGGACATCCATATGCAAAAAAAAAAAAAAAAAAAAAATCCAGACACGAACCTTACATCCTTCAGAAAAATTAACTCAAAATGAATCACAGACCTAACTATAAAATGGACCACTATAAAACTTCTAGAAGATAACATGGAAGAAAATCTAAGTGACATTGGGTTTAGCAATGAGTTTTTAGATAAAATACCAAAAGCATAATTCATGAAAGAAAAAATAATAAATTAGACTCTTTGGTCTAATAATAAATTAACCTCATGCCTGTAATCCCAGCACTTTGGGAGGCCGAGGCGGGCAAATCACAAGGTCAGGAGTTCCAGACAAGCATGAACAACATGGTGTAACCCTGTCTCTACCAAAAATACAAAAATTAGCCAGGCATGGTGGCACACACCGGCTACTCAGGAGGCTGAGGCAGGAGAATCACTTGAACCCGGGAGGCAGAGGTTGTAGTGAGCCGAGATCGCACCACTGCACTCCAGCCTGGGCGACAGAGTGAGACTCAGTCTCAAAAAAAAAAAAAAATTAAAAACCTCTGCTCAGTGAAAGACATTGTTAAAACAATCAAAGGCAAGCCACAGACAGGGGGAAGATACTATAAAACACTTACCTGATAAACGACTTGTATCCAAAACATAGAGTTCTTAAAACAATAAGGAGACAAACCAAATGGGTGAAAGATCTGAAAAGACATCTCATTAACAAAGATACACAGATGGCAAATAAGTATATGAAAAGATGCTCAACATCATATGTCAACAAAGAATTACAAATTAAAACAACAATGAGATACCACTATGCACCTATTAGAACGGCTAACATCCAAAACATACTGATAATATTAAATGTTGCTGGGGACATGGGACAACAGGTCTCTCACACATTGCTGATGGGCATGTATAATGATACAACCATTTTGGAAAATAATTTGGCAGTTTCTTATAAAGGTAAACATAGTCTTGCCATATTATTCAGCAGTCATGCTCCTAGGTATTCACCCATTTGATTTTAAAACATATCCACAAAAAAAAACCTGCACACAAATGTTTACAGCATTCAAATGTTTATACCATTTATATTTATAACTGCCAAAAACCAGAAGTAACCAAGATGTCCTTTGATTGGTGAATGAATAAACAAACCATGAACATTTGTAAAATTGAATATTATTCACTGATTTAAAACATGAACTATTCAGCCATAAAATTACATAGAGGAACCATTGGTGCATTTAATAAACAAAAAAAAAAGCAAGTCTTTAAAGGCTACATACTGTATTATTCCAATTATATGACATTCCGGAAACTGCAAAACTGTAGAGACAATAAAATGATCGGTGGTTGCCCAAGAGTTTGGGACTGGGGAGAGGAATGAACAGGTAAAGCACAGGGAATTTAGGGGTCAGTAAAATTACCCTGTATGATGCTATAATGAAGAGTAAATAATATACATTTGTCAATACCACAGAACTTTTGAGCACAAAGAGTAAACTTTAATGTGTGGGAATTTTTTAAAATAACTCATTTAGGATGTCAGAAGATTTTTGGAATGAATGTGACAAGGGAAACGACCTGTATTACAGATGAAACAGCCTCACAGAAGGGAGTAGGGAAATAAGGTGCTGACCTATGTAACACTGGAAGTAAGTGGAATCTGTAAGACTAAATGAAACTGTACATAAGCAGTGTATTCTACTTGATAAAGTTGTTTCCCACTGAGGTACAGGTTAGGAATTCTGATGCTGATATACATGTATTCTGTAATTGAACAATTAAGTAAATGAATGGTGAATGGTGAGATCTCAGTTTCCCATTGTTGGAGTGAGAGGTTACAGTTAAGCAAGAAGAGCAAACTAGAACGATCCATGTGGTGATGGATTAAATGTGGAGGCATCAACGTGAACTCATGTTTAGCTTAGTATGGATACAGGTGGTTACACACAGAAATATTTATAGATAAGTGTATACACACACATATATCTCCTTGCTCCATCAGCTGAGATGACCTAGAAGCAATGACAACTCAGTAACAATAAGCAATAATAAGGGAAGGGTGGAGAGAAAATAAACAAGTAAACACACAAAAAGCAATTAATCATATAATTTTTGCATAGAAGCGTGGTAAGGTAATAAACAAAGTGCTGTGCCAAAAGCAACCAGGGACGAAAGGCACAGGAGTAGGCTGCTCTGACAAGGTGGTCAAGGAAGCCCTCCCTAGGGAGGTGATATTTGAGCAGAGCTCTGCATAAGACAGAGCCAGATGTGGGAAGATCTGGGCAAGGGGAGGGTAGAACATTCTAGGAAGAGATAATAAGACATGCAAAGGCTCTGAAGCAAGTTCCAGTGCTTTCAATTGAGGATTCAAGGTCAAGTGATTTATTGAAGCTGTGCTGTCAGGAGTTACCAGGAGCAATGGCAGCAAAAGAGAAAAGAGGGAGAGCCAAGCTGAGGAGTGGCAGCAAAAGAGAAAAGAGGGAGAGCCAAGCTGAGGAGTGATTCCAAGTGAAATCCCAGCACAGCCTGGACCCTCAGGGAGCTCTGGGACATAAATTACAACCCAGAGTTTGTTCTGTCTCTAGGTAAAGGAGCTGGATGTTTGTAGTCATACATCAGTCAGTCATTGGCTATGGGACAGAGTTGAAAACAGAGTTCAAGGCAACTGAAGCAGCTACAGCCTATAGATCTGGGCATCAGAAATACGAAAGCAGTGCACATAGAGGCCCCAGGACATACAGTGATGCGTCCTTAGTTGAGGGATAGGCAGTAGGCCTAGCTGAGGTCTACCAGGTAGTAGCTGTTATGTGGTTGAGAGTGGAGATCTATCAGAGGTTGAACAGTACTGGAGATGCAGTTCCGGCCCTCACCAAAGTAGAGAAATCTTACTAACATCTCATTAACACACCGGGTATCCAGCTGAGAGATCATGTTATTCTTAAGAGTACGAACCACATCCTAGAGTAGGACCTATTTGAGAACTTGCCTAACAAAGCCCAAAATCAAGCTCTGACAAAAATCTGCAGGGGATCTGCAGTGTTTAGAGGTGAAGTTTTACTAAATTAGAGAGGCTTGAGAAACACCTTAGGCTTTGCACAGACTCATACCAGCAAAGCATAAAACCAAACCTACAAAAAGTTCAAGAAGATTGCCTGCCAAAACAAGGATCAACACTCTTCAGAGGAAGACAACAGAATCCAGAGTCTATACCCTATTGTTTCCACACTCTCTGAGATTCAACCAAAAACCACTGGAACCACAAAGAAAGATAAAAATGTAACCCATAGGGCAAAAAAAAAAAAAAAAAAAAAAAGAATCTGTCAATAGAAACTGAAACAAGATAGTCTAGATTTTGGACTTAGTAGACAAAACTTTAAAGCAACCTTTATAAAGATGTTAAAAGAATTAAAATAAAATATGGCCTTAATAACAAACCAAATAGGCAATCTCAAGAGCAAAATGTAAATTGTAAAAAAAGAGCCAAATAGAAATTCTAGAACATAAAACTTCAATTAAATTTCAAATTAAAACTTCAAATTAAAAATTTGTCATTCAACATGACAGAAGAGTTAGTAAATGTGAAGATGGATTAATTTAAAAATTATCTAATCTGAAGAAAAGAGAGAAAAGGGATTGAAGAAAAAAATCAGAGTCTCTGATCTGTGGTACAAGATCACACAGTCTAACATATGTGTATCTGGTGTCCCAGAAGGAGAAAAGAATGAGGCTAGAACAGCAAACATATTTGAATAAATAATGGTTAAAACCTTCCAAAGCTGACAGAAAATATAAACGTATAGATCCAAGAGGCTCTGCAAACCCCAAGCAAGATGAACACAAGGAGAAATTCACATGGTCACACCACAGTTAAACTTTTGAAAATGAAAGACAGAAACATCTTGAAAGCAATCAGAAGAAAACAGAGACTTGGGGTTTAGGGAAAGAAGGCTTAGAATGACACTGACATCTCATTTGGAAATAATGGAGGCTAGAAAAACAATGGAATGACATCTTTAAAGTGCTAAAAGAGAACATCTCTCAGATTTGTCTACCCAAAGATCTACCTGGAGAATTTTTTATCCATCGGCTCCCAACCCCCATTGCTGGAGGTTTCCCCTGGGGTGTTCACTCCCCTGCACATTCAGGCTGCACATGTGTGCTTGATGGGCAGGTTCCCACCAGTATTTGCAGCATCCAAGAATCCCTGGGGCGGAGGCATTAGTTAAAGCTACATGGGACACATTGAGGTTAGATGCTAAGATGGTAAGGTGAGTCAAAATGTTCATGGAATCCATGGCAGGCCCAGCTGAAATTATAGGAGAGGCGGGGCTGGGGCTACTATCAGCCCTACTTTGCAAAGGTGAAAATGAATACAAAGAGTGGTTAAATCATACGCCAAGACCCCACGGCTGATAAATGCTAGAGCTGAGTTTAAACTCAGTCTGTCTGGCATTTAAGCTCTCAGACATACCCCCACACTGACTCTTAAGATGCACCGCACAGTCATTATCACACAGGTATATACGGCATGCTCAGACCTCTGCACATACACCCAAGGCCACTGTGTTCACACACAGAGATGTTTCACTGCATGTGCACTGCCATGCTATTGCTTTTTTTTCTTCTTTTTCTTTTTTTTTTTTTTTTTTTTGAGACAGAGTCTTCCTCTGTCTCCCAGGCTGGAGTGCAACCTCCGCCTCCCAGGTTCAAGAGATTCTCCTGCCTCAGCCTCCTGAGTAGCTGGGATTACAGGCACCTGCCACAACATCCAGCTAATTTTTGTATTTTTAGTAGAGATGGGGTTTTGCCATGTTGGCCAGGCTGGTCTCGAACTCCTGATCTCAGGCGATCCGCCCACCTTGGCCTCCCAAAGTGCTGGGATTACAGGTGTGCACCACCGCACCCGGCCTGCCACACTGTTTCTACAGACACACATTCGTGTACACACACACACACACACACACACACAAAGCCAGGGACATGTGCATGTCTGTATTCATGCATGAATATAGCAAAAGCATTTTCATTAGGGAAACATTCCAGCTTTTTCCTGGCTCTGAAGACAATGTAATTGGGCTTGCCACAGGTGGAAGATGGGAGCTACTCTGCCCGCAGGCAGAAGGCCTCCCCACTCCCTCTTCCTCCCAGCTTGATGTGGTTAGCTAATCACTGCCAAGGATGTTATTCACTTCCCTCAGGGGCGGCCCCTCACACAGACCTCTCCTTTGTCTCACTCACCCCTGGAAATCTGCCCACCTCCACTCTCAGCCTCACATGTACTTTCCTGAGATCTCCGGCTCTGTCTGTCACCAGCACAGTGGGGATGAAATTCATTATTCTAAACTCTCGAGTCTCAGCCACGCTCTGGCAGCTGGACGGGTGGCAAGGGAAATGCCTTACTGCTGGCTTCATTGTTTCACGGAACTTGGTCATGGTCTCAGAGGTGCAGCCTCTTTTCTCCTGTTGGTTCCACCAAAAAAGGGGCCTCCAGAGGCAGTCCATGTGAGCTGGACAAGTGACTGCTCCCAAAATTCCAAAGCCCTCCTTTTTCCAATTCTTTGTGAGCTATAGCATGAAGATGGGGATTTTGTCATGCATTTATTCAGTGAACATATCTGAGCATCTACTGTGTACCAGGCACTGGGGTTCTAGCAGGGTCCATTTATGTTCTTTCACTCTCAGTACCAAGCCCAGTGCTTGGCATATGGTAGGTGCATAATTTACATTTGTTGGATGGATGGATGGATTGATGACAGACAGATGAATGTATGAATGTGCAGATGGATGGATGGATGGGTAGGTGGGGAGGTGGGTGGATGGATGTGTGGAATAAGCTCTACACAGAAGGGTGTAGGCTTATAAAGAAGATATAGTTGCCATCTCAAAGGTGTCCATCCTCTAGGAAGACTTTGCTTATGCCACCCTATACTGTAGTTACACAAGTGGAAGGAGCAAGGGATGGGAGTAGGAAGAGAGAGTTAGGGAGGCAGGTGTTACATCTGGCTGGGGCATTTCAGGCAGAACATTAGGGGAAACCCTTCCCAACCACCTCAAGTCCAGCAGGAGAAGCAGTGCCCATCCCGACACTTCATGAAAATAATCAGCCCAAGCGTCCTTGTTAGGGGTGACCACAGGGCCTCAGGGGCCCCTGGGGTGGGCCCTGTCATCATCTGGTTAGGCCAAGGTGCCTTCAGAACAGCAATGCTTCAAGGTGTCCACCGAGGCAGTGGGTCCACTGTGCTTTAGCAGGTCACGGCAGGTGGACACACTTCAGAGTGCCCACTTCATCAGGCCACCCCACTGCAGAATCCTCAGCCCACTGGGCTTCAGCCTCCACATGCCGCCTTTCAGCTCATGCATCATGCACCCCTCTTCCATGTGGGCCCCTCCTTCCCCACCTGCACACGTCCTCAGCAGGTGCACACCAAATCAGGTGCTGTCAGTGCCTAGACCCACCTAATCAGATCCAGTTCCAGCCCACCCTGGACACAGAAAGCCAGGCCAGATCCACTGCCTTAAAATCCAGTCTCATTTTTAGTAACTGGAACACTGAGGCAGGTGGGTGCCTCCCAGGGCCCTCCCGTGTCCCGGTAGAATGGCTGGAGACCGAGTGTCCCCATACATGGATGGCGCAGCCACATTCAGCTGAGGATTGGAACCTGCTCAAAATGTTTGTTTCCTGTTTAATCGGTGGTAATAAAAAGTCATGGATTCCAACCAAAATACATTCCACTCCTTCAGCCCTGGTTTGTCAAAATTGCTTCTCTCTGAAGCTCCAACCTCAGGGCTGTGGGAGCCTGTGGTTGACTGGCAGGCTGATCGCGCACAATATCATATCGGGTCAGAATCACCCCATTGGCCTCCACCTGCCAACCTTGGAAAGAAATTCAAGGTAAGGACAAGTGAGTCTAAAAGTGCAGCTCTTCCTCCCAATCCCTCTCAAAACTCAAGTTTTGACTTCTGAGCTGTGAATAAGGATCTCATTGAGCCAAAGTTCCTTAAGGTTTTTTGCTGCACCCACAGGGGATCGTGTGCAGGCTAGGAGGGTTGCCATGGAACTTCAGCAGCCAACCACGAGGAAGGGAGGGGGAGCTGCCGCCCAAGCAGAGGCCCCCACTTCTGGCTGGGGGCCTGCCTGGCCCTCCGCAGCCGTCTCCAGCGCTCTCCTCTCATCTGGCCCAGTTCAGGCCTGCGCCACCAGCTGCAGACAGCCTGGCCTCCCGGGGTCCCACCCACCACTCACTCACCTCCATCTCAGGACAGCCCGTCTTGGCGCCACCCCACCCTGTCCCCTGCTCCCCTGTTGCCTCCATGACCACATCTTTCCTTTCCTACAACACACAGAGCACCGCTAGGGCAGGGACTAAGATCTTTCTCCTCTCCCTTTGGATTTAACTGACAAATGCGCCTTGGATTTCTAAGCCGATTCCCTGAGGGCTTGTGCCGCATGTATAAATCTGCAGCCAAAATGCCAGTGCCCCCAAACTGTCAGCTTCTTTTTTTTTCCCCTTTAAAGCAAACTAATCTTCCTCTGAGCTCCTGTCTTCAGGAAATCAGACTGCCACCCTTGTCAGGGGTGTCCTGGGATCGGCGGGAGTAAGGAGCCGGGAAAGCTGGCGTCTAAGGTACAATTCAACCAGCTAGCTGTGGATCCTCAGGCAAGTAAGTTCACCTCTCTGAGTCTGAGTGTCCTGGTGTATAAAGTAGGAATGATTGTGCATGTACGCACACACATGCCCGAGATAATGGGTTACAGTGCTTTGTAGTTTGAGGCAGAGGCTCAGTATGAGCTATTGCGCTAATAATTGCAACAGAAAACTGAGGCGTATTTTCACATTTCTGTTTTGGGTTGTGTCTCCTCTGTGTTCCCTTTCCCTCCATACGTCTTCTTCTGAAGGTCAATTCCACAATCAGTTACCAGAAGTGGCAAGACTGCCGGAGCTGTAATCCCAGCTAAGAAGTGGCTGGCCATGGCTCTGAGTGACGGCTTCACAAACCTCACCGCATTCCGTTCTATAGCAGTCTCTGAGCTGCGAGCCAGGGCTCTCACCATCCCCACTAGACAGCTGAGCATACTGAGGGTCAGACGGATGAAAGGACGCGCTCAGCATGCGCCACTGCTAAGCCGCAGATGAAACCCACACTCAGATCCAGGACGCAGGAGGGAGGAGCGGCACAGAAAGAAATAGGAGCTGCCTTCAGGTTCAAAGCACAATTGTTTTGCTTTTGTTTTTAGACCTCGTGCAAAATGAACAAAACTCATCCAGAACGATGTCCACAGGCCCCTGATGGCTCCCCAGGCCTCACTGAAGCAGGGAAGGGTGAGCATCTCGGTCCACTTCCCCTGAGAATCCAAATTCCTGTTTCTTTTCTTTCTTTTTTGTCTTTACTTATTCCAAATATGTTCAAAATGGAACTATGAAATGCCATATTTTATCCAAATAAGTAATTTTTAAAATGCCATCTTAGAAGAGCTTCTAAACATTTCCAAAGGCCTTTCAAACTTTCTCCCTGAAAGGCTTTGTACCAGGCAACCAAATCCTTCCGGACTTGTTGAATGCGGAGAGTGAGAGAGCCAGTGAGTGGTGCTGGTGTTGTCTCTTTGCTTCCTCCTTCCTCCTCCCCCCACCGGCCCCCACCAATCTGTCCGGTGGATGCTGAGTGATCATTTTGCGGATGGCTTGGAACTTGGCTTCTCGAGGGGAAGCTGGTATGAGAAAATGAGAATCTCATTCAGATGGGCTTGCAGTTTTTATTCCCCTAGCGAATTATTTTCTTATTTCCATCCCCCTTGATTCCTTTGCAAAAAACTGCAGCCGTCTTTCCTCCCTTCTTTGCCTTAGTTGAATTAACTTAATTAGGGCACTTGCTTTTGACAACGCTGGGAGATTTTTAGCTACCGAACTGTCCTCAGGAGACCACAGGAAGGCTGACGCACTGTCTGCAATTATCAAGCTAATCACTCAGAACACACTCGTTTGTTTTATGTATTTATATCTTGGGATATAAACCTTCATTTCCATTTTTCTTTCGTTCTGCTGTGTGTGCCAGGCAGAGTGAGGCACTGTGGGCAAGAGAAGAGCCCTGCCCTTATGGAGAGCAGCTGGCCAGACAGACATTAAACACATGATAATACACAGAAACATGTGATTACAGGGAGTGAAGAATGCAACAAAGAAATAATACTTTGAAATATCGCCTTCTCTTTCTGGACTTCTTTGGAATACAGCCAGTCAGAGCATAGCTCTAAGACCAAGAGTAAGCAATGCCTTTTGAAATATTCTGTTTGAAATCAGAGCCCTTCCCCACTGCAGTCAATTGCGGGCACAAATATTCCTTTTGTTCACAGACCACATCCTGTGTTCCCCAGGGCCTCACCCTGAGCTGATCCCAGGATGACCTAGAAGAGGCATGTTTTACTGAAATCGTTTCTAAAACTTACACTAAAGCTACAATATCTGAACGCATGGTAAGGACACACATTTTCAAGTTTCTCTTTGGGTCACAGGTGTGCTGCTTTCTACATCAATTTGTCAGGAAGACAAATCTTTTAGTGTCGGGAAGAAAAGCAGCAAGATGAAAAAGAAAAAAAAAAGAAGATATTTCAAGATCAGATTCTTCATCCTACTTTTCTGACTTGCCAGAAGCTAACGACATCTTTCCTAGCAGTGACTGGCAACCACTCTGAAAACTTCACCAAATTATTACTCCTTTATTTTTTTGAAAAAACAGGCAAGTGTATTTAGTTGTCATTGGTTACAACCAAATTTCTCTAAATATTTCAGTGCATCTCAAAATACTATATTGATAAGTTCAAGTCATAAAAAACTGCATTAGGAGTTTTGGAAAATTTACTGGTAGGATTATGCATGTTTTTCTTCCATTTGAGTTCTCCTCTGAATGCATGTTTATTTAAAGAAAAATTGTGGTATTTGGAAGATTGAAGACTGACTTCTAAACTGTGCTGACTTCAGGAAGACCTACTTTTGGCCAGGCACAGAGGCTCATGCCTGTAATCCCAGCACCTTGGGAGGCTGAGGAGGGAGGATTGCTTGAGCCCAGGAGTTCAAGACAAGCCTAGGTAACACAGCAAGAAAAATGTTGAAATTAGCTGAGTATGGTGGGTCATGCCTGTAGTCGCAGCTACTTGGAAAGCTGAGACAGGAGAATGGCTTGAACCAGAGAGGTGGAGGCTGCAGTGAGCTATGATCATGCCCCTGCACTCCAGACTGGGTAACAGAGTGAGACCCCATCTCCAAAAAAAAAGAAGACCTGCTTTTTTCTCCTTCTATCCAGTCCCATCGAATTAACTGTTCTTGGAAAGGAGGGCACATCCCAAACTGGGGGGTCACAAGGTGATTTGTGAGGTACACGTAGCATCAAAACCACAGATACACACGCTGACAGAGCTATTCCTTTTTAGTCCTTTGCTTGGCCCAGGAGAGTCCCCAGTGGGGACTAGTCAATTTTCAGCACCTCCCCAGTGCTGCCACCACCCTTTTTAATAGAGAGAGTGAGCAGCTACAGCACCAAACTGGAATTTCGTAACATCAGCTTTCATTATTTTTATGACCATTGCCTTCCACATAGGTCAAATGGCACTGGTTTTTCACTTATGGTCATGACTTGAAGCTTCCTTTTTAAAATAACTGTATGTTTTCAAAAGTGTGTAAATGTAAAAGAAAGGATTAAGTAAATAATGGCACGATATGGCAGGTGAGATGCAAATGGCAGGTTTGGGGAAAAGGGCAATCGATAAAAATAAAGGCAGCTTGGCTCTCCCGCTCTCCCAGCGCTGCAGCTCAGAGGAAAACTAAAATTAATTCCTTTTGCAGCATGACGGGGAAAAAAAGCATCCAGAAGGAAATTCATCAAACCATTAAAAGTGATCTCCCCCAGGGAAGGGGCTTGCAGGCAGGGGGAACACATTCACATTTCGCTTTAAACACATCTGGATTATTTGAATTTTTGTATTGCATAGAAGTTAACCCTTTGTCTGACTTCTTGGTTATAAATGTTTTTCTTGGAATGCCTTTTGTTTATTGCCTTTGTGATCTCTTGGGCAGGCAAAACTTCTCAACTTCATAAAATAAAATAAAAAATCCATCTTTTCTTTATAGCTTCTGGGTTTCCAGTCTCCCTGGCCCCTAGATTGTAACTGCAGTATCACACATTTCTTGCAATACTATTATGATTATTGTGTTACTTGTAAGTATTTAATTCCTCTAGAGTTGATTTCTGTATCCATGGACCATTGGTTCCATTTTCATGTTCTCCCATTTGTCAAAGGGTTCATCCATCCTCCTGTCTTGAACATCAGCTCTCTCCGTATATACCTTCTGAGTTATAAGGACAGTTCCACTTCACTTCCTGCTTCACTAATCTAGTCCCTGTCACGACACCAAAACTGACTTGGTTACAGGACCTTTAGAGCCTATACTAATACCTGGATAGGTAAATCCTCCATCACTCTTCTCATTTTCCACATTTCCTAGCTATTCTGAGGGCATCTCTTCTTCCATAGGAACTCTAAGATTATATTTTTATTTGAGTATGCATTATTTCAATAATTTAAAAAATAAAATATTTTATTATTAAAAAGGTGGCCAGGTGTGGTGGCTTATGCCTGTAACTCCAGCACTTTGGGAGGCCAAGTCGGGTGGATCACTTGAGGTCAGGAGTTCGAGACCAACCTGGCCAACATGGCGAAACCCTGTGTCTACTAAAAATACAAAAATTAGCTGGGTGTGGTGGCGAGCGCCTGTAATTCCAGCTACTCAGGAGGCTGAGGCAAGAGAATTGCTTGAACCTGGGAGGCGGAGGTTGCAGTGAGCCGAGATTGTGCCACTACACTCCAGCCTGGGCGACAGAGCGAGACTCTGTCTTTAAAAAAAAAAAAAAAAAAACTCCTTGTCCAAAAAAAAAAAAAAGTGGGGGGAGGCGGCACCACCAGATGCTGGTGAGGATTGGAGTACCGAGAGCTCTCACCCCTGGTTGGTGGGAATGCAAAATGGTGCAGCCACTTTGGAAGACAGTTTCACAGCTTCTTGCAAAGTTACACATATTCTTTCCATACCACACAGCAATTGTGCTCCCTGATATTTACCCAGAGGATTTGTTTAGAGCAGCTTTCATCATAATTGCCAAAACTTAGAATCCACCGCGATGTCCTTGGGTTGGTGAATGGATGAACTGTAGTACATCCAGGCACTGGAATTTTATTCAGTACTAAGAAAGGAACAAGCTATCGAGATAGGAAAAGATGTGGAGGAAACCGACGGCATGTTACTAAGTGAAAGAAGTCAGTCTGAAAAGCACACACTGTATGGTTCCAACTCTATGGCCACACTAAGGAGGCACAAAACAAAGAAAAGATGCGCAAAAGACAAAAACAAACACAATTAGGGAGGCGAGTGTCCCGCTCTGGTGGGGGATGTTGATAGTGAGGGAGGCCGTGCCTGTGTGGAGGCAGGGGGTTTATGGAAAATCTCTGCACCTTCTACTCAGTTTTGCTGTGAACTTGAAACTGCTCTTAAAAAAATAAGGTCTTTTTTTTAAAGGGAGGGAGGGATCTTTTAAATTGTCTCTTTCTTGTATATCAAAAGCTAAGCTATGCCAGCATCTGAAACAGAAAGTGGCTGAGGGTACCTCTGTCACTTGGACCTCTTCTGCTCACAGCCTCCCTGAACTGGTGGCCAGGGAAGGCAGTGGGAGGAGAGGACCAAGTCTCAAACTCCAGAAGCCCCACCTCCCTGAGCTCAGCAACTCTGCCAAGCCCCCTCAGGTAAGCCAGCAGGGAGGCGGTGGGGGCTCTATAGAGTGAGCACTTCTCAGCCAGTTACCTGGCTAGGAGCCCAGCAATTCTTGCTAGAACCCCGCGGATGTGGTGCCAGTTTGAATAAGAGTCAGCTCTGGCTGATTCTTGCAGACAAAGTGAGGTGGAGCTCTCTCTTTGAGCGTTCTACTATGCACAGGACTGCAGGTGGGAAATCGCTGTCAGGAAGGACAGAGGGAGGAAAACGTTGACAGCGCAGATAAAAGGGGTCAAGTTCACGGGACTTTGACCATGTCCCAGGCATTGTGCTGTGCCTGCACTCCTGTCATCCCCCCATTCTACAGACAACTATTCAGAGAGATTAATTCTTTCACCCATGACCACCCAGCTTACGGGGGCACTTGGAGCTCACCTGTCGGCTCCAACCCCTTCTCACTGCTCAGTGCAAGAGTAAGGCAATACACTGCCGGCCCCACCCTGGAGGAAAATACTCGGCTCTGAATCTGCACCTCTCCCAAGTAGGTATTTACAAACAAAAGAACTCAGCGCTCCCGGCCGTGAGTGTTGCAAATACATACACAAAAATGACTGAGCCTGATTCATCATTTGAGAACCAAAGGGGATAAGGCTGCATTAACTATGAGAGTTTGCGTCTTCCAGCAGACAAAACAAAAAATGAGAGCCACTCTTTCTAAATGTTTTTGTATCCAACCCAGTTCCTTCCAATTTTTTGCCATTGTTTAAAAGATGTTGAAGCTTCCAAGTGCACAGCTCAGGAAAGTTTTCATCATGTCTCATCCTGTGTGTTGCAGCGCGAAGTCCTCGTCCAGAGAAGGCAACGGCGAGAAACAAATCCAACATCCTGGGCTGCTTTTTCCTTCCCCCACTTTTTAAAAGTTTGGTGTCCAAGTCACTTGACAAACCCAGACCCTAACAATGACATTTTGTGTAGAATTCTGGGATCAAAATATAATTTCAAAAATAATATATTTTCTGACATCCCCCAAGAAAAAAAGTACTGGTTTCTTCCCCCTAAAAGGATTTAGATGGAATAACATCTGTGCTGAGAATATTGTGAATATGTTGAACTGACAGGCAGTCTCTAAGGCACTCCGCTCATTAATGTGCTGTGCATAAAATTAAAACTTGAAATATATTTTTAAATCCATTTTGAATCATTTAAGCAAAGAAACTATTGTGCTGAAATAATATATTTGGAGCAAGGAATATGAAAGCTATTAAAATGTCTTAGACCTCCTGCCTTTCATGGGAGAGGAAGAAGGGGGGAAATGCTCTCTCTGATTTGAAACAGGCTTTGCATAAAATATACCCACCCCACCTCACCATCTCCCAAAAAAAAAATCTACTCTGAAGTAACACTAAGAGTTTCACTTAAATCCACAGGAGCCAAGGAACACGAAGTTGGGTCTTTATATTTCTCCTGCTTCCACTGTGCATAGCTGAGCTGGGGAGCAGCTCAATGAGGGCTGTGAGGGCCCAGGTATGGTGGGCACCTTCCCTGGGTCTGCAGCATTCACGGCTGTGAGCAAGAAACCCTAAAGGAGGGAGGAAGGGAAGACAAAGACACAAAGATAGGGCCTTGTTTTGCTCCCGCCTTGTCCTGATTTCTGCAAACATTTTGAACACTCAGGATGCCAATTAATTCGTGGGTTCTTTGGAGCCCGTTGGCATGAGTGTGTGCTGGGAACAGCAGCCTGACAATTCCCCAACAACCCCCGTTCTCTCACTCGTTGTCTCATTCATCTGTCTATCAAATATGTGTTGAGTGCCAACCAAGAGCCATCACTGTCCTGGATTCTGAGAGTTCAGTGTTGCGAAAACTCAACTGTGAAAACCTGCTAGGAAGGCACGCTGTCGGAAGAGGACAGGGTGGCACCAAGAAATGGGGTGGGCATCTGGCCTGGTCTGGGAAGGCTTCCTGGAGGAAGTGACAGCAGAGTTGTATTCTAAGGGAAGAGGAAGAAACGGAGAGTGTACGCCAGGCATGGGGGTGGCAAGTGCAAAGGCGCTGAGGTGGGAATTTGCCTGAAGTGTTTCCTAGATGGGAAGGCGGCCAGTGTGGCAGGAGCACAGATTGTGAGGAGGGGCTGAGAGAGTGGAAGGGAGAGTCAAGGTAAATGGGTCAGCCCAGGTAGGGCCTGTGTCCACCATGAGAAGCCTCGCCCTTACCCTAAGAGCAAACACGTTGCCCTCAGCAAGCACAGGCAGCTCATGACTGTCCAGCCCTCTCTGCCAGGTGGAGGGCAGTGGAAGGGGTTGTGCATCCATGCAGGGCTGGGTGGAAGCTGACCAGGTTAGGGAGGGGGTATGAACTCGCTACTTCCCACGCCAGTGCCTATGTCCATGGTTCCCTCTGCCAGGGCCTCCATCCTCCTAGTCCCCATCCTTTGTGTCTCAGATACAGCAGCACGTCCCCTTGACCACTCAGCTGTGCCAGGACAGGGCAGATCTTCAAGGAAGCTCTGTGCCCCTCCTTCAATGCCCATGTGGAACTGGACACCACCTTCCACCCCGCAGGCCGGGAGCCCCTGGAGTCTCAGGCTGGGGCATATATACCACCATTCCCTCATCACCCCCTGTACCCCATGGGGCCCACCACCCACTGGGGCTGACAGAAAGAAAGATTCGTAACAATGGGACCATGTTAACTTGCTTGCTGCTGTACATGCACATGTGACACTCACAAATATTTGTGAATGAATGCGTGAATCAATGAAAGGATGAATGAATGAATTTCACTGTGAACTGAACTAAACTGGACAAAGCACAGAGTTGTGCACCTTTAAAGCTTCCAGAACAGATGACAGCGAGGATGTCTGACACTTCTCTGGTTAGGAAGCTGAGGTTCTAGGAGACTGCCAAGTTGCCAGAGCCACCTGTGATCACCTGACCACACCTGCAGCACCACAAGCACCACGCATTCCCTCTCTGTGGCCCAATTCTTCATGCACCTGCTATCACCAACCTCCAATCTCCAGCACCTCCCACAGGGTCTTGTCCTCTATCGTCCCCACTTCCCTGCCACTAAGACCCTGAAACTCACTGTCACCACTAGCAGCCCATTGAGAGAGAGATTCAGTCACAGCCCAGGAGGGTGCCCAGAAATCCACCGTGAGGTTGCAGCAACGTGATTTGGCAGAAGAGCAAGGAGTGGGAGAGATCGGAGATGCCCTCCTGGGCCAGTGAGGCAACTGGCTAGGGTGGGTGCCTTTACACTGTAGAGGCAGGTTCCCTGTGCTCACCAGACCTGGGTGAACCCTTTATTTCACTGATTTTAAAATACACGTTATTTCACAATTTAACTTCTCTGAGATTGAGATGCAACTCATGACTGATTGATGGATATTGGGTTTAAAGGCCCAAGTGATGACAGACACCTGGATGGCCTGGGAGGTTCACTTTCTCCCTCTTTTTCGAGGTGAGTAAGGAGCTAGCTCCACACGACTGAGTTGTCTCCAGGGAAAACAGACTGATACCAGCTGCTGGGCACGAGGCCGCCTGCTCTACAAGGTCACTAATTGTGGATTAGACACCCCTTGGCCTCCATCCCTATGTGTGGGTAGAGCATTACAGGGCAGGATCCTCTGCCTGAGCCCTTTCTGAGGTGCTCCACATCCAGCTGTGCCCAGCCCTGCACACCTCCCATGCAGCAGCAGGAGCTCAGGGATCATGTGTGCCTGGCTACTTCTCCACCAAGTCTTCCTGCAGCAAAGTCAACTTCAAGTGCACTAATATGCAAGCCCCCTTTCCACGCCATGGTATTTTTATGGTACATAAGGCAATAGTGTTTAATAACCGAAGACATTTTAGATTTTATTATAGGCAGTAATCAGCTGTCCTGGGCCAGTAGCACAGCCATCTTGTTTCCTCATCTGCTTTATGGGATAATGTCCACCTTGGATTCATTTTAAAACTCCAGAGTATTGCAGGTGCACGATGCTGGCACATAGTAAGTGCCCAACCAATATTGACGATCCTGGATGAAGAACCCTTGGCTCTTCTTTAACTTGGGCTGCAGCAATTAAAATTTGCAATCCTGTATAGAAAATGCCAATGCTTTTTTCTAGTCTTTCCCGGAATTTTTTTCTGAAATCCCTGTATCCTGGGGAAGCTCTGCAGAGAAATAATGTCTGCCATTTTACAAGTAAAATGAATGACATAAGAGAGCCCAGTGCAAATTGAGATGCTTTCTGCACCAGGCTGGGCAGGTTCCTAGGAAGAGTCGCAACATTCCAGGCAGATATTTCCGGGAAGATCCCCAAGGCAGGTGAAATCTCAGAGTCCTGCGTAATTTTCCCTTGGCAACAGTCATGCATTTCTCCCCTAACATCTCCATCTTTCAGTCTTTCTCTCCTTCCTATTTCTAATATTTGTACCTTCAGGGAAGGCCCATTCGTGAAACATAACCCATGCACTTCACATGCATGAGGCTTGGTGAGGACGTGGCCCTCTCTGTTCAGGAAGATGCTACCACCCTCCCGTGGCACGGGTTGGTCTCTGTCCTAAGACGTTTCATGTGCCGAGTCGCTGGCTCCTCCCTGAGCCCTGAGGTGGGTACCATTATCATGCCCACGTTATGGGGACAACCGAGGTTGAAAGAGACTAGGGGGCTGGCCTGAGTGCTCGCAGCCAGGGGCTGGCAGGGCTGGGATATGGAGCCAGGTTCGTGAGGCTGAAGGACCCCACCCTGGAGCCATCAAACCATACTCAGCCCCTCCTCCACGCTGCACCCTCAGCTCCTGGGGGAGGTCGGAGTGTATTGAGCCAGGACAGTCCCAGTCATGGAGTTTGTCTAACCATTCACAGGCTGCTCACATCCCTCCCAGAGCCTGTTATGCTGGGCGTTTGGTTTGTATGTTTTGTTTGAGGTCTCCTCCCTCAAGGAAGATTTGCTGGATTTAGAAACCTGGACCAGGGGCCCCTTCTCACTGTGCCCATGAGATTCTGTCCAGGCACTCAGCAGTCTGTACTGTGGGTGTTAGTATCCGTGTGTGCCCCTGAATTGGTTTGCTAGGGCTGCCCTAACACATTAACACAAACTGAATGGCTCAAAACAACAGAGATTTCTTCCCTCACATTCGTGGGGCTGGAAGTACAAAATCCAGCCTTCAGCAGGGCCGTGCTCCCTCCAGAGCCTCCAGGGGAAGATCCTTCCCACCCTCTTCCAGCTTCTGGGGGTTGCCGGCAATCCTTGGCTTGTGGCAGACTCACTCCAATCTCCGCTTCCATCTGTACATGGCCTTCTTCCCTGTGTGTTTGTGTCTCTGTGTCTGCACATGGTCTCCTCATAAAGACATGTTATTGGGTTAGGAACCTGATAATCCAGTATTACCTCATTTTAATTTAACTAATTACATCTGCAAAGATCCTATTTCCAAATAAGATCACACTCACAAGTTCCAGGTGGACAGGAGTTGGGGGAGGGGCGCCATTCAACCCAGTCCACCCCCTTATAAGATAATTGCCTTTTGAGAGCAGAGCTGGTGCTGATTAATCTATGTTGGCTGTCACTAAGTGTCTGATAAATAATTGGATACATGCGTGCATTGAGCTTAGAAGTGCTGACTCTTACTAGCAAATGTCACAAGACTGAAACCTGCCCAGCCTGTGAGTGCCTTTAACACCAAGAGGGAATCTTTGCTCCCCTCCTAGGTCTCTCTGTAAGCTGGCAGCAGAAATATCCACCCCCACCCCGGGACTGCTGTGAGTGTTGAATATAATGTGCAGGGGTTCTCAAGAGGTTTGGGGGAGAATTTTAGAAATGCTGGGGTAGGGAGCTGTTTGGGGATTATCACAATGCTAGCACCACTTGGTGTGCAAGGGAAAAGGCTTTCCCACAACATACAAGGCAGTCAGGACCCCAAAGCAAAGTCCCCACCCCAAGGACTTGGGAATAACCCACTGGATGTGCCTGTCAGTGAACATCCTGCTTCACATTATCTAAGCCTGGAACCACCTTCCCTTTCACACAGAAGTACAAGGTCTTCTCACACATAAAAATCCACAATGTTTCCCGTGCCACTTTATTTGGCTTTAGTTTCTCTGAAATAAAACTGCTGGATGCATTCAGTGAAAACCAAGAGTCGTTTCACAAAATCACATCACCAACAGCAATGTCACTGTGGTAGCTGAGTGGCCAATATGCTCTACTCTGAGTCAACAGCATCTGGGGTGGCACAGTGTCAGGGTGGCACAGTCACGAGGTGGCACAGTCTGGGGGGTGGCACAGTCAGGAGGATCCCACCCACAGGCCTGGCCACCTGCCCACCCCCCTTGTCTCGTAATGCAGCAAAGCCTGGAGGATTCCATCCCCATCATTCTATTTCCTTAGTTTATATTACTTTCCTCTTATTTCTCCTTGATTTCCTAGCTAGGGCATTATATTATCTCTGAATGTCATCACAAGACAGTGAAGGGGATGATACAAAATATCTGTTCTAAAGCAGGAGCACCAGCATGGCCAGGGCAGAGAGCCACCTGGACAATGAGTGACAACTGGCAATCCCCACCTGGCTCGGCAGCTGGGCTCCCGCGGGGGCATCCTGTTTATTTGGGCATCCTGATGAGAGACCAGAGCCAGGAGCAGTGGGACCCAAGGGTCCTTTGAGCCCAGGTCCTTCACTGGGGCCAAACAAGAACCAAGGAGATGGAGCTGCCTTCCCGGAGCACACAGTCACATAGGGACAGGAGTGGGGCTCAGGTGGGGCTGCCCCTCATCCCGTCAAGCAGAGGCCTCAAGGACAACAGGGGACCCTGTGATCCCCAGGAACTCAAGGTCAGTCTTGAAGAGTAAGGACCATGTGGACGTAAAATGGGTTTTGGGAAGAACCAGCAAAGGGCCAGAGGCAGGCTGAGCCTCCCACACTGGATGGGGAGTGGGCTGGACAATTGAGTTGAATGGCCAGGTTGTCTCAGTGCCCCCAAGGACAGCCCTGAGCCCAGGTTTCCACAGGCCCCCAGCACAATGAACTCACCAGCAAAACATCTTCTGCATTCAACCCAAAAGAAAAAAAATATATTCCTGTAAAACCTGTTCTGATTACGGCCAGCGTGATAAAGCTGATTGTCCCAGGAGATAAAAGCAAAATTGCACAGGGTCACCCCTTTTCCCTGAACAAGGCGCAGTGAACGCATCGCACCGTGACAGGGTCTTAAATACGAGATAAAGTGGAAGTGACAGCTGAGTTACAGGCAAACGAGAGCCAGATCATTGCGCATCTATAAATCAGGGAAACCCACCTCAGGCAGAGCCACGGAGTCATTCTGCTTTAATCCAGTCCAAACGTTGTGGTGTCTGCCCCGACCCTTGGGAGGCTCCACTCGTGGCATCCAGGCCCAGCCCCTGGTCCCACCTCAGAGCCACCTGTGACATGGATTCCACCCCCCGCCAACATCCCCAGGCCTCCACACCCCAGCAGCACAGGTTTGCCTGCCGCACCTTGGTCGTCTCTTCAGGAACCAACATGCCTCACTCTGGATCCATGTGGCTGGAGTGGCCATGGGGCCCCAGACTGCCCGTCAGCTTCTGTCCTCTGACCATGGTGACCACGGTGGCACGTGACCCACAACAGTGCAGTCGGCGCAAACCCTGAGACATGCGGAGGAGCAACGGGGAGGACAACAACCTCCATCCAACCTGGAGGTCCAGATGCCCTCAGTCATCAACAAGACTAATGTCAAGTATGCCTGGAATATATCTGTCTAGGCCCCTTAGATGGATAGTGGACAGGAATGTGTCATTTCCCAAAAAACAGTCTCAACAATTTGAATGATTATAAAGACAGTGAATGGCATTGCTATTTTCTGTGTTTTCCCACTCTCTCTCTCTGAGACTTGAGTGAAACGTATTTCAAATGAAAATTTGTGGGTATTTGTTAAGGGCCTACTGTATGCCTAGCTCCCTGTGTGGTGTAGGTCGGCACACAGAGTGACCTGCCTGAGATGGGCCAATGCAGGGGAGCACAGAGTCAAGAAGATCTGGTTCTGATGGCAATCCTTGAACCCCTGGATGCAGCCTTATCTGAAGCCTCTAGGCTCTTCAAACATGAGAGCTAAATAATCCCCTGTCTTCATGCAAAGCTGATTTGAGCTGACTCTCTAACCCTTTCAGGTAAGATAGTCCTGGCTGACACATTCTCCTCATTTCTCCCATACCCCCTGTATCTTTCTCTCCAACCCAAATGCTACTTCTGTGGCCTGGGCCTCATCACCACACATCTAGACATCAGCAAACCCCCTCCTAGGCCCCAACCTCCAGTGTTGCTTCCCAGCCCATTCTCCAGGCCAGAGGCACATACATAGAACAGGTCATAGTGTGCCCCTCCCAGACCAAAGCCATTCAAAGGCACCCAGTTAGGACAAAGGCCCAGCTGATAAGCAGGACAAATGTAGGGTTCTTATATTCATCAGGGGGTCTTTGGGAGACTCCAGCAGCAGGCTTCCTTTCTTCTTGGAGATTCCAAACTTCCTCTGATCCAGGAGGACTTGCAACTTCCTTGGGTATGTCTAGGTGACCCCAAGAGCTTGGAGCTCAGGACATCTCTTCTATCATGGACAGTGTCAAGGCATCACAAAAATTTTACAAACCCAAGAATCTCAACTTGCTCACTCTCTCCTTTTTTCTCTCTCCCAATCACAGAGGGAAAAAAAAAAAAAAACGCAGGTCAGCGAGGCCGACTGCAGATCACAGCCCCTTAACTCTGTACCTGCTGAAGTCCCCCCAGATTCCCATCCCAGCACCCCCGCTAATCCTCTGCAATGATTAGACGGTCAGGAACTGGGAGCCGTCGCAGCTGCGATTCTCATTAACTGAGTTTAAAAGACCTGGCACGTACAGAGCTCCTCTGTAATCACAGTGCCAGCAAATCTCTGAAATAATAGATATTTCCAACTTAGCCTTCTGGATTTCATAGAGCCCCCAAGCTTTCATTTAAAATCCATTTTATATGAAGTTATCTGAAAATGAACAATAGGAGTCTCAAAGAGATGTCTCCCCAGACACCGGTGTGAAGGCTGCTGAAAGAGATCAATCCACAAATCCATTTGCCTTTTAGATAAAACACACAGGGTCCCAGTGGGCTTGTCTCCACGTCCATGATAGGAAAAGAGCTCTCCTTGCCATGAAGATGGAGACCACAGTTCTTAACCACTTATGCCATTTCATGTCCTGGGTGAAGTGTCCATCCTCAGAATGGATAGAATAGCCTTCACTGGACAAAGCAGGGCCCACTATGTGCTGAGCACTCTCCAGGTGGCAGGGTCTGGAAGGAAGAGTGAGACTTTGACCCCAGACCATCCACTCGGGGACAGCCTTGCCCGTTGTTCACTCTGTGTGCCGACCTACACCACACAGGGAGCTAGGCACACAGTAGGCCCTTAACAAATACCCACACATTTTCATCTGAAATACCTTTCACTCAAATCTGAGAGAGAGAGAGTAGGAAAACACAGAAAATAGCAATGCCATTCACTGTCTTTATAATCATTCAAATTGTTGAGACTGTTTTTTGGGAAATGATACATTCCTGTCCACTATCCATCTAAGGGGCCTAGACAGATATAGTCCAGGCATACTTGAAATTAGTCTTGTTGATGACTAAGGGCATCTGGACCTTGGTTTCCATCTTTATAGCTGTGTGACCATGAGCAAGTGGCTCAACTTCTCTGATTCTGTATCTGCCTCTGCAAAATAAGAATGATCATAGTCTACATCATTGGGCTATTATGGGGATGAAATGCAATGATGCTTGGGAAATACTTATTGGAAGTGCTTAATAAATTTCAGCTATTACTTCTGCTACTGTCATCATCAGATTGACAGCTCAACCATGTACACAGTAGTACAAGTTTCCCTAGTGCCACCCAGTTGAGTAAACGAATGAACGGGTGTTGTAATTTTATGGAAAAAACCTCCTTCCACCTGCTTCTACCCAATGATCCAGTTTTCCTTCCAAACCCTCTGTCTGACCCTCCATGGGCCACAGAGTCCTCCCCATTGCCATCCCAGTTAAGTAAAATGGTCTGGAATCCTAGAGAATTACTGCACTTAAATTCCCAGTCAAGTTCAGTATTTGTGACTGAAACCTACATCTAACCCTTCAGAAGCCAAAGCTCCATTCCCCAACTGTCCACATTTCCAGCCAGGCTCCTTCCCAGGCATGGAAACTTCAGGGCAGATGGAAACGGGCTGCCCATTGCCAAAGCTCAGAATACCCTCTCCGCCTTCACCACTAATGGCGCCTGAAGAGGGCTCCCAGGCATTTCCCACCTTAAATGGCCAGGACCACTGAGTGGGATTCACACTTGGAAATCTAAGTTGGTTCTTTTCCCCTGGCGTCAGCTGACTATCTCTTCACACAGGGGTTGGGCTTTTCTCACCTCCCAAGAGCTGGCTTGAGAGATGTCAGGAGGAGAGAGGGGGATGAAATCCACCCTCAGCTTGGTGCGCAGCCTCTCATTGGAGCAGCATTGGATAATTAGGCCAAATAGAGGGCAGACTTACGAGGGAGCTTCCTGGGTGCAGCAGGAGGGGTGCAGCTTTGTTCTTCTTCAGTAAGACCCAGAGAGTGATGCTAATTGTTACTTTAGGTGTGTGGAGTGGAGACTATTTGTGAAGCAGGAGGGGAGTTCGTGGGCTGTGACTAAAGAGGGCATAATGAGTGTGAAAAGAGAAGAACCTCTGGGTCCCTTAAGCTGAAGCTCAGTTAAGCCATCCAATACATTCCCTACAAATTGGCACTTTCAGCTCCAGCCTCCATGCTTTTGTTGTGCAGTTGAGGTAATGATCACCCGTGCTGTGAGAAAGGCATGCAGGCTGGCAGAAACCACTCATGGCACAAAGCATTCTTTGGTTTAAAAAAAAAATCATAAAATAAAAAAGAAAGCTGTTTAAGCTTAAAAACTAAAAAAGAAGCGGTTGGCTCCAGTTGTCGACATGTTTTATAAAGCAACAGCAAAATGAAAAAAATAAAAAATAAACTGTCCCAGAGAACTGAGAGAGGGCCAAAAATATTAATACACGGGAACATGGCGAACCTTCTACAAGCTGTAAATATTTTCCTAGTTTCCCACGTGTAGTCAGCAAGTACGGCAGTTCTTTTTCTCTCTCCACTCTTCCTGTTGGAAATCTATGTGGAATAACAATTTTGCCAGAAAAAAAAAATATATTAGGTTGAAGAAATTGTGTCTGCCAGGGACTCATGAATTGGTTTCATATATCAGAGGGAGGGGGTTTCAACCCCCAGAGCGAGGAAAATGGAGGAGGATATACAAAACAAAGAAAAAGACCACCAGAGCTTAAAACTAAAAATAGAGTTTGATGTATGTGAATGTCTTAACTTGCCGAGCATGGGGCACGGACCAGTGAAGAAACTCACTGAGGGTGGGGTGGCACCGAAGGTTCAAGATGCCCAGATCAATTTGAATCGAGTGATTTCTCAGTAGAAGTACAGTACACCCCCATGCAAACTTGAGTTTAACTGGGCATCCTGTATTTTTATTTGCTGAATCGGGCCATACCGCTGAGTGGGAGAGGCATTTCAGTGGTTGGAAGAGGGGCTCCTGGTGGTTCTGCTAACGAAGGATTGATAACGCACATCCTGATTGGACAGAGCGAGCTTGTGGGTCCGTTCATAGTTGGTTGAAACAAGGAAGGAGTCTCAGGGGAGACCCAGGAGGTGGGCGTCTCAGGGTGTCTAAGTCTGCGTGTCAGCTGTAGTGACATATGGCAGGTTCTATGTGACCCCAACAGTGCTGCCAAAAGGGGAAACTTTGCCTTTTACAGACACCACCTCAGAAAAAGCTGGACCTGCACTGCTTCCTCAACCCTCACGTACTGCTGAGATTCACAGCCATGCTTCAGCCTTGAAAGTCATCTCGGAAGATAAAGCCATCTTCCCTGGTTACGAGAGAGAGGAAGACTCAGAAATGTCTGCTCCCCATCTTCCTCAGGAGTTCTGCCCCTAGGAAGGAAGGAAGAAGAGCTGCCCTCCAAGGCCAGGGTTCCTCACTGAGCCAGTTCTCCCTTCTGCAAAATGGTCACAAAGCCCTCTGCAAGGGGTTGCTGTGACCATCTGTATGAGATCATTCTCACATTGCTACAAAGAAATCCCTGAGACTGGGTAATTTATAAAGAAAAGAGGTTTCATTGGCTCAGTTTTGCAGGCTGTACAAGAAGTATAATGCTGGCATCTGCTTGGCTTCTGGGGAGGCCTCAGGAAGCTGCAATCACAGCAGAAGGCAAAGGGGAAGTAAGTACATCACAGACCAGATCAGGAGCAAGGGCCGGGGGAGGGGCCACACACTTTTAAACAACCAGATCTCGCGGGAACTCACTCGTGATCGCAATGACAATACCCAGGGGAAGGTGCCAAACCATTCATGAGAAATTCACCCCCATGATCCAATTACCTCCTATCAGGCCCCACCTCCAACACTGGGGATTAGAATTCAACATAAGACTTGCAGGGAATACAGATCCAGACCATCTCACCATCAAATCAGAGCATGCAGGGAAGTGCCCCACGGGGGCTGGGGAATGCTGGTGCCCTGAGGGTGACCAGGACAGCCTCAGACTCAGGGCAGAGCCCAGAGGAGCAGTCCCTGGTGAGTGCAGCTCTGGGTCCTCTCTCACCTCTTGAGAAAGGGGAACCCAGCCTTCCCTGGGGACAGCCTCCAGCCACCGGCCATCCACAGCCTCTCCTTCAACACTGTCATCCTCAAGAAGCAAACCCCACTTCCACCCAAAGCCACATTTCCATCTCCCCACGCCTTCCCCCAAATCGTAGTGTCTTAGATTGAGGGAACTGCCTGCACGCTGACAACAAATGTGATAAACCAGGAGTGAAGCCCTCCATTGTTTGGGAGCCCCGCTGTCAGGCTCCCGCAGAGCTCTCTGCCTTTGCTCCTCTCAGCCTCTGCAGATCCCTAAAATTGGGAGGTGTAGTCATGATCCCCTTTTCCAGATGAGGAAATGGGGGCTCAGAGTTGTTAAGCAATATGCACAAGGTCACTGAGATGGCACACAGCAAACCCGAGACCTGAGCTACGTCGGATCCCAAAACCCAGACATTTATCCGGTACTCTACCCATTTCTAGTCCTGGACCCAGGCTACCCCGTGCAGATATTGCCAAGGAGAATGGAGAAGACTAGCAAACTCTTATTCATCCTTGAAAACCCAACTCACTCATCACCTCCTCTGTCCTCTTCTGTCTCATCTGGGGCTGGCTCTGAATCACATATACCCTATGTCATTTCGTATATAAGGCTGCGTTATCATTTAGTTGCATTCACATCTGCTTACCTGCTAGATTGAACTCCTGGGGGACGCATAGTGCCTGCTTCTCCATTTCTGCACCCATTTCATTTCCATGGAACCCTCCAGCTGCACCGGCCCCCTTTGCATTCTTCAAACACCCCATGCTGCTCCTGCCTCGGGAACTATACTCCACACCACCCGCTCTGTGGGAAATTCTTCTGATCTTCCACACCAGATCTGCACCCACATGTCTCCTCCTCAGAGAGACCTGCCCTGACCGCCTGTTTAACACAGCCCCACAGCCCCTGGCCTGTCCCTGCCCCCACTGGCCTCATGCCCTGGTGTGACTCTCTTCCTAGCACGTCATGCCTCTCTCCCTGGCACCAGGTCACACGTGCATTTGTTTCCTGGCTTCATTATCTGTCTTCCCACTCGATGTGCCAGCTCCAGGGAAGCAGAGACCTTGCAGGTCTGACTCCCTCCTGGCACCAGACACATCAAAAGCTCTCAACACACGTCCATAGGATGAAGGAACCCTCGATGTCTGGCACTGTTAATGAATTTAGTCTTAATTAATCATCTTAACAGAAATGTCTCAAAACCTCCCAAGGAGGAAAGCAGAATTTGTTCTTACTACATAATGGATCTTTCTTCCTAGCCATCCACTTATTTCCTCCCAGAATATCTTCCCCTCTGTTGTAAGAATGGAGACCTTGGAGAACAGTCCAGGAAGAAAATCCCAGCTTCCTGCCTAGAGATCTGTCCACCCTCTTGCTAGCCCACTAGCTTGCAGTTGGCTCAGCCGTGGACCTGGGATGTTATATATTCATTAATTAATCAATTCAGCTCCGATGCCAGCCTCTGCTTGCCCACTCACTAATCCAGCTGAGGGACAGTTGGGACCACCCTAATACTGGGCGTGGGCCAGGCATTTCCAACAGCCAAGAAAAGCACCATGTGCTATGAAGGGAAAACACACTAGCTGAGCTCCCCTCTAAACACCACACATAAGTACAAATCTGTTGATAAGGGAAGAGGCCATGGAGATGGACTAGGGAGAGTCTCAGATACCTAACTGGTGGATACACACACTGGCATCCTCCCAGACCAGTGCCCTGGTAATTATCTAGGAGGTGACCTGTAGCTCAACTGAGTCATGCTTCCTCCTCTCTCAGTCCCCCGAGGCAGGCTCTGGACACCTGCTCATCTCATGGCTGCTCAGCCAGAAAAATGTCCTCCTACATCGTGTAGATGATCCCCTTGCTGTTGTCTCAGAGCCATTTTCCAGCTCTGGGTCCACAACAATGGGGGTATGGTAGAAACCTAGGGGGTCAATGAATCAGTCAAAAAACACTGGCTGAGCACCCCAGCGATAGAGTGATTACTGCCTATAGGCAGGGAAAAAGAGTGTGGGGTGGTGGGGTCTGGAGGTAACATTATCCGTGAATTTCATTTAGGGATTGTTACAAAGAGTGGACGCCAACCAAAACGCATATTTTCTCCAAAGACATGTGCAGTAATATTTTAGCAGCACTTTTGTGGTGGCCAAAAACTCAATGCAACGCCCATCAGCAAATACTGTTCAGGAGCAGAAATGGACGCTAGGGCCACTCACAGCAACGGGGATGCTCTCTCAATCATGACACTGGGCAAAGGCAGCCAGGCACAAAGGAGAACATCTGGATGGTTCCACTCACACAAAGTTCAAATCACAGCAAAGCTAATCTTTGCAGAGGGAAGTCAATGAGAGCCAGGGAGGACGGTGACCCTGGGGGCCACTGGGGGAGGCTGGCAATGCTTTGTTTTCTAATCTCCAGGTGACGGTTACAGGCGAGTCCTCTCTTTGACATACTCAATTAAGCTCTGTACACTTGAGCGTCTGTCCACTCGTAGGTGTGCATACTTCCACTGCGGATTTAAACTTTCAAAGAAGTCTAGGGTGTTAGGTCTGGAGGTTTCCCCAAGGTTTTCCACAGATGAGCAAATGGGCCTAGAGGTGGACAAAGGGCCCAGACGTGAGCAAAGGATGGCAGCAAGCCCGGACCCAAGCGACGCGGCGAAAGCACAGCGACCCCACCCTCGCCAGGTGCAGAGCCATTTCCGCCTCCGAGTCCTGCGTTGCCTGGCAACCGGTCTCCCAGGAGACGCGAGACGCTGAGCCCAGGGCCAGAGCTTGCGGGGCGCACAGAGCCCCCAGGCCTCATGGCGCAGAAACCTCTCAGCACCGCGGCGGCTGAACGCATGAACCTTGTGGGTCAGGATGAGATCTGGTAACGCCTGGGATCGGGCAACGCGGTGGGCTCCTGTTCTCACCTGAAGTGTCCACATCTGGGGTCTCAGTTTCCCCACCAAGTCCGGGAAGTGATCGACCACTAAACTCGAGGGGCAGAGGGGCGTGCGCTGAGGATGGTCAGGGGCCTTGAGGAAAGGGGTCAATGTTAGGGACATGAGAGCGACAGGAGGGCCTTTCTCCGTCTCCTTCTCCCTCTCCTGTTGGGCCCACCACGAAGACGTGGGAGATTGGCTTTCAACAATCAGCAGAGATTGGCTTGTTGAAATCCAACTAACATGTTCATGTTTTTTTTTTTTCTTCAAATCTCAGCATCCAACCAGAACGTGTTCATGTTTTTAAGACTGATGATTTTTGTTTGTTTGTTTGTTTGTTTTTTGAGATGGAGTCCTGCTCTATCCTCCAGGCTGGAGTGCAGTGGCGCGATCTCGGCTCACTGCAACCTCTGCCTCCTGGGTTCAAGCAATTCTCTGCCTCAGCTTCCCGAGTAGCTGGGATTACAGGCGCCCACCACCACACCCGGCTAATGTTTTTGTATTTTTAGTAGAGACGGGCTTTCACCATCTTGGCCAGGCAGGTCTTGAATTCCTGACGTCGTGATCCACCCGCCTCGGCCTCCCAAAGTGTTAGGATTGCATGCGTGAGTCACCGCGCCTGGCCAAATTTTTTTTTAAAAAAAGAAAGCAAAAATCCTAATATTTGTTAAATTTGAATGAAGTACATGAAAATCCCTTGATTCTCCTGGGTTTTTAAGTAATATATTTTAACTTTAAAGATACATCCATTTTCTAAAAGATGTATGTCTAGCAGACATTTGTCGTGGATATTTTAATTGGCATGCTATCTGCTACGTATTATTGCATCTCTTTGAAAGTTTAACTCATATGGGAATTTACAGATTTAGATATAAGTAAGTTGTAGTAACAATAAAACATACTTGTTTACCTTCTAAACTTCAGTTATCCTATTTACCCTCTCTATAATTTTTACCATTTCCTTGTAAAACCTCTATTAGTCACTTCATATGTGTCTTTAAATTGTTTTCACTTGATGATTTTATGGAAAACTTCATATCACTCTCATAAATAGAAAACCTTTATCATTTGGCATAAAATACACAACTATTTTTTACTAAATCTTTATCCAAGTGTCCCAATAGGAGATGCTGCCACAGCAGGATCTGTTCCCTCTGTCTGAAATGCCCCTTCCTCTCTTCTTCACCATACAAACTTCTGCTCATCCTTCAAGACCCAAATCTAAGTGACCCCTCCTCTTTGAATAGGGCCCTTGGCTACCTAACACTTAAATTGTAACTGGTCCAAATTGGGTTCAGCCGTTAAGTGTAAACTGCGTGACAAATTACGATGATTTATTTAAAAAAAAAAAAGATTATTTAAGTGACTGTCAGCCGGATGCAGTGGCTCACACCTGTAATCCCAGCACTTTGGGAGGCCGAGGCCAGGAGTTGAAGACCAGCCTGGCCAACATGGTGAAACCCCATCTCTACTAAAAATACAAAATTATCCAGGCATGGTGGCACACACCTGTAATCCCAGCTACTCAGGAGGCTGAGGCAGGAGAATTGCTTGAACCCAGGAGGCGGAGGTTGCAGTGAACCTAGATTGTGCCATCGCACTCCATCCTAGGCAAAAAAAAGGCGAAACTCCATCAAAAAAAAAAAAAAAAAAAAAAAGACTGTCACCTGTTTATTCTTATGTTCTTTTTAATGTAGTTACTAGAACATTTCAAATTGTGTATGCAGCTCATGTTTGTGGCTTATGTTACATCTTGATTGAAATAGACTCTGCCTTAGATGCTCACTGCCCAGGGCAAAGAGTTGACCAGGGTCTCCGAAACTGTGGGGTAGGGATATGCTGATATTGATTCCAAGATAGAAGAAACTAGAAAACTCAAAACGATTGAATGTTTAATTTGATGTTTGCAAAATGTGGCACGTGGGCTCGTCTACTGCAATGCCACTCAGCTCATGGGTAGTTAGATATAAACAATATTAGCATGGAGCAAAAGCAAGGTCGGATTAGGGTGGGGCAAGTGAGGCACTTGCGCTGCAATATTTAGGAAATGCTCCACGTCAAGGTCATGCAGACGCTGTCTCTGCACTTGCAGGAAGCAGGGAGTGAGTGCCTCCTCCACTTTTGCACCTCCTCAAATTTTGAGTCATAAGGGCCTCCAAAATAAGAGATCTGGTACCTAGAAGGCTCCTCAGGCAGAATCGGCCCCCAGACTGGCCCTTACCCGGCATTCCCTCTCAGCCGTAACAGCCAACCAGCATCTCTCTTTCGTTAGCCACGTGTCTCCCTTGCTGGTGGGAGGTGCTCAGCATCAGAGGTTCTCACGCTGTCTGGCTCCTCACTCCGTCCCTGGTGCAGAACCACTGCCCAGTCAATGTTCGTGGAGAATGGAAATGTCCCCCACAGACCCCTTGAACCTTTTTCCGTGTTGCCCAGCACTCAGGAACTTTCTTTTTCAGGAAATACCGTCTGAAGGCTGAATCGGAAGCACGGCAGAACTGGCCCCAGAACTGGGGGTTTTTAACAACCCCTTTTGAGGAGGTAAATATAAATTGTATGAGCCCCAAGGTTACAGAATCAATCATTTCAAAGAATGAATGATTACAAAGTCTATCACTTGCAAGAATAAAACTAAAGAGCATGTTGTAGGCAAAGATCACTAACTCCTAAACCAGAAGGTTCCCGCCTTTCACAGATTCCTGGGCACTGACCACATGCCAGGCATGTTCTAGGTGCTTCGGCAGAACCAGATGATCAAATCTGGACAAGAACCCCGGTGCAGAGACAGGTGTTGTTTTATGCCCATTTACAAATTAGGAAATTGAGCTCCAAGACCTGCAAAGTCACACAACTGATAAGGACCCTACTCAGGTGAGAAGCAGGTGGGTCTGATGCCACAGCCACCTGACCTCAGACTTCCCATCTGTAAAGTGGGATGAGAGTCCTCACCTGCCTAACTGAGCGACTGTGAGGTGCAGATACAAGAAGGCTATGGACACCTCACCTGGCCTGGAGGCCAAGTGACATATGAGGGATTCTTGGGAAAATGCTGTCGGTATTCCCTAAAGATGACAAGTCCAGAAGTCTACAGGGACCAGCTAGGTGACAGAAACAGGAGACAGGGCCAAGCATAATTAATCAGAAGGGGTGGAGACTCAGGCAAAGAGGCCACTGGTCCTGTCCAAAGAGGCAGCCAGCATGAGCCCAGCCAAGTGAAACCATATGGGAAAGCCAACTGCATATTCCCATCACTCAAGAGAGTCCAGAAAGCCAGATGTTTACATGAAATTTTCTGAGTCTAGAAATGAAATGCTTATGTGGGTTCTGGTGGGGTGGTGGCCACCAATCTGCAACCTCTCAAACTTCAGGACAGAACACAAGAGATGCAGAATTAATTAAAACACCACATCAGTCAAAGTATCTATGATTCACAGCAGTGTAAAGCCCATTTGTAATTCATCCCATCCTACGAGCTTTGAAATTATGCTGTTCTTAATGAGGGTGTTTTTAATTCTTAGAGGGTTCCACAGTTTGAAATTTTATGCATAGAATGAGTTCTTATTAATATAATATGCATAAGGAGTCTATATTAATATTCTTTATATGTAATTAAATTGGGTTTTCAAAAAGCTTGATATTGCTTGAAAAATTAAAAAGGGGAGTGGACGCTCTCCTCTAATATTTTAAAGTTCGGTCCTGAAAACTTTTTGGCATTTTTTGTTAGTTTGTTTGTTGTTGTTTGAGACAGGGTCTGGATCTGTCACCCAGGCTGGAGTGCAGTGGCATGATCTCAGCTCACTGCAGCATCCACCTCCAGGCTGAAGCCATCCTGTCACCTTGGCTCCCAAGTAGCTGGGACCACAGGCACATGCCATCATGCCCAGCTAATTTTTGTATTTTTTGAAGAGATGGAGTCTTGCTAAGTTGCCCAGGCTGGTCTTGAACTCCTGAGCTCAAGCAATCCTCCCACCTCGGCCTCCCAAAGTGTTGGGATTACAGGCATGAGCCACCACACTCAACCCTTTTTGGCATTTTAAAACTTGAGTCCGTAACTGGTAACGTTTTCTCAAATTCCCCCACAGGGGATGTAAATCAGGAGGCTGTGGTGAGCAGCAGGAGGGGATGGAGATGGGTCTCAGCTTTGGGTGCAGCAGGCCTGCGTTGAGGTCCCCACCCTACTTTCCTAACGGTGTAACTAAGACAAGCCTCTGCCTCCCATTTCCATGCCCCACTTCTGTGTCTATAAAATGCGCCTTCTAGGGGAAGCAATGGGGAGGACACTCCCCCAGCTTCACCTGAGGCTTCCCGTCTCTGGGGATTCTGTTTCAGTACATTTCCCCCAGCTTCACGTAAGACTTCCCATCTCTGGGGATTCTGTTTCAGTTGATCAAGTGTGAAGAAGATCTCCCCACCCCAAAGCCCAAAATCGAGCTTCCTGAGCGTTTCCGCATCCGGCCGGTGACCCCAGTGGAGAAGTACATCAAGGTTTGAAACGTTTTTAAATACTCATTTTTTTAAAATACTCATTTTCCTAAGTAAGAAATAAGCCCCAGTGGAAACTGATGGCTCCAGATGTGCAAAGCCAGCACTGAAGGTAAGAGCACAGCAGTGCCAGGTGCAGAGTCCAGGTCCACGTCCTTCCCAAACCCAGCCATGGGAAACATGCCAGGCTAAAGTCTACAAGTGCAAGCACCATGACCTCCTGCTCTGCAGAAGCAGAGAGAAGGCAGGAAAATGGGGTCTTCATGCGTTCTTTCAGCAAACATTTCCAGGGTGTGGGCAGGAAGGCAGGGCAGACCCAGGCAGGGACTCTGGAATCAGACCACCAGATCCCTGTGCTGATAGGCTGCTCACCTTCTGTGTGGTCTTGGGCAAGTGGCTTGACCTCTCTGTGTCTCCCCTGCCTGTCTTATACAATGGGGGTTAATGAAGCACCTACTTCAGGGAGTACCCTCAGGGTTCAGCAGGCTGCCCAGCATGTTTAGAGAGTGCCGATGACAGTCAGCTATTACTAAGGTGCAACAGCTTGGTTGGGAAAACAGTAATGAACAAGAAGGCAAGACCCCAGCCCACATGTCTGGGTCTAGAGAACCAACATTAACCAAGAAAATCAACACCATTTGGATACGCTATGCTAGCACCATGGAGGAAACAGGCCGGTGGTGTGTCACAGGATAAGAGAGGGCGGGGTGGTCAGGGAAGGGGCCCTTTGAGCTGAGGACTGAAGGATGACCAGGCACCAGCCCTAGGAAAAGTATTCTAGGCGCAGGGAACAGCATGTATGAAAGCCCTGAGATAGAACACAGGCTGCTATGTTTCAGGAACAGCAAGGCAAGGCGATGCGACAGGAGCTTGGGTGGAGGGTGGGGGCAGGAGGAGAAGGTGTGGGTGGAGAAGGGATGTGAGTGGAAAAGTGGGCAGGCTAGAAGAAGGAGTTGCAATTGGAGTCCAATTTAGAGAAGCCGCTGGAGGGTTGTAAGCAGGGCCATGGAAAGGCAAGACCTGCCTATTGGAAAGATGGCTCTCATTGCTAGTGGAGAAAAGATTGTGGGGAGAGGGACAGGAGTGACCAGGCCAAACCCAGAGAAAAGAGGCCTTAGACGATGCTCTCACCTGAAGCCTGCACCACGGCGGACATGGCTCAGATCCCTCTAGAAACAGTTGAGCTCCATATGTCTCATGGGTCTGTCATTTTGGCTGGGAGTTCTGCCCTCTGCCCAGCTATGGAGAAGGTGGTTCTGCGTGCTGATGGGGAGAGCAGATGAAAACCCAAGATGAAGGCCGCAGGGCAGGAGGAGTTCAGCTGCAGCCTTTTGCCTGGCATGCTCGTGGTCTGATGGGGTAGCTGGCACATAGTGAGCATTTGGGGGGTATGCATCTGTGAGCCCCAATGAATGAATGAATGAATGAGCTCCACTGAGTTATGTTGACAGTTTTTACCCCAAATATAAAGCAATATAGAGTCACTGCTAAAAAATATTTAGAAATACACCAAAATATAATATAATTAAAACCCACATATAGGCTCTTACCCATGATTAACATTTTGGGGGTGCTCCTTCCAGAGGTTTTCCTACACATCCCTTGACCTGTAAGAGTAACCACCCCACCAGCTCAAGCTATTATTATCTCTTAGCCGCTCACCGTGGTGACTGCTTTACATTGGGTGTCTCATCTTACTTCCACTGCAGCCCCGGATATTATCATCCTCAAACCCATTTTGCAGATGGGAAAGCTGAAGCTTAAAAAAGCTGAATTCCTTTCTCTGGCCACACAGCAAGTGTGTCTGATTCCAGAGCCCTGCTTTTAAATGTTACCCTCAAATATTCCTCAAATGTATGTTCATGTATACGTATATACACACTTGTGCACATACACACATACTTTTTAGGTATATGTTTACAAATCAAACTACACAGGCTGCTTTGTAATCTCATTTTTCCACCTAACAACATACCCTGGACATCTTTCCATGCAGTTTAAAAAAGCACTCTAAATAGCTATTATATTAATGGCTGTGTTTTTCTCCACTGTGTGGATCTGTCATAATTTATTTAACCATCCCCCTATTCCTGGCCATTGAGGTTGTATCCGGCATGAGATTTGGGAGAATAATCGTGCAAGGAACACCTTGTAGACACAGAAATTTGCTCTGAGTCCGTAATTTTCTTGATATTAGTGCCTACAAAGGTGATTGTTCAGATGAAATGCACACATTTAGGGAGCTCGCTCTCCTGTGGCCTAGAACACTGGGCTGGCCGGAGAATAGAGGAAGAGAGACTGGGATGTAGGTGGGACATTTTTCCAGAGCTGGGCTTTAATTCTGCCAACTCCCTGCCTCCACCTGCCTCCATCCCAAGAATACGGTGGCATGGGATCTGCTTAGTGTCTATAATGTCCCTCAGCCACATGCTGTCCCCACAGATCCCTTGCCGGCCCATGAGACTGGACTTTCCCTCTGCCACCAGGGCCCCTGGGCCTGCTCTGCACAACCACAGTTATTCTCTTTCCAAAGAAAGCGCCCCCACCTAGATACCAGAGAGGTGCCCCTCCTGGAGGATGGGAAACAGGGAGGAACCATCCAGGCACCAGAACATACCAAAACATGGTTATCTCCTGTGAGAGACTCCTGTCTAGGAGCAAGGGCCAGCTCTTAAAGCCACACTCACCAGACAGAGCCTGTGGGGTGGCAGGGGTAAGGACAAGAACCTTGATTCAGGCGAGAAAGGTCCCCAGCCTCTGCTTCCCTCCAAACTTCCTTTCTTGCCCAAGAAATGGTAATGGTGGCCGGGCCAGTGGCTCAAGCCTGTGATCCCAGCACTTTGGGAGGCCGAGACAGGCGGATCACGAGGTCAGGAGATTGAGACCATCCTGGCTAACACGGTGAAACCCCATCTCTACTAAAACTACAAAAAATTAGCCAGGCATGGCGGTGGGTGCCTGTAGTCCCAGCTACTCAGGAGGCTGAGGCAGGAGAACGACGTGAACCCGGGAGGTGCAGCTTGCAGTGAGCCGAGATCGTGCCACTGCACTCCAGCCTGGGCGACAGAGTAAGACTCCGTCTCAAAAAAAAAAAAATGGTAGCTGGTTTCCTTCTTCCACCTTTCTTCCACCTTCCTATCCTCTCATTGGTGACCAAAGCCTTTAAAAATATATTTATTTTTAATAGGTAACCTTGATACCTAAAAGGGCATCTGATGAGATGCCTCCCTCCCTCTGGACCCCTGGAGCCACTGTCACCCATTTGTCACGCACTCTTGCATAGACAAGGACATCCATGGGCCTCTGGCCTCATTTTCTTATTACACAGCTTGTACCATACTTTGAATAGTTTTGTGCACCTCTTTTCTCTTAGAAGTTTGTCTCATCCTTCTAAACCATTGCATGGCACACCACACATTGCATGGATGGGCCATAGTGAATGAGCCTCCGTGGGTGGATATGCAGCTTATGTCCAATTGTTTGCTATTACAAACAGCTCCGCAAGGCATCCCTTGCACCATCATGGGTGTGTACCTGTGTAGCTATCAGGATATTTTAGAATGAATGCCTCAGAGTAGATTGTTAGGTCAAAGAGTGTTTGCATCTGCACTTTCTTCTTTTTTTTTTTTTTTTTTTTTGCATCTGCACTTTCAAAAGATAATTGCCAGGCTGGGCATGATGGCTCATGCCTATAATCCCAACACTTTGGGAAGCCAAGGCAGGTGGATCAACTGAGGTCAGGAGTTCGAGACCAGCCTGACCAACATGGTGAAACCCTGTCTCTACTAAAAATACAAAAATTAGCTGGGCATGATGGCACTTACCTGTAATCCCAGCCACTCAGGAGCTGAGGCAAGAGAATCACTTGAACCCAGGAGGCAGACGTTTCAGTGAACTGAGATTGCGCCATTGCACCCTAGCCTGGATGACAGAGCAAGACTCCGTCTAAAAAAAGGAAAAAAAAAAAAAGATAATTGCCATATCGCCCTTGCTCCTATAATGCCCTTGTTAGTGGTGGTGTTTTCATCTTTTTGCCCCTCTGCTGGGTGAAACATGATGTCTCACAGTGGATTTCAACTGCATTTCTTTTACAAGTTAGATAAAGACTTGGAAGTTAGTCTGTGTGCTCCCAAAGGCCTGGCTGGACAAACAGCTTTGAGAGCTGCTTCCCTTCTGAACAATTTTACTTGTAGCTGGTTCAAGGAAGCTTTGGCCCCTCTGTCATTTGTTGATGACCCGCCCTACATGTAGCCTTGCAGGAGACTAATTTTAGGAGTTCATCAAGAACATATGCTAAGGGGTTTCGTCCACCAGCAGCAGCCAGCCCACTCGGGACCATCCCCTCCTGCCACCGCCTCACCGGCAGGTTCCATTAGTAAAAGTGAACTCATAACCCCAAGCATATTAAACCTCTTTATCTCAGTTCTTCTGCTAGAACAAATGTCCCGCACTGTTGCCTTTGTTCAAATCCCCTTATGCAGAACAGATTATTTCAAAAGAAGGGGAAAACCTGCCTAAACATTTACCCTCATTTTCCAAAAATGTCAAATCTGTCCAAGGAGTTGACAAATGAAGTTGTGTTTTTTCATTCCAGATAGAAGCCCATTTTCCTTTTGGTTTTTAAAATTAAATTCAGTTGCTTTTCATTCCTGTGATCTCCACGGTTTGGAGTGTGTGTGTATATACAGATGCATTTCGTAGAGGCTTCTCATCGAAACAGGGTGACGTGCACCTGCCGCAATGCCATCTGACAACAGTGCCATATATTTTATAAAAGGCAGTGAAAACTGTAGCACTTGATATTTCTGCATCTTTTTTTCTTTTTGCTTTCTTACCAAATAAAAATTATTTTGCTGGAAGTCATGAATTAAATATGTTAGGCATTACACGATAAAGAAACATGTTTGATGTTCCTCACTTCCCGGAAAGATGAGAGCCTCTGAGTCCAGCTGATTGGAATGTGCTTGTTTTCAGTACACATCAGGGAGGCTGGCTTTTCTTTCTGTCTTTTCCACCCCTGCCTCACATGCCGATGCTGGGTGCCTCGTGTCTCTGTGGCCGAAGGTCACTAAATCCCCTGTATTTCCATTCCAGGTCTTTCCATCCCCCCCAGTCCCACAGACCACCCAGGGCTTCATCGGCTGGAGATCTGCAGTGCCAGGCCTGAACAAGTGCCTAGAGCTCGACGATGCGATCAGAAGCTGCAAAGGTGCTTTTGCACGAGAGCTGTGCTGGCCCAAGCAGGGCGTGCACTGAATCCAGACGGAGTTCTGCCCAGGGGTGCTGCATATCGGTCACCAGGCACCCAGGGCCATGCCAGGGAAAGGAAGAGCTCCCCTGAATCCCGAGGACACAGTCCCCTGCGTACTTGCTCATGGGATGTTGCAAAGAACACAAAGTGTGCCTTAGACATTCTCAAGTCATCAGCGTCACCCTTCCAGAATGTTCACGTCCACACCCATTCTTGGCTAATGTAATGAATAAGGCTTCTCTCATTTGTTTTTGATACCTTGGGAATTTCTATGCAGGGCTTTAAAAAAAAATAAGTGATTCAATTTTAAAAATATTTGTCTAGGTCCTTCAATGTAGCTTTTCATTGCACCTATCATCATCCTTATTTATAACGAACTTGTTGATCAGGTGTTTCTCTATCCAGATATCCCTGGGCCTGTTTTTCAGGAAGAAGAATACACTTAGAGAATCCCTTGGCTCTCCTTGCTCAAGATATTTGCAATAAGTTAACAGCTTTAAAGGCAGAAATGAGCCCAAGATTTGCCACTGGGCGTAGATTCACAGGAGAAAAATGGGTTTCCCAATCCCTCTAAGAAAACCACTGCTGCTGACCTGTCCCAGCCACCCCCAGTCCAGCACAGAAAGCTCCAGGCTGCCCAAATGGGTCATTTTCCTTCCCCGAGTACATCAACCCCACAGTTACCATTTTCTTTCTAAACACTGTCTAGCTGTCTCTCTTCTCCTACTCCTACAAATGGGGGCTGGGGGCATGGAGTGTCCAGCTGGCCAGAAGGAAAAGCCGGCATGTCCTCAGGCCTCATGAACTGGACCCCAAAAAGTAGGAGAGCAGAGTTTGCAGCAGCCTGTGGGAGCTGGTTTGTGTTTCATTTCCAAGGAGTGGGGGGTTGGCGCGCTCTTCAGACCCGGCGTAGACAGGGCAGGAGGGGCTGTGTTCAGTTACCCATCCTCCGTGGAAACACAGGCCTTCCTCCCCTTTGTTGGTCAGGCCTCACTGTTCCTGGGATGGATTCCTCCATTTGTTTGGCTGACTGGGGCCTGAGGGGACTTCCACTGGGTGGCACCCATTGACAAGGCCCATCCACCCAAACATGTCCTGTTCACCTTCCTGTCCAGCCATGGGTGGGTGTGCTAGAGCCAACCCAGGAATCCCTCCACTAAGGCCTCTGAGAACCTAAGTCCTCTAAGCCCTGAACACTGGCTGTCACCCCTCTGGCATGTTCCTAAAGGGACTCCATGATTTGAGGGTCACTAAATACCAGGGGACAGAATTCCTATCAAATCTGGGTCCTCCCCTGCAAGCTCTGGGCTCAGAGCCCCCAAATCTCAGAAGCCCCAGCAGAAGAGCTTCTCTTATTCAGGGACTCTGTTCTTGTAAAAACTACCAGCCTTCCTCTTTCCAAGGGTCTGGCTGTAGACACCAACTACTCAGTGCTGAGAACAGAGCCACATAGCAGAAGGCTTCTCCCAGCCACCTAAATGGTTCTCTGTCTCCCCACACCCCTTGTCCAACCCCAGAGTGGGAAATTCCTAGATTGGCATGGGCTGCCCAGCCCAGAAGAGCTGATACCCAAGAGAACAGCCCTTCAAGGAGCCTTGTCGTTACCTCCGAGTATGGTGCCCACACACATCGCTGGGCATAGGGGCCAGGGCCATCAAGAAACATCATGGCTATTTAGGTTCTGAGAAAAGGGGGAGCAAGGTATTTGGTTGAATTGTGTCCCCCAGAAAGATATGAAGTCCTAGCTTCCAGTACCCATGGAGGCGAACTTACCTGGAAATAAGGTCATTGCAGCTGTGATTAGTTAGATGAAGATGAGGTCCTATAGAAGAAGGGTTGACTCTTTATCCAGTGTGATCGGTGTCCTCATGAGAAGAGGAGAGAGTGACACGCAGCGGGGACACGGTCATGTGGAGACACAGACATGCAGGAGAGGGCACCATGCCACACCAGAGGCAGAAATGGGAGGGATGCATCTACCAGCCACAGAATGCCAACATTTGCAGGCAAACCACGAGAAACTAGGAAGAGGCGAGGAAGGATTCTACCCCATAGATTTCAGAGGGAGCATGGCCCTGCCGATGCCTTGACTTCAGACTTCTGGACTCTGGAACGGTGACAGAACACATTTCTGTTGCTTTATGCCACCTCATTTGGGGTACTGGGTACAGCAGCCCCAGGAAATAAATATGGCCTTGAACACATGTTACCTCCTCCTCTCCTTCCCTTCTCAGAAGACATCCTCCTCTAACCATGTGTCTTTCACTGGTCTTGACCCGGGCTGAATCTATAACAGACAGATCACATGGCCCCTCAAACTCCAAAGATGTTTCTAATCACCCAGAGGTTTAGCCTGATGTAGACTAAACAACTGAATGCTTGGCCAAGCCTGTCCCTATTAAATCCTAATGTTTTGGCATCCAAGTCATTGCTGCAGGCAAAGCATCTGCCCTTGGAGGAACATTTGTCCCTTCTTGTGATCAGACACCTCCACCACAGTCAAGCAGTGGCCAGAAAGCGGGATTGCTTTGTGCTGACCTCTGTCTCAGCCGCATTTCCATCCCATTGCTAGAGCAGAGACAGCACCCGCCTTGGTGGGGGATGAACCTCCCATGTCAGGTTGTTTTTAGTTCTAATTCTTGATCACAAAACAAATCTAGGATTCATCATCCATGTCATCTGCGTGCCCACAACAGGTGGCAGCAAAAATCTAGCCCAAAAGGTGGGTTCCCTTGACCTGTCCTGACCCCTAGCCTGGACAGGAAATCAACATGTCCATTTTTACTCTTTTGAAACTCAGGGGTAAATTAACTTTCGCCCTGGTTTTCACTAACCTGTGTATGTTGACCAACAGCCCTGACTTTTAGGGAGACTAGTCAGCAGATCTTTCTGGTGGAAATGATCAGAGTGGAGCTGAGAAAGCCATGCCACCGTGTGGACAGCTGAACCTGCAGAAAGCCAGAAATCCCAGTGAGGAAGGCCTCTGAGGCTGGCCCGCGCCTCCTGGCCACAGCGTACCAGTGGAGGAAATGGGTGTGGGTGTACCCGTATTGGATCCATTTAACTCCAGTTCCTTGTGAGGACAAAAATTCAAGACACTCAGATCCAAAGTCTGAAGACACACATGTTCTCTGGACAATCAGCAGGTGAATACGTTTCAATATCTCAGAAATTATTTGATGCTTTTTTGCTACCCTTCAATTTAAATGACGCTCATGCCAAGTTTATGTATATGTGTTTAATGCCGTTTAAAACTATTCCTACTTAAAACATTACAGTGAAGTTCTTTTTAGCCTTTTGCTCTTGACAAAACATAGATGGTTAGATATTTTAAACTAACTGACATCTAGGAAGTCTTAGTTGGTGGGGTTTTTTTTCTTCTGTCCCCGGTAATGTATTCACCAACTAACCACATATGTGCTTTCATTTAAAGAAATAAAAACAAGGCAACATTTCTGCAGGTATCAAACTCCAGTGCCATGGTCCTCCCTACCGACACCCTCCCCCTGGACTCACAGAGTGACCTTTTGGCATTAAGCAATTTGGGCTGCACTCAAGAGTTTGTAACAGAGCACAAATGTCCAGTCAACGGCCCCAGCTGAGAATCGAAGTGGACAACATTCAAGGATTCAATTACCCTGGATGGCTTCAAACTTGACATTTAATCTATGGAAATCAACCTCTTTGTGGGTGTCCAAATGGGCCCATAAATGTCACCACACACTGTAAAATACCGCAACATTTCCAAGGTCGAGATGAGGCTGGTGAACCTGCGTCGATGATGCCGAAATACATCACAGCAACGAACCACCAGACGGGCCTCGGTCAAAATGAACCATCTCTGAAATGATGCAAAACATAATTAGGTTGGAGACTCGGAATGGATTCTGTCACAAGCACATTTCAGCCCAAGACAAATTAGAAACTCTTAAATTTGAGTTAGGAGAAAATGACATGATCAACTAAAAAATAAAATTACTGGAAAACACAACTATTCCCTTACACATCGACCCACACCTGAGTATCATTGTCATGATGGACTCTGGGTTTTCAGTACCCAAAGCCTGGGACCAGATTGTTGGGGAATTTATAATTTTGTGTATTTGAGAAACTGCATATGCTATATATTATATGTAACCCCTCTGGCAAGGTCTGAGGCAGCCCCTTGAAATGAAATCTATTAATATTTTATAACAAAACTGAGGAATATTCACACTCAATGAAATAAAGACTCAAAGGAGCCACATATGAGTTTGGTTCAGGTTCTGCCAACAAATGAATCTTGGTGTCAAACTAAGGAGAATATTTCTAGGTTTTAGAGCTTTTTAGAATTCGAAACTGATAAGAGATTTTGGACATAAAATGTTGCCATCAACAGAAAATATTGTAAGGTTGGTTCTTTTGGATCTGCCTTTCGTTATGAACTTGGATCAGGACTCTCTTGATTGTAAGAGGAAGAAACTCAATCCCTAGTCTAAGTACAAAAGGAATGTTTTGACTCATGTAACTGGAAAACTCAAAAGTAGGTCTGGTTTCAGGTACA